>NC_000008.11:65302265-65927265 GCF_000001405.40 Homo sapiens
AGTTCAAGTCTGGTTCAACTTTGTCAGTAACATGATGTGACAAAATGATGAGTTGTTTTTCAGTGGAAAGGACCCTCAGGTTGCAGGTCATGAAAACTGTGCATGCCCAGATGAACCAAGCATGCCCCATTTGTGACCCAGGAGCCAGCCAGAACAAAGAAGTCAATCACATGCAGAACCTAAGTGCTCAGATCATGGCAGAGGGATGGAATTAAGGAGCAAGGAGTGCCCTGTTTTGTTGCAGAGCCGAATTAAAAATGAAGGACCCAGCATCACCTCTTTGCATGACCCAATCAGATCATGACTCATCGTATTTTTCTCTCTCTCATCGTTACCCTCTGCCTATGAAATCTTCTCCTAGGCTCCAGTGCAGGCAGACAGATTTGAACATCACCTCCTGTCTCCCTGCCAGTCAGCTCTCAATAAAGCCTTCTTTTCTCAAAAGCCAGTGCTATAATATTGGCTTCTATGTGCACCAGACATACAGCCCATTGCTCAGTAACCTCTGCCTGACCGTTTTATTCATGTCTGGAAGTGGGAATGTGCTTTGTTTATGTACATCTGGAAATGTCTTTGTCACTCTTACATGATATTACTTTAGTTTCAAGTTATTTTCCCTCATTGCTTTGGGGTAGGATTTCATTATTTTCTAGTATCTATTGTTCCTGGCAATTAATTCCTGTATTTTGAATTGTCACTTGTTTCCAAGATCAAAGCAACTTGCCTTTTCTCTCTGGCATATTGAAATTTTTTTTCCTTTTTTTTTTAAGAGTTCTATAATCCCAACCTAAAAAAATTAATTACATATTTAATCCCTTTCTTTGATTGTAATTAAATCTGTGAAACAATATATCTTACTCTCTTAAATATTTTAAACATGTCTCCAAACAAACCAAACATGAAAAATATCACAATGATTACAAAATATCAGTGATTACAAAACATGTAAAAACTTACACTAAAAGTGTTTATGAAAGTTCTAATACCATAAAAAAAAAGAGTTCTATAATTTCACTATGATGTGTCTAGATGTGGATTTGTTTCTATCTACCTTGCTTGACATACCTCTTTTTCCATTTTAGAAAACTCTCAGTCATTACCTCCTCAAATATTGCCTTTCTCTTTTTTTATTTTACATTCTAAATGTCCTAATATAAAATGTTGTATTTTGCATTCTATCTTCTATAACTTCTATGTCTCTTAACATCTTCATTTTATACAACTCCTTATCTCTCAGTAGAGATTTCCTCAACTTTGTCATCTACTTTACTTCACCAGTCCTTTCCTTTCCTGTATCTAGGCTATTGTTTAACTTATGCAATGATGGTATATTCTTTTGTTGCTATTGTTTTGATAAGTTTTTTCATTTATAGAACTTCTACTTTTTTCATGTCTGTTGTTTGTAATTTCAGTTCTTAACTTATGAATTCTATTATTTCCCATATCTTTTCGAAAATTTTAAATGTGTTCTCTTTCATGTTGTCTTGTCATTTGTATTTCCTTGAATGTGACCATCTATTGCATCTTTAGACTATCTCTCATGATATTAGCTTCCCCTGTGTGCTAAGATTTGTTTCTTTCTGTGAATTCATCACATTTGGTGGCACTTATCTTCTGCAAGGATTAAGTACTTGTCACGGATTGTAGAGATTGTCTCACAATTTTCTCTGCTATGACTCGTGTTCCGGAGATATTGCTTGTATTTCTGGATCAAGCCATGGGTGAACTCTGGCCCACATCCTAATGCTACAGGGGTCTCAGTGTTCCAGAGCTGACTAAATTCTACCCAGTCTGAGCTGAGCAGGCAGCTTCTGGTGTATACGGGGAGCTGTGTTCAAGCTCTAATGCTGCATGCAGGATTCATAGCCTGATTTCTCAGCCCTACATCAACTTTCCAAGTACATATCCAATTTGACTTTCCTGGTAAGCCACGCAGCCTCAATTCCTTCTGAATGTTATTGGTTCCCTCATCATTTCTGCCACCCAGAAACTTGTTTTGAATTCTGCATTATTATTATTATATTATTATGTCTAGAATGAAAGGAGGACTTCCTATGTCAGTTCGGATCACTGCCTAGTTACTAAAGTCATCCAAATTGTATCATTAGAGAACACACAAGTACAGAGCCATCATGTAACAGTCATACAAAGTAGAAAGTGAAAAGGAAAAGAGAAACATTCAAGAACTTCTAAAAACAAGGCCAGGCACGGTGGCTCACGCCTGTAATCCCAGCACTTTGGGAGGCCGAGGCGGGTGGATCACGAGGTCAGGAGATCGAGACCATCCTGGCTAACACGGTGAAACCCCATCTCTACTAAAAATACAAAAAATTAGCCAGGCGTAGCGGCGGGCGCCTGTAGTCCCAGCTACTCGGGAGGCTGAGGCAGGAGAATGGCGTGAAGCCGGGAGGCGGAGCTTGTAGTGAGCCAAGATCGCGCCACTGCACTCCAGCCTGGGCGACAGAGCGAGACTCCGTCTCAAAAACATAAAATAAAAAAGAACATCTAAAAACAATGAATGTTTAAAGGACATACCACATGAGACTTCCATTTTACAAAGCTCTGTGATCATATTTCCCAAACACCAAGAGGAAAAAAACTGGATAAAAACATTAGTTCAGGCACGAAGCTATACATTTACTGAAAAAGAGATAAATAAAAACAGGTTTCAGCTACTGGAAATCCAGGAAGTCAGTCAAGTTGATCTGGTAACCATATTTAAGCACAGTATAAAATTTTAGAAAGACAGCTACTCGGGAGGCTGAGGCAGGAGAATCGTTTGAACCCAGGAGACAGAGGTTGCAGTGAGCCGAGATCGCGCCATTGCACTCCAGCCTGGATGACAGAGCGAAACTCCGTCTCAAAAAAAAATCACAAAAAAAAAAATTTTAGAAAGAATATAAATTTGTGATATTAGAATAACAAAAGACTTAGAAATGAATTTTGCTTCAAAACTGGGATAAAATGTCACATATTCTACAACATGGCTATAAATACTAAAGGAGTTATAAATCATTTTGCTCTGTGTCTGTGTGTGTGTGTGTGTGTGTGTGTGTAGAAGTAACATCATAGCATATTCAGAACACTACGAAACAATTTGTTCTTTCAGCAAATATTTATTGAACTCCTCTGAGGTGCTCAGCATTGCACACACCCTGGAGGCCCAGAGCACAAGACAAAATCTCTGTCCCGACAAAGCATACAATCTAACAATACAAGATCACCTATGATTAAACCCCGATATCAGTCCCACTGACAAATTTGTGCCATGAGACTCTCCAGGAAGGAAGCTCAATAGCTATTTTCTTAGAAGACCAAGACTTTGGAAGAACTTCTATGTACCAGAAAATTCCTAAACCCCCATTTTCAGAGAATAAAATAAGCACTTTCTTCCAAGGCACAAATTCTTTCAAAAATCCTCACTGCCCAGCAGTCTGTGATGTGCCAACATCCATTTCAAAGAGCTTTCTTAATAAAGCTCATAACACTGTAGTAAAATGCTTTCCCAGATGCGACAAGAACAACGAAGTCCGAAACCTTATTCAAGTAGTCATTTTTAAAGTAGCAGACAGATTATCTGCTGTATGCCTTGTGTTCACAGAGAAGCTGTACTAAGAACACAAGGTACAGTAAAGCAATGCATATCCCCAAAATGGTAATGAAGTGCAGCCAAAATAGAGATAATTATTTTAATTAATGGTAATGATTTTAACGGTTGAACATTTTAACTAATTAATTATGATTGATTGCTTGTTACTAATCAAGGAATATGATTCAAAGTTGTAATTGAAAAACCAGGAGCAATAGGTTCCGCAGAGAGCATATCACAACCCTACTGAGATCAGAGGCATTATTTTTGCCTTGAAAATTGCATTCTGGATTATTCCAGTCCTTTTTCTTTAATATATTCCTTTTGATAAACTAGTAGGGCATTGTGTTTTATTTGGTATTTAGAATCTTTTACCAGAAACAGGAACAAAACATGAAATGTGAATATAGTTGGAGAAATATATACATTATTTTTAGAGTTACAGCTTTTGTTTAAGAGACGGGGTCTTGCTCTGTTGCCCAGGCTGGGAGTTCAGTGACACAATCATGGCTTGCTGCAGCCTCAAACTCCTAGGCTCAAGTGATCCTCTAATCTTAGCCTCATGAGTAGTTGAGACTACAGGCACACACCACTATTCCACACCAGTTTTTTGTTTTTTTTGTTTTTTTAATAGAGGCAGAGTCTCATTACGCTGCCCATGCTGGTCTCAACCTCCTGGCCTCAAGCAATCCTTCCACCTCTGCCTCCTGAGGAGCTGAGATTATAGGTGTGAGCCACCGCACCCAGCCCAGCTATGACTTTTAATGCAACATTATTCATTTAAATTTTATTCTTATTCTTCTTCAAGTCTAAGCTTTCTTTCTTTAGATAAAGTCTTTAGATATAAGAAACTACTCAATTACACTGTTTGAACAATATGAAACTTTTTACTTTCGTAAGCATATTGACTGAGAATTTGTTTTTCACAAAGTTTATATTTGGTATTTTGGACACTGGATTTTTAGGCCTTTTAAAAATATCATGAAGAGAACACCCAAGACTAGTGATAAGCTTCTTCTCACTCTTTATTCTTCTAATGGTTTTATCGAATAGAGGCTGTATTCATCTGTTTTTACGCTGCTATAAAGAACTACCTGAGACTGGGTAATTAATAAAGAAAAGAAGTTTAATTGACTGATAGTTCCACAAGCTCTACAGGAAGCATGACTGGAGGCCTCAGGAAACTTACAGTCCTGGTAGAATGCAAAGGGGAAGCAAGTACATCTTCACACAGTGGCAAGAGAGAGAGAAAGTGACGGGGGAAGTGCCACACACTTTTAAACCACCAGATCTCATGAGAACTCACTCGCTGTGATGAGAACAGCAAGGGGGAAGCCTGCCCCCATGGTCCAATCACCTCCCACCCAGTCCCTCCCCCAACATTGGGGATTACGATTCAACATGAGATTTGGGTGGGGACACAGATCCATACTATATCAGAAGCAAATCAGTATCTCAATATAACCTGTGATTTGTCTTGTGATGTATTAGTAATTTATTATGCATCAGTGTTACCTTACTATAGTTAAGGTGGTTCTTTTCATCCTAGATAATTCTTTTACCATAAGGAAAAAGCCATGTTGTCCCACTTCTATTTGGTAGATAGAGAGTGCAGGAAGAGGGAAACAGAAAGAATATCAGAGTGATAATAGGGCACAGTCAGTTTGGAAAATGGGAGAATGTCAGTGTAGCTGTGGTGCAGAGTGGGAAGATACAAAAACAGCAAGAAATGAGGCTGGAGGGTTAAGTGGAAGCCAGACTGTAAAGTCTCTTGTTTGTCACACTGAATACTGGAGAACACTAAGGAGGGAATGACATAATCCAGTGTGATTTAAGGAAGAGCACCTACTGGAAGATTGTTGAGAATGAAGGAAAAAGAAAAAACATGAAAGAGTCTGGTCCTACAGTCCAGCTGATAACGAAAGCTTGGACTAAGGCAATGACCAGGGCCATTCCTAGAATAAGATTGTCTGGAGCTGACGAACAATTAACTATATGTATTTATGCAATTAACAATTAAATGTATGGTGAGTATGGAGCAGGTTCAAATTGGAGGGAGGAGATGGAACTCACACTTTCGGGCATGTTAAAATCAAGTTGCTGAGAATACTTTGGTGACCTCGTACTGTATTCACTTCTTTCCAACTACCCCACCCAACAACAGCAACCTGTTTTCAGCCATAGTCTCCAGATCATCTGTCTACCTTTCAGACCAGACTCCACTCAAAGATACAGCCAGGTTCTGACTCTAGAGAAAACAAGTCTGGGAACAGGATCTGTGCCATGGATTGGTA
Organism: Homo sapiens; assembly: GCF_000001405.40. Classification (NCBI taxonomy): domain Eukaryota; kingdom Metazoa; phylum Chordata; class Mammalia; order Primates; family Hominidae; genus Homo; species Homo sapiens. The sequence goes on from NC_000008.11 coordinate 65,308,149, forward strand.
TGGGAGCAAATGCACAGAAGGGGCTGATACTGGACTATTTTTCTATATCTCATGGTCTAATCACTGATTTTTAATCACTTAATTTACACTGCTTTCTCTGAGATTATTTTAATCACCACTTTTTACAACATTGGCTGTGAGTCACTTTTGCAGAATGTGTTCAGAAAGAATGGCTGATCTTCCTTCTTTTCTCCTGATAATTTCAGTGCCTAATTTCCTACAGTTGAGTCTGTCTCCCATTGCCCAGCCCAGCCTCATAAATGAGTCTAATTCCAGATTACCGAACTCCTCCCCATTTTCTCCACCCTGCCATGTGGTCCAAATATGACAAATGCCAGCATGCTGAGGCCCAGCAGACTAGGCTCTAAGTTCCTGTAATTTTTCCTGTCTATAGTCAAGATCGGACCCAGGGCTTCTAAGATCACAGAGCCTGCGGTTAGGAGTCAAGTGACTTAAATGGCAAGAGAAGAGAGCTGTAGTATGTGGAAGCCAGGCAATTTCCGCAAAATGTTGTGATGCTAGTACCATTTGCAAATATTTCTTCTTTTTATAATCTTGTGCTGAAACTCTGGAGGCATAGGATATGTCTTTATTCTCTCACGTATTATCAAGGTTAAAGTGCACCATTTGTATTTCAGCCAAGGTTTTTTTTTTCCAAAATCAAGGGAAAGGTGGACACAGAGTTGAAGGAATAATGATATTCAGATCATCAGCTCTTTTTTTCATCTTGTTGCAGATTGTCCACTCAGGAATTTACCCTTGGACATTTTTAATCTCAGGTCAGACTTCCTTCTGCCATTTGGCATTCTCCCAGGCAACCATCTCTTTCCATCAGTCAGTGGAAACATTCGCCAAGCATAATTAGGAAGGTAAATCTGCTGTAGAAATTGTCATGGTTTCATTAAATTTAGCCAGTGTTAAACAATGGATAGTCAGTTAATTTTCCTTTCCTGGAAATTTAAAAACAAATAACAAACTAATCATTTAGACATATCTAAGCTGTATCTAAGTCAAACCACTGAGGCTTGTTTTTCTGATAATGGTACAGTTATATTCTTTTTTCAGTGCTAAGAAATGAACTTTGAGATAGGAAGAAAGAAGGGGCACAGATATTGAAGGGAAAAGTAGAAAAGGACAGCAACAGAGGCCATTTTGTATCACAAAACCCTCATATAATTTAGAAATTCAGCTGCAAAACAAAACTCACTAGTTATATTGGTTTGCAGAATTGTCAGTCTGTTTTGCCAGAATGATCAACATTAGCAAGCAGCATCCTACTGTTCAGCTGTGGATTTAGGCTGGAGTCATAGAAGAGGATAATATGCTTATGAATAGCACCTCTCAGAGTGTGAAGTATACCTCCTGGCTGGCAATCTAACCCTGCTTCTGGCAAGGCCCCATGCAAGGTGAAAGAAAGGGAGGGAGAAATTAATGAATATTATTTCCTCTTACTTAGGGTTTGCCAAAACTAGGACCTGGCATTGAATATTAAGAGCTGAAATAGTACACCCATAGTTTCTTTCATGTGCTAGATTAAAATTGATGTGACTTAGAGAAGTAGAAAAATGAGCACTGGATGCCCTTTCCATATGGTAAAAGTAAAAGCTTGACAACATCTCCTTCTCTTCTTGATCACAATCTTTTCAGTGTTCCTAATGACTTCTCTCTTCAGAAGAGATTTGGATCTGAAAGCCTAATCAATGAGTTTTTTAAAGTTCTTATGACAATGTCTTCAAGATCACTTTGAAGGCTGAAGATTCTCAGAGCAAAAATACATATACTTATACACATATATAGCCAGCCACATTCACTAGCCATAACGAGTTAAGCATTTCACAGCAAATAATCCTGCCAAAATAGAAGCCTTAATTTTCTCAGCCCCAAATGAATTGTAAAAATAATCCATTCACCAATTACAAATGTGCCCAGAGAAAGCTATTATAGTGCAGCAAATGTATATCTTATATCCAAAGATGATGTTATTGTTGTAGTCTGTGATAGAATTTTCTCTTTAGATCATCTCTCCAGCAGTGGTAATGAGTTCACACACAGCTATTCACATACTTTCTTTTTTTGTCATTGATGACCAAAATCCCCATTTGTTAGATAGTTGTCCAGAATTGGTGCCATCACAGCGAACTAGATCAAAGCTTGTAGTTAATAACTATTATCATTGCTAATTTTTTTACTGCTACCAAAATTTGCAGTCTATAGAGTGAGGTTTTTGAAAAATGTTGTATGTGAAAGTGCTAGTCTTTTGTAAAGCAAGTAAAGCACATTATTTATATTATATCACATATGTATATTAAACTGGTTACTATTCTTGTAACTAATTCCTTATATCAGGGGGATAAGTATATTGAGTTATAAAAAGAACCAATAGACTCTTTTTCTAACGGTTTATTGATATCAAAAAGTCCTAAATTTACTGCTTTAGAGCGAAAACTAGTACAAAACTTGGAAAACAAAGATAGGTACCCATTGATAATGCAATTAAATTATAAAAAGTATATACAATAAAATAAAGTTAGAGTGGACTATCAGCATCCATTTTGCAAACAATTAACTATGAAACTATAGAACCATCTTTTTTGAACTCTAGGTTTCAAATAAATTTAGCCTAGGCTTTTTAAGAAGCCAATGCAAATAGTGTCTAAATTTTGAATGTTGTAAAACTGTCAGATAGACCTTACAATTCCTATTTTTTTTCAAGAGTAAATGCCAGTTAAAAATCTATTCAGCACCTGTTCCATGGTTTTAGATAAACAGTCAAATTAAAGATAACGAAGAAGTTTCCCTATCTTGCAAGTTCCAGATATAGGTTCACTAGCTTAAGAAGAAATCTTTTACGAAAGCAATATACTATATAAGGGCATGGATTAGGTGATCCTTCTTAGGATCTTCTCTTCTCTTCCAGCTTTGTGACTATATATTTAAATAATAATCATTAGAAGAAAATTTAATATCCTTTTAATTTGACATTATTTTCCCCTCCTCCCCCAATGACTGGACATGTGCTTTGAAGCAGCATAATGTAATGGATGAAAACAAGAAGTTTGTCATCAGAAAACACAGACACTTTCCTCTGCCATTACAGGTTTAGTTTCCTTACAATCATAAAGAAAATAATAGTGATACTTTCCTTACATAACTCACATGGTGAGTTTCAAATGACACAGAAATAGGAAAGCAATTTGTAAAACTTAAAGTCCCATATGAAGGGGTTAAAGTTGCACATTTATTTAGTTGTTTTTTCTAATTGTCATAATGATAAGTAGACATTAAATTAGGCCTTGTTGATATTGATAAAATGCATTTCCTTAATGGCTAACCATGATTTAGGAATGTAATCTGTGAAAAAAATTAATTGAAATTATTTAAAGCTAAGGGATCAAAACAGGATATCTAAAATTAAAAACTTGCTGGATGAGTTTGTCAGCAGACTGGACCCATCAGAAGACAGGATTAGAATGTTCAAAGAAAAAATAATAAAAAAGATTTATATTAAATCACTAGTAGGAAAAAAATAATATAGTGAAAAAGCAAAATAAATATGTAAGACATGATCAATAGTTGTAACACACATGCAATTGGAGTCCCAAATTAAGAGAAAGGAGAGAATGGAGCAGAAGCAATATTTGGAAAAACAATTGCTGAGAATATTCCAAAAATATCAAAAACCTCAGGGAACCTCAAGCAGAATAAATACAAAAGAAACCACACAGGGTCATAACCTAATCAAATGCTGAAAATCAAAGACAAAGAGAAAAACCTTAAAAGCAGTGAGAAATAATTTTTCAAAGGACCCTGCAAAGGAGCATTAGTAAGACTGATGACTGACTGTTTGTCAAGAACTATGAAAGCCAAATGACAATAAAATGACATCTTTAAAATACAGGAAAAAATTCCATCAAGCTGGAATTTTATGCCACGCCAAGAAAAAACTTCAAAAAATGAAGGTAAAATAAATACTTTAATGCAAAATTGAAGACATACAATTAATTACCAGCAGATTATATGACAAAAGTTTACTAAATAAAAGTTCTTTAAGCTAAAGGAAAATAATACTAGATAGAAATACAGAATGAAAATAGGATTTCAAAACACAAGAAAGGATTTTTGTTGTGTGAATTTAAGATGCTTGGAACTTCTGCAGCCATTTGGCAACCGTTAGAGAGATATTTACTCCTGATAAACAGAGGTCAGGCAAACCAAAAGATAGGAAAAGTCCTTAAGGCATCATAGAACTAGTGAAGCATATCTGGAACTGTCTATGTAGACTTCTTAAGTTAGATAATAAATATTTTTATTATTCAAAACAATTTTTTAATTTAAAAAACTAGCAACTTTTGCTTCTAACATTATGGCAGGCTAGATAATCTGAGAGATAATGTTGCAGCAGAAAGGATGTATTTTGGATGGGACAAACTCCTTTCCATTGCTTTTCTTGAAGGAAACATGTGAGGTCTCCAAGGAACACCCTTCCTGCTCCCAAAATAATCAACTGTCAGCATGAGGGTTTGGATTACCCTATGGGTGGATATTAATATCACCACTGCTATTTGGATATCGAGATGAGATTCAATGACAAGAAGGAAAAACTGAGCTTAGCCTCTATGCTAACCAAAACCAATGAGAAAAGGTGAAGGAAGAAGTCCTCTGTGGAGGAAAACTACTCTACTCTAATGTAGATCCACATGACTATCATGGGTTAAAATCAATCAATGAGTTTACAATGGAAAAACAATTAGCAAGCATTTAAGAATACAAACCACCAGAAGTAAAAGTGACAAAAAGTAACAAACAACAGAATTGGCTGCACAAAAAACTACAGATATAGAAAATGGAACATGAGAACAAGTATACATTTTTCTAATGTTTATAGAAATAATATGCACAACAACTCAGATGAACACATAACAAGAAACCATCCAAATGAACAGGCAGATTTGAAAAAAAATGACACTTTAGGGGGGAAATATGTAGAACTTCTTAATTTAAAAGAAAAACTCAACAAAAAGGATAAAGAGCAAATCAAGCACTGTTGCCCATGAAACATGAGCACTCTGATGGGAATATCCTTAAAGTAGCTTAGCGAGATAAGAAAATATATTAAGAAGCTAAGAGATATGATGGGTAAAATGAGGCTACAACCACCCAGAGACACAAGAGGAAATAAGAGAGGGAGGTGGGGAAGGAAAGGCAATATTTAAAAAGAAAATGGCTGAAAGTTTTGCAAAACTAAAATCTAATAAGAATATGAATTCATGGATCTAAGAAACATACTGTATTCCAAGGGAGATAAATAAAAATTGATCTACATCTAGCACTTAGAAAAGGCAAAGCGCTAAAGAAGATCTTTTTATTTATTTATTTATTTATTTATTTATTTATTTATTTATTTTTGAGATGGAGCCTCGCCCTGTCGCTCAGGCTGGAGTACAATGGCGCAATCTCAGCTGACTGCAACCTCCGCCTCCCGGGTGTCCCAGTTTCCATATATCACACACATCTCTATTCCATAGAAACCTATGTCACAAGATTGTGCATAGAAATTTTTTAAGCACCATGCAACCATGAAATTTAGTTCATAATAGAAAATAATCATAATTTGAACTATAGAATCTTATCTGCGGAAGGCCCAATAACAAATAATATTTCATAACTAAGAAAAATCAGGCCTTCAATATAGTCATTTTCTCTGATTTCACACTTCCAGACATCTCTTCTGATCTCATGCCCCCACGCCCCACTGCTGCCCCTTCAGCACACAGACCAACAACATGCTTTTCCCATGTGAGCCATAATGGGCTGTGCAGGGCCATGTGTCTATGACTTTGCACATGTTCTCTTTGCATTGAATACCCTTTCCGCTTCCCCAACTGGCAAACTACAACTCATCCTTCAACATGCTGCTCATTTTCTGTTCCTGTCCCTAAGCAAAGCAGATGAATCACTGCCTCCTCTAAAGCCCCATGGTAACTGGTGCCCACTTCCATAGCTGTACATATCACAGTGTTGTAAATGTTTCTTTACTTATCTCTCCCCCTCACTAAACTGTGTGCTCCTTGAAGAAAGACAAACTACAACTAACTCATCTTTGTAACCCCCAAGACCAGTACAACATTGGCTTACTGACAGAGTTCAGGGAATGTATATATATATATATTCATTGTATAACATATAATGTATATACAATAGATAATGTATATACAATGAATAAAATGAATGGATGCTTCCCTGAGTTTACATGGTCTTAGTCAGGGCTGGAACTGGAACCTGGATCTTCTGATTCCCATCCAGGCCAGTGTTCTTTTTATTACATCCTAGAGCATGTTCTACATGTTCTAACACAGATTGTGGTCTTGGGACATTTGGAGCAACAACCATGAAAAAGACAATGCCATCTTCTCAAGTGACGCAGGCTATAAGGGAAACAGAGCAGTACCATTTCATAATTCATCGAGTTCATCGGAGGTTCCCTGAGAGATTGTGTGACACTTGTACACCTGGTGGAATTGAGCAATGAAAATCCAAAAATGGGATCAGGAAAAGAACAGAAGCAGTTTGTACTTACTTACACCCATTTAGACCTGTTGGGCTTGGGAAAAATGGCAGACAGTTCCGGACAGTTCCAGGGAGTGTTTGCAATGAAGAAAGCAAGGATTTCAACTCCTGTTCAGAGTTCTAAAAATGCATTTCAGTGATTCCACTACTTGAGAGTTTTCTGGGTAAACTGCCCAATTGTGATTGAGATGAGCAGCAAGTCAGTGAGAGTCGGATAAGGAAGAAAAAGAAACACACAAAGACAGAGGGAATGTATGTAGGAGGGAAGGAAAAGATAGGGGCAAGGGAAAGGAAGTTTGGATAAATTCGCCAACTAAAGATGTTTTAATTAAATTAATGGCAGAACTCTGTTAAGATAAGTATATTAGCCAGACACAGTGGCACACTCCTGCAGTCCCAACTAATTGGGAGGCTGATGAGAGAGGACCACTTGGGCCCAGGAGTTCAAATCCAGCCTGGGCAACATAATGAGACCCCATCTCTAAAACAAACAAATAAAAAAAGATATGCATATACTAACAAAGCATAGTTATAAAAAAGAAAGGGAAGCCCTTTTCTTTTATCCACTATAAGGTATCCTCCTCCTCTTCTTGTTTCCATTTTCTTGGGAAAGAACTTCACTTGCAAAGAATAGATAAACAAAATAGGTAACCAAGGAGTTAGATATCACACACTCTAAAATAGTTCTAAGCTCTGTATTATTAGTTTTCTCATGCTGCTGTAACAAACGACCACAAACTTCATTGCTTAGAACAACACAAATTTATTAGGATACAGTTCTGTAGACGAGAAGCCCAACATAGGTCTCACTGGGCTAAAATCAAGGTGCAGCCATGCTGTGCTCCTCTCTGGAGGCTTTAAGAAAGAATCCATTTCTGTTCATGCAGATCAGTAGCCGAATTCAGTTCCTTGAAGTTGTGGGACTGAGGCCCCTGTTTTCTTGCTGGCTATCAGTTGAGATTTATTCCCAGGTTCCAAAGGTCACCCGTATTCCTTAGCTTATCGTCCCTTCCCTCTGTCTTCAAAACCACACCCCTCTCTCACTTCAACTCTCTCCTGCCTGTTCTGTTGCATCTGTCTTCCTTCTGCCATCCTCTTCCACAGTTAAGGATGCCTGTAATTACACTGGGTCCCCCCAGGTAATCCAGAATAATCTCCTTATTTTAAAGTCCATAACCTTAAACCCATCTCCCAAGTTCCTATGGACATGTAAGGTAACATCTTCACAGGTCCCAGAGATTGGGGGCCATTATTTTACTGACCATACCCTTCTTTCACTGGACAAAGGAATCCAAGAGGTCACTAGATTGTGTCTGCAAAGATATCAGCCACGAAACAAAGCTTAGACGAGACTAGGAGTGGATATAACAATAACTATGCACATGCCGGGCATTCACTCTCATATTCATGAACAAAGGCTTATCAAGTACCTGCTGTGGTCCAAAAGGCCTATGGTGGGTACTAAAATAAAACAAGGCCATGTTATGTTCCCCACCCAGAAGTACACAGTGAGGTGGAAGGCAGGACAGCCAATCAACTTCAATGCCACACGGCAAGTGCAATGTGTGGTGAAGGTACACATGCAGGCAGGGAGGAAAGAGGGCCCAGACAGAGAAACGCAATCAGAGAGGCTTCTAGAAGGAAGCACAGCCTTAATAATGGAGGATAATACACACAAAAGCTGTGAGTGGTCTGCTGTGATGAAGTCTGGGACATGTTTGGGAGATGAGAAGGAAAGGAAGGCAGGAGACAGGTCAGCAGTATCACATATGTGCCCCATGGTAAGGAGTTTGGATGGTACCCGAAGGGCAATGAGAATTCACTGGAAGATTTTAAGCAGATATGTAATCAGATTGTTTTCCTAAGATCACTTATGAAGCAGATAGGAAAGAACTATAGCAGTAAGCTTGAAAAATAATTTCCAACCCATTTACTCAGGAGTTAAAGAAATCTATACAGTTAAGTATAAAATTAAGCCATAAGAGCTGGTATTAAAGTCTATAAATACAACTCCCTCCTTCTGTCCCCATTTGTAATTTCTTTGTGGCAATTGTACAGGGACAATCTTAAGGTATTTTTTTTTTCTCAAGTAAACCGTTATGGGAATGTTCCAGGGAGATTTGAAAATTGACATGCAGGTTTCAAACTACTCCCCTACCCAAGAACACACAATCACTTTTTCCCCCTCTAATAGTTCTTGCTTTCTTCCATCCACTACCTTCCCCTCCCTCAGGCCCACTCACCTTCCACTATAGACAGATTCGTGGGAAATTACATCACATTTTAAATCCAGCAAAAGAGATTTATATTTAAAGAAATTCTATATTTTCATAACATGTTTTCTGAATATAAAAGTAATACATTTCCTAGTCAAAATTTTGGATAACTATAAAGAAGTTCTGATGGAAATTCTTTAATCTCTTTTTTAAAAGAAGGAACACTTTTAAAAGTGTGAATACAGTACAATTTTTATTTCTCAATTATATTCTAATAAAGAACATATATGACTGTATTCTGTATTAGTCTGTTCTTGCATTTCTTTAAAGAAATACCTGAAACTGGGTAGGTTTTATGGAAAATAGGTTTAATTGGCTCATGGTTCTGCAGGCTATATAAGAAGCATAGTGCTGGCATCTGCTCAGCGTCTAGGGAGGCCTTAGGAAGCTTACAATAATGGCGGAAGGGGAAGCAGGTACAGGCAGGGCACACAGCTAAAGCAGGAACAAGAGAGAGAGAGAGAGAGAGAGAGAGTGGGAGGGGAGGAGCCACACACTTTTAAATGACCAGATCTTGCAAGAACTCATTATTATGAAGATAGCACCAGGCCATGAGGGATCCACCCCCATGATCCAAACACCTCCCACCAGGCCTCACCTCCAGCACTGGGGATTGCAATTCAACATGAGATTTGGACGGGGACAAATATCCAAAATATCATACTCTAATGGCATATTTTATTATACTGGGTTGTTGTTTTACTTAACATATAAGGAGAATTATTTTGACCTTAAATATTAAAATACTATTTTAATGACTAGACAGATGTTTTCATGACTATATACATATTATAATGACTATCATAATTTGCTTAACTATAATTTATCAATCTCCTATTATTGATTTTTTCTTTTGTTTTTTAGTACTCTAATTAATACTATAGTCAATCTTTTATTTTTTTTTTTGAGACGAAGTCTCACTCTTGTCCCTCAGGCTGGAGTGCAATGGCATGATCTCAGCTCACTGCAACCTCCGCCTCCCAGGTTCAAGCGATTCTTCTGCCTCAGCCTCCGGAGTAGCTGGGATTACAGGTGCCTGCCACCACACCCAGCTAATTTTTGTGTTTTTAGTAGAGACGGGGTTTCACCATGTGGGCAAGGCTGGTCTCGAACTCCTGACCTCAGGTGATCCACCCACCTTGGCCTCCCAAAGTGCTGGGATTACAGGCATGAGTCACTGCACCTGGCCTATAGTCAATATTTTTTAAGCATCTTTGATTTTCTGGAATTTATAGACATCTTGTGGATTACTATTATTATTATTATTATTGCTTTTGTATGAATCTAGAATTTAATTGAAAACTAAGAAAGCTTAGTAAAGTATACCTTTGGCAAACTGATACTATCCTCTCAAGAAAAACAAAGAAAAATAACATGGAAATATTGCCATGATTCCTTTTAGTGAAAGGAAAGTCAGGACACAGGCAATGACAGAGATCTGCAAGGAGAGAACGTTTTAGACCAGGAACTCGAAGCACAGTATAAAAGAATGTAAAATTTCAGGACCCTCTAAATGTATATTATGCCAAGGGGGAAGTTAAGCCTTGGAGACTGAGTCATGCAGCATGTTTGCAATGTCTGCTTCTTAGATTATAGCTTAACTCTCCTCCTTATTTTTCTTCTGTAAGCTTAACTCTCTTCCTTTTAACTTATAGATCTCTTCGTCATAGCTTACCTTTCTTCCTTATTTTGCTCTGAAAATGACTGGGAGAAACCAGAGACCAGACCTCTCACTTCCAATCACCGATCTTTGTTATAGATTAACTGCCTCCTTTATTGTCCTGTCCCTAACTCAGACCAGATGGTGCCCACGACTCCATGACCATTACAACTTCAGTGTGGAATGTTACATATACTTTTCCAGAAAGAAAAAGACCACCTCAACTAATCAGTGGTTGTAACTGTGCATTAAGCTTTACATAGAAAGATGTTGAAATTCTGTTAAGCTTCCCTAAATGTTATCTACATTAATGATGCCAAACTTCTACACCTCGGAACACTGACATTCATTGTTTGGACTCTGTGCTTCTCTGGTGGCCTGTCCTCAAACTTTGCACTTGAATAAACTCTCTTCAAACTAAATTCTGAACCTTTTGATTATTTTAGGTTGACAACAAAGAAGCATACGAATATACTGAGCTCTGGGGATACAGCTGTAGCAAGCTAGACACAGCCTCACCCTTCCAGAGTTCAGCGTCTAACCAGGTAGAAGTACTTACAGAAATGACGCGGGAGAATGATGCTAGGACTGATGCAAAAATTGTACCTATAAATAATTTTAGGGGGACACATGATTATTAAGCCTCCTTGTCTACTATTAATTCCTTATCCTTCACAAATATTAATCAAAGATACTCCCGCATTTATACTAGTTTCTTTCATTAGGTCCTAGACCCTTATGCATCAGATAACATTTTGCCTTCATTAGCACTATAATATCTTGTCTTGAATTTTGAAAAATGGCTCCTTTCTGTGATAGAAAGTCATTCAGCATCTATTAGCCATACCCTGGTGGCATTTTTAGATCCCTATTTGTAGGATCAGTGTTCAAGGTGTCTGCCCCCTTTCAGCATCTTCCAGGCAACCATGATGTTATTTGTCTTTTTTAAGGTTTGCAAATTCATATATCTTAATATACAACATACCACTAATTAACTGGATGATCTGCTTACCTTTTAACACTTAAATGCAATTCTTTCCTTCCCTATTGGCACAAACCTAGGCACTTTTTAATTTAAAAGCCTCCATCTGAAAAGAATATTTGCAAATCAACAATGAAGGACAAATGGTGAAGAGGGGAGGGAGTGCGTAAACTTTTTCTGAAGAATGTGCTAAACTCTTCACTATTTAATAGATAAGAATGAATACTGCTGTTTAACTAGATCCAGTCTCTGAAATATCTAATTAAAACTGATGTGCTTATTTAGTTTCCAATTCATCACAGGTGGGCCCACATTAATGTGAAAATGAGAGTAAATTACCAGCATTTGGCAATCTCACTGAATGTCATTCACGTTATTAACTCAAACCTCAAAATGCATTTTAAAATGTGGTTCATAGGTAGGGCACCGTCTCTCCACACAAACAAAAATCTTCCCCCACTAAGCTTATGGAATTTTACTTTTATGTAGAAGGTTCCCAGTGACACAAGTCCACCCACTCAAAACACCTCGCCCGTGATCCAATACGGGTGTCACAGGGAAGACGGTGGGAGCAATGCCCCCTCCCTTCCCAGACATTAGTGTCTCCTGGGAATGACTGTTTAGTTTGGCCCAACTCTCTTCTAGCTTGTCAAGCAGAACTTTATTAAAAATTCAGTTCATTTAACTTTACAGAGAGATTCTTTACTAGTAGTCCTCACACAGTACCAGAAAGGGATCGCAGTTTCAACTCCATCCCAGCGAACAGCCTCCCCACAGCACATAAGCTCTGAACCCTTTATCCTTTCTCTTTTCACATCTACAAAATGGAAAGTCATCTTCCATGTAATTTGTCTTTGAAAGACTCTTTCCAATAGTGTGCTGAAATGTATTTGGAAATGCATAGATGAGAAGAATCTTCCACATTGACTTTGTTCAGTCCACACAACATACACAGTGGCTGGTCAGCATTTCAAATGGTTTTTTTCCCTATTTTTTCTAAAGCTTTCAAATCCACATGGAAGATAATTTATTTCACTTTTAAAGCACCCACTGTTAGAGGCTAATTTATAAACTGAATAAATTATTCCAGGGGCATGGAAAGCAAGCCAAGAAAACTTCCACTTTAAATACACTCACACATTCATCTCTCCTCCACCTGCTTTCAATGCCCAAAATCTTACATGGAAACTTATTCTCTCAATTTAAGGTTGTGAACCCTTCAGATTGAAACATCAGATTTTTTGGCAAAGAGTATAAATGATCAATAAACATGATATGGTACTTAATTTCACAAGGAGTCTAGGAAATCAGATTAAAGCAATATCAAGGTACCCATATTAGCCCACCAACTTGAGGAAAGTTTACAAAACAGTAACATGCTGTGCTGGTGAGGAAGCGGACAGTCTCCTCCTCGTGCAGTGGTGGCAGGAGTGTGACTCGTTATGAACTTTTCATAAAAACAAGCAAATTTTGTCATGTGTACTTTACCACATTTAAAATTTTAAAATAGTAATAATCTAGAAGTAGGTATTATAATTAAATATATCCAAATCCTTTGGCCCATCCTCACCTTTGAATCTATCCAGTAGAAAACAATATACTAGTACCTAAGGATATATGTAAAACAATAATTGCAGCATTGTTTATGACAGGGTGGGAGGGCAGATAGCTGCATACATTAGGTTCATCTATGCTATGGAATATTATGCAGGGTTTTTTTTTTTACTCTATTATCTATTCTTTACTAACCTGGAGAAATGTCTATGGTCCATAGTTAGGTGAGAAAAGCATATTGTAGAGTATTATAAATAAGAGGCAGTGGTATTCAGTGGTTCAGAGCATGAGTAGATTGGTAACCTATGTTTTCAGCAGTTTGACCTTAGATAGGATACTTAATCTCTCCAACACTCAGTCTTCTCATCTATAAGATGGGTGCTAAAATGTAAATGATATCACCTCACATGGTCTGAGTAAACATTAACTCAAAAAGGATGTAAAAGATATACTGGATGACACAAAGTGGGCATTTAATTAGTGCTAATTCCCTTCTCCCTCGCCCCAAAAGTGTACCAGTTTTAGAGCCCTTCTTGCAACGAGAAAACTAGGGAATCATGAATAGCTGGCTCAGTAGAAACGAGTGCTGTCTTGAGGTTAGAAGGATGTGAGTTCATGTTGGGAGCAGTGGCTCCCGCCTGTAATCTCAGCACTTTGGGAGGCCAAGGCAGGCAGATCACTTGAAGCTAGGAGTTCAAGACCAGCCTGGCCAACATGGCGAAACCCCATCTCTACAAAAAATACAAAAATTAACCCGGCATGGTGGCACGTGCCTGTAATCCCAGCTACTCAGTAGGCTGAAGCACAAGAATCGCTTGAACCCAGGAGGTGAAGGTTGCAATGAGCCGAGATCACGCCACTGTAGTCCAGCCTGGGCAACAGAGCAAGACTGCCTTAAAAAAAAAAAAAGAAAAAAGAAAAAAAAAAGAAGGATGTGAGTTCAAATCCCTGCTGGGGTACTTGATGACCCTGGATGAATATGTAACTGTTTAGAGCCCCTTTCCCTTACCTCATAGGGGTTTTTAATAAAGAATAAACCAGATGCATGCATGTGCACAAAGTTGTGTGTGTTTGTGTGGCTACATGTGCATTGCCAGAGGTAATACTTAAAATGTTAGCATCTGGTATTGCATGGATATCAAACAACGAATAAACCCTGGCTCCTGGCACATAATAGGTGCCCAAAAAATGTTCCAATTTCTTTCCTTCTTTCATTTAATGAACAATTATTTTTAAGTATTTGATATGAGCTTGGAACTATGTTTTCCTTGATGAGAAAGGATAATTCTGATACTCAGATTGGCAAAAGGCAAACACATATATATTTATATATATAGTTAGTTCTACTACCTTTGCATACCAATTTTCAAATTATATATATATTTAATATATATTTGTGTGTGTATATATGTATGTATGTATTTACATATATATGTATCGTGTGTATGTATATGTGTGTGTATGTATATCTATCTATCTATCTATATATATATATGCAAAAGTAGTAGAACCAATTTTCACGGCCTTGCAATCATTTCTCAGGTCAGCCCTGCACATCCAACAGTAAAATGAAAAATCAAAACAAAACAGAAACCTCAAGTTCTAAATACCAGTGTTGTCTTAGCTGTGCAGTTCCTGTGATAAGGTGCCAAAGCAAACCAAACAGGGAAATCCAGAGAGGGTGAGAAAGTATACAATGAAGTTCACAATCAAAGGCTGGGCAGGGTCACACCAGGCTAAACCCAGCTGTCTGCAGCAGGGGTGGCACAGCAGGCTGCAGGCAAGGAGAGGCGCATCACGCATCAGAGTGAGCACACTGCAAAGCCAGGTCCCTGTATCTCTTCTCTTCTCTGTGCCTCTCTGTCCTCATCAGTAAGTGAGGACACTGAGGGCCACATCCTTGGTAAGGGCCTTTCTCTCCTCACACAGACCTTCTGTGAACTCCACTCAAATCTGTCTCAGGGTGCTTTGGGGAGTACATTTTAAATGGGTGAGGACTAGAAACAAAGAATTTAGCTTGAGGTTGCAAGGAGAGAGAGTTTGGAGTCAGATAAACCAGGTAGGAACCATTTTCACAAAGTCAAAAACATTTCCCTCTGAAAAACTGAATGTGCTTCAACCAGGAGAAAGCGTCTTTACTCCACAAGACATAATAGGGCTCCTCAACCAAGTCAACATTAAGGGAATTTGTGGAAGCTTGATATATCAGGAATTAAATTTAATTGCTAGAAAAAAGGAACACTCTGCCCCAAAATACATATATACACATATTGTTTCACTAAACTGGTAGTTATTTGCCTCATGTACTGAGAAATCTACGGCAGGTATAATAAACCCAAGCTCTTCTTATCCTTTACTCAGCCACCCTTGGCAGGCATGTGTCACCTCATGGTCACAAGGTAGCTGCTAGAACTCCAGCCATCACACCTATATTCTGCTGGAAGAAGGGGAAGCAAGGTGACCAACTTATTCAGTTTGCCTGGGACTGTCTGGATTTTAGGACTGAAAGTCCCACATCTCTAAAACTACAGGCAAACCGGGACAGTTGCTCACCCCAAAGGGAAGGCAAAAGCCAAAAAAGAAACTGCTAATTGGGGTTTTCTCACTGTTTTAAGGATCTTATGTAGAAGTCCTATCCAAACAACTTCTGCTCATATCTCATTAGTCAGAACTTATTTACATGGTGCTCCTTTGCAAAGGAGGCTGGGAAATGCACATGACCACTGAGGCAAACTGTGCATCCACTAGGAAAAGAGGAGAATGGATAGTAAACAGGCAGTCTCCTTCACACTCAGTAAGAGTGGAACCACACAGTCCATAGAACCCCACATTCTTTAACCCTGAAAACTCTACTCTGAGCCTCTGCCCAAGAGCATTCTTATTGTGTTGTGAGTTCCAGCCACTCACAGAGGTAATAATGACTCAAGAATTTAGCAAATCAGAGCACTAAGTAGTTTACAAGATCTGGGATGGGCTGTTGCAGGCTGTGACTGGCTGGAGGCTCCCTGTCCATTCTGTTCTCCAGTCCTAAGTAAAATGGCTCAGTGAGGGGGGTAGGGACTAGTTTCCAATTACACCCCTCCAGCGAGTGCACATCTCTGCCTTGTATCTAAGCTCCAGCAAGCAGAAGAAGGAAGAAAGATGCACACTACTACCAGCACTGACAGGGTCCTGATTAGGGATTAAGCTTTCTCCAATCCCATCTCCACCCAACCACAGAGTGTCGTTTTGAAGAATCATTTGCAGTAAATGAAGGGAGAGGAGCTATAAGGGCAAGAAATTGGTAGAAAATAATAGGAAAGAAGTGCTAACGTTTGATGAGGGTAATAACCTTTCTAAACTAGTGTCCTACTGCATTAGATTTTCCATGAAATTATTTAAAACAGCAGGGAATCAAACATCCCCACATTATTAACCTCCAGTGTGTGCTTACTGAAGAAAATCCAAAGGATATTTATGCATCTCATGCAGAGGTTGAAACTTAATGTCCCAGACTGAGGCAATGAAGCTATGGAATTCTGCCTGTATTGTCTTCTGTTGATAACAAGAACCACAGCTGTATTTCTTGCCTGGTGAACTTGCAAAGTTGCTCTTCACCCTATTGTGATAAGCATGATGTCAATCATCACAATCTAGCTTTTGGTAGCTCTTTACCTAAAAGGTCAGGGCTTCTTTGCAGCTCACTTTTCAGGTAGTCTTGGTTATGAGAAACACACAAAAAAAGTTGATATACCAAGTAGTGTATTTTTTCTGAGATTCTTTCCTAGGAGAAAACACACAGTGTAAAATCTTCACCACCACAGACCGATACTGTTACAATAAACATTACATCACATACACTCATGAGAACATCCAGCCACAGCTCATCATATTACCTAGGAGTAAATCTGTCACAACCTGAGTCACTGTAGAAGCACTCGGGTCAAACATGTTGAATTACAGCTAGATTTTAGCATTAATTATAATAATTATATCATAACCATCATTTCATCATAAAAATTAGTTTCACTATGACATTTTGTTCTTTGTTCCAGGACTTGCAAAATTCCCAAATTGCAATAGGTGTTTAAAAATAATGTTTGATCAAGGTTAAAAAATGAAAGTTTTTACAAATTTATGAGTTTTTCAAACAGCATGCAAATAAATGGTAATTAATATACAGAAAAGCTTGCTAAAACTGATTGGATTCCATACTCCTTATAAGTTAGAAGGATTCATTTTTTACATTTTTTGAAGAGCTATGCATGTGAATTGCAAAGCTATAATTATACTGGAGGACCCTGGTGGTATCATACTGAACAGCTGTTTGCAGAGAACATGCCTCTTCAGTACCCTGAGGAAGGCACAGAATATTGAAATGTTGACTAAATGTTCAAATCATTCCGAGAATGGATACCCATGAAAATAAAAGGGTACTATGAATGATGGCCCTGAGTTTGTGACTTGGCCTGAGTAAGCTCTGTCAAAAGCCATTTCCAGTCTCCCCCTGTCCTTTCCCTTCTCTTCTCTTTTCTCCCCTTCTTTTGGTTCAAAAGCCGTTAGATAGAGCTGACCAAGGTAGGCACCAGCAGTGGGTGAAGTAGGAAACAGGCCACAGTGGCCAAGCACCAGGTGCTGGAGCCCAGCAAGGTGAGGAGGGTATCCATGGAGAGCAGAGCATCAGGGCCCAAGTGGGATGAACAGAAAGTAGAGCAGTGCAGAACAGTGTGTGAGTCAGCGTGGAGAGCGGAGGGCGTCCTGCAGATGCTGGAACTCCAGTGAGGTGGGGGTGCACCCCACAGGCAAGGGGCAGGGGCAGCAGCCAGTGCAGTGTCTGGGCCCAGGAGGGCGAGAGGGCATCCGTGTTAGAGGTCCATGGTACAGCACGTGGCACTGGGTGAGGAAAGCACCCTCACAGGTGACACCCAGGCAAAGTGAAGGCAGAAGGGTGTCTGTGTGAGGGTGGCTCAGGGCAAGGAGCAAAAGAGCAAATATCCCATCATCAACAAAGGCGAAAGAGACTACCTCAGGCCCTCCCCATTAAATGTATAAGTCTCCAATGGCCCCATTCCAAATGGATTAGTGAATGAATAATTCTCTGGAAAGGACAACAATATTCATTAGGATTTACCATAGGGTCATTACAAATAAATATGCTTAACTAATCTAACTAATCTCATTTCCTTTTTTTTTTTTTTTTCTTTAAGTGAACCAGACAGACACAACTGGAGATATCTGAAGAGGATAATGTATCCTTGTTTTTAGCGGGATCTATTTCACAACCTCTTTATAATATCACGGTTATAAAGATAACAGCCGGCCAGGCGCATTGGCTCACGCCTGTAATCCCAGCATTTTGGGAGGCTGAGGTTGGTGAATCACCTGAAGTCAGAAGTTCAAGACCAGGTTTGTCAACATGGTGAAACCTCGTCCTTACTAAAAATACAAAAAAAATTAGCTGGGCATGGTGGCACACACCTGTAATCCCAGCTACTCAGGAGCCCAAGGCAGAAGAATCACTTGAACCCAGGAGACGGAGCTTGCAGCGAGCCAAGATCGTGCCATTGCACTCCAGCCTGGGCAACAAGAGCACGAAACTCCCTCTCAAAAAAAAAAAAAAAAAAAAAGATAACAGCCAACATAATGAAGCTGCCATTTATTGAGTTATTATGTGACAATTGTGGAAACAGAAGGCTAGCCTGATTAAGCCCACCAAAATTAACCTACCTTGCTTTCTTTTAATTGCTGACTTCTAGTTGCTCTTAAAATCTATATAGCTAAAAGTCACATAGCCAAACAATATATAACTAAACCCCCACTAGCTTCCTCATAGATAACATCTCTGACATATATGTCACTGTGGTAATCGTTGCTTGAAGTTGTTTTTCAGGAATTAGGGGGCAGCTTGTGTCCCGTTTGAATCAGTTGAGACCACCAACCTGCCTGAGAGGTGACCCTTTGACATCAGAAGGCTAAAAGCTCCTCCCTCAGATTATGCTAATGCTGCCATTTTCTGAACGTGCATCCCATGAAGAGCCGTGAAGCCTGACTGCGCATGCACGAATCACTGATGACCTCACTTTTCCTTCCCTCCAACCCCGTTCCCCACACAGTAGGCTGCCTGCTTCTTTATCCCACAAATATCCCTAAATGCCACCTTTGAAGAGGCAGATTTGAGAGCTATTCTCCTGTCTCCTCGCTGGACTTTCCCGTGAATAAATCCCTTCTCTTTTGCAAAACCCAGCATCATAGCTATTGGCTTACTGTGCACATGCAAAACAAACCTGGTTTGGCATCATTGTGATGCCAAGTGTTTAATCCTCATAACAACTCTAGGAAGCAAATATTATCATTCCTTATAGTCTCTTTTCAGATGAAAAAAAATGGAACTTAATGAAGTTCAGGAACATGCCCAAGATCACACAGCTACTAACTGGAAGACTGGAGATTCAAACTCAGCACTATCGCCCTGAAACTGCATCCTCTTAACTCCTATGATGAACACTACAGTTAAACATAATCATAGCTCGTTGAATAATTATCCTCAAACAGCCCATATCAATTAATGAATGTGAGCTTGAAAAAAGGTCTCAAGTAACGAGCAAATTATGCTCGGTGAAAATTTGAAAACATTGGTTAAATTTTTAAATTATTTGTTATCTGCCCATACTGAGTAAGGTGAATGGAGTTAAGAGTCTAGGTGAGCAATAATGCAGACCTGTATAAGGGTGGGGACTACAAGACAGACCTGGAAGTGCATCCTGCCTTCCAGGAGCTCACAAACAGCAATTATAAAAATGCCAAATGTATGTGCCAAAGACGAGAAAGAGTGGAAGTTCTAAAGAGGGAGACTAGTTAAAGACATCAGGCAAGCATCATTGGAAAAGATGACTTCACAGGTCGGCAACCAGAGATGAGTGGAATTTTACAGCTGCTCGGGAAAGAGAAATTGGAGTAATGGAAGAGCTTGAGCAAGGCAAAAAAGGAGGAACAAGTGAAGCTTCTTTAGAGAAAAGCAAGGAATCCTAGTTCACAGCAGAATAGAATCCCCAGAGTAGCACTGTAACAGATAGAAGTAGAAAGGCAGAAATTAGATGATATTGTAAATTTCCATCTCAGATGTGTGTAATTTTGTTCAGGGACTACTAACAAAGTTAAATTTTAAGATAAAGTATTCCATAAGTGTCCACTGAATGGATAATTGGCAATAATTTTGAGAAGAGATTAGGAAGGGGAGAGAATAAAATTTGAGGAAGGGCAATCTGAGGTACAATATGGTGTCTATTATTCATAGTCATTGACCTATGGACTCAAATCTGAATTATGGAAGAGAGTTTCTATTAAAAGCCAGTACAAACTACATGAACTCTTACTGAAATATCTATGAACTATTCAGAGCCCAAAGCAGGTTGATTTTTAAACTATATAATGATGCATATTATAAGTGGAGGTGAAGGTTACCTGCCGGGTGCTTTTGGAATGTGTAGGAGAACAGAATAGGTGCAGTGGCTGCAGCAAGAGAGCCAACCAGTCTATATCTGGGTTAAAGAGGAGTTCAAAGAGATCATCACTTCTAGTCCTGTGAGGCAGCCTGATAGATGGCTGGGCAACAGATCACAGTGATAACAGCACACACATGGGAAGAAAGAAAACCAGAGTAAGCCGGAGCAGTCCAGAGAAAAAGGCAGATGCCTTCCTAGAGACAAGATGTGTAGTTGATGAACCCACTGAGACACTCTGTGGGAACCTTCTGGGCTGAGAGAAAATCGATTTAACTACATCTGAGAAGTCATCATCACAGCATTGGTATTCTGTTCATTTATTTGTTCTGGCTTCATCCATTACTTTTACATCCAGCTATTGATAAGTTTTTGAAGATGTTAACATAATAGAATTTGTGCAACCACCATCATAGTCAAAATTTTGAACCACTTCATCACCCCAAAGCTCTCAGTGATGCTACCCCTTTATGGTCACTCTCCCCTCCCCCATGCCAAACTATCCTTAACCCCCAGCAATCACTAATCTGTTCCCCTAGTTAGACTTTTGTCATTTTGGAAATGTATAAGAAGTCTCCTTCTCTAATGAAGAAAAATAGTTATAAAGAGCACTATTGAGACAACTGACAAAATTTGGTTATGGACTGTGGATTGGATATTAGTATTGCATCAATAAGAATTTCCTATTTTTGATTATTTAATTGTGATTATCTCAGAAGAATGTTCTTGCTTTCAGAAAATACACACTGAAATATTTGGGAATAAGGAGGCACTTTACCTCTTAGTTTCAAATAATTCTGAAGACAGAGAAAGAAAGAGGGAGAGACAGAGAGAGCACAAGTGCACAAGAAAATGAGGCAAAATGTAAATAATTCACAAATCTGGGTTAAAGTATACAACAGTTTTGAGATTTATCCTTAAAACTTTTCTGTAAGTTTGAATTTTTAAAAATAAGGTTTCAAGGAAAAGTACTATCAGAATGACAATCTGCTTTGCATATTTTATTTAAAGATTCATGAAAGGTTTAAAAGAATACTAGATATATGCGCAATATAGAGAACCTTCATCTATCATGGATCTAAACAAGTAAAATGATTTCTCTTTCTTGCTCTCCACTCTTTTGACACAACACTATCAAAAAAAAGTTCTAGCAAAGAGATTTTTAAAGTGATGTTAAGGATACAAGATTGGCATAGACTCAGCCAACTCTATCTTTAATAACATTCTAACCGGGCCAAGTGGAAAAGAAGCTTGGGAGTATGGCCTCTGGAGGCATGAGGCCTGACTTTGAATCCTGGTTCTGCCACTTACTAGCTATGTGACCTTAGGCAAATTGATTCACCTCTCTGTACATCTATAAATACAGATAGAAATAAAATAGTAGCTACTTCTAGGGGTTTCTTGTGTTTTAAAAGAGTTTATATCTAACATGCTTAGAAGAGTGCCTGGCAGATATTGAGTGTTATATAGGAGTTTGCTGCTATTGAATGGGGGAATTAAAAGCAAGTCCCTGGACAGATGCAAACACTGCATGCTGTCTTTTTGCAGGCATTTATTTCTTCATACTCTCCCTCACATTTGTATCAGATTTCATCTTCTTTCAGAGTATTTTTATGTTCCTGCTCTTTGACAAAATGTTTCTTAATCTTCAGCAGTAATATATCAATATGGAGTGACAGTTTGACAATATGGTTCCCACTTTTCATAGTATAAATTCAAAGACAAATTGTGAACAAGTCAAGTGAAACTTGTAATTCACAGCTGTGAGGTCACACTAGTGAATTATAAGCTTTTCATTATGTCAGAACTGTGAATTACAAAGGCTTTTTTTTCTATACTTCCTGTCAAATAATTTATTAGCTATCCCTCTATCACACGATTTTGCAGCATGACAGAATCAGAAAATACAGGGACTGAACTGTGGCATTTCCAGATAGAACAATAAGAATTCACACATATAAGAATAATGTTAAAAAGAAAGCGTGATGAGTTTAAATTGTACTCTTGCCAAGTTTAGAGTCATTCCTAATGAGCAGTTTGTTTTCTCTAAATTGGAGCCATTGCCACTAAAACTTGACGGAGCTCATCTTTTTGTTATCTCCTTCTTATTGTCATCATCAACTATCATTTCTTACAAGTCGCTAAGTATATAATCCTATAATGTTTAAAAAATTCAAAGATATTCTTGTTAATATTAACATCAATAGCTAGAAGATAATAATTTAAATGTTCCTAGCATAAGGAAAACACAAATATTTAAGGTGATAGATATCCCAATTACCTTAATTTGATTATATAAATGTATTAGATTATCACAAATAGCCCAAAAATATGTACATATATTATGTATCAATTTTTAAAATATTAACATCACTTATTATTATTGCCATTGTGAAACTCTGGATAAATTCTTATAATTTTCACAGCACTTTCATGTCTTATTTATTATTTATGTTGACCCAATGGAGTATGTAGGTTAGGTACTATATCCACATTAATTCATAAGGACATTGAGGTGATAGGGAGTCAGAGAAATCAGAGGGGCTAATCAAAAATTATGCCACTATTGCGTGTCAAAAGCAAGAATCATATATTCTCATTCCAAATCCAGAGATTATTTTCCACATTGCACTAAACCTCTTTCCCATTCATAAGCATGCGTATGCAGCACATCCACCTAATAAAACCTGATGTTTCATAGAGCCCAGTCTCTGTTCAGTTTCACATTTGATGAAGGGTCTAATTTTAGAAAAATTCTGAAGTAATTTTTAAGACAATTTCAAAATTTGTACTTACAAATCTTAAAGAAAATTTACTCAATTTCAATTTATACCCCACAACTACATCAAGTCCTATTTTCTCTTTTCTCCTCAAAACAGGGCTTTCACCATTTGCTCTTTTTCCTCTTCCCTTTGGTCTATCCAGTCCTGTTTCCTGATTCTACATGGTAAGAACCCAGGAACTAAGCACACACAACCAAATTCTCCTTGAAATTCAGGGAGGTGGATGAACAAAGGAGGCAAGAATAAAATATTTCATAAATAGTGTTGAGATAGTGAAATCTGATAACATTCACTCATCAATACATCTCATTCCCATTCCTGTAGCTGTTGATCTTGCTAGCTTGAAGGTTATGCTGATGACAATATTGTTATGTATGTATTTGAGTGTGATGGGTAAGACCAAAACTTGGCCATCATCTCTTTCTACACTTCATATATTTCAACACTTGTGAAATTCTCTAAAGATATCATATTCTTGCTAGCTTCTAGACCAGTGCTTTTGTATCATTTTCACATCCTGACACATTGGGATAAACAGCAGAAGTTGCTACAAGGAAGGAAGCATCCATGTCTTTGCACACTGATAACCTATTGGAGGTACTCTAATGGGTCAAAGCTCCTTGATTGGGATACTCAGCTGTTTTTGAACACGCTACTTCTACTTTGAATATTCTTCTTCTTCCCTCCCTCTCATTTCTTTGTCTAGTCAGCACCCCCTCATCCTTCAGGAAACCACTTAAGTAGTCCATCTCCCAGAATGTCTCCTGCTGATCTCCCAAGGCCAGGGACGGTGATACTCCCATAGCACTGCTGGGCTTATTCTCAGCTTAGCTCCCCAGATTGTAACTTCTTATTTAGCTGTATCTCCAATGAGACTTTAAACATCTTGAGAAAAGGAACAGCATCCTATTTTTTTAAAATTTTTAGCACTTATACCTATTAAATGGTTAGCACTCAGGGACTACTAATTAGTTGATTGATGAAGTCATGGACTCCTCCTGGATGTATGGTTCTAGTCATCACTGATACACTCTTAAGAAAGCACTCACCTCTGATAATTCTAGCAGAGAATAGTCTGATACAGTTTCTAGGCCCTTGCCCACAGAAATGAGCCAAGCCTGGTCACGCCGTCATGTGCCATATTGTTCTTTCTTATAGTACCCTATTCTTTGCCTATATTATAATTTGTAATAATTGGTGTATTTACTTCTATAATGTCTACCTTTCCCATGAGACTGTAATCTCAGTCAGAGTAGAGACTATTTAGATTTATTCATACAGCATATCTAGCTCTTGGAGCAAGACCTGACTTGGTGGAAATAAATGAATAAATGAAGGAAGAAACTAAGTCACTCTTTCCTTCACAATTCAGATTGCTTGCTATCACCTTTTTTGATGGCAACTTCTAAACTCTGAGTTCTACCAGGATGTGAGGCTATGTATATTCTAGGAAATTAAATGCATATTTTCTGTTGTCTTGGAATTTCCATTAAGCACTAAAACTGAGAACAATAAAAGACAAGCAATGCTGAGTACTGAAGAGAAGTGCCAAATATATCCACATAGGGAGGGCTTACTGAATGGCAGCCAGACTGGTCCAGAGACCAATACCCCAATTCTCATATATAAGCAAAACACAAGGGTTCTTTGGAGGGAACATATGGCATCATTGTGTTGTGACCTTAGAGGAAAGTGTGATGACATTTCTTCCCCCTTTCCCATGGAAGCGAGGATGAGGGTGTTTCCCCCTTTCTTTTGCTGAAGCCAGTGGGAAGATGTTCCTAGAGAACCAGTCATACAGATAAAAGGGTGATCTCACAAAGAGGACAAAAGCATCTCACTCCCCAGCTGGGTTATTAGCAAGGTGTGGAATCAAGGGTCCCAGTGCTACTAAGAGACCCAAATGAAGCAGGCTAAGAGAAGTCTTGGATAAAATTGATATTTGACTCCTGGAACCGAGAGGCATATGTGAACACAGAGAGTTGCACCTGCTTCCTCCTGGCAAACTCTGTGAGAGGGGAGTTGTGAATGCAGGTAATTGCAGGGAGCAGCTCAAGGCAACAGAGCAAAGAATGGGGCAAGCCCATAATGCTTGTTTGTTTATTTACTTATTTACTTATTACGTATTTATTGTCATGACAAGGATGAATGAATTTCCCAAGGACCAAGTGCATACCAAGGAAGATAGGCTTCTATTTTCCTGCTGGGACCCTGACAGCCAGTAAGAAGCTAGTTAGGGTGGGGTGACCCTTTTATTAAATGGCTGAAGGGTAGATCACTAGGGATAGGAGCTGAGGTGATTTATAAGAAGTTACAGAATTCCCCCAATAGAGTGCATTATTCACCTCAGGGAGCCTCTTTGGATTGTTTGAAAAGACCACAAATGTCCCAAAGAACAAGAATTTTGAGCTTCAAATATCACTATGTAAGAATATTTCTAACCCTTTTCTTCTGTGCAATCTCCATCTCCCACTGCATTCCAGAAGAAAAAGAAGGAGGAAAAGGAGAGTGGAAGTACCTCAAGTATGAAAAGGCATAGAATATTTCCTTTTCCTGAGCTCCTGGTCATATTGTGGGCAGAAGAGAATCTTTGAACTAGATGTTTGACTGAGTGTTAGACTGGACTAAGTTGAATATCTGAAAGTGACCAGAAAGCTATGGGAATTTGCTTGCGATGTGAAGATGTTCACAAAGGCAGGAAAAAGAAGAATCAAGAGAAACATTTAGAGAAAATGATTGGAGAAAAATTAAACCATTTCTGATTTTAGCATCACTGAGTTTAGCTCGGCCAATAAACTAATCATGAGTGTTATGGCCTCATCTTTCTAGCCAAGTAAGAATCTTAACATATGTTTGTAAATGACTGGCATACTACTGAAAAAAAATTGTAAAATAAATGTTTAATTCATGGTAGGAATGGACATTTATTTATGCCCAATTTGCCACACAGCCCCCACTCCATGCCTCCTCCTCCATCCCACACTCTACATTACCACCACAACCCTTTGCATCTTCTACATGGAATCCAAACAGTGGGATCAGGCAGGTTGCAGGGGAAATTACCTGGAGTTGCTTTAAAAGCAACGGGCTAAAGCAATGATTATGTGACTCAGATCATACTTACAATCTTCTTCTTCATGAATTCTAATTCTCACATAATTTTAAAAGCGACGTATTTTTGTAAAACAAAGCTGAAATTGTTATTCTCCTACTCGAAACTTTTCGTTAATAATCTGTCGCACCAACATGGCACATGCATACATATGTAACAAACCTGCACATTGTGCACATGTACCCTAGAACTTAAAGTAAAATAATAAAAAAAGAAAAAAAATCTGTCGCTTGCCACAGTGCTACGAGTACTGAGTCTTAGCTAGATATTCAAATCCCTCAGTAATTTGATCCCAAACTGTCTTCCTAATATAAGCACCTATGTGCTTTACATTTTAGATAAATAGAACAGTTTACTTTACTTTTATTCATTCAACAATCTCCATTTTGAATGGGTGAAGACAAAACCTTCATTCAGCAAATATTTACTGTGCACCAGCTATGTGCTTAGTATAGAATGCAAACAAAACCAACCCAGGCCCTTCCCTCACAAAGCTCAGTGGATTTGCAGAAAAAAAAAATTGCAGATGTTTAAGAAGTAAATAATTATTGCCATGGAGCTATGTACTGTAAGTGCTGTGGACAGACCATGATCAATCTAAATGGGTTTTGACATTGATTGACATCCTATCTCCTCATCTCTTTTGTTAGTGAGTTACTTCCAAAGGGCATCCTTGGCACAACCATGAGTCTCTAGGAAAGAGCTGAGGGGAAAGAGTGTCTTGTCTCCCTTCGAGAAACTCATCTATCCGGGTCTCCATCTACACATGGGAAAAGGTTCCTGTCTAAAGGGATCCAGTCAAGAACTCAAGTCATTCATGAGCTTTCCCTTGGGCTTTTCTCACTCTCATTAATTATGTACCTATTTCACTTTTCAAAATACCCTTGCATTCACTCAGCAAACATTTAAACAGCATACCACCTGTCTTTGCCTGTACCGGAAAGCCATCCTCTGATGTCTGTGTGCCTAAATCCCCTAACTCGATGCCATCTCGTGCCGCAACTCTCTCTGATTTTCCCTAAGCCAGATGTGCCTTCTGATCTTCCAGAGCACCTGACTGCGCCTCTCATACAGCCTACCATTTTCTACTTTGTATTATCTTTATATAGATCTCAACTTTTGAGAAAGAGAGGAGGAGAGAAAACAGGGAGTGGAAGAGGGTAGTGAGGCTTGATGACATAAAGGACAGTGAGTCAAACCCCTCATGCTTAGTAACATCCCCTGTGTATTCAATATTATCATAAGCAGGATGAGGGTGCAGGGACATTAAGCTGTAGTCACAGTCTGCAGGAGTCCTCTTGAGAGAAAGGGGGAAAATAGTATTGTAATCTTGTTAGACATGATCTATAAAGAATGTAAGAATACCAAGTTAATTGAGCCACCTCTAAAATTCATAGAAGATTTGAAGTGGTTAAATATAAATTATGGTATGTGATCCAACTTCATATTTTTAAATTGGACAGTATTGACTTTAAAGTGTTTTTCTCCAAGTTTTCAAAATAGTCAATGCTGAAATAGCACCCGTCAAAATGTATCCCGTGACTGTTATAACAAGCTTGTCCTAGATACAAGAAAACTAATTGTGGAGTCTGTTTTTCTCCCTCTTCTATAAATACATTTTAAACAAAGAGTTATGAATTTAATTAAATAAATATTAACACATTCCTTGAAAAAATAAATGTCTTTCATAAGATTTCAGTCTCTTGGCACCACCTCTTCAATAGCCAGAGCAATAAAGGATTTAATCTCATTCAAAACATGAATTTTTAGTGGTACTGGAGTTTCTGGAAAGCAGTTATTGCACACCAGCTTGTTGAAGGAATGTCTTTTGCTTAAGAACTTGACTGAGTCTTCTATTGAAAAAGTTTTACACACTTATGTTTGTGTATTTAGTGGTAAACTGATCTTTTGAATGGTTACATTACAGTCATTTCTTTTCTAAGTCCTGAGGTTAACCAACCTACAAGAACATTGCAAACGTTGAATTAGAATCACAGAAACAATCCCATTACAAAGTGAATAATTTTGGATCGGCTAAAAGAACACTTAGAGTCCTAAATTCAAATATTTTCTTTATCACTAGATCTGCTTGTTACTTTAGAGCTGAAATTAGATAAAAGAAACCACTTTACAATCTCTTTCTTATGGACCCTCGCCATATTTGGACAACTAGTAGAAGTGACATAAGGCAGTCTATGGTCTAACAGTTAAGAGTGAGAATTCTGGAGTCACACCAACATGGATTCAAGTCCTGTCTCTGCCACTCAGTGATTGTGTGGCCTTCAGAGAGTTACTTAATCTGTCCAGGACTCAATTTTCTTAGCTATAAAGTGATGATAATAACTGAACTATATTATAATAATGTTGTTAAGATTAAATAAAGACATATAGAGTATTTAGCATGGTGCCTGGTATATAGGAAGTGTTCAGTAAATGTTATTTATTATTTATCATATTATCATAATTTATTACAGTGTAATGTTATTATTTCCATATCATCCATTGTTCATGAGCTAAGCCATCTTTCATTATCCATCTATCTACCTCCTCCCGTCTTGTGAGAGATTCACACCAACAGAAGCTCTATATGGATGCAGGTCAGTGAGGTGGCTTTGATAGGAAGCAATGTGAGACCCCGTCTCTACTAAAAATATAAAAAATTAGTCAGGCGTGGTGGCACGCACCTGTAATCCCAGCTACCTGAGGCAGGAGAATTGCTTGAACCCGGGAAGCAGAGGTTGCAGTGAGCAGACATTGCGCCATTGCACTCCATCCTGGGCAAGAAGAGCGAAACCCCATCTAGAAAAAAAAAAAGAGTAAGTCAAGGGATGACCTCAATGGAATCTTCTGAGAAAACAAAAATGTACATCATGTTGTCAACCCTTTTATGAACCCACAGAACTTCAGTGATATACATGTGTCCTCAAATGACTTTTGAGCAATTTAAATTAGAGAATCAGACATTCAAGAAACACATATTAAGTGCCTACTATGTACTTGTTATGAATAAGAATAATACAGTCTCTCCCTCATGGAATTAATATTCTAGTAGGAGAAACAAACTTGGGACAACTATTTCCTTATAATTGTGATTAAATGTTTCAAAGAATGAGAAAGGTTAAGCTAAAAAGGTTAAGCTAAGAAGAATGTCTCCTTTCTGATCCCAGAATGTAGGGGTCAGAGAAGGCTTCTGTGAGGAAGTAGTGCTTAGACGGAGATCTTAGAGAGGAGCCATCAATAACTTGGCTGTGGAGAAGGCAGTCCTGGCGAGACAAACAGCATGTGATCAGTCCCTGAAGCTGGAAGGAGTGTGACACATTTGAAAACTGGAAGAAGACCTGTGCAATGAAGCATGGAGGGTGAAGGCAGGAGTGATAGGAAATGAAGCCAGTGAGGTAGACAGGGACCACATCATGCAAGGGCTGTAGGTTGTCTGTCATTGGGACAATTAATGGAGAGCAAATACTGGCTTGATGCAGCTTCAAACTAAGGCAACCAGATATGAAGAATGCTTGCCAGTGGGATAATGGTGTTGAATATAAATTAGAAATTTGTTTATATAAAATAATATAAAATGGAATACCCTAATTTCAAATATTTTAAGGGAGGTTCAGGTATTTTAGGAAAGAGAAAGGAAATAATTTGTTATAAATGACTTTAAGGTGGAAAGGAGACAAAAATAGCAAGGATGGGTGCTGAGACACAATCCTTCAAGGATATCTCATATTTCTGCACTTTTGCAAGTGAAGCTCTGACACTCTGTATTCTTGGCCATTGTTTCAAGGATGTTTGTATTTGAACAGCCTAAGAAGATAGAAGCAGAGTCTCCCTCCAGAGCAAGGGGTTACCATGCTTATTGCCCACTAGAAAAGATTAGAGCTCCCTAATCTCAGGGTTCCTCTCCTTTAATGCAACATACTGCATTCACAGGTGTCAGCTGGGTAGGAACTGGCGCTCAGGGTACGCATATTGAGAGAGAGAGAAAGCAATTAAGAGGGAAGTCAACATAGCATTGTAAATAAAAGCATAGACTTTGGAATCAGACTATTTGGTCTGAATATTAGCTATGCCACTTATTAAAGGTTTACTATTTCCTTTCAGGGAATAGAGTAAAAGGACACGCTTCCCAACTTGTTTTATGAATACAGAATAACCTTAACACAAAACCTGTCAAGGAGGCCTGGAGCGGTGTCTCCTGCCTATAATCCTGGCACTTTGGGAGGCTGAGGCAGATGAATTGCTTGAGCTCAGGAGTTCAAGACCAGCCTCAGCAACATGGGGAAACCCCAGCTCTACAAAAAAATTTAAAAACACAGCCAGGCATGCTGATGCCTGCCTGTAGTCTCAGCTACTTGGGTGGCTGAGGTGGGAGGATCACCTGGCAGGTCGAGGCTTCAGGGAGCTGTGATCAAGCCACTGCACTTCCAGCCTGGGTGACAGAATGAGACTCTATCTAAACAACAACAACAAAAAAAACCCACCTGCCAAGGATATTACAAAAAAGAAAAATTATGGATTAATAGATTAATATATCCAGTAAACATACATGCAAAAATCCTGATGAAAATACTACTAAATTGAATCTAGATGTATAAAAAATAATTCATAATTATCAAGTTGGACTTATTCTAGGAAAACAAAGTCGGGTTTTTTTTGTTTGTTTGTTTGTTTGTTTAGATGGGGTCTTACTCTGTCGCCCAGGCTGGAGTGCGATGGCACAATCTCAGCTCACTGCACCATAAACCTCCCAGGTTCAAGCAATTCTCCTTCCTCAGCCTCCCGAGTAGCTCAGATTAGAGGCACCTGCCATTATGCCCAGTTAATTTTTGTATTTTTATAGAGACAGGGTTTGACCATGTTGGCCAGGCTGGTCTTGAACTCCTGACCTCAGGTGATCCGCCCCCCACCTCGTCCTCCCAAAGTGCTGGGATTATAGGCATGAGCCACCACTCTCAGCCTGGGTTAACATTTTGTAAAAAACAATTATAATTCAACCTATTAACAAAATAAAGGGAAAGAATCATATATTCACCTAAATAGGTACAGAAAGAACATTGATAAAATGCAATTTCTATTCATGATAAAAGCTTTCAGCAAACTAGGAATAAGAAGAGAACTTGGGAACCTCCTTAACGTGATACAGGATACCCTCAAAAATTTATAGCAAACATCATAGTTAATGGTACAATATTGAAAGCTTTCTCTTTGAGACTGGAAATGAAACAAGGATGTCTGCTATCACCACTAATCAAGATAGTGGTAGATTTTCTAGCCAGTGCAACAAGGGCAAGAAAAATAATTCAAAGATATGATATTATATTATAAAGGAATACGCAAATGACATAAGCTATATGGGAAAATTCCAAAAGACTCTATGATAAACAATTACTAACTTTTTTGGCTAAATATACATATTTAACAGGTCATAGGAAGGGCTATTAATATTTACAAAGTTGGTCCTGACACATGTGTATTAAACAAATATGTATGTAACATATGACCCATGTTCATTTTGGGATGGAGACAACATATAAATGTATCATAATTAGATGCTATATGTACACACAGACACTTGAGTGTGTAATTTCTGTAAACCAGCCAGCACTTGCCCATGGTTAATGGCCTTTTTATCAGGAGAAATGTACTGAAATCAGTCTCTTGTCTAATTAAAGCTGTAGTTACAGCTGGTGGAACAGAGAGTAGGGGTCAGTTAGTCAGCTTATCTTGAATCTAGTACCCATTTGGCTACTCATGAAAAAGAAAAGCCTTGTGGCAGCTAGAACATAACTTTTTAAGTGTAGGAGTGTGCGACTTAACTGTTGCCTGGCATGGTCTCAGGTCCTGTTTATAATTTGGTATCTTATTGTTACAAACAGTCTGTTTTGTCAGTTTTATGATCTATATTTTTTATTATACTTTAAGTTCTGAGATACATGTAAAGAATGTGCAGGTTTTTTACATAAGTATACACGTGCCATGGTGGTTGGCTGCACCCATCAACCCGTC
This sequence comes from Homo sapiens, assembly GCF_000001405.40. Classification (NCBI taxonomy): domain Eukaryota; kingdom Metazoa; phylum Chordata; class Mammalia; order Primates; family Hominidae; genus Homo; species Homo sapiens. Next base: position 65,340,567 of record NC_000008.11, read on the forward strand.
ATCTACATTAGGTATTTCTCCTAATGCTATCCCTCCCCTAGCCCCCAACTCTCTGACAGGCCCCAGTGTGTGATGTTCCCCTCCCTGTGTCCATGTGTTCTCATTGTTCAACTCCCACTTATGAGTGAGAAAATGTGGTGTTTGGTTTTCTGTTCGTGTATTAGTTTGCTGAGGATGATGGTTTCCAGCTTCATCCATGTCCCTGCAAATGATATGAACTCATACATTTTAATGGCTGCTTAGTATTCCATGCTGTATATGTGCCACATTTTCTTAATCCAGTCTATCATTCATGGGCATTTCGGTTCCAAGTCTTTGCTATCGTGAATAGTGCGACAATAAAAATACATGGGCATGTGTCTTTATAGTAGAAAGATTTATAATCCTTTGGGTATATACTCAGTAATGGGATTGCTGGATCAAATGGTATTTCTGGTTCTAGATCCTTGAGGAATCGCCAACTGTCTTCCACAATGGTTGAACTAATTTACACTCCCACCAACAGTGTAAAAGCGTTCTTATTTCTCCACATCCTCTCTGGCATCTGTTGTTTCCTGACTTTTTAATGATCGACATTCTAACTGAGATGGCATGAGATGGTATCTCATTGTGGTTTTGATTTGCATTTCTCTAATGACCAGTGATGATGAGCTTTTTTTCATATGTTTGTTGGCTGCATAAATGTCTTTTTTTTTTTTTTTTTTTTTTTTTTTTTGAGATGGAGTCTCACTCTGTCTCCCAGGCTGGAGGGCAGTGACACAATTTCAGCTCACTCCTCCCGGGTTCTACCTCCCAGGTTCAAGCGATCCTCCTACCTCATTCTCCTGAGTAGCTGGGACTACAGGTGTGCACCACCACACCTGGCTAATTTTTTGAATTTTTAGTAGAGACGGGGTTTCCCTGTGTTAGCCGGGATGGTCTCAATCTCCTGACCTTGTGATCCACCTGCCTCGGCCTCCCAAAGTGCTGGGGTCCGCGCCCAGCCATAAATGTCTTCTTTTGAGAAGTGTCTGTTCATATCCTTTGCCCACTTTTTGATGGGGTTGTTTCTTTCTTGTAAATTTGTTCAAGTTCCTTGTAGATTCTGAATATTAGCCCTTTGTCAGATGGATAGATTGCAAAAAGTTTCTCCCATTCTGTAGGTTGCCTGTTCACTTTGATGATAGTTTTTTTTTTTTTGCTGTGCAGAAGCTCTTTAGGTTAATTAGATCTCATTTGTCAATTTTGGCTTTTGTTGACACTGCTTTTGGTGTTTTAGTCATGAAGTCTTTGCCTATGCCTATGTCCTGAATGGTATTGTCTAGGTTTTCTTCTACGGCTTTTATGGTTTTAGGTCTTAGGTTTAAGTCTTTAATCCATCTTGAGTTAATTTTTGTATCAGGTGTAAGAAAGTGGTCCTTTCAGTTTTCTGCATATGGCTAGCCAGTTTTCCCAACACCATTTATGAAATAGGGAATCCTTTCCCCATTTCTTGTTTTTGTCAGGTTTGTCAAATATCAGATGGTTGTAGATGTGTGGCATTATTTCTGAGGCTTCTGTTCTGTTCTGTTGGTCTATATATCTATTTTGATACCAGTACCATGCTGTTTTGGTTCCTGTAGCTTTGTAGTATAGTTTGAAGTCAGGTAATGTGATGCCTCCAGCTTGGTTCTTTTTGCTTAGGATTAAATAAGAGAGAACACAAACAAATGGAAAAACATTCCATGCTCATGGATAGGAAGAATCAATATCATGCAAATGGCCATACTGACCAAAGTAATTTATAGATTTAATGCTATCCCCTTCAAGGTACCATTACGTTTCTTCACAGAAGTAGAAAAATTATTTTAAATTTCACATGAAACCAAACAATTACTTACTAATTTTAATAATTTATCATAGATTTGTTTGCTATTTTTTGGTTGCTGGATACAAGGTCAATAAAGAAGTAAATTTTATTTCCACATAGAAGAAACATAGTCAGAAAATTTTAAATGTTTTAAAGGTCTCATATATAATGTCATCAAAAATATCAAACACCTAGGAGAAAATCTAAGTAAAAATGTTTAAACTACACAGAAACTCTAAAACACCATTGAGAAAAATTGAAGATCTAAATAAGTAGAATGATACGCCAAGTTCATGCTTTGAAAGACTCAATAATGTAAAGAAGTTAACTCACCCAAATTGATCTATAGATTTTAATGTAATTGATATTCCAATAAAAAGCCATTTATGGTTTTTGATGAATTTAGTCTAAAACTCAGATGAAAGGATTCTAGTTTTAGAAATATGGATTAGCCATTATTTTTCCATTTCTTCAATTAAGCACAACTAAAAACCCTAGATACTATGTACAAAGCAAACAAGATGAGCGAAAGGTGGAGAAGAGAAGACAGAGTGGCTGGAGACCTCAGGACCCAATTAGCTACAAACTGGTAAGATTCATGGGTCTTCTTTTTGCCTCATATATCCCAACTGAGTGCTAGAGAAGCCAGCAAGTCACAAAAGGTAATGAGCAGAGACAAAAATGAAATAAACAAGCAATAAATAAGTAAATAAATAAATAAATAAATAAATAAAGGCTGATTTCTAGCCTTTGGATAAAGAAAGAGACAGCCAAGCAAGACAGAAAACTATTAGACAATAACTGTTCTCCTACAATCAACTATCACAGAAGAAACCTATGGCCTCAACCATTTCTCCTCTAACACAAATCATATGAAGAGCCTAGACTTTCAAAATATCCAGGTTGTAACAAGACTCTCCAACCTCCCCTCTGCGATGGTGCCAAAGGAAAGTCAAGTGGGAAACGAGAACTTTCATCTCCTCTGGGTAGTGACAAGAACCTCCCCCCACTGACAGTTCAGTGGAGAACACGTGCAAGTCCAAGCTTTTCACCCCCACTTGGCAGTAATGATGCCACCTCATCCCAACCCAAGAAGACATAGCATTCCTAAATACATATTACCACACCACAGAGGTGCAAAATATGTGAAGCAAACTGATATAACTGAAAGGAGGACTAGACAAATCCACTATGAAGACTATTCAACACCCCTCTCTCAGCAATAGACAGAAGAGAGAAAATAATCAAAGTTATAGAACTCAACGCCATCAGCCAACAAGATCTAATTGACATTTATAGAATGCTCAATAGAATACATATTCATTTCAAGTTCCCACAGAACATATATTAGATAAATAATATGCTGCTTCACAAAACAAACCTCAACAAATTTGAAAGAATTTAAATCATACAGAGTATGTTCTTCCACCACAATGGACTGAAACTAAAAATCAATAACAGAACGTGACAGGAAAATTTTCACATATTTGAAAACTAAACAATGAACTTGTACATAATCTATGGGTCAAAAAAGTCTCCACGGAAATTTTTTTTAATCCATTGAGTTGAAAGAAAATGAAAATACAACGTATCAGAAATTTCTGGGATGCAATTAAAGCAGTGATGACAGAGAAACTTACATTGCTAAATGCATACGTTAAAAGATTGAGTCAATAGTCTAAATTCCCACCTCAAGAACTTAGAAATAGAAGGGCAAAATAAACTCCAAGCAAGCAGGAGAAAGGAAATAAAAATAAGAGCAGATACCAATGAAATTGAAAAGAAAATTTCTTGAACAGGAAAAACTACAACTCACTTAATATAAAACTATTTCAATAGCCTAATAACAACTGTAAAAGTTGAAACTCACAAATAAATGATCTCCAGGCCCAGATAGTTTCACTGGAGAATTCTACCAAACATTTAATAATTAACACCAGGTTCAGCCATAATGGCTCACATCTATAATCCCAACATTTTGGGAGGCCAAGGGTGAAAGGGTTTCTTGAGCCCAAGAGTTTAAGACCAGCCTAGGCAACACAGGGAGACCTTGTCTCTATAAATAACAAAAAGTTAAAAATTATCTGGGCATGGTGGCATGTGCCTGTAGCCCCAGCTACTTGTGGGGCTGAGATGAGAGGACCACTTGAGCCCAGTTGGTGAGGCTGCAGTAAGCCATGTTCACACCACTGCACTCCAGCCCCAGCAACAGAACAAGACCCGATCTCAAAAAAATAAATAAATAAATAAAAATAAAAAATTAACACTAATTCCACAAAATCTATTCCAAAAAATAAGAGTGAACACTTTTGTATCAGTTGAGGTTCTCCAGAAAAACAGAACCAATAGGGACTGTGTGTGTTGAGGGTGGGGTATTTTAAGGAGCTGGTTGACATGACTGGGAAGCTGGCAAGTCTGAAACCTGTAAGGCATTAAGGCTAGGGGAGAGTTTATGTTGCATTCTTGAGTCCTAGGCATTCTGGAGGCAGAATACCTTCTTCTTCTAGGGATCTCAGTCTTTCCTCTTAAGGCCTTCTACTGACTGGATGAGGGAGGCCCAGCCATGTTATGGAGGATAATCTACTTTACTCAGTCTGCTGATTTAAATGTTAATCACATCTTTAAAAATACCTTCACAGTAACATCTAAACTGATACTGGGTTCCATAGCCTAGCTAAGAGGACATATAAAATTAACCATCACAATTTCTCAATTCATTGTATGAAACTAGCATTACCTTGATATCTAAACCAGATGAAGCCAGTACAAACACATATCTGGAGACAAATATGCTTCATGTACAGGCAAAAATCCTTAACAAATGTTAGCAAATAGAATTCGGAAAAATAGAAAATATCACATGACCAAATTGAGTTTATTCCGAGGACACAAAGTTGATTCAATATTTGAAAAGCAGTCAATGAAATCTACCATATAATAGGCCAAAGAAAAATTATCATGATCATATCAAATTATGAAGTAAAATCATTTGACACCTTTCAACTCCCATTTATAATTGAAAACTTCCAGAAAAAATAGAGAATTTCTTCAAGCCGATAAAAAGCATCTATCAAACAACTATAATCAACAATATACTTAGTGGTGAATGACAGCATTTCTCCCAAAATTGGAAATAAGGCAGAGGTGTCTTCTTTCAACTCTCTTATTCAACATTGTGCTGGGATTTTTGCCATTGAAATGAAGCAAGAAGGGCCGGGCTTCGTGGCTCACACCTGTAATCCCAGCACTTTGGGAGGCCGCGGAGGGTGGATCACGAGGTCAGGAGATTGAGACCATCCTGGCTAACACGGTGAAACCCCGTCTCTACTAAAAATACAAAAAATTAGCCGGGCATGGTGGCGGGCACCTGTAGTCCCAGCTACTTGGGAGGCTGAGGCAGGAGAATGGCGTGAACCCAAGAGGCGAAGCTTGCAGTGAGCCGAGATTGTGCCACTGCACTCCAGCCTGGGTGACAAAGCAAGACTCCGTCTCAAAAAAAAAAAAAAAAAGAAAAGAAATGAAGCAAGAAAAAAAGAAAAAAGCCCTACAGATTAAAAAGGAAGAAAAAAGAAATCCATATTTGCACATGATGTGATTGTCTGTATAGGAAAATCACAGGAAATCTACAAAAAGCACCTAGAACTAGTAAGTTCAGCAAATTTACAAGATACACGATCAACATACAAAAATCAATTCTATCTCTGCTTACTAGCAATAAACATGAAAAAATTAAGTGCCATTTACAAAAAATTTTGAATGCTGAGGTGTAAATCTAACAAAATAGGCACACAACTTGCATGCCGAAAAGTAAAAAACACTGACGGGAGAAATCAAAAAAGATCTAAATAAATGGAGAGACATACTGTGTCCATGGATTGGAGGACTCAACATAGTAAGGATGTCAATTCTCCCCAAACTGTTATACACGTTTAATATAATTTCTATAAAAATTTAACCAGGATATTTTATAGCAATAGACAAAATTATTCTAAAATATATATGGAAAAACAAAGGATCTAAAATAGCTAAGACAATTTTAATAAAGAAGAATAAACTGGAAAGAACCACTTTCCCTGGTCTCAAGATGTATGACATAGCTACAGTAATCAAGACTATGTGGCACTGACAGGATATACACAGATCAAAGGAACAGAACCCCACATGAGTGCTGTCAACTGATTTTTGACAAAGATGCAAAAGCAATTCAATGGGGAAAGAATAGTTTTTCAACAAATGATCCTGGTACAATCAGACATCCAGAGGGGGAAAAAAAGAATCTTGATCTAAACTTCACATATTATAGAAAAGTTAACTCATAACAAATCACAGATTTAAATGTAAAGTATAACACTGTAAATTTTTTGAAGAAAACATAGGATGCTTGCAACATGGTGACTACCGTTAATAACAACCTATTGTATTCTTGAAAAATGCCAACAAAAGAGTAGATTTTAAGTGTTCTGACCACAAAAAAATGACAAGTATATGAGGTAATGCATATGTTCATTAGCTCAATTTAACCATTCCACAATGTGTAAAAATTTCAAAGCATGTTGTATACAATAAATATACACAATTTGTATTTGTCAATTAAAACTTAATTTTAAACCCTGGTAATGACCGTGGGTTCTAGGGAGTAGGAAAATTGCCTTCCTAGGAAGTGAAGTAGGCACTTGACCAGTAGGAAGAGGATCACAATTGTCATAATGAGTACTACTGGGGTTTGGAATCCTGTGCAGAGTCATTGGCTCTATACAGAACAGATCTGCAGTTTCCAGGACTATTGGTATGTATGTTTTTGAATACTTGTATAACATTATGCATTGCTGTAAGGTCAATTTTTATTTCCTTGAGGAGCTGTTGCACTTGCCCAGTATTGATCCACATACAAGAAGTTCCCTGCAATGAGCATACTCCTCCTTGGGCAGCTAATAAGTACTCTAAGGCTAGGTGATTGTCTAATACCATTTGGGCTAGAAAGTCTTGTCTCTGAGTTAAGAGGTATAGGGCTTGGAATGCTTTGTGCATGTACGAGGATAGGGCCAGGGCCATTTGCTTGTTGGTGGTAATGGTATCCAGTGCTATGTGTGGGGCGCCCAGTATGGTCATGGTCCACATGGACAAGCAGATCAGGAAGGGAGCTTTATTCAGTGGAAGGTTGGATTTTAGGGTAGTTTATGGAAACTTATAAGTAGGCCTGAAACACCTCGTGTGTACTTACAGGGGGTGAAGTAATACAGGTAAGGAAGCAGAGTATATAGTATAGATGCTGCCCTTCTTTGGACCATAAGAGACCATTGTCATCGTATTAGAAGGCTAAAAACAGACAGTTCCCTAGCCACAGATAATTTATGTGCTGATATGAAGTGAGCATGAGCTACATTACTCACTTGTAAGGGCAGAAAAGGATGATATAAACATCACATCCCTGTCTTGTCTAAATACATGATGCACATAGATCTTGGCTGCAAAAAATTGGGCTGTGCTGTGGCAGCATGGAACAGGATGAGAGGCTTAGGATGGAACATGTATCCCCATCTAACAAAGGACCAGGTGGCTTGCAGGCTACGCAATACTCTGTGGTATAGGCCTGTGCAGCAGGGGTCTCTAGGAGAGGGCTTTTATGGCAGGTCTAGCAGTTCAGGGATTGCAGCGTCTGGGCTGAAATTTCCATGAGATGATATGCACCCAATAGGTGGTAAAAGCCTGGTGCATGTGAGGAAAAGGGGGGACTGTCTGTATGATGTTCTGGGAGGTTTCAGACATCCCCTTATAGTTGTAGGGTGCCAGGCAGATATCACTGTGCTGAGGGAGACCTAAAGTTAGTGTTAGAATGGCGTCGCTGGACCCAACAAATAGCAGTTCCCCCATATGTTTAGGAGGGCACAAAGGATTGGGATATCCTGAATGTGGCCCTTTAGGCAGAGAACAGGGCCTCAGGGGAAGGAGCAAGAGTTAGTTAGCAAGCAGTGTTTGTTGACCCAGTATGCCTCTAGATGGCTCAGTGTCGTGTTACACTCATGTGGGTTTTGACCCACTATTTGGCAGAAGACCTGTATGTGAGGCGAAGCTGGATTTGAGGTTAGACATACTACATATTCCAGGAGAAATAAAGAATCCAAGATATCAAACTCGTAGAATGACCCACCGTTAGAGTCCAGGGCAGTGGTTGCTATAGCACGCAGACTGGCTGGGGCAGCAGGAGCAGGAGGCAGGCTGAAGAAGCCAGCCATGACCCACAGGGTGAGGATGATGTGATTTGTCCAGCACTGTCAGTGAAGTACACCACTCCCTTTCTGCTTCAGATAGTTGGAACCAAGGGTCTTCCCACCTAGCAAGTGGTGACAGCAGTGGAGTTACCACCAGTGTTGTCCCATCATTCATGAACAAGAGGTTGAATATAGGGGAGGCCACTTCCTCCTGCAGCTTAGAAAGACCTCCTTTATCAATTTAGCCCTGTCCTGAAGGTACCATTTTCATTTTTTTTTTCAGTAGCCATGCCATGCCATGGGGCAAGGGGGTTTCCTTAACTCAGGGCATGATGGGCACTTGGGTTCTGAGCCCCAGTGGCTTAGAACTTGCAATGGTCCCAGACTCTAATAATGCCCAATAGGCCACCAGAAGTTGATGAATCCAAAGGCATACAGCAGGAGGCCATGAGAGACAAGCATCTGGATGAGAACCCCATGGGTAGCCAGTGAACATCATGCTTCATCCATAAGCTCCAGGAGCCATGTTCCTCAGTGGCCAGGGCTTACACTCAGAAGTCAGTACTGGATGGCACTTGAGGAAGGGTTGTTGTATGGCCAGTTGTACCAGCTCTGAGGCATGTTGCTGTGGGAACCCTCATGTGAAGGTGATGGATTTACAGGTGATCTCATAAATTGGCCAGAAGAACAGCAGGAGATGTGATAAATACTAATACCAGGAGCCAAAGAAACCCAATAGGTATGGGGTCATGTTGAGCATCGAGGGAGTTTTTAAGAGACGCTATTATTTGACTACATCAGGAATCTGACTACTCTCAGAGGACCAGAAAATGCCCAGGAACTTAATTTGAGTGGCAAGGCTCTGAAATTTATTGGGACACAATGGCTCAACTTCTACTTCAAAGACCAGCAATTAATGTGATCAAGTCTTGCAGGAGTGACTCTTGGAGCCAGATCCAGGATATCCACACTATCATCACAGAGATGAAACACAGTCACCTTCTTTGGAGGACTTGGCAGATTTATACAATGACAGCTGCAAGCATGAAATTTGGCTTTGAGCAATCCCAATTATTTATTTGGATATTGGAAAGACCAAGGTCAGTATTTTATAAGGAGCTTCTCTACTAAGACACTCAAATGTAGGTGCCATGATGGCAGGGAGGGGTTTTATTTCCACTTTTAATTTTTTTTTTTTACTTTTATTTTAGGTTCAGTGATACATGTGCAGGAATGTTATATAGGAAAACTTGTGTCACAGGGATTTGTTGTACAGATTATTTCATCACCCAGGTACTAAGCCCAGTACACAATAGTTATTTTTTCTGATCCTCTCCCTCTGCCCATTCTCTGCCCTCAAGTAGGTTGGCCCCGGTATCTGTTGTTCCCCTCTTTGTGTCCATGTGTTCTCATGATTTAGCTCCCACTTTAAGTGAGAACATGCAGTCTTTGGTTTTCTGTTCCTGCATTAATTTGCTAAGGATAATGGCTTCCAGCTCTATCCACGTTCCTGCAAAACACATGATCTTTTTCTTTTTTATGGCTGCATAGTATTCCATGGTGTATATGTACCACATTTTCTTCATCCAATCTGTCATTGGTGGGCATTTAGCTTGATTCTGTCTTTGCTATTGTGAATAGTGCTGCAATGAACATTCATGTGCATGTGACTTTATGGTAAAACGATTTCTATTCCTTTGGATATATACCAGTAATGGGATTACTGGGTTGAATGGTACTTCTGTTTTTAGTTCTTTAAGGAATTGCCACACTGCTTTCCACAATGGTTGAACTAATTCACACTCCTACCAACAGTGTGTAAGTATTCCCTTTTCTTCACAACCTTGCTAGAATCTGTTATTTTTAGACTTTTTAATAATAGCCATTCTGATTGGGGTGAGATGGTATCTCATTGTGGTTTTGATTTGCATTTATCTAATGATCAGTGATATTGAGCTTTTTTCTTATGCTTGTTGGCCACATGTATATCTTCTTTTGAGAAGTATCTGTTCATGTCCTTTGCCCACTTTTTAATGGGACCATTTGTTTTTTCTTGTAAATTTGCTGAAGTTCCTGTAGATACTGAATATTAGACCTTTGTCAGATTCATGGTTTGCAAATATTGTCTTCTATTCTGTAGGTTGTCTATTTATTCTGTTTATAGTTTCTCCTGCTGTGCAGAAGCTCTTAAGTGTAATTAGATCTCATTTGTCAATTTTTGCTTTTGTTGCAACTGCTTTCAGCATCTTCATCATGAAATCTTTAAATATTCATATTACAGAATGGTATTGCCTAGGTTGTCTTCCAGGGTTTTTATAATTTTGGATTTTACATTTAAGTCTTTAATTCATCTCGAGTTGATTTTTGTATATGGCGTAAGGAAAGGTCCAGTTTCAATCTGCATATGGCTAGCCAGTTATCCAACACCACTTATTGAATAGGGAGTTCGTTCCCCATTGTGTGTGTCAGCTTTGTTGAAGATTACATGAGTGTAGGTCTGTGGCCTTATTTCTGGGCTCTCTATTCTGTTCCATTGGTCTATACGTCTGCTTTTGTCTCAGTACCATGACATTTATGTTGTGGCCCTATTGTGTAGTTTGAAGTCAGATAACATGATGCCTCCAGTTTTGCTCTTTTTGCTTATGATTGCCTTGGCTATTTTGGCTCTTCTTTGGTTCCATATGAATTTTTAAGTGGTTTTTTTCTAGTTCTTTGAAGAATGTCATTGGTATTTTGATAGAAATAGCATTGAATTGGTAAATTGCTTTGAGCAATATGACCACTTTAACGATGTCAATTCTTCCTATCCATGAGCATGGAATGTTTTCCTATTTGTTTGTGTCATCTCTGATTTCTTAGAGCAGTGTTTTGTAATTCTCATTGTAAAGATCTTTCACCTCCCTGGTTACCTGTATTCCTAGGTATTTTATTTTATTTTATCTTTTAGACAGAGTCTTACTCTGTCACCCAGGCTGGAGTGCAGTGTCACGATCTCAGCTCACTGCAACTTCTGCCTCCTGGGTTCAAGTGATTCTCCTGCCTCAGCCTCCCAAGTACCTGGGATTACAGGCACATGCCACCATGTCCAGCTAATTTTCATATTTTTAGTAGAGACAGAGTTTCACTATGTTGGCCAGGCTGGTCTCAAACTCCCAGCCTCAGGTGATCTGCCAGCCTTGGCCACCCAAAGTGCTGGGATTATAGGCATGAGCCACCATGCCCAGTCTGGTATTTTATTCTTTTTATGGCAGTTGTGAATGGGATTGTGTTCTTGATTTGACTCTTGATTGGGCTGTTGTTGGTATATAGGAATGCTAGTGATAATTTTGTGTGTTAATTTTGTATCCTGAAACCTTGAGGAAGTTGTTTATCAGCTGAAGGAACTTTTAGGCTGAGACTATGGGGTTTTCCACACATAGAATCATGTCATCTGCAAACAGTGATAATTTTATTTCCTCTCTTCCTATTTGGATGCCCTTTCTTTCTTTCTCTTGCCTGATTGCTCTGGCCAGGACTTCTAATACTATGTTTAATAGGAGTGGTGAGAGAGGGTCTACTTGTCTTTTGCCAGTTTCCAAGGGGAATGCTTCCAGCTTTTGCTCATGCAGCATGATGTTGGCTGTGGGTTTGTCATAGATGTCTCTCATTATTTTGAGGTATATTCCTTCCATACCTAGTTTATTGAGAATTTTTAACATAAAGGCTGTTGAATCTAATTGAAAGCCTTTTCTGAATCTATTAAGATAATCATGTGGTTTTTGTCTTTAGTTCTGTTTATGTGATGAATCACGTTTATTGATTTGTATATGTTGAACCAACCTTGCATACCAGGGATAAAGCCTACTTAATTATGGTGGATTCGCTTTTTGATGTGCTGCTTGATTCCATTTGTAAGTATTTTGTTAAGGATTGTTGCAGCAATGTTCATCAAGAATATTAACCTGAAGTTTTCTCTGTTGTGTCTCTGCCAGGTTTTGGTATCAGGATTATGCTGACCTCATAGAATGAGTTAGGGAAAAGTTCCTCCTCCTCAACTTTTTGGAATAGCTTCAGGGGGGATACTACCAGCTCTTCTTTGTATATCTGGCAGAATTCGGCTGTGAATCCATCTGGTCCTGGGCTTTTTTTTGGTTGGTAGGCTATTTATTACTGATTCAAATTCAGAACTCATTATTGATCTGTTCAGGGAACCAATTTCTCCCTGGTTCAGTCTTGGGAGGGTGTATGTGTCCAGGAATTTCTCCGTCTCTTCTAGGTTTTCTAGTTTGTATACATAGAGGTGTTTGTAATAGTCTCTGATGGTTGTTTGTATTTCTGTGGGGTCAGTGGCAACATACACTTTTGTCATTTCTAATTGTGTTTATCTTTATATTCTCTCTTTTATTCTTTACTTGTCTAGCTAGTGGCCTATATATCTTATTAATTTTTTCAAAAACCCAACTTTTGGATTCGTTGATCTTTTGAATGGTTGTTCCTGTCTCTTATCCCCTTTAATTCAGCTCTGATTTTGCTTGTTTCCTGTCTTCTGCTAGCTTTGGGGTTGGTTTGCTCTTGCCTCTCTAGTTCTTTTAGTTGTGATGTTAGGTTGTTAATTTGAGATATTTCTAACTTTTTGATGTGAGTGTTTAGTGCTATGAATTTCCCTCTTAACACTGCCTTAGCTGTGTCCCAGAGATTCTGGTATGTTGTATCTTTATTCTTAATAGTTTCAAAGAACTTCTTGATTTCTGCCTTAATTTCATTGTTTATCTAAAAATCATTCAGGAAAAGATAGTTTAATTCCCATGTAATTGCACAATTTTGAGTGTTTTTTAGTCTTGAGTTCTATTTTTATTGCACTGTGGTCTGAGAGAGTGTTTGGTATGATTTCAGTTCTTTTGTATTTGCAGAGGATTGTTTTATGTCCAATTGTGTGGTTCATTTTAGAGTATGTGCCATGTGGCAATGAGAAGAATGTATATTCTGTTGTTATGGGGAAGAGAGTTCTGTAGGGCTCTATTAGATCCACTTAGCCCAATGTTGAGTTCAGGTCCTAAATATCTTTGTTAATTTTCTGCCTCAATGATCTGTCTAATACCATCAGTCAGGTGTTAAAGTCTCCCACTGTTATTGTGTGGGAGCCTAAGTCTTTTTGTAGGACTCTAAGAACTTTCTTTATGAAACTGGGTGCTCTTGTGTTGGGTGCATATATATTTAGAATAGTTAGGTCTTCTTGTAGAATTGAAACCTTTACCACTATGTAATGCCCTTCTTTGTCTTTTTTAATCTTGGTTGGCTTAAAGTCTCTTTTATATGAAATTAGGGTTGCAACCCCTGCTTTTTTTCTGATTTCCATTTGCTTGGTAGATTCTCCTCCATCTCTTTATTTTGAATCTATGGGTGTCATTGCATGTGAGATGGGTCTGTTGAAGACAGCATACAATTGGGTCTTGCTTTTTTATCCAGCTTGCCACTATGTGCCTTTTAAACAGGGCACTTAGCCCATTTACATTCAAGGTTAGTATTAATATGTGTGGATTTGATCCTGTCATTGTGGTGTTAGCTCATTATTATGCCAGCATGTTTTTGCAGTAGCTTTATAGTGTCAGAGGTCTGTGTACTTAGGTGTATTTTTGTATTGGCTAGTAATGGTCTTTCCTTTTCATATTTAGTGCTCCTTTCAAGATCTCTTGTAATGTGAGTCTGGTGGTAACAAACTCAGTATTTGCTTCTCTGAAAAGTATCTTATTTCTCCTTCAATGAGGAAGCTTAGTTTGGCTGGATATGAGACTCTTGGTTGAAGACTTTTTTTTAAAGAACATTAAATATAGGTCCCAAATTTCTTCTGGATTGTAGGATTTCTGCTGAGAGGTGGGGTTAGCCTGATGGGGTTTCTCTTGTAGCTGACCTGCCTTTTTTGCTAGCTGCCTTTAACATTCTTTCATTTGACCTTTAAAAATCTGATGATTATGTGTCTCTGGGATAATCATTTGCAGAATCTTGCAAGAGTTATCTGTATTTCCTGAATCTGACCATTGGCCTCTCTAGTGAGATTGAGGAGGTTTTCATGAACAATATCCTGAAATATGTTTTTCAAGTTGTTTGCTTTCTCCCTATCCCTTTCAGGGATGCCAATGATTCATAGATTTGGCCTCTTTACATCATCTCATATTTCTTGGAGGTTTTGTTTGTTCATCTTCATTCTTTTTTCTTCATTTTTGTCTGACTGTCTTATATCAGAGAACCAGTTTTCAAGTTCTGAGATTTTTTCCTCAGTTTGGGCTATTCAGCTGTTAATACTTGTGACTGCATTGTGAAATTCTTGTAGTGTGCTTTTCAGCTCTATCAGATTTGTTAGCTTCTTTTTTATACTGGCTCTTTTGTCTCTCAGCTCCTGTATTGTTTTATTGTGGTTCTTAGTTTCCTTGAATTGGGATTTGCTCTTCTCCTGAATCTTGATAATCATTCCTATCCATTTTCTGAATTCTATTTCTGTCATTTCAGCCAACTCAGCCTAGTTAAGAACCTTTGTTGAAGAACTAGTGTGATCATTTTGAGGACATAGGACACTCTACTCTGGCCATTTGAGTTGCCAGAGTTCTTACATTAGTTCTTTCTCATCTCTGCATATGGGTGTTCCTTTAACTGCTGAGCCACTTCTGATTGAAGTGATGAGGTGGGGGCAGCGTAATTGTGTTGGAGTCTCAGGTCAGGCAGCCTTGCCCATTGAGAAGTGAGGACCAGAACCTGTGTGGAGAAGAGTCTGGCCACCTTTCCATGAGGTGACCACTCTGTTTTCATGATCCAAACCAGCCTCTGGTCCCCGTAGACTCTCCAGAGCCTGGAGACAGCAAGGGCATGGGCTTCAAATGGCAACTCACCCCTCCTGCTGGGAGCTCTGTCCCAGGGAGTTTCAGAGCTGCTACTGGTTAGATATCCCTAGCTTGGGCAGGGGGTGGGTAGCTGGAGACCCTGGACAGGAGGACCCACCCAGTGAGGAGATGAGGGATTGGGAATCTACATAACAAAAGTCTGGCCACTTTTCCATAGGGCTGCTGCAGTGTGCTGGGGGTCCACTCCAGTCCCTAGTCACCTTGGATTTTCCAGTACCTGAAGGGATCGACAATGAAGGCTGCAAAACTGTAAAAACTGCAGCTTGCCCCACCCTCTGAGAGTTTCAACCCAGGGAAGTATGAACCTGCTGCTGGCCCAAACACACCAGCAGGGGTGGTTTCAGAACTCAGTCTGGAGATTCCACCCAGTGAATAGAAACAGGATCCAGGACCTGAGTGAAAAAGCAGTCTGACTGTTTTTCCATAGAGCTTCTGTGCTGTGCTGGGGGACTGCTCCAGTCCTTAGTCACTTCGGACTCCCTAGAGCCTGAAAGCAAAAACGGCTAAGGCTGTGAAACAGAAAAGATGGCAGCCCATCCCTCCCACTGGGAACTCCATCCCAGGGAGGCTTGGAACCATTGCCAGAAAACACCAGCAAGGTGGCTAATGACCCCAATCAGGAGATTCAACTCAGTGAGGAGAAGCGGGGTCAGGGACCTGCATTTAAAAAACAGTTTGGCCACTTTTTTGTAACACAGCTGCACCAAAGGCAACAATGGCTAAAGCTGCAAAACAGCAAAGATGGTGGTCTCCCTCTCCCTCTGGAAGCTCCATCTCAAGGAGGTGTAATGCTACTACTGGTGGCTGGTTGGACTTCAAAGCCAGTGGGTCTTTTATCCAGTGAGTTACCATAGAAGTGGGGCCTGCAACTGTAGCTGCTCAGCCTACTAGATTCAGTCCCTTTCCTAGGGGTATGTACAGGGATCTAACCTCCCACTTTGCTAGAGCTGCAGCTGCTTTTGCCAGGAAGTCTGATATCTAAAGTTCCCAGGGCTCTAGGTATACCTGGGCAGCTGCCCTGCTGAAACTCCATGTAGCTGTGCATGTCAGACGACAAGCCCTGGTGTGGTGGGTTTACGAGGGGATCTCCTGACCCAAGGATTGCAAAGATCCATGGGAGAAACATGGGTCCCCAAGGTTGTTCACTCATTCACCCACCACTTCCCTGGGTTGGGGAGGCTCCCCTGGCTCCATGTCATTCCCAGGTGGACAGTCATCCTGCCTTGCTTTTCTCTGTTCTCCGTGGGTTGAGTTGTTTTCTTGATGAATCCCAATGCCTGTACCTGAATACTTCAAGTTGCTTCAAGTTGAAGGTGCTTTATTTACTCACCTCTTCTATTTCTCTCCGTGAGAGTGGTGCACACTAGCTGCTTCTAGTCAGCTATCTCAGCCAGCCCCTTTTTCATCAGTTCCTTCTACTTTTTAAATTTTGTTCTCTGTATATTCTCTGTGCCTGGTACATAGCTGGTACGCAATAATTATTCATCAAATAAATGAACTCACAGCTTCCAACTCATATGAATCACTGGCATTTAGTTATCTCAGATTAACTATCTCCCTAAAGGCTAGCATTACTAGAGGTTTCCAATTTGCAGGCTCAATTAACACCTGATGAAACATTGTTCCTTGACCTCCTGCTTTTGCACTTAGACAGGGCCATTCCAGTGTCATTGATGAAGGAACAAATGTTTTCCAGGGACTCTGAAATCAAAAGACCTTGGTTGCACCCTCACTCTACCTAGAGGTGCAAGTGCAGACAGCACTGCTTTCTGTGAGCATAACCTTCTGAGCTGCAATTAAGCCTCTTTTCTCCCTCTTTCATGTCTCACTTTTTGTCTTCATCTGGGAGATAGGGAACAAAACTGTCACTATTGATCTTACCCCTTCTCCTTCTTTCTATCAAGTCTCAGCAGATTTTCTCCCTTATTTGCTGATTGTCTTTCTTAGCTTGGTCTGGGTTTGGTCTGGCTGTGCCCAGAAAGGCACTGCTCACTCCCCTCTGTACTAGGAAGAGTACTTAGATCACCTGGGGGTCCAAGGTTGCTTGCAGTCTTCTGTGCCAGCTCAAAGCACAAGACCACCCCACTGCCTTCTACTGTCATACCATACAATTACACATGCCTGACTCTAGAATACTAACATTTAGCCAGGAATTTAACTTCCCCTACTCTAATATAATAGATATGCCCTCACCTTAACACTGTCCAGTTAACATTGATATAACTTGTAAAATATTAGCTGACATTCTTCAGCATTTTCTATCTTTTAAAATTACCTATTTATCAGTCAAGATAATAAAGTGGTTTGAAAAAGGAAAAAAATATCTGTGTGTTGCATGAAAACACACATGAGGCAGACTCACTCTTTATCTGACAGACCTTGACTGGGCCCACTAACCAGCTGATATTGGTACAGACATAATTGGCATCATAATCTCCTCATGGGCTGCTCCTAATGGGCTGCTCCTAATGGGCAGCTCATGTCTGCAGCAGAAGCCACTGGATACTAGAATCCCAAGGCAGTTCCCACATATGCAGCACACCACCTCCAGTCAGCCTGGGTTTTACCTCACCCACCAGCCCAGACAGCACCTGCCAATCAAAACACTCAGATAATTTGCCCTTCTACTATGGAATAAAGAATGTTCATGGCTGTTTTAAAGGACTTGCCGCACTTCTCTTCCCTTGAACTTCATCACTCAGAGCCTAGACTTTGTGCTGGAAGAGGTTTCTTACTTTGCAGTAAAGCTTTTCCACGCTATGCTCAATCTCTGGTGCCTTAGTGTTTCTTTTCAATTTACTGTATCTCCTTTAGCTCCAGTACTGAAAGATCATCTTCTTTCCTAAACAAAATAATGTCCAGAACAAAGAAGTTAATCACTTAGTACTATGTTGATGCTATAGTTGAATTACTTTAATACAATTTCAATTAAATGTACTTGGAAAACATGGATATTCTCAGTCCAAATTTCCAAATGCTTCCTGATCAAGTCACATATGCACACTTGTTTCAAGCATAAGTTTGAAACAAAATGCTTACTCTTTTACCAGTGAACAGTTCTTGTCACATTTAAGTAAATTCTGAAACCACTAAAACTAATTTTATTCCATTGGTACTGAGCCTATTTTTCCAAATCATATAGGCTAAGATTAGAGTTCACGGAGAGAGATTTAGCAAATATCTTAAAACAGAGTTGCTACTGTATAGAAACTTTACATTGGAACCAGTCTTCTCCTCTTTGGCCTTTTTTTCAAGGAAGGTAAGAAGAACCTATACTAACTTGGCATTAATTTATTTCTCTTTGTTTTACAGCTCCTCTTGTTTCTTAGCCAATTGTAGAGGTAGGGTTAGGAATGAGAAGTAATACATTTAAGAGCTCTGTCCTCTGTCCTCCACTCGCTTTAAACCTTGATAATTTCTGCCTATATTCTTGTGACTACCAGTTTTTAATAGTGCATAGAGGAGGTCTTCCAGGCCCACCTCATTCTTTTGAATTTTCAATAGATTTTCGGTATTCTCAGTCATTCCTGTCACCTTGGCTATGTCATTAGGAGAAAACAGAAAACCAACTTGAGCCACCTTGCCCTTGGTTGTGTCCTCTTTAGTACCCCTTTGAGCTCAACCAATCAGAGGTATGGAAACAGGAGACAAATTCCACTAATTTGATTCTCTCAGAGTAGCCTTTCAAATACTCTTCAGACTCATGCCTCAGTTATTGGATAACCATCCAGCCATCTTCAGTTCACCAGTCCCACATTTGGTGTCTCAACACCCTTTCTAAACTCTAACTGTGGCTGCAGTGGTAACTTCATGCCAATTGCATTTCTACTGCCAATATCAGGGTTACTGGTTTTACTTCTGACACCTGTAGCATTTCAGATGGCTTGCAGATAGTGAGGAAGACCTCACATGCTCTAAATATCCACATACTTACTGGTTACATCAAGTTCCTGTTTCAATGAGCAAAGCCTACCAAACCTTCTCAGAAGCATAAGATCACACAGGGCATACACAGAAACAACGCATTTCAATGTAATTTCTCTTAGCCTCAAGATTCCCTATCAGAAGCATAAAACTACTACAACATTGTCCAGGTAGTGTAGGGTATCACCTAATGTGAAAAGCTCAGTGATTGAGAGGCCTCCTGGTGCTTGCATAAGCATTCCAAAAGAGCTAACACTAAAATCACTGTGTTTCCCTTTTGAGGGAATATTTATATAATTATATGTATGCATACACGCACGCACACACACACACACACACACACACACACACACACAGGCATGCACATATATAAGAGCTCCATATATACATGTATGTGTGTGTATATATATATATATATATGGTTTTCCTGATCTTGAGTTAAACTTAGCATCAAAAAAGCTATATAATCATTTGAAAACTAAATTAATATTAGTAATTATCACCTAATAATATCTTTTCTCCCATCTTTCCACTTTTCAAAAAGCCCATTTTCTGTACTATTTCTCACAATTCCCCAGCTCTCCATGACTAAATGTCCTTTAGTCCTCCATGTCCTTCCCATATTTCCCCCATCATACCATATAACCTGCTACATTATAATTTCCTTTATTTATTACCTCTACTAGACTGTGAGCTGTCTATGAACAGGGACTATATCTCCTTGCTGCTATACTTCCTAGTGCCTAGCCACAGTCCTGGCACAAAGTAAGGGTATATTAGACTGCTCAGGCTGCTATAACAAAATGCCATAGTTTTGGGTTGCTTAAACAACAGAAATTTATTTCTCACAGTTATGGAGGATTGAAAAGCCAGGATCAAAGTTTCAGCCAATTCAGTTTCTGGCCCTAAATGAGGGCCTCATTTAACTTTTATCACCTCCTCATAGGCCCTATCTCTACATACTGTCACATTGGGGGTCAGAGATTCAGCAAATAAATGTTGGGAGGACATAAACATTCAGCTGATAGCAAAAGATTTAATTCGCTGAATGAAAGAATGGAAAATTATATAAACAATAGTAAATGTATCTTGAATGTGATTCAAAATTTCAGAATTCTTCGAAGATATTCATTTGTTAAACATCTTTATCCAAAAGGCCCCAGGAAGGCTCATTCTTTTATTAATGGAAAAGAAAGATATCTAACCAATTCAGTAATAGGCATAGTTCAATTTTATATATAACAAAATAGCATCTTAAGTACCTCTAAGGTCTCATAATTACATTGCATAACTTAGTAATTGTGCTACACAACCCTCAAAATGGCTCCCAATGATCCCCCCCCACTTATTGGTATTTACTCCTTTATATAATCCCCTCCCCTTGAGTATGGACTGAACCTAGATACTTGCTTCTAGTGAACTAAATGTATCAAAAGTTGTTGTATATTACTGATATAACAAATTGCTGATATATTTACTGATACTGATATATATAACAAATTACTGATATCCTATTGCTGATGTAACAAATTACCACGGTGTCTTAAAGCAATACCAATTTGTTATCTTACAATTCTGGAGGTCAGAAGTCCAAAATAGTTCTCACTAGGCTAAAGTCAAGGCGTTGGTGAAGCTGCATTCCTTTCTGGGGCTCTCAGAGACAGTCTGTGTCCTTGCCTCTTCCAGCTTCTGGAGGCTGCCTCCATTACTTGATTCATGGCCTCCTTCCATCTTCAAAGCTAGCAATTTTGCCAGTCAAGTCTTATATCTAATCAATCTGACACTGACTCTTCTGCTTCCCTCTTTTGCATTTAAAGGACCCTTGTGATTACATTGTGCTGACCCAGATAAACCAGCATAATCTCTTTATTTTAAAGTCAGCTGATAAGCAACCTTAATTCCATCTGCAAACTTTAATCCCCCTTGCCATGTAACATAACATATTTACAGGTCCTCAGGATCAGAATGTGGACATCTTGAGTGGGGGAGGGGAGGGGAGTAGAATTGTTCTGCCTACTGCAGATGGAATGTCACTTGTGTGATTATGTGGCAAAAGACTATGACTTCCATCTTGTTTGTATTCTCTCCTGCTGAACTCTCTCTTGTCCTCTTCCTTGCTTACTCTGATGAAGCATGATTCTATATTGTAAGATACTCTATGGAGAGACCCATAGAGCAAGGAACCAAGCAAGTCTCTGGCCAACAGCTCATAAGGAGTTGAAGCCTTAGTCCAACAATACACAAGGGACTGAATCCCACTGACAACCACACAAGTGAGCTAGGAAGCAGATCCTTCCCTGTTGAACCTTGAGATTTGTGCTGCCTTATGAGAAACCAAACCCAGACGACCATAGCTAAACCACACTTAGACTCCCAACTTGCAGAAATTCCGAGCTAATAAGTGTTATTGTTTTAAGCCACTAGGTTTTGTAATTTGATAAAAAAATTAACCAAAGATTCAAGAAGTTCAATTAACCTCAAGCAAGATAAATACAAAGAAAACAAGTGCTAATCAAACTACTTAAAAACAAAGATAAAAAGAAAAATAACATATCACATATGAGGTGACAGCAATGATAATAATGTCTAACTTAACAAAATCAATGGAGGCCAGCAGCAATGGAAGAATATCTTTAAAATGCTCAAATAAAGCAATGCTCAATTTAGAATTCTATGTCCAGTGAAAATTCTTCAAACATTATGATAAAACAAAGACATTTTCAGATAAACAAAAGCCAGGAAAATGTTTTAGCAGTAGACCTGCATTATAGGAAGCTCTAGAAAAGCAACCAAACAAACAAAATTTTTTTAATCTTCAGGTTCAAGAAAAATGATACCAGATGGAAACTTGAATATATATGAATGCATAAGATGTACTGCATATGTGGGTAAACATAAAGACCTACTTTTTTTCTTTATAAAATTTTCTTAAAGGATAACATACTGTATAAAACAAAATAATAACATAATGACATGGGGACTTAAAACATATGAAAAGCAAAATATCTAGCAACAACAGCACAAAAGATAGAGGCGGCACAAGTGGGTTTATAATGTTAAAGGTTCTCACATTTTATATGAAGTGACTGACTACTAATTCTAAGTAAACTGTGGTAAGTGAAGTATGCATACTGTGATTCCTAGAGCAGATGCCAATCAATCAATCAATAAATTAGCTAAAAATAGTATAGCCATTATGGAAACAGCATGGAGGTTCCTCAAAAAATTAAAAATAAAACTACCATATGATCCGGAAATCTTGCTTCTGGGTGTATATCCAAAGTGAATGAAATCAATATGTTGAAGAGATAACTGCACTCCCATATTCATCATAGCATTATTCACAATAGCCAAGATATGGAATCAATTTTCTCTGACAGATGAATGAATAAAGAAAACGTTTTTTATATATATATATATATATATATACACACACACACACACACACACACACAATGGAATATTATTCACCCTTAGAAAAGAAGGAAATCCTGCCATTTGCCGCAACATAGATAAACCTGGAGGACATTATGATGAGTGAAAGAAGACAGCCACAGAAAGACAAATATTGCATGATCTTACTTATATACATAGAATCCTAAAAAGTTGAACTCATAGAAGCAGAAAATAGAATGGTGGTTCCCAGGGTCGAAGACAGGGAGGGGCTCAGAATAGGGAGATATTGGTTAAAGGATATGAAGTCTCAATTAGATAGGATGAATTAGTTCTGGAGATATATTGTATAGCACAGTGGCTATATTTAGTAATAATGTATTGGATTCTTGAACATTGCTAAGAGATTAGTTCTTAAATGTTCTCACCACAAAAAAGTAAGGTGATGTGAGGTGATAGATATGTTAATTAACTTGATATAATCATTTCACAATGTATACATACATCCAAACATCACATTGTGCACCATAATTTTTATTTGTAAATTATACCTTAATACAACTAAAATTTTTTTTATCTTTTTTTTGAGATGGAGTCTTGCTTTGTCACCCAGGCTGGAGTGCAGTGGCATGATCTCGGCTCACTGCAAGCTCCACCTTCCAGGTTCATGCCATTCTCCTGCCTCAGCCTCCCGAGTAGCTGGGACTACAGGAGCCCGCCACTACGCTCGGCTAATTTTTTGTATTTTTTTTTTTTTAGTAGAGACAGGGTTTCACTGTGTTAGCCAGGATGGTCTCCATCTCCTGACCTCGTGATCCGCCTGCCTCGGCTTCCCAGAGTGCTGGGATTACAGGTGTGAGCCACCGCGCCTGGCCGAAAAATTTTTAATAAATAAATAATAAAAATAAATTAAATCAAAAATAAAGAAATTATCTAAAATGCCAATATACAATGTAAAAATAAAACTGAATGCTAAAAAACACGTGATGACCCAAGAAAAGAGAGGAAAGAAGAAACGGAGGAACCAGAAAAAGATGGGACAAATAGAGAAAACACATAGCAAGATAACAGACATGAACTATATCAATAAGTACATTCAGTGTAAATGGATTAAACTCTCCAATTAGGAGGAAAAGACTCAGAGTAGCTAAACAACAATACCTAACTATATATCATACACAAGGAACATACTTTGGTATAAAGTAAACAAATAGGCAGAGAGTTCTAAAACACAGAAAGTGACAATGCAAGCAACAAGCTGATGTGGCTAGATTAATGTCATAGTGGACTTTGAAACAGTAAGTGTATTCACAAACAAGTAGGGGTATTTCATAATTTTTAAAAAGGGTCAATTCTTCAAAGGACATTACAATCCTAAATGTATAGCAAATATTTACAACACTAAAATATATAGAGCAAATATTTACAAAACTAAAAGGAAAAAGACAAATGCACAACCACGATTAAATATTTTATCATTACTCTCTCAGTAATTGTTAGAATAACTAAACGAATAATAAGTTTACAGAAGATCTGAACACTACTATCAATCAATTTGACCTAATACTCAGCAATGTTCAGAATTCACATTCTTCCCAAATGCACATGGAATATTCATTGAATAGAATATATGCTGAGCCCTAAAATAAGTCTCAATAAATTTCAAAAAGTTGAAATACTACAGAGTATGTTCTTGAAATAAACAAAATTAAATTTTAAAATTGTAACAATAGGAATCTAAAAATTCTTCCCCAAAAATGGAAATCAAACAATGTACTTCAAAACAACCCAGGATCCAAAGAAAAATGACAAGAGGAATTAGAAAATATTTTCAATTGAATAATAATGAAAACACAACATATCAAAATTTGTAGGATACAACAAAAGCAATGTTTAGAGGGAATTTATTATTTTAAATGTGTTTATTAAGACAAAACCGTCATTAAAAAAATATGATAAAAGTTAATTAAATTGAAAGATATAATAGTTCATGATTGGAAGAGTGAATATTATTAAAATATAATTCCTCCCTAAGCTGTTCTATAGATTCAACACAGTCCAAATAAAATCTGAGCAGGCTTTTTTTTTAATTAGAGAGCTGATTTTAAAAACTATATGGAAATGAAAATTACCAAGAGTAGCCAGAATAATTTTGAAAAACAAGAACGGTTTTAAAAAACTGAAACTACCTGATTTCAATGCTTACTATAAATTTATAGTAATCAAGACAATGTGGTATTGGTGTAAATATAGGTAAATTGATAACAAAACAATACAGTGTCTACCAGTAGATTCACACATACATGACCAATTGATTTTTATAGACATCAATGTAATTCAATGGAAAAATGATCAGGTGTTCTTTTGTAACAAATGGTGTTAGAACCATGCATGTGAGAAATTTTTTTTAATTCATCTCAATTCTTATCTCACATGATCATACAAATTAATCCAAAATGAATCATAGGCCTAAACATACAAATAAAACTCTAAAACTTATTTAAAAAAAAAAAGAAAGAATATCTTTTTGACCTGGGGTAAGCAAAGATTTCTTAGAAGAAAAAAAAACAGTTAATTAGACTTCATCAAAAATTGAAAATACCAAGTGTTGAAAAGATGTAGGTAGAATAGTTGGGATTTTCTACATTTTAGTAGGAATGTCAAAAGGGTACAACCATTTTATAAAACAGTTTGGCAATTTGTTATGACATTAAACATACACCTACCGTATGTCCCAGCAAATCATTTATAATAAGTGCTCACTTAATATCAATGATAGATTCTTGGAAACTGTGACTTTAAGCAAAACGATGTATAGCAAGTCAACATCATTTACTTATAACATTAATGAGAAAATAATTTAGTTTTGTCATAGGTTGAACCTATCGACAATGTTAAGTAAGAATTTATTGTACTAGGTATTTATCCAAGAAAAATAAAAATATATATCCACAGAATTACTTAGATAAAAAATACTCATAGTATATTGACATAAAAGCCAAATTTGGAAACCCAAATGTCCATCAACAGGTGAATAAAGGAACATATTTCAGTGTCTTTATACAAAGGAATACTACTCAGCAATAAAAAGTGAATCTGGTAATACACTCAGACAATGTGGATGCATTTCACAGACCCAATATGGAGAGAAAGAAAATGACACAGACGAGTGCATCTTGTATAATTCTGTGTGATGGTAGAAATCAGAAGAGTGTTTACCTAAGAATGGTACTAAGAGGGCAATGACTGCAAAGAGCAGCAGGGGACTCTTGCTATGTTGGAAATGTCCTAAGTGTTGATTAGGGTTGTAGCTACAAATGTGTATTCATTTGTTCAATCTCATCAAACTGTAACTTAAAATTTATATTTTATTATATATAAATTCCATCTTAATAAAGTTGGTTTTTAAACGAATGAGACTATTGGCTTACTTAATTAGTGCTATTAGTGAAACTGTTAATAATATAACAAAATGATAGACTGAGAAGGAAACATACTCAGGCATTCCTTTAACAACACCTAGGTGTACCCCACAAACCAGACCAGCAACATTATCAGATTCGTGAGATTATCAGATTGTTCTTGTTTTTTTGTTTTTTGGTTTTTTTTAAGATGGTGGGTTAGAGGCTTTTAGCATGCTTTAGCCACTTGGAAATAGCAAGACAGTGCATAAAGATTAACTCTCTGAGCTTTAATTCAATAGGGAAAACAGGAATCCACCAGAATCATGAACGAAACCCCAGATCCTGGTGAGGAAAACGCAGGCAAGCAGCTCCTGTGATGGCATCCAGCTGATAAAAGTGAGGTAGTCCCTAGTATGCAAGAGAGGCAGAGAGCCTTTCTCTGTGATTCACCTTTCTACTGGGGATCCAAATAACCCAGGCTAAAGGAGAGCCCTTTGTTTATCTCAATCCCTGGAGCTAACTTGGGGAGAGGCTTGGAGGCACTGAGAGGGAAAGACACCAGGAAAACCTGCAGGAATTTTCTGACACCCGGGACCAAGAGCAGGACACCATTTTTATTCCAGGTGCATACAAAGTCGGCCATTCTTTGGCAACCCAGCAGCGTGCCTGGGTAGGCTTTTTTTTTGTCTCAGGCCACAGGTTAGAGAGGTTGCTCTGGAGTGAGGTAGGGGCCTCCACAGCCAGAAAGGTGGAAAGCACTTCACTAGTAGGCACTGGAATTGTGCTATCCCTATTGCAGGCCTGGGGCCGGGGGAGAGCTACTACAGCTGCAGTTTCTCCTGGGTGGTGAGACTTGCAGCCAGGGCCAGCTTGGTGACCTGTAACTGGTCTAAATGTGCCATTGCTGGATTCCCCAGCCTGCTCCCCTAATATTGTGGTGCAGCAGACCCTCTCTACTTCACCCCCAGTCAGAATTCCAGACATTCAAAACACCTGCTCACCTAGATTGGTAGCCTGAGCTGCCCTGTCCTTCCTATGCAAAGATTCTGGAGCAGCAGGGCCTTCTCTGCTTCACAGCCAGGCAGATCTTCAGGCATTCAGAGCTCCTACTTGACTGGAACAGCAGCCTGAGCCACCCCACCCTTCCTGTGCAGAGATTCTGGCAAAGTTGGACTCTCTTTACTCCATGCACAGGAAGATAGCCAAGCATTCAAAGAAACTACTCACCTGAATCAGCAGCCCGAGCCAGCCCACCCTTCCCATGCAGGAATTTTGGTGAAGTGGGACCCCCTCCACCTCTTGCCCAAGCAGATCTCCAGGCAGTCAGAGCACCCATTCCTCTGGATTACCAATCACAGCTGCTCCACCATTCCTGTGCAGAGATTGTGGTGCAGTGGGGCCCTCTACACTCCATGCCCAGGCTGATCTACAGGCACCTAGAGCACCCACTCTCCTGAATTAGGAGTTTAGGCTACCGCCCCTACCCATGCAGAGAACTTGGGGCCAAGGAGGTTTCCCAACTCCATGCAGTATGAGATTATGTTAAGCAACTAAACACATCTGGGCACTTGGTGACCACCCACTGGATTGTCCCTCAGCACTGGTGCTTGTGCCGACCATCGGGAACTATAGGTGGGCTTGCCTGGTCTGGCCATACCCATCTTGCCGCCCACCTCCACTGAGCTTAGCAGGGAGATCAGACTACCATGCACTCTACAGATCAGTGCACTGTCTGAGGCAACAGAGAGCTTCTCCCAGTAAACAAGGGTCAAATATACACTTAGCTACATTGGCCACAGATGAATCTTACCCATACACGCCATCTACTGGCTTGGAGGTTGAACCACAGAACCCAATTGTTTTTTAAAACCTTCTAAAAGAAGTATATAGGGCTATAGAAGCAAAGCCTGAAGACCCTATCCAACATTCTCTACAGTCGCACCCCTTAGAGAGTGAGGAAAGAAAAGGGGAAAGAAAAAAAACAGTAATACCACAAGGAAAGAAAAAAGGAAAAAATCCTACCCACACAAAAATAATTACAAAAAAACTACAAGTGTCAACATCAGATGAGAAGAAAACAGTGCAAAAATGCTGGCACCATGAAAAATCTGAATGTAGTGACACCACCAAGGGATTACATTAGCTCTGCAGCAATAGTCCCTAACCAAAATGGAAATTCAGAAATGACAGATAAAGAATTTAAAGCATAGACTGCAAGGAAGCTCAATGAGATCCAAGACAAGGTTAAAAATCAACAAAAATATACTTCTAAAGTAATTTAGGAAATGAAGGAAGAGATAAACATCTTAAAAAGAAATCAATCAGACCCGGAATTTAAAAGCTCACTTAAAGAATTTCAAAACACAATTGAAAGCTTTATCAATAAACTGGACTAAGCAGAAGAAAAACATTTCAGAGCTTGAAGACCATTCTTTTAAATAAACCCAGTCAGACAAAAAAAAAAGAAAAATTAATTTTAAAAAATAAACAAAGTATTTGTTAAGTATGAGATTATGTAAAGCAACAAAACCAATGAGTTGTTGGCATTTCTGAGACAGCAGAAGAAAAAGGCAACAACCTGGAAGACATACTTGAGGGAATAATTTTTTTTAAAAAATCCTTAATCTTGCAAGGAAGGTAGACATCTATATATAAGAAATCCAGAGAACAGGGAGGGGGGAGGGACAGCATTAGGAGAAATACCTAATGTAAATGAAGAGTTAATGGGTGCAGCACACCAACATGGCACATGTTTACATATGTAACAAACCTGCACATTGTGCACATGTACCCTAGAACTTAAAGTATAATAAAAATAAATAAATAAAATAAAATAAAGAAATACAGAGAACATCTGTGAGATACTATAGAAAATGAACATCACCAACGCAGATATTCACCGGACTGTCCAAAGTCAATGCAAAAAAAAAAAAAAAAAAAAAAACTTAAAGGTAGCTAGAGAAAAAGGTAAGATCATAAATAAAGAGAACTGCATCAGGCTAACAGTGGACTTCTCAGCAGAAACCTTAAAAGCTGGGAGAGATTAGGGGTTTATTTTCATCATTCTTAAAGAAAAGAAATTCCAACCAATAATTTCACATCCCACCAAATTAAGTTTCCTAAGAGATAGAGAAATAAAATCTTTTCCAAACAAACAAGTGCTAAGGGAATTCATTACCACTAGACCAGCCTTACGAGAGATCATTAAGGGAGTTCTAAACAAGGAAACAAAAGAATGATACCTGCTATCACAAAAACAACACACTCAAGTGGATAGCCCACAGACCCCATAAAGCAAGCATACAACAGAAACTACAAAGCAACCATCTAACAACTTCATGACAGGATCAAAATCTCACATATCGATATTAACCTTGAATGTAAACAGTCTAAATCCATCACAAAAATGCAAGTTTGATTTAAAAAAACAAAAAGACCCTTCCATCTACTGTCTTCAAGAGACTCATCTCATATGTAATGACACTCATAGGCTGAAAGTAAAAGTTTGGAGAAAAAGCTATCACACAAATGGAAAACAAAAAACAGTAAGAGTCACTATTCTTATATCAAATAAACCATACTTAAACATACTTTAAACCAGTAAAAAAAAAATGGCAAAGAAGGGCATTACATAATGATAAAGAGTTCAATTCAACCAGAAGACTTAATTTTCCTAAATACACACTCACCCAACATTGGAGCACCCATATTCATAAAACAACTATGTCTAGACCTATGAAAAGACTTAGACAATCACACAATAATAGTGGGGGTCTTCAATACCCCACTGACAGCATTAGACAGATCATTGAGGCAGAAAACTAACAAAGAAACTCTGGACTTCAATTTGACACTTAACAATTGGACCTAATAGATATCTACAGAACACTCCACCCATCAACCACAAAATATACATTCTTCTTATTTGCCACCAGAACATACTCCAAGGTCAAACACATGTTTGGCCATAAAGCAATTCTCAATAAATTCAAAAAAATGAAATCATGCCAGCCTTACTCTCAGACCACAGTGGAATAAAAATAGAAATCAATACCACAAAGATTTCCCAAAACCACACAATTACATGGAAATTAAACAATTTGCTCCTGAATGACTTTTGGGTAAATAACCAAATTGACCAAGCATAGTGGCTCATGCCTATAATCCCAGCACTTTGGAAGGCCGAGGCAGATAGATTGCTTGAACCCAGGAGTTTGAGACAAGCCTGGGCACTATGGCAAAATCCTGTCTTTACAAAAAAATACAAAAATTAGCCAGGCATGTTGGTACGTGCCTGTATTCCCAGCTCCATGGGGGTCTAAGAGGTAGGAGGCTTGCTTGAGCCTGAGAAATCAAGACTGCAGTGTGCCATGATTGTGCCACGGCACTCTAGCCTGGGTGACAGAATAAGACCCTGTCTCAACAAAAACAAAAATGAAATTAACACAGAAATCAAAAATTCTTTGAAATAAATGAAAACAGAGACAAAATACCAAAATCTCTGGGATGCAGCAGGAGCAATGTTAAGAAGAAAGTTTATAGCACTAAACACCTAACTCAAAAAGTTAAAAAGATCTTGAATTAACAATTTAACATCACACCTTCAGGAACTAGGAAAACAAGAACAAACTAACCCCAAAGCTAGCAAAAGCAAAGAAATAACTCAGAGCAGAACTAGGGGAAATTGAGATCCCAAAATCCACACATAAGATCAATAAAACCAAAAGTTGATTCTTTAAAAGGATAAACTGGATTGATAGACCACTAGTTAGATTAACAAAGAAAAAAGCAGAAGCTCCAAATACACACAATCAGGAACAACAAAGGTGACATTATAAGCAATCCCACAGAAATACAGAAAATCCTCAGAGACTGTTATGAACTTCTCTATACCCACAAACTAGAAAATCTAGAGGAAATGAATAAATTCCTGGAAACACGCAATCTCTCATGGTGGAATCAGGAAGAAATTGAAACCCTGAACAGACCAATATCAAGTTCCAAAATTAAATCAATAATAAAAAAATCTATCAACCAAAACCAGCCCCAAACCTGACAGAATCATAGCCAAATTCTACCACATGTACAAAGAAGAGCTGATACCAATTCTACAGAAATTGTTCAAAAAAATCAAGGAGGAGGTACACTTTCCTAACTCATTCTACGAAGCCAGCATCACCCTGTACCAAAACTTGGCAAAGACACAACAAACAAAGAAAACAACAGGCCAATGTCCCTCATGAGCATAGATGCAAAAATCCTCAATAAGATACGAACAAACAGAATCCAGCAGCACATGAAAAAGTTAATTCACTACAATCAAGTAGGCTTCATTCCTAGGATGCAAGGTTGGTTCAACATACACAAATCAATAAATGTGATTCACCACATAAAGAGAATTAAAAACAAAAACCATATGATCACCTTAATAGATAACCAAAAAAAGCTTTTGATAAAATTCAACATCTCTTCATGATAAAACCCTCAACAAGTAGGTATTGAAGGAACATACCTCAAAATAATAAGAGCCATCTATGACAAACCCACAGCCAATATCATGCTGAATGAGCAAAAGCTGGAAGCATTTCCCCTTGAGAACTGGAACAAAACAAGGATGCCACTCTCATCATTCCTATTCAACATTGTGCTAGAAGTCCTTGCCAGAGGAATCAGGCAAGAGAAAGAAATAAAAGGCATGCAAATAGGAAAAGAAGAAGTCAAACTGTCTCTAGTCATGCACAATATGATTCAACACCTAGGAAACCCTAAAGACTCTGCCAAAAGGCTCCTGGAACTCATAAATGACTCCAATAAAGTTTTAGGATACAAAAGCAATATACAGAAATAAGTAGCATTTCTACACACCAATAACATTCAAGCCAAGAGGCAAATTAAGAATGCAATCCCATTTACAATAGCCACATAAAAAAATAAAAATACCTAGAAACACATCTAACTATGAAGGTGATGACCTCTACAAGAAGAACTACAAAACACTGATGAAAGAAATCAAAGATGACACAAAGGAAAAACATTCCATGCTCAAGGATTGAAAGAGTCAATATCATTAAAATGGCCATATCACCCAAAGCAATCTACAAATTCAACGTTATTTCTATCAAACTACCAATATCATTTTTCACAGAACTAGAAAAAAAACTATTCTAAAGTTTATATGAAACGAAAAAAAAAAAAAAAAGCCCAAATAGCCAAAGCAATACTAAGCAAAAAGAACAAAGCCAGAGGTGTAACATTACCAGACTTCAAACTATGCTATAAGGCTACAGTAAGCAAAACAGCAATGGTACTGGTACAAAAGCAGACACAGAGACCAATGGAGCCGAATAGACAACCCAGAAATAAAGCCGTACACCTACAGCCAACCTATCTTCTACAAAGTCGACAAAAATAAGCAATGGGGAAAGGACTCCTATTCAATAAATGGTTCTGGGATAGCTGGCTAGCCATATGCAGAAGAATGGAACTGGAACCATACCTTTTATCATATATAAAAATTAACTCAAGATGGATTACAGATTTAAATATAAGAACTCAAACTATAATAATCCTAGAAGAAAACCTAGGAGACACATCAGCCTTGGGAAAGAATTTATGACTAAGTCCTCAAAAGCAATTGCAGGCTGGGTATGTGGCTCATGCTGTAATCCAGCACTTTGGGAGGCCAAAGCAAGAGGATCACTTGAGTCCAAGAGTTTGACACCAGCCTGGACAACATAGTGAGACCACATCTCTACAAAAAATTTTAAAAATTAGCTGGCGTGGTGGTGCACAATTGTAGTCCCAGCTCCTTGGGAGGCTGAGGTGGGAGGACTGCCTGAGCCCAGGACGTCAAGGCTGCAGTGAGCTATGATTACACCACTGCATTCCAGCCTGAGTGACAAAGCAAGACCTTGTCTCAAAAACTAAAAATAAAAATAAAAATAAAAATTGACAAGTAGGACCTACCTAATTAAATGAAAGAGCTTCTGCACAGAAAAGTAAAATATCAATAGAGTAAACAGACAACCTAAAGAATGGGAAAAAATATTTCCAACTACGCATCTGACAAAGATTTGATATTCAGCATCTATAAGAAACTTAATTCAATAAGCAAAAACAACCCCACTAAAAAGTGGGCAAAAGTCATGAACAGACACCTCTCAAAAGAAGATATACAGACAGCCCACCAGCCCACAAATGTGGAAAAATGCTCAATATCACTAATCTTCAGAGAAATGCAAATCAAAACCACAAGGAGATACCATCTCACACCAGTCAGAATTGTTATTATTGAAAGTCAAAACAACAACAACAACAACAGATGCTGGCGAGGCTGCAGAGAAAAGAGAACACTTATACACTGTTGGTGGAAATGTAAATTAGTTTAGCCCCACTAAAAAGCAGTTTGGAGATTTCTCAAAGAACTTAAAACAGAACTATCATTCGACCCAGCAATCCCATTACTGGGAATGTATCCAAAAGAAAATAAATCATTCTATCAAAAAGACACAGGCACTTGTATGTTCATCACAGCACTGCTCACAATAGCAAAGACATGGAATTAACCTATGGACCAGATAAAGAACATGTACAACAGTGGACTGGATAAAGAAAGTGTACATATACACCATGAAATACTACACAGCTGAATAAATAAATAAATAACAAAATTATGTCCTTTGCAGCAACATGGATACAGCTGGATGCCATTATCCTAAGTGAATTAATGCAGGAACAGAAAATGCATGTTCTCAGTAATAGGTACGTGGTAAGCATTGGGTACTCATGGACACAAAGATGGAAACAATAGACACTGGGACTACTGGGCAGGAGGGAGGGAGGGGGGCAAGGGTTGAAAAACTAACCGTTGGGTATTATATTCACTATGTGGGTGACAGGATCATTCATACTCCAAACGTCAACGTCACACATTACACCCATGTAACAAACCTGCACATGAATCTACAGTAAAAATTGAAATTATAAAAAAAAAAAAAAAGAAAAGATTGCTCTGGCAGCTATGTGGAGAATGGACAGGAAGGGGCCCAGAAAGGATGCAGACACGCCAAGTATTAGAGGAAGGCTGAAGTAGACATGGAGAGAGATCCACTGGAAAGTTGCTAATATCTGGAACCAGGGTAAAGAGAATTGCACAAATATAAAAGAGAATTAGGGAATAAAATTGATCTTACCTGACAATGAATTGAAGTATAAAAGTAAAGAAGCAGTCGAGGATGACACCTGGTCTTTAACCAAGGCAAGATATGTGTGACGCCATTTTTCAAGGGAGGAAACAATTGAGGAGGACTTCGTTTGGGGAGAAGAGAATATCATTACTTTGGTTTTGGATGTCTTGAGTTTGAATGTGCCATTGAGATATCTAAGTGGAGATATTGAGTAAAGAGTGATTGAAAATCCTTATGAAACACCGGTGTATAGTTGGTATTTGGAGGGGCATTTGCATGTCGATCATTAGAAAAGGAAGTAGAATAAAAAAAAATAAAAGGGCCTGAGTCTTGAGGAATTCCAACATTTAACGGCTAGTAGTATAAGTATTGACCTGCAAAAGAAAATTAAAAGGTGTGGCCCAAGAAGTAGGGGAGAAAGCAGGAAAGCAGGGTGCCAAGAAGGAAAAAGAAGCAATAGTCTCTGGTTGCAAAAAGCCAGATGAGATGAAGACTGAGATGTGTTCATTGCATTTAGTAACGTGGAAGACATTGATTACTTTTGTAAGAGCTATCTTTTTCAATTGAGTGATGGGGACACAGGCAAGATTGGGGTAGACTGAGGACTGTACCTTAAAACAACAGAGAATGTGTTCATCGCAAGTCAAAACAGTATTGTTTTGACTTGAAAACTGTTTCAAAACTGACAAACATCAGATGCAGTGGCTCACACCTGTAATCCCATTACCCTGGGAGGCCAAGGCAGGAGGATTGCTTGAAGCCAGGAGATCAAGACCAGCCTGGGCAACATAGCAAGACCCTGTGTGGATGAGAAGTTTTTTAAAAAAAAATAGCTGAGTGTGGTGGCTCATACCTATAGTCCCAGCTCCTCAGAAGGCCCACTGGAGCCCAGGAGGTCAAGGCTGCAGTGAGCTATGATCACACCACTACACTCCAGCCTGGGCTATACAGCAAGACCCTGTCTCTTGAGAAAAAAAAAAAAAAAACTGAGAGAGCAAGGAGTTGCCTCAAATGAAAATACAATTTATCATATTAACTTGTAAGTTAAAATGTATTATAAAACTCAAATCAGGCAGTTATATGAAGCTTGAGCATCAATATAAGTAATGTTTTTTAAACTATTATCATGAGATGAAACATGAAACAAATATCACTCTGTCATATTAACTGTTGCCTAAAGTATATTTTGCTGTTGTTTTTTACTAATTCAAATAACAATTGTTTGTATGGTGCATTGCTTCAGAGGATTTTCACAGAACTTTTTCCATATGAATTTGACAACATATACCAGGGGGATAACCTGAAAAATCCTTGTACTGGATACCTCTCGGGCAGCACTTCAAACCCACCTGGCTGCATCTCTTCCTCCAGCCTCCGCCAGGGGAAGAGTTTTACCCAGCTTTGATCAGCTTCGCTCAGATGTGATCTGACAGGACCTAGCCTCAGGCATCCAGCATGGAACTCTTCCTTCCTAAGTGGGACTTGCCTGATGCCACAGCATGACATGCCCAAGAGAACCCACTTGGCATTCACGCATGTGCACCCAGAACTACTGGACTACTGGGCTCACTCTTGGCCAGTGGGAACAAGGGCTGATGGAGGAATGCTCACTCCTTTTTTCTCTGGGAAGACATTTCTGAGACCCCCTTCCTAAGGCTCCTAGAAATTCCAAACCATCATTTGGGCAGTGACATCTCCCTACCGCCTTCTCTTCCAGCTTTCCCTTTTTCCCTCTTCTTCACTTCTGCTCCCTGGAGTCACATTTCAAAATATTCACACACCAGCCTTTTATCTCAGGCTCTGCTTTCAAGGGATCCTAGGCTAAGTCAATATTCTAGTTCAGAAACTATAAATGAAGGCCCTTTGGCTAGGCAGAAAGGGAAACTAACATTTTCTAAAAACTAAATTTGTGCTCCATATTTACTATTTCACGTAACACTCAAAAGAACTATAGACTGGCTCAATTGGGAAACTGGAGTCCAAGTTATTCAAAGTTACACAGTTTCACTGACTTTATACGTTCTTATTCTCCATACTGCTTCCAGTGATATCTTCCTTTGACTGTGGTCATAGATATATTTTTGGAAGTGAATAATGAAGATAAATAGCAATAGCAACTATTATGCATTGAGGGCCTATTTGTGCCAGACAATTGGCTAAGCACTTAATATTTAATCTTCACTGTAACTCTACAAGCTATCACTAGCTTCATTTTATTCCAATAAAAATGGAGGCTAACTTTTCCAACATTCTCTACTGATGAAATGACAGCTAATACTTGTGCTTACTCCGTAGCCCTAATGTCTATGATCACATTTAATCCTCACACCTACCCATGAAATAGGTTCCTGTTGATCATCACATTACAGACCCAGCAGCTCTAAAGCTTATAGATGCCTTTTCCCCTACCAGGCTGCCTCTCATTACAGGAAGAAGACAGGGAGAAAAACATGACAAGAAAAAATGATCTACCATAAGCACTTCCTATATCAACGTGCTTTGAACAGAGCAATAGTCACACCCATAGTGCCTGCTAAAAATATGACTATGGCTAATTTCAGGAAGGATCCCTTCACTTCAGCACTACTGACATTTTGGCCTGGATAGTTATTTGTAGAGGGAAGTGTCCTGTGTGTCGTTGGATGTCTGGCAGCATCCCTGGCCTCTAACATCTAGATGCCAATAGCACCTCCCTTCCATTGTGACAACCAAAAATGCCTTCAGACTTTGGCAAAATTGCTTCCAGTTGAGAACCACTGGTTTTTGACATTTTAAACAAATAGTTTTAATTCTGAAGTTTGAATTATATCAGGGCAATGGTCCTTCGCTGTTTGGGAATTCAATTGTGGAGATACAAGCGGGAATTCAATTCAGTAATCCCATCTGCTCCTCCCCTACTCTTATTCCCTTCCTTCCATTGTTTCTTTTGCAAATCCCAAGGATGGCTTCTACCCAATAAAAACAGTCTCGTGCACAGGAAGGGACTTGTTCCTGGGCCATGGCGCCCCCTTCGTTGTCATCAGATGTCTCTCCTTCAAGTCAAAATTTTGTCTAGCCCTGATTATCGTACTATCTCCCAACTAAAAACAAAACCTATTTAATTGGCTCTACTATTAAATAACAAGCACACCATGTTATGAACATTGTTTCTATATTTACAAATCCAAAACATGATTGAAAATGTCACTCTCGGCTTTGCAGCAGCTGCTGCCACCACCAGGAGCCCCAAACTATCAGCCATGGTCAACCCCACCATGTTCTTCCACATTGCCGTCAATGGCGAGCCCTTGGGCCATGCCTCCTTGGAGCTGTTTGCAGACATGTTTTCAAAGTCAGCCAAAAACCTTCATGCTCTGAGCACTAGAGAGAAAGAATGTGGTTATAAGGTTTCCTGCTTTCACAAAATTATTCCAGGATGTATGTGTCAGGGTGGTGACTTCACATGCCATAATGGCACTGATGGCAAGTCCGTCTACAGGGAAAAATTTGATGATGACAACTTCATCCTGAAGCATACAGGTCCTGGCATTTTGCCATGGCAATTGCTGGACCCAACACAAACCATTCCCAGTTTTTCATCTGCACTGCCAAGACTGAGTGGTTGGATGGCAAGCATGTGGTCTTTGGCAAGGTGAAAGAAAGCATGAGCATTGTAGAGGCCATGGAGCACTTTGGGTCCAGGAATGGCAAGACCAACAAGAAGATCACCATTGCTGACTATGAACAACTCTAATAAGTTTGACTTGGGTTTTATCTTAACCACCAGACCATTCCCTCTGTAACTCAGGATAGCACCCCTCCACCCCATTTGCTCGCAGTAGCCTATAATCTTTGTGCTCTTGCTGCAGTTCCCTTTGGTTTCCCTTTGGGAGAGAAGTCCCTGCTCTAGCCAAGGGAAGGGGTTCCATGTTTTCCTTGTTCCCTTCCATGCCTAGCTGGATTGTAGAGTTAGGTTTATGATTATGAAATAAAAACTAAATAACAAAAAAAAGAAGTGTCACTCTCTCAGTAGAAACAATATTCCCATAATCAAACATCCAAAGCAAATTGTATGATTTTTTTGTATTATCCAGGATTTCAAGACTCTGTTTCAGGGCAGAAAAGCCAAGTAGAAACAATGGTCAACTTTCAGCATACCTATTTTCAGCAGCCTACTTGCTGCTTCTTATGCAAACATAACTATTATTTGTATTATTTTGTCCAAAATGTTAATACGAGTTTATGTAAACATTCTAAATATATGGATCATAAATAAATACTACTGAATCAAAACTATAAGAAAGCAATATGATTGGCCCTAGAAGACTTTTATATATTTTCGTAAACTATTAGTTCTTTTTAACATATGTTATGCAAACAGGATAATGTAGATATGATACATAAGATGGCAAACACTATGAGTACACACTCTCTTAGAAATTTGGTAAAATACGGCCAGGCGCGGTGGCTCACGCCTGTAATCCCAGCACTTTGGGAGGCCAAGGCGGGTGGATCACAAGGTCAGGGGTTCGAGACCAGGCTGACCAACATGGTGAAACCCCGTCTCTACTAAAAATACAAAAATGAGCTGGGCGTGGTGGCGGGTGCCTGTAATCCTAGCTATTCAGGAGGCTGAGGCAGGAGAATTGCTTGAATCCGGGAGGCGGGAGGTTGCAGTGAGCCGAGATCGCACCACTGCACTCCAGCCTGGGTGACAGAGAGAGACTCTGTCTCAAAAAAAAAGAAAGAAAGAAAGAGAGAGAGAGAGAGAGAGAGAGAGAGAGAGAGAAAGAAAGAGAAAGAAAGAAAGATAGAAAGAAAGAAAGATAAAGAAAGAAAGAAAGAAAGAAAGAAAGAAAGAAAGAAAGAAAGAAAGAAAGAAAGAAAGGAAAAGAAAGAAAGAAAGAAGAAAGAAAGAAAGAAATTTGGTCAAATACAAAGTGCTTCTGAAAACTAGTCTCCCATAAATAACTTTCATAAAGTTCCATCATATTCCTATAATGTCTTTTAAATAAATCTAGTGAGATGTTGCTAAAACGGCAAACTCAAAGATGACATCAAAATTAGCCCAATAATGAAATTTGTCCATCTTAGAAGCATTTTACATTGATATTTAGAGGTATAGTTTTCCACTTCTAGAGCCAATTTTTCCTAAGTCATTTTTTCTAAAACATGTTTGGAAGATTGAGGCCCAAACAGCAGACATCTGGGCCCTCCCTAATAGAACAGGTTTTATTAGATTCCCAACCCAGTGAAAGCAAAGAAACAAAAATGTGCTTTTCGAAGATGGCCGAATAGGAAGAGCTCCAGTCTGCAGCTCCCAGCAAGATCAACAGAGAAGGCAGGTAATTTCTGCACTTACAACTGAGGTACCCAGCTCATCTCATTGGGGCTGGTTAGACAGTGGGTGCAGCCGGCAGAGAGCAAGCAGAAGCAGAGTGGGGCGTCACCTCACCCAGGAAGCCCAAGGGGTTGGGGAACTCCCTTCCCTAGCCAAGGGAAGACATGAGGAACTGTGCTATGAGGAACGGTGCATTCCAGCCCAGATACTACACTTTTCCCATGTGCTTTGCAACCTGCAGACCAGGAGATTCCCTCGGGTGCCTATACCACCAAGGCCCTGGATTGCAAGCACAAAATTGGGTGGCCGTTTGGGCAGACACCAAGCTCGCTGCAGGAGTTTCTTTTCATACCCTAGTGGTACCTGGAATGCCAGCGACACAGAACCGTTCCCTCCCCTGGATAGGGGGCTGAAGCCAGGGAGCCCAGTGGTCTAGCTCAGTGGATCCCACCCACATGGAGCCCAGCAAGCTAAGATCTGCTGGCTTGAAATTCTTGCTGCCAGCACAGCAGTCTGAAGTCAACCTAGGACACTAGAGCTTTTGGAGGCGGGGGGCTGGGGGGCGTCCACCATTACTGAGGCTTGAGTAGGCGGTTTTCCCCTCACAGCATAAACAAAGCCACCAGGAAGTTCGAACTGGGCGAAGCCCACCGCAGCTTGGCAAAGCCACTATAGCCAGACTGCCTCTATAGATTCTTCCTCTCTGGGCAGGGCATCTCTGAAAGAAAAGCAGCAGTCCCAGTCAGGGGCTTACAGATAAAACTCCCATCTCCCAGGGACAGAGCACCTGGGGGAAGAGGTGGCTGTGGGTGCAACTTCAGCAGACTTAAACGTTCCTGCCTGCCAGCTCTGAAGAGTACAGTGGATCTCCCAGCACAGCGCTCGAGCTCTGCTAAGGGACAGACTGCCTCCTCCAGTGGGTCCCTGAACCCCATGCCTCCTGACTGGGAGACACCTCCCTGCAGGGGTCGACAGGCACCTTATACAGGAGAGCTCCGGCTGGCATCTGGCAGGTGCCACTCTGGGACAAAGCTTCCAGAGAAAGGAAAGGGCAGCAATCTTTGCTGTTCTGCAGCCTCCACTGGTGATACATAGGCAGACAGGGTCTGGAGTGGACATCCAGCAAACTCCAGCAGACCTGCAGCAGAGGGGCCTGACTATTAGAAGGAAAACAAACAAACAGAAAGGAATGGTACCAACATCAATAAAAAGGACGTCCATACAAAAACCTCATCTGAAGGTCACCACCATCAAAGACCAAAGGTAGATAAATCCATGAAGATGGGGAGAAACCAGCACAAAAAGGCTGAAAATTCCAAAAACCACAACACCTCTTCTCTTCCAAAGGATCACAACTCCTTGCCAGCAAGGGAACAAAACTGAACAGAGAATGAGTTTGATGAATTGACAAAAGTAGGCTTCAGAAGGTGGGTAATAACAAACTCCTCTGAGCTAAAGGAGCATGTTCTAAACCAATGCAAGGAACCTAAGAACCTTGAAAAAAGGTTAGATGAATTGCTAACTAGAATAACCAGTTTAGAGAAGAACACAGATGACCTGATGGAGCTGAAAAACACAGCATGAGAACTTCATGAAGCATACACAAGTATCAATAGCCAAATCGATCAAGCAGAAGAAAGGATATCAGAGATTGAAGATCAACTTAATTAAATAGAGTGTGAAGACAAGATTAGAGAAAAAAAGAATGAAAAGGAATGAATAAAGCCTCCAAGAAATATGGGGCTATGTGAAAAGATCAAACCTACATTTGATTGGTGTACCAGAAAGTGATGAGGAGGATAGGACCAAGTTGGAAAACACTATAAAGGATATTATCCAGGAGAACTTCCCCAACCTACCAAGACAGGCCAACATTCAAATTCAGGAAATACAGAGAACACCACAAAGATACTCCTCGAGAAGAGCAACCCCAAGACACATAATCGTCAGATTCACCAAGGTTGAAATGAAGGAAAAAATGTTAACAGCAGCCAGAGAGAAAGGTCAGGTTAACCATAAAGGGAAGCCCATCAGATAACAGCAGATCTCTTGGCAGACACCCTACACGCCAGAAGAGAGTAAGGGCCAATATTCAACATTCTTAAAGAGAAGAATTTTCAACCTAGAATTTCATATCCAGCGAAACTAAGTTTCATAAGTGAAGGAGAAAAAAATCCTTTACAGAAAAGTAAATGCTGAGAGATTTTGTCACCACCAGGCCTGCCTTACAAGAGCTCCTGAAGGAAGCACTAAACATGGAAAGGAACAACCGGTACCAGCCACTGCAAAAACATACCAAATTGTAAAGACCATTGACATTATGAAGAAACTCCATCAACTAATGGGCAAAATAACCAGCTAACATCATAATGACAGGATCAAATTCACACATAACAATATTAACCTTAAATGTAAATGGACTAAATGCCCCAATTAAAAGACACATACTAGCAAATTGGATAGTCAAGACCCATCGATGTGCTGTATTCAGGAGGCCCATCTCACATGCAAAGACACACACAGGCTCAAAATAAAAGCATGGAGGAATATTTACCAAGGAAATGGAAAGCAAAAAAAAAACAGGGGTTGCAATCCTAGTCTCTGATAAGACAGACTTTAAACCAACAAAGATCAAAAGAGACAACGAAGGCCATTACATAATGGTAAAGGGATCAATGTAATAAGAAGCACTAAATATTCTAAATATATATGCACCCAATACAGGAGCACCCATATTTCTAAAGCAAGTTCTTAGAGAGCTACAAGGAGACTTAGACTCCCACACAATAATAGTGGGAGACTTTAATACCCCACTGTCAATATTAGACAGATCAACAAGACAGAAAATCAAGAAGAATATCCAGGGCTTGAACTCAGCTCTGAACCAAGCAGACCTAATAGACTTCTACAGAACTCTCCACCCCAAATCAACAGAATATACATTCTTCTCAGCACCACAGCACAATTATTCTAAAACTGACCACATAATTGGAAGTAAAACACTCCTCAGCAAATGCAAAAGAATGGAAATCATAACAAACAGTCGCTCAGACCACAGTGCAATCAAATTAGAACTCGGGATTAAGAAACTCACTCAAAACCTCACAACTACATGGAAACTGAACAATCTGCTCCTGAATGACTACTGGGTAAATAACGAAATGAAGGCAGAAATAAAGATGTTCTTTGAAACCAGTGAGAACAAAGACACAACATACCAGAATCTCTGGGACATATTTAAAGCAGTGTGTAGAGGGAAATTTATAGCACTAACTGCCCACAAGAGAAAGCAGGAAAGATCTAAAATCGACATCCTAACATCACAATTAAAAGAACTAGAGAAGCCAGAGCAAACAAATTCAAAAGCTAGCAGAAGACAAGAAATAACTAAGGTCAGAGCAGAACTAAAGGAGATAGAGACACGAAAAACCCTTCAAAAAATCAATGAATCCAGGAGCTGTTTTTTTTTAAAGATCAACAAAATAGACTGCTAGCCAGACTAATAAATAAGAAAAGAGAGAAGAATTAAATAGATGCAATAAAAAATTATAAAGGGGATATCAACCTGATCCCACAAAAATTCAAACTACCATGAGAAAATACTATAAACACCTCTACAAAAATAAACTAGAAAATCTAGAAGAAATGGATAAATTCCTGGCACATATGTCCTCTCAAGACTAAACCAGGAAGAAGTCGAATCCCTGAATAGACCAATAACAAATTCTGAAATTGAGGCAGCAATTAATAGCCTACCAACCAAAAAAAAAAGTCCAGGACCAGAGGGATTCACAGCCAAATTCTACCAGAGGTACAAAGAGGAGCTGGTACCATTCCTTCTGAAACTATTTCAAACAATAGAAAAAGAGGGAATCCTCCCTACCTCATTTTATGAGACCAGCATCATCCTGATACCAAAGCCTGGCATAGACACAACAAAAAAAGAAAAGTTCAGGCCAATATCCCTGCTGAACATCAATGTGAATATCGTCAATAAAATACTGCCAAACCAAATCCAGCAGCACATCAAAAAGTTTATCCACCACAGTCAAGTCGGCTTCATCCCTGCGATGCAAGGCTGGTTCAACATATGAAAATCAATAAACGTAATCCATCACATAAACAGAACCAATAACAAAAACCACATGTTTTCTCAATAGATGCAGAAAAGGCCTTCAACAAAATTCAGCAGCCCTTCATGCTAAAAACTCTCAATAAACTAGGTATCAATCAAACATATCTCAAAATAATAAGAGATACTTAGGACAAACCCAGAGCCAATATCATACTGAACGGGCAAAAACTAGAAGCATTCTGTTTGAAAACTGGCACAAGACAAGGATGCCCTCTCTAACCACTCCTATTCAACATAGTATTGGAAGTTCTGGCCAGGGCAATCAGGCAAGAGAAAGAAATAAAAGGTATTCAAATAGGGAGAGAGGAAGTCAAATGGTCTCTGTTTGCAGGTGACATGATTGTTTATTTAGAAAACCCTATCATCTCAGCCCAAAATCTTCTTAAGCTGATAAACAACTTCAGCAAAGTCTCAGGATACAAAATCAATGTGCAAAAATTACAAGCATTCTTATACACCAATAACAGACAAACAGAGAGCCAAATCATGAGTGAACTCCCATTCACAATTGCTACAAAGAGAATAAAATACCTAGGAATCCGACTTACAAGGGATGTGAAGGACCTCTTCAAGGAGAACTAGAAACCACTGCTCAGGGTAATAAGAGAGGACACAAACAAATGGAAAAACATTCTATGCTCATGGATAGAAAGAATCAATATCATGAAAATGGCCATACCACCCAAAACAAATGGAAAAACATTCCATGCTCATGGATAGGAAGAATCAATATTGTGAAAATGGTCATAGTGCCCAAAGTAATTTATAGATTCAATGCTATCCCCATCAAGCTACCATTGACTTTCTTCACAGAATTAGAAAAAACTACTTTAAATTTCATGTGGAAACAAAAAAGAGCTGGTATAGCCAAGACATTCGTAAGCAAAAAGAACAAAGCTGGAGGCATCACGCTACCTGACTTCAAACTATACTACAAGCCTACAGTAACCAAAACAGCATGGTGCTGGTGCCAAAACAGATATATAGACCAATGGAACAGAACAGAGGCCTCAGAAATAACATCACACATCTACAACCATCTGATCTTTGACAAATCTGACAAAAACAAGAAATGGGGAAAGGATTCCCTATTTCATAAATGGTGTTGGGAAAACTGGCTAGACATATGCAGAAAACTGAAAGGGCCGCTTTCTTACACCTTATACAAAAATTAACTCAAGATGGATTAAAGGCTTAAACCTAAGACCTAAAACCATAAAAAAAACCCTAGAAGAAAACCTAGGCAATACCATTCAGGACATAGGCATGGGCAAAGACTTAATGACTAAAACACTAAAAGCAATGGCAAAAAAACCAAAGTAGACAAATGGGATCTAATTAAACTAAAGAGGTTCTGCACAGCAAAAGAAACTATCATCAGAGTGAGCAGGCAACTTACAGAATGGGAGAAAATTTTTTCAATCTATCCATCTGACAAAGGGCTAATATCCAGAATCTACAAAGAACTTAAACAAATTTACAAGAAAAAAAAACATCAAAAAGTGGGCAA
The DNA here is from genome assembly GCF_000001405.40 of Homo sapiens. Lineage (NCBI taxonomy): Eukaryota > Metazoa > Chordata > Mammalia > Primates > Hominidae > Homo > Homo sapiens. The sequence goes on from NC_000008.11 coordinate 65,385,348, forward strand.
AGGATACGAACAGACACTTCTCTAAAGAAGACATTTATGCAGCCAGCAAACATGAAAAAAAGCTCATCATCACTGGTCATTACAGAAATGCAAATCAAAACCACAATGAGATACCATCTCACGCCAGTTAGAATGGCGATCATTAAAAGGTCAGGAAACAACAGATGCTAGAGAGGATGTGGAGAAATAGGAGCGCTTTTACACTGTTGGTGGGAGTGTAAATTAGTTCAACCATTGTGGAAGACGTGGTGATTCCTCAAGGATCTAGAACCAGAAATACCATTTGAGTCAGCAATCCCATTACTGGGTATATACCCAAAGGATTATAAATCATTCTACTATAAAGACACATGCACACATATGTTTATGGTAGCACTGTTCACAATGGTAAAGACTTGGAAACAACCCAAATTCCCATCAATGATAGACTGGATAAAGAAAATGTGGCACATATACACCATGGAATATTATGCAGTCATAAAAAAGGATGAGTTCATGTCCTTTGCAGGGACATGGATGAAGCTGGAATCCATCATTCTCAGCAAAATAACACAAGAATAGAAAACCAAACACCACATGTTCTCACTCATGAGTGGGAGGTGAACAATGAGAACACATGGACACAGGGTGGGGAACATCACACAATGGGGCCTGTTGGGGTGTGGAGGCCTGGGGGAGGGATAGCATTAGGAGAAATACCTAATGTAGACGACAGGTTGATGGGTGCAGCAAACCACCATGGCACGTGTATACCTATGTAACAAACCTGCACGTTCTGCACATGTATCCCATAACTTAAAGTATAATTTTAAAAAATGTCCTTTTCAATTTACTAAATTCTTACATATGTGTGATCAATTCTAAGCATTCAAAGGAAGAGGTAATTGCATAAGATAAAGAACAATGACTTAATAAAAGTTAAAAAGTAATTGGTGCTAAAGTTGGTTAAACTTTGGGTCTTCATTGTTTTGTCCTAATCTCATTCTGAAACTTAGTGCTAAAATAAAAATGATTTCCATTAGCCAAATAATGGAGATTCCATTTAGGAAAGTAACAATGTGTATAGACCAAAGTACACCAAATAAATAAATAAATACTTATATAAGTTTTTCTTCTAAATAAAAATTCAAAGGAAATTTTGTCTTAAGTGAAAATGTGCTGCTTACAGAGTTATTGTGAGGAATAAATAAGATTACACACGTAAAAGTACTTTGTAAACCTGAGTATGCTATATAAAATGTGGCACTTCTATTTGCTCCATTTTCCACAAATTTCTCCAAGTATTAGCTTACTGAAATATTCCCAATGCCAATTGGGAGCAGTGGCTCACGCCCATAATCCCAGCACTTTGGGAGCCTGAGGCAGGAGGATCACTTGAGCCCAAACGCTCAAGATCAACCTGGGAAACATAGTGAGATCGCATCACTACAAAGAATTTAAAAATTAGCCAGATGTGGTAGTGCATGTCTGTAGTCCTAGCTACTTGGGAGGCTGAAGTAGAAGGATTGTTTAAGCCCAGGAGGTCAAGGCTGCAGTGAGCTATGATCATGCCACTGCACTCCAGCCTAGGTGGGCAATAGAATGGGACTCCATCCCCAACTTTCCCGGCAAAAAATTCTCAATGCCTTATGCCATCTCCCTCCTGGCCCCTTCCTGCCTTGTCCCATGCCTCCCACTATTCATGAGAATATCTCACATCCAACATAAGTACTTTATCACAGAGCTATAGTATATTAAGAAGTCAAAAATAAAAATTATGCAGCTGCAAATCAGTGAACAAATCATAAACAAACACTAATCCTCAATTGTATGTCTTCAGACTTTGTCAAAATCGTGCCCAATTGAGAACAGCCAGTTTATGGTATTTTAACCAAATACTTCTGACTCTGAGGTTGAACAAAGCACGTCAGGGTTTTCAGAAGGATACCCACTTTTTTTAGTATTCTATTGTAGATACATAAACAGGGTTTGAATCCAGTACCCAATTATAAAACCCCTTTAATTCACCTGCAGTGACATCTTTTTCCACTTTCTAAGTTGGAAGCTGTGCTTTGAGGTCCCCTAGCACAGGCACTGAGCCCTCGAGCTTTCCCCGGATCCCCTTGCAATCACAAAGTTTTGAAATCAGCAGGGGGACTTCCTCTCCTTAACCCCCAGAGGCTGTCCTTGCCCTGTTCTCAGTACCCCGTAGCTACTTTACCTACGATGGCTGAACTTTCCACTTTCTGAGGAACTGCAAACTTTTGTGGTCAGCCTGGCCCACTCTATACCTGAGACATGAATTCAACACATCTAGAAACTCTTATCATGCTGTCAATGCCAAGGAGAAAGGAATTTTTTCTTATGATTTCCATTTTAACCTAAAAGTTGTTTTCTCTATTGGATTTGCCAAAGGGCTCTTTGCTTGTGGCCCCCACACTCCTTATTGCCCTTTTCCATTTTGTGACTCAATATTACAGTGTTTCTACAAATATTGTTAATATTTGCCTCCTGTTTTGAAGTGTTTGAAACATCAGGGAATAAGAAACAAGTATTAGTACTTTGACTGAGCCTGGTTACTTTCAGGTCGGCTTTGGATTTAAAGATTAGGGGCCAGTCTTATATACAAGCAAAAGTGCCTTCACTGTGAAGAACACCCCAGGGGACAAAATTAGACCAGTTAGTTGATAAAATAAATAATGATAATAATAATAACTAAAATTTCAGCACTTACTCTGCATTAAGCATATGCTAGCTGTTTTACATGTACAATCCATCTGATTGTTCTTTGTCTTCTTAAGAAATATTGATTCTTGCACTTTGGGAGGCTGAGGCTGGCAGATCACTTAAGATCAGGAGTTTGAGACCAGCCTGGCCAAGATAGCAAAACCCCATCTCTACCAAAAATATAAAAATACTTGGATGTGGTTGTGGGTGCCTGTAATCCCAGCTACTCGGGAGGCTGAGGCAGGAGAATCTCTTGATCCCCAGAGGTGGAGTTTGCAGTGAGCAAAAATCACACCACTGTACTCCAGCCTAGGTGACAGAGCAAGACTCCATCTCAAAAAAAAAAAAAAAACTTACACTTTTAATGGACTGTCTTGGTTAAAAAATACTGTGAGCTTTGTTTATTTGTGTGTGAATTCATAAATCACAAGTGAGTTTAAGATAATTGCAGTTCCCCATTCATGGACTGGCACCTCCTAATACACACATCAAAGAGTCTGATGTCCAGTCAACGTTGAAAAAAACTGCTGTGGAAAGTTCACATGGATTCTGAGGCCGCCATCCATGCCGGATTTTGACACATGGTTTGACATAGTAATTCCTATTCCACAATAAACCAAATCCTATTCATTCCTCCCTGAAGTCATACACACTTACTAGCCCATAGGTGGCCAGAAGGTACAAGTCCTCTCTAGCATGGGAGGCAGAGGTTGCAGTGAGCCAAGATTGTGCCACTGCACTCCAGCCTGGGTGACAGAGTCAGTGAGACTCTGTCTCAAAAAAAAAAAAAAAAAAAGAAAGAAATATTGATTCCTGGAGCCCCAGTCTATCAACCCCAGAAGAAGTGGTTGGGAAACAGAGGTAAGAAAGAAAGAGAGTGAAGGAAACTTGTTCCTCTCCCAACTAAGCATGCCTCCTCCTATGTGTCCCTTCATCTGTGTCCTCTGCAGTGCTTTGTATTCAACCAGAAAATGTCAGTGTTTCCCTGAGTTCCGTGAGCTGCTACAGCAAATTAATCAAACCCAAAGAGCGGGGCATGGGATCCCCAACTTGAAGCCAGTCGATCAGAACTTCTGGAGGTCTGGACTTGGGAATGGTGTGTGGGGCAGTCTTGGGGAATGAGCCTTCAATCTGTGGGATCTGGGACTGTCTCTGGGTAGACAGCATTGCAGCTGACTTAGAGGACTCCCAGCCGGTGTTCGCTACTGGGTTTGGAAAAAAACTCACACATCTGATCCTACAAGTCTTCTGTGTTGATGATTGTTGTGGTGTGAGAGTAGAGGAAAAACAATGTAGAGAGAGCTCTCTGTGCACAGAGAGGTAAAAGAAGTTTTTATCAGCAAAAAGGGAGAGGCTGACAGAAGCTGCTTAGAAACAGAGTTCCCTGGTTCCAGAGGTTCAAAGCCAGAGTTGCTGTCAGTCCATTGTAGGAGATGCCGTTGCTGGGCAAGTGTTCTCTTGAGAGCCTCTTACCTGAATTCCTGACGTCCTAAAGAATATCTAGTGATAAATCTTGTCAAAGCAGGAAGGGGGTGAAGGACATGAAAGACTTTCTTGTGAGGTTTTTTAAAAGTCCTTAGAAAAAGCTCTGATCTGAGACCTGGAAGCATGAGCCTCCTCTCCTTCAGGCCTTCCTGGCCCTATGGGGTCTGAGTTTGACGAAAGTCATCTCATCCTTGCACCTGTGACTTTCCTATTGGGTGTCTGTAGTGAAGGGATTGGGTTACGAAGTTTAACCTGAGCATTTCAGGGGTTTGGTTCAGGGCAGGGCTTGTTTCTACATCATTAGCAAAAGGGTTAATTTTTCAATGTTTTCTAAAAACAACCTAAGGTGCTTTAGCAGTACCTGGGGATGCTCAAGTCTCAGTTTGGGTTCAAGCCTGCAAGTGAAAACATGCACCTGTCTTCTGCCCTGGCAATATCAATGTTTTTCACTAATAGTCTTCCCAACACCCTCAAGAAATCTCTCATTAGAAGCAAGGGGAGTTATAGAAGGCGGGATGGGGGAAAAATAGGGAAAATATTATTTCTTCCCCAAATGGGAGCAAAGTAGAATATATGAGTAGAGTGATAAATGAGGCATATGTACCTTGAATGAAAGCCATGACATAGAAATTAGATTTAAGCAATTACCTTAGTATAAACAATTTCTGAGGAAAAAAATGCAGAAAAGTATCAGCCAGATCCAGAGTTTTTTGCTTTCCCCCCAAATTACAGAATTGTTAAATCTCATTATAGAAGTCTCCAGCATACTGTTTTCTTCTGCATTATGTTGAGTTGTTAATTCCATTGAAAATCCCCGTAATACAAATAATTTATAAAGAAAAGAGGTTTAGTTGGCTGTACAGGAAGCATGATGTTGGCATCTGCTCAGCTTCTGGGGAGGCTTCAGGAAACTTTCAATCATGGTGGAAGACAAAGGGAGAGCAAGCACCTCGCATGGCCGAAGCAGGAGAAAGGAGGAGATGGGGCAGGTGCTACACACTTTTAAACAACCAGATCTCATGAGAATTCACTCACTATTGTGACACAGCGCCAAGAGGGAAAATCCACCCCCATGATCCAATCACATCCCACCAGGCCCCACCTTCAACAACGGGGATTACAATTCGACATGAGATTTGAGCGGGAACACAGATCTAAACCATGTCACTATGTCTGCTCATTTTTCTCCAAAACTCATTCGTTTTATATGTTTAATGTTTATATGTTTAATCTGTGCCCTATTAATGTATGGTGCTGATCTGGTGCTACGTACATGTGTCTCTCAGTCTACAAATGTTCTCAATGTAAGATGGCAAAAGGAAAAGGCTTCATCCCCCAGGTCACTTACCGTGAACACTTTTTGAATGATTACTTTGCATTTTTGTGCCACATAATATCCTAATGCCTTGTATGTGTTAATTTATTGGTTCCTCATGTCTCTGAATGAGGCACTGTACTAGCTACAGTTCAAACCTTAGTAAGACCAGGTGCAGTGGCTCACCCCTATAATCCCAGCACTTTGGGAGGCTGAGGTGGGCGGATCATGAGGTCAAAAGATCAAGACCATCCTGGCCAACATGGTGAAACCCCACCTCTACTAAAAATTAGCTGGGTGTGGTGGCAGGCGCCTGTAGTCCCAGCTACTTGGGAGACTGAGGCAGGAGAATGGCTTGAACCTGGGAGGCGGCGGTTGTGGTGAGCCAAGATCGTGCCACTGCACTCCGGCCTGGCAACAGAGCGAGATTCGAGATTCTGTCTCAAAAAAAAAAAAAAATTTAAAAAAATAAATAAATAAAAAAACATTAGTAAGTAGAAGAGACATCCAAATATCTCTCAAACCCATCCTTAGTTTATGTTCTTTCTGCCACCATTACAGTGCCTAACGCTGTGCCTAGTGGGAAGACAAAAAGTATTATTTTGACTTAATTCAGCCAACATTTATTGAGAGTCTAAATTAAAAGAATTTTGGTTTGGTTCCAAGTCTTTGCTATTGTGAATAGTGCCGCAATAAACATACGTGTGCATGTGTCTTTATAGCAGCATGATTTATAGTCCTTTGGGTATATACCCAGTAATGGGATGGCTGGGTCAAATGGTATTTCTAGTTCCCAAATGTCCAACAATGATAGACTGGATTAAGAAAATGTGGCACATATACACCATGGAATACTATGCAGCCATAAAAAATGATGAGTTCATATCCTTTGTAGGGACATGGATGAAATTGGAAACCATCATTCTCAGTAAACTATCGCAAGAACAAAAAACCAAACACCGCATATTCTCACTCATAGGTGGGAATTGAACAATGAGATCACATGGACACAGGAAGGGGAATATCACACTCTGGGGACTGTGGTGGGGTCGGGGGAGGGGGGAGGGATAGCATTGGGAGATATACCTAATGCTAGATGACACATTAGTGGGTGCAGCGCACCAGCATGGCACATGTATACATATGTAACTAACCTGCACAATGTGCACATGTACCCTAAAACTTAGAGTATAATAAAAAAAAATAAATAAATAAAAAATAAATAAATAAATAAATAAATAAATTAAAAGAATTTTGATAGACACTGTGGAGCAGTGGGTCTCAAGGAGGAGTGACTTTTCTTTCAGAGGACATTTGACAATGTCTGAAAACATTTTTTGTTTTCACGGTTGGGAAGAAGGTGCTATTGGCATCTAGTGGGTAGGGCCAGTGACTCTGCTAAGCATTCTACAATGTGTAGGACCCCTCCCCACAGCAACAAAGAACTACCCAGCCCCAAATGTCAATAGTGCTGAGGTTGAGAAGTCGTGCTGCAGGGCACGACTTCGAGGTTAACATTACAGCTTGAATGCTAAGTTCTAGGAGGACAGGTGCTGTATCTGTCTTATTCATAGTGGAATACCCAGGCTAAGTCCAGTACCTTCCACCTAATAGGGATTCAGTAAACAGCTCTTACATTATTGCATGTAGTGAAATAAATAAGGTAAATATACACATGACTCAAAGATAACATGGAAAAGGAAAGTCCCATGAAAAGAATATAAATAAAGTGCTTTGGGACTTCAAGGCACAAGAAATCACCTCCAATTGAGCAGAAAAAGAAAGACCACGCAAAAGACGGCATCTGAGATGGAATAGGAAGGGCAATTATGGTTTCAGCAAGAGGAGAGGGTGAGAAAATCACATGAAAGTAGAGGAAAAACCTGGGAGAAACACTGATGATTGAGGAGCTGTCCAGTTAGGGTGGTGCAGGGAATAAGTAGGAAAGGGAGGAGAAACAGCTTGGAAAAGTAGATTGGATCTCATAATTGTAACATACCATGAACACCTGGGTGAATAATTCACATAAGACATGTAAAGAATAGGAGGCCGGCAGATCTCAATTGCCCTATTGTAAAATACTTCCAACTAGAGATGTAATGAGGAAGCACTAGGAGTTGGGTTTACAAAATATTTGGAATATAAAATCCACATTTCTTGGCAAGTTACTATGTAGAATCAGTATAGCAAGTGAATAAGCCAAAAATGATTACCTACGTTTCATTCTGCATAGAAAGAGGAAACTCAGCTTGAAAGGTTTAGGAATGGGAGAACTAATAATTAATTTTGGGCATACAGTGTAAATGAAAGATGTTTAACAGTTTTTGAACATTTCAGAATGCAAGATTCTGAAGCACAGAATAAAAATGAAGGCTAAAGAAAGAAATTTGAAAAAATCTAGATGTTAATGATGGTGCTTATGCAACATAAAACAGGGAAAGGGTCAAGTGAGAGGCCCACTTTCAGGATTTTGGGGAACTCCTTTGTTTAGTTGACAAGGCAAGCAAACAAAGAAAATGGAAGATGATTGGGAAGAGAATCAAAATAGTGTTTTGTTAGAGAGAACAAGATGTGAGAGTCTGAAGAAAAGAGGAGGTGATTGGGCCTATGGGATGCTATGGGAAGCTGGAAAAGATGAGGTCTAAAGACAAATCATTGACCTTGATAATTAAGGGGTAGTTGACAGCTCTGAGTGATCAGTTTATGCACTGTGGTCAGGAAACAAGACAAATTATAGGGGTGCAAAGGAGTTGATGAGAAAGTGATAAGGCTTGTTATGATGCTGTATTAGGGTCCTTCAGATAAAGAGAACCAATAGGAGACAGATACACATATACATACATACATATATTATCATATACGTGTGTGTGTATATATATCGTGTATATATATATATATATATATATATATATCATATATATATTAGAAGGAGATTTATTATGGGAATTGACTCATGCAATTGTGGAGGAGAAGTCCTGCGATATGCCATCTGAAAGCCAGAGAACCCAGGAAAGCTGGTAGTATAATTCAGTCCAACTCTAAAGACCTGAGATCCAGGAGAGTCGATGGTATAACTCCCACTTCTGGGTGGCAGGAGCAGGGGGCACATTTGGAGTTCAAAGGCCCAAGAATCAGAAGTTCCACTGTCCAAGAGCAGGATAAAATGAATGTACCAGCTTAAGAAGAGAGAGAAAATTCACGCTTCTTCTATGTTTTGTTCTATTCATGCCCTCAGTGGATTGGATGATGCCTGTCCACATTGGTGGGGATGGATCTTCTTTACTCGTTTTAATTATTTAAATGCTAATCTTTTATGGAAACACCCTCACAGACACATCTGGAAATAATGTTTTACCAGCTATCTGGGCATCTCTCAACCCATTCAAGTTGACATAAAATTAACCAACAAGATGGAAATATTGAGATAATATTGTAGGGTACATATTTTTTATCTTCCTTCTCTTTGGATTTGCTACTCCATTGCATCTCCATGATAACTTCTGAATGTGAACAATAATGAAAAAGATAATTCACTGGGGAAAATATGGATTACCTAAACAACCAATGTCTGAATTGTAAACAGGTTACCTTCCAAATATTAATTTAAGTATTATGGTACTCAAAAATGCTTTCCTGTACAGAAAAAAAGTGACAAATTGTAATTAGATTTTTAGACCTTGTTAGTCCTCCAAATTATTTAAATCATGACATACTAAAAATAAAATTTTATTTTAACTATTATGTCAATTCTATAACATTATTTAGAATGTTATTTTTTAAGCAAAGATAAGTGACATTTTATTTTTTCTCTGTGGCAAGTATTCCTTTGGGAATTTATGCTTTGGGCAATTATAACTTGAGGATACCAATAGCTTTCACATTAGAGAAACTAGTCCTTTACATTGGCATAAAGAAAAACATTTTACAGTATTTGCCTAAGAGGTTAACTTTGTAGCCTAGTCCCTTCCCAGCATATTAAATGGGGCCACAAGAGACCCTTATTATGAAGCCCAGAGATCTCCCCTTCTCCAACATTGCTCCTTCTTGTTTTATGTAGTCAGTCATAAAGTATGGTCAAAAGTTGGGGAATGCTTCTAGCACACACATATGCACATGCACACATGGGTGTACTCATCCACTCAATAAATATATATGAGATGCCAACAGGTAATGATTTTCTTATCCTGAAGGCTAGCTGACCAGAAAAAAAATTGGATTTCTACAAAGTTTAATGGCTACTGGCCATGGCCCAGTGCTTAAAACAATGGTTCCTGGCTAAATACAAGGCTTGTACCACAGCCGCTCATGATGCCAAGGGTAGGATTCCTGCATTCTCAGTCTTGAAGGCCTTATGAGGGGAATTTACGTATTGTCACAACATAGAGTCACAGCCCCTCATCTGAGCAGGGAAAGGGTTGATGTTATCCCAAACACAAAACCAAGCTCTCAGGACAGAACTGGAGCCAAAGTTCTGCCACTTTATAATGCCTTTGTATCCAGGAAAGAGGATGATGCTTATGTAATCATGCAGCTTAAAAGGGCCATAGCCTAAGGGTCAGGGACTCTCTCCTGGAGTCTAACATCTGTACTTGCTAGATCTCTGTGCAAATGCCCTGTAATGCAATGAGCAACAGGGGACCTGTTATTGCTCCTGTCTCTATGAGTTTTCCCCATAAACACTATTCCAGCAGGCCTGGTGCATGTGCTGCTTGGCCATTTGCCCTTGATGCACAAGTACCAACAATAAATCAGGCACTGGAGACACAGAAGTAAACAAAACACAGTCCCTGCCCTCAAGCTCACATTCTCCTGGGAAAAGAGACAGCCAATAAACAAATAAGTAGATAATGTACCAAGTGGTGATAAGTTATCACAGGCATAATAAAGCAGAGGAAGGAAAGAGAGTGGTCACAGGGGTATACAGGGGTGTTAGTGCCAATCGCTCTTTTAAGGTGATATCTGACCAGTAATCTGAAGGAAGCAAGGGGCTGAGCCATGTGTATGTGTAGGGGAAAGCATTCTTGGCAAAGAGAACTGAGTTTAAAGACCTTGAGGCAGGAGAATATTTGCTGTGTTTGAGGACAAGCAAAGAAGCTCTTCCTAAGCCAGGAGACGAAGAGCAGAGAAAGAGTGGTAGAAAATGAAGTCTTTCAGGCCATGGTAAAGGCTTTGGATTTGATTTTGATTCAGATGGAAAGCCATTGGAAGGAGCTGACTCAAATTTCAGAAAGATCCCTTGGGCTTTCTCTGGAGAAAAGACAGGGCAAGGAGGGTAAGGATGAAATGCAGAAGCAGGGAGTTAGTTAGAGTTGACTGCAATAATCTTGGCAAGATTCGGTGGCTTGGAGTAGGATGAGTGGTCACAGACATCCTGAGAAGTTGGATTTGGGAAATATTTCCAAGAAAGAGCTGACAGGATTTGCTAATTGATTTCATATGGAATATAAAAGAGAAAAGTTAAGGGAATGACATCATCTTTTTTGGCTCAAACAACTGGAAGCCATTTATTGACACAGGGAAACTATGGGATGATCAAGTTTCTTGGGGCAGATTGAGTTCAGGTTGGGACATGTTAAGTTAGAACTACCTCTTAGACCAAGAGGAGATGCTACATAGAGAATTATATACATGGGTCTGGCCATCAGAGAAGTCATCTGGGCTGAGATATAAATTTTAGGAGTCACCAGCATTCAGTGGCATTTAAGGGCACAGGTGAGATCACCTAGGACAACCATGCACAAAATGTGGTCTGAGACTTCTGCTAATCCTCAAGATCCTTTTAACATTTGCCTTTTTAATGCTTCTTCTTTCACAATTGTACAGTGGAGTTTTCCAGGGACTACGTAAGATGTGTTATGGCAACAACTAGAATGCCTAGGCAGATATGACAGTCCAACCATCTTCTATTAACTCAGATGTTAAAGAGACCTGCAAAAATATATAACTATACCACTCTTCTTACCACATTTTTTGTTTTGAAAAATATAATTATTCTTTATAAAAATGTTTTATGTTAATATGTAATGGCTTTGTTATTTTTAAACAAATTAATAAAAATTTTTAACTTTCTCAGTCTTAATTTCTAATACAGTAATTATCAATAGATATAACTCATATAAGCAAATGTTCTTTGGGTTCCTTAATAATCCTTAAGGCTGGGCATGGTGGCTCATGCCTGTAATCCCAGCACTTTGAGAGGCCAAGGTGGTAGGATTGCTTGAGGCCAGGAACTTGAGACCAGCCTGGACTACAAGGCAAGACTCCATCTCTAAAAAAAATTTAAAAACTAGCCAAGCATGATGGCACATCTCTAGTCCCAGCTACTCAGGAGGCTGAGGTGAGAAGACTGCTTATGCCCAGGAGTTTGAGGTTTTCAGTAAACAATTGCACCACAGCACTCCAGCTTGGATAACAGAATGAGACCCTGTCTCAGAAAATAATAATAATAAAATAATGTTTCAGAGCATAAAGAGGTCTAACACCAAAGAGTTTGAGAACTGCTGACCTAGGGAGTAAGTATAGATGGGAAAGAAAGGAAGACGAAGAAATGAGATAAAATAGTTGAGGAAAAACCAGCAAAGAGAGTGAGGGGGAGCCATCATGGAGGTAAAAAGTTAGCAAGAGAGTATCCCAGAGGTCAGGTGAAAAAGGTCTTTCAAGAAGGGAGCAATCCATTGCATCACATGCTGCAGAAAGACTAAATAAAATGAGAACTGACAATTCATTCTGACAATACAGAAGTCAATAGTGACCCAAATAAGAGCAATTTGTCAGAGCAGGAAAGACAAAAGCCTGACTTAGAGGCTTTTGGAGTTAGAGTGGTCTATCCAGGCATATATTGTATAAGCAGAGGCAAGGAATAGTATATTCTTAGAGAGAATTAAAGAGATAGTGAGAGAACAGGAAATGGAGAGGGAAGTATAACCAATATTTAATTAATTTAGTTTGAAAGTAAAACAGAAGTACAGGATGGTATTCAGACTAAACGTACCATCAAGATAGGGTGTTGTTTTCCAGATGAGGACTATAATAGTACATTTATATGATGGTGGGAATTATCTAGAAATGGGAGGAGGCATGCTATAAAAGTCTTGTCTTTGGGTAGGCAAGAGAGGATGGGGTCTAATGCTTAAAAAAGCATGGACAGCTCTTTTATTATTATTATAAGCCAGAAGGAAGAGGATGTGGGTTCAAATGCAACTGGGTGGGTAGATATGGGAGCAGGAGTGTGTGGAAGTCCTCTTCAGGTTGCTCCTACTTTCTCAGTATGTGAAAGATGGAAGGTTATCAGCTGAGAGTAATGAAGAGGAATGTGATGTTGGACATCTGGATGGAGAGGAAAGGTATGAAGTCATCACATTGGAGAGCAAGACAGTGCAGTAACCAGTGAAACAGTAGGATCACAGGGTAGAACTGAGGGCTCACTTGAGCTTTTTGGTTATGAATTTAAAGTGAGACCAATCAAGCAGAATTGTGTGTTTCCCTGTAGCCACATTTAACTAGCAACATTCAAAGACAACCACACATCTCAAAATTCTCAACCTCAATTGAGTGCTGAGATTATTTTTGGCCTATTTTGGCACATATTTTATAAATATTTACCTTTCTTTCTCTTTCCTTATCCTTTAAAGCAATCAACATCTAGCCCTAAAAAAAATGATAACCACATTTAGATATAATCATTCAAGCAGTAAAACTATGTCTCTCTTCTTGAACAACTGACTTAATAAGGAAGGGAACCTAACCTATTAACAACTGCTCAACAAATCCTGAATAACATAAAATTTTAATATCCATATTTAACTAGGACATCCCCCAACACTACCTACACCAAATTAAATTATCATAAACACAAACGCTGCATTATCAATATATTATCATGAACAATTATGCCCTAGTTAAGTCACTTGTTCTGTCTTCTAAGTGTTGTGCACAGCAATAATGATAATTATAACCACAAAGGTCATATCTATATTCTTTGAGTTTCTAGTCATCCCATTATTACCATGATTGACAGTTTTGCCAGAAGCACATTTGTTAAGAGCAATCTAAGTGCTGTAAGGCCCATGTCTAAGAGAATGAAAATGTGTCTGTAATCCTACATACAATGGGGAGATGTAATGCTCATCTCCCCATTGCCAACTATGATTAGCTATTTGAACTTTGTGATAATTGTCTGGAATCTGGGCCTAAATAAAGATCTTCACATGAGAGTGCTAGAGGTAATCAAGGCCTTTGTCGACTAGAAACACAAACACAATCTGAAGGTCTCTTGTAATAGATGATAATATGATCTCTGTACACTGGCTTTGTCACAAATGTGAAATATGCCCTGCTAAGCACTAGATGAAATTGTGACACTGTTCCTGGAAAGAATTCTCTCTTTTCAAAACCATCGAGAGCAACTACTGTGCCTTGCCTACAATCTACTGTCCACTGAGGCCTTTTCACTGGGGGTCCTTGAGACTCAATCCCTGGGGCTCTGCACTTCTACTCGTCTGCATACTCCATTTTATAATCATCACTAAGAATGACAAACACTCCAAGGACAAATACTGTATGATTCCACATATATGGGGTACCTGGAGAAGTCCAATTCATAGAGACAGGCAGTAGAATAGAGGCTAGCAGGGGTTGGGGATGAGAAATGTGGAGTTATCTACTGGGCACAGGATTTCAGTTTGGGAGGATGAAAAAGCTCTGGAGATGAATGGTTGTGATGGCTGCTCAACAATGTGAAACTCCTTAATGCCACAAAACTGTACACTTAAGATGGTAAATTCTATATTATATATGTTTTACCACAATTTTTAAAAAAAAGAATACCAGGCATTCAACATCTCAACTTATTTTCTCTACTCAATTTAGTGAAAACCACCAGTTAGCTGGAATGCAATGAGCATTTGGCACTTGTCTAGCTCTCCAGCATCTCTAAAACAAACTCCTTATATTTGAGAAATTCCACCATGTGAGACTTGCCTTCTCAAATTGAGAAGGTAGAAGATACGCTATGGTTTGAATGTTTGTCTTATTTATAATTTATACTAAAACTTAATTTCCAATGTAACAGTATTAAGGGGTATGGCCTTTAAGAGGTGATTCATGGATTAATGGATTAATAGATTATCAAGAGAGTGGGTCTGTTAAAAAAAAAAAAAAAGGCATTTTGGTTCTCAGAGCACCTCCTTCACCCGTGATGCATTTCACCACGTTACAGTGTAGCATGAGGCCTTCACCAGAAGTCGACCAGATGCAGCTGTCCAATCTTGAACTTCCCAGTCTCCAGAACCATAAACCAAAGTGAACCCCTTTTAAAAAAATATATAAATTACCCAGCTTCAAGTATTCTGTTATAGCAACATAAAACACACTAAGACAAGATGTATATTCCTTGCAGCTCAGGCACCACACATGACTAAGGTTTCATATCAGACACACCAATGGGAACCTTCAATTTGGAATTGAGCAACCTATGCAAGCCAGGCTGTGATGAAATCCATCTTCTGACAAAGGTGGCAACTTTTTCCTGACTGGAAAATATGTCAATCCATTAGTAGGATATAAACTAATTTAGAAAATCACAACCAGTAAATTTTAAAAAAGAAATAGAACAGGGAAAAAAGTTTAAATCTCATAGAGTAAGGATAAGAATATTTACATATTAAAATATACATGTATATGTGAAAGCCATGATGCACAGTGTATTTCTTACTGAGAGTACCAGGCAAAATTCCTTTAACAGGCTCCTTTTCTGCATTAAATAACTAGAGTGGATTGTATTGTTTGCAACTAAGAATCTGTGATAATATATCTGATACCATGTCTAGTATGAGCAGACCAAAGAAGAAGTCTCCTTTTCATCTCTTTCCATCTTTCTCTAAATGCTGCTGATTCATTGTCTAGTACTATGTTTAATATCAGAGAGAATGTTAACTCATTTCTAATATACATGTCACAGTCTATTTGAAGGGCAGTCAGGAAGAAATTTTACATAAAACTACAATTGTATGCCTTTTATGTATACTCATGTCAGTGATGTTAGTTATACTTGCCTTAAATTTTTCTCAAATCATCAAGTTATACAAAACTAAAATTGGAGGCCATGATCACCAATTGTTTATGCATTTTTTTTCCTAATGAGAATCTTTATCCCTCCCAAGAGTACTTTTGATTCCCCTGTGAGTGGAGTTAGAATGGTCTATCCATGCATATGCTGTGGTTAAGCTGTTCATTTTACATAAATCCTAGCCAGATTAACTTTGAATAAGGAATGCATTTCTAGTTTTTGTCTATAGCAAGCAAGTTAACATAGTATGTGGCTCCCATTACTTGAATATATTGCCATGCAATAT
This sequence comes from Homo sapiens, assembly GCF_000001405.40. NCBI lineage: Eukaryota > Metazoa > Chordata > Mammalia > Primates > Hominidae > Homo > Homo sapiens. The sequence continues at coordinate 65,401,206 of NC_000008.11, forward strand.
CTGTCAAAACTTGTGCAAGTTTTGGATTGCCTAAAGAGCATGTAGCCCTCTACATACGTTAAAATTCACCCCTGCATTAAATCAGATGAGCAGAATTGTGTCCCTAGAATGTATAGATTTTTTCCCATATTTAACTACTTTGTATATGAGTGGGATGCCTTCCACATTAGGAATGCATTGGCCTTGGTTCCATTTTATTACCCCATGTTTGTTTTTAGCTTTTTTTCTCATGCCGCTCTTTTGTGTTATTCTGCTGTATTTCATATACTCTTGCCAACTACCTTAAAGACTTCTTTGGAATAAGACAAAGTATAAACAAACAAACAAACAAGCTCCCTTTCTTTCCCTTTCCACAGCCCCCACACACATAAGGCTCAATTCAATGTATGCCTCAATTACTGTAAAAATCTTCTGGCTGGTTTCCCTGCCTCTATTTTCTCCTCTCACAAATGTTTGATTCTTCTTCTTCAATATTGTTTTCATCACTTCACCCAGCTGCTCAAAATCCACAGTTGCTTGGTAATGTCGCTGTAGTAGATATATCTTCAGGCTTACATTCAGAATCCTCCATCAGTTGCCCACACACTTCCAATTTTATCTCTCATGCTCGCTAACAAGGTGCTTCTGTTCTGATAATTCAAAATGATTGCCATGCTTTCTACCTACCTCTTACAATTTTGCAAAACCCAACTCCAGAGACAACTGTTTGTGTTACCTTTGGAAAACCATTTAACCTTACTGAGCTTCATTTCTTCAATTGGAAAATGGGAATAAAACTTTACATGGTTTTTATGAGACAACATAGCACATGAAAGTGCCTAGATTAACTAACGAACTAAATGAATAAAAATGTCTGTCTTCTAAAGTGCCTGGCACATAGTCAGCACCCAATAAAAAGTAATTCAGAATATACTATCCTTTGCCTTTTCTCACACTATTTGCACAGTCCTGAAAAGCTCTGCTCCCTCCTCCGCCATGAGTCCCTAAAGAGCAGGCAATAATTACACAGGCCTTGAGGTCAAAGGGAGATATGAATCCAGACACACTCTGCCTTCCACTGAGTGACTTTAGGCAGATGACGTCAGCATCCACCTGTGTGGTCCATTTCTGAGGACCCAGGAGCATACAGAAGGATGCCCAAGACATGACCTATTCAGTCTTTGGAACACAGTCAGTGCTGTATCTTCTGCTGCTGTTTCCTTTATATTAAAAATTAATGTGTCAGCTGGGCGTGGTGACTCTCTCCTGTAATCCCAGCACTCTGGGAGGCTGAGGCGGGTGGATCACCTGAGGTCTGGAGTTCAAAACCAGCCTGACAAACATGGCAAAATCCCGTCTCTACTAAAACACAAAATTAGCTGGGAGGGGTGGTGCATGCATATAATTCCAGCTACTCAGGAGGCTGAGACAAGAGAATCACTTGAACCCAGGAGACGGAGGTTGCAGTGAGCCAAGATTGTGCCACTGCACCCCAGTCTGGGCAACAAGAGTGAAACTCTGTCTCAAAAAAAAAGAAAAAAGAAAAAAAATTAATGTGTCTTGTTTTATTTAGTTTGAGATAAGGTGGCTGAGTTTTTCCTTTATCTGTGGCACCTAGGAAAGGTAGCTGCTAAGGCAAAATAACCAATATATTAGATATTAGCAGTAAAATTTCATTTTCTAGCTACTAGGAAGCTGGGAACAAGCCTGGCAGTAACCGTATCACCTCTCAAAGAACCCCAGACTAAGCTATAAGAATACACATAAAATGGGACTCTGATGAAATAGGACCTTCAAATAATACAATACCTTACTCCCAAACCATTCTGTTCAATTTACTTAACCACAGGTAAGCATCTCATATTACTTTTGTATATTCAAAATATAGATCTTGACCCTGAGCTGGTGCTTTGTGTTTATTTTTTAACTGAATATAGGCTTTGTCACCTCTAAAAATATGTGAAACAAATCACAAAAGTTACTCTTGTTCTGTGACAGAGCACCCTTGCAAAGAGTTTTTCCAATTCATTAGACCTAAAGACAGTCTATGAAGCCAATAAATTTTGCACTGCCATAGCCTTCACATATATATCTGCTAATTCTAATACTGCACCTTTCTATAGCTCCTAATATCACTAAATATTGAATTTCTGCCTGTAGTTGGTACTGGAAAAATCCCACAGTAAAACCTTTGTCTTAGTCCATTTTGTGTTGCTGTAACAGAATACCATAGATTGGGTAATTAAAAATGAATTCAAATTCATTCATTCACAGTTCTAATAAAGGCTTGGAAGTTCAAGATCAAGGTGCTAGCATCTGGTAAGGACCTTTTGCTGCATTATACCATGACAGAAGGCAGAAGGGCAAATAGAGGGTGAGAAAGAAAAATCAAGAAAGAGAGAAGGGATCAAACTCATCCTTTTATAAAAAACCCATTCCTGCAATAACAGCATGAATCCATTCACTCCACCCACATGACCTAATCACTTCTCATTAGGTCTCACGTTGCAACACTGTTACAATGGAGATTAAGTTTCCACATATGCTTTTGGAGGGACACATTCAAGCCACAGCGACCCTCACCACCTACCCTAGCCTACCTTATCCCAAACTCCTAGCTGACTTGCAATACAATATGAAATAAGCAGAGTAACAGAATTCAATTTCCTTTAGGCTCATTCCTCAACTCCTCTTAAGTCCACTCGGATTTATTTTACATTGTGAGTTATGGGTTGAGTCAAGTCCCCTTGAAATGATATGTTGAACTCTTAATCCCCCCAGTACCTCCAGAATATGACCTTACTTGGAAATCGAGTCATCACAGATGTAATTCGTTAAGATGAAGTCATACCACAGGAGGATGAGCCATTAATCCAATATGACTGATGCCCTTTTAAGAAGAGGAAAGAGACACAGAGAAGAGCAGCCATGTAAAGACACAGAGACACAGAGAAGAAAGCCATGTGAAGACAGAGGCAGAAATTAGAGTTATGCTGCCACAAGCCAAGGAACATCTAAGGCTCCCAAAACTGGAAGAGGCAAGAAAAGATTGTCCCTTAGAGGCTTTGGAGGGAGCATGGCCCCAGATACCTCTTGATATTAGACTCAGCCTCCAGAACTGTGAGGCAAAAAGTTTCCGTTGTTTTAGGCCCAGCAGTTTGGGGTAATTTGCTATGGCAGCTCTGGCAAACTAATGCACTGTGAGTCTGTGCTTATTTCCCAGACTCGCTCAGAAAATGAACTCATTTTCCACACATATGACACTAGGCAAAATGTGTGTTAATCTTCCCTGCACCATTTTCCATTTTCTTGAGAGTTCTTTCCTGAAACTCAAAAGTGCTCATGAGTACCAATGAACGAAGGCTACCTTTGCTTTAATGTCCCTACATTTTCTTTCCCAGCAACCAAGAGGTGATGGCTCAGCACAGTGACATTTTAGGACCGGACTCTCCAATTCAACAGTTAAAAGCCCACACCATGTACACATAAGACACAAGGCATACATTTCATTGTTTCTATACATCACACACTTTGAGCAACTCAGCATGATACTCTCAATAATATCAGGAAAACTATCCCAGACTCCAGAGAGCTGACCTCTCTTCATCTGGCCTTGTTCAATTCGAGAAGGAAAGGCAGCATTGGTCAACTTCACCATCTGCAACACAAAAGTTGAATATTTCACAAGCATTCCAGGTCCTGTTTGCCCTCAGATGGGGTGCAGGTCCCAGGAATGGTAACACTATCTAGCTGATTCCTCCAATTTTGCATTGTTTATGCTTTTAATTATATCATAATCAAATGAAAAATTCCATGTGTAGGGCACAGATTTGGCTTTTAAAAACCAGATGTCTGATGCTTTGGGTCCTCCTTTTAAATTAACATAAGCAAACAATGTTATCTCCATGTTAACAAAGGAAACCATCTCTTCCCCCATTTGTGTTTCTTTTAGAGACTTTGGGTAAATGAAGGCCACACTTGGTCTACTAGCCACATTTGCCCAGGACAGAACTGATGCCAGTTCAGTCAGTTTCTTTATGGTAAATGACATTCGGCAGCCGGGCCTAGATCTCCCATAAGCTCCACATATTGTTGAGGCAGCTCAGAGGACGCGCTTGGATCAGTCAGATGGTGCCCACAGCTGCTAACAGCCCCTGTGAACTGCTCTGACCTCCAGTGTCTACCATTTTCCTTTGGCTTTCCTTGAAAACTTTCCTCCTGTGCCCCACTGCCTGCAGTGACAAGATGCTCATAGAGAACCTACAAGCCTTTGTCAGGATAAAGATAATAATAATAAGAGAAGCAGACTAATGGAAAGAGAAATAAGATATATTTTGCAGTTGCACTTTGGGGTTTTTTTTCTTTTTTTATTTTTTTGGTAGGAAGGATTTTTTTTTCTTTCTTTTTTTTTTTAAAGCATGAGCGTTCTGCTTTTCTGAAAGCGCGGGCTCCAGTGCTATGATTAGCACCAGGAACTGGAGAGGTTCCATCAGAGTGAACCGTTGATTTCAAGGCAGCTTTGCCTCTTGTTTTTCAAACCTGGTAAGCATACACATAAGAAGGCTGGGTCAGAGCTTGGAAAAGCAATTCAGTAGTTGGTGAACAGCCTTCAGAGAAAGCAAGCAAGCATCCAGTTTACATTTATTTTCATTTTAAGAAGTGTGGCCAGCAACAAAGGTGGAGAGTGAGATGGGGGTGGGGTTAACTTATACATAGTTATTTTATGCTGTGCCATCTTGCGGCAGATTTTCTGAGGACTTTGTGTGGGTTTGTTAGGGAAGTAAAAATTGGGTCAGAATAGTTTCACACTCTACTACAACGTTCTTTGCGTTATTTTTTTATAGCCTTCAATTTAGGCAAATCATATTCATGTATCATTGCTAATTTTCAAAACAATGACACAAGAAGACTTTGGCTAAAAAGATATCATATATTTTAACCTGTTCTCAATTTCCCTGATTTATCAGGTTGGCACTGTAACCAGGCACTCTGGTAAAATTGATCCGTACAACAACATTTCAATTTTGCCAGGAAAATGATCACTGTGTTTTATGTTGAGAAAGTTTATTTAACCTGAACATTTTTTTTCAAAAAAGAAAAAGAATTATTTTAAATGGACACAGGATTTTCCATATTTACTTAGATACATTTTTATCAAATCTATACTTGAAAGGAAATTCAGAGTGTCATAAAATACATTAATGACAGAATCAGAATTCAAAATTATTTCAGTATGGTAAATTTATGGGAAAAGTTTAACATGATTATATAGCATTATTATAGCATTTGTCATAAATGTAAAATCTGGCACTTGGACTTCAAATAACAATTATACAAGGAAAGATGAGGTAGCTATAGCTAAATAGCAGCATTCAGAAGAACAACAAAATAAATTTAGTCGAATATAAATTCCAGTGGCTTGAGTACAAATTGAAGCAGCTTGCCTGAAAAGCGAATACATTGTAGCTGGCCTTCTAATGCCAAAGAATGGCAGACATGATTTTGGCTCTCCTAATCACAGGCCAGGCCTCCCCTGGACTCCAGAACTCCAGAACCATCTTCGTTTCTAGGCAGTGCTCATGAAGAGGAGCCCACACAATTTGAAAACTCATGTTCTAGTCCAGTTAGCGTAACTATGACAGAATACCTGAGGCTAAGTAATTTATAAGGAAAAGAAGTTATTGCTTTAGCTCATGATTCTGCAGGCTGGGAAGTATAAGAAGCATGGCACCAGCATCTGCTCAGCTTCTGAAGAGATTTTCATGGTGGGTGATAAAATGATCGAAAATGTCAGAGGGTAAGTGGACAAGTGTGAAGAGACAAAACCCCAGTGGCATCCTAGCTTTACAACAACCCACACTCACAGGAATATTCTCCTAAGAATTAATCCAATCTCATGAGAATGAAAATCCAATCTCATGAGAAAATTATTCTCCTAAGAATTAATCCAATCTCATGAGAATGGCACTCACTATGCCAAGAATGGCACTGAGTCACTCATAATGGATCTGCCCTGTGACTTGAACACTTCCCACCTCTCAACACTACCACATTAGGAATCAAACTTTCACCTAAGTTTTGGTGGGGACAAACAAACTATATCCAAACCATAGTGAGTCATAAACCCCTTCATAGTCTGACCAAAGTTATGGACCTTCTCTCCAAAAAAATACATACACATATAATCTTGCATATCATTTCCAGGTGCTCACAGATTCCCTAAAGGATCTATGAGAAACTATGTCCAGATTCCAGGTACCCATGGGTTCCAGATTAAGGACTCCTGATCTAGAATATATCCAGGCCAACAAGCATCAGAGGTGTTCTGGAAGTGAGGTTCATCCTGAACCTCATACTGAGCTGTCTGCTTTTCTTATTCCTGCCTAAACTCAAGATCGAGTTGGGTGGCCCCAGGGTGGCAGTCACTAACTAACTGGAACATGCTGGCTTTATACCATTACAAAACCATGGGATGGGGTCAATGCAATGATTTCAGGAAAATGTCAGTCAAATATCTGAAATTATTTACATGAATAGATATTCTACTGATTTTTTTCAATGTTTTAGTTTCCTATACATGATAGTCATAATAAAAATAGATAAGACTTATTAAGCATTTATCATATGCCAGACACTATGCTAAGCACCTTATATGATATTCTCAGTATATCCTCACAACAATGGTATGAAGTGAATATTATTGCCTTCCCCAGTTCAGAGATGAGGAAACTAAGGCAGAGAGAAGCTGAATAACTTATCCAACATCACGCCCCATATGAAGCAGTGACACCCACATCTGTCTGCTCCTAACCTAACCACAGTGCTATGTTTCCTCCCTGGTATGACAAGCAAGCCAAGCTGTCTTCCTTCAGGAGATATTGCGGAACATCCACTAAATGGGCATTGGTTACCAGCTTACACTCACCACCAGAGATAAAGCAGAGCACTGTTTTTTTTTGTTTTTTTTTTTTTGTTTTTTGAGATGGAGTCTTGCCCTGTCACCCAGGCTGGAGTGCAGTGGCACAATCTCGGCTCACTGCAAGCTCCGCCTCCCAAGTTCACACCATTCTCCTGCCTCAGCCTCCCGAGTAGCTGGGACTACAGGCACCCGCCACTACGCCCGGCTAATTTTTTGTATTTTTAGTAGACACGGGGTTTCACCATGTTGGCCAGGATGGTCTCGATCTCCTGACCTCATGATCCGCCCACCTTGGCCTCCCAAAGTGCTGGGATTACAGGCGTGAGCCACCGCACCCGGCCAGCAGAGCACTCTTAAACTTACAGGTTTGCATGCTCTGTTGAGTGTCTCGCTTTTTATATTTTCAGGCTTAATTTTCATTTTGCATTGTCATTAAGGTTTGTAAAAGAAGGGCCGCCACATTCTGTCTCTTCTGTCTATGTACCACACTAGCTGCCCTCTTCTATCAATCTTTGATTATGAACCTTTGATGTCTGGGTTTATATTGTAAAGACATTACTCTTCAGGGTTATGAATGTTTTTCTTGTTCAGTATCATGGCCCTGACCTGATTCAAACACCTTTCATAAACAGGCATGAATACATTTGAGAGTGCTTTCTAGCTCTAGCTCCAGATATTGGATTAGTGGAACTTACCCTGTTGAATACTAGCATTCAAAGGAACTCTATGCTGTATGATTGCTTTGTTGTGTAGGGATTCAGTGATAGAAGCCATGATGTAAACAAGAGACATGCCATGTCTGATATGTCCCTACAAACTCTCTCCAAATATTTTCTCATGGGTGGGCAAGTTCACATCTGACAGCCTTTTCCTCCTTCTCTTATGAGGAAAGACCTTCCTTTTCCTCTTATGTTCTTAGGCCTTTAGATTTCAAGAGTTACCCTCTTTCTCTCTCTGAAATTTTTGACTAAGGAATGCTGGATACCATGAGAGAGTTTCATTTCGTGCTCCTTGAACCAAAAAAGCAGATAAATTATTATTAGAATAATTATAAGTTAATAGGATATAAAATATTCAGGTCTTTTAGAACCATCTCCTCTGATATGAGCCTTATGCTATGGAGTTCTAATTTTGTTTTAAAGAATTTGAGAACCTCCAACTTCCCCAGCAGCAGTAATGAAGGGAGGAGGTCCTCTCCCCGGCCCCCCGATCCCATAAAGAGCACATTTCTAGCACACTTACCCACAGTTCAGGTTCTCACATTAATGGGCCTCACAAATAATCTCACTGAACATCAAGCTGGGAAATGAACACTGGCACAGTCCTGGTAAATTATCTTAAACTGGTCCCCGGTGGGAGCAAAACACCTCCAAGTACATGTGCTATATATCAAAAGAGTGCTTCTAAAGGTTGTCCATGGTATGTGTAAAAAAATCTAATAAACATATCTGATAAATCATGATGATAGCCTCCATATTTCTTTGTTTAATTCTCAGTTTTCTTGTAAGCCCTTCTTGAAGTTTGGTTGTAATGGATCATTACGTCCATAATGTGCTCAATGTTGGAGTGAATTTTGAACAGTTTTTAGGCTGCATACTGTTTTCTTCCAGATAATTTACTGGATTAAAATTAGCAGTGTGAAAAGCTGTAGAGAAATCTAAATGCCTGCCAAATCAAAGAAATAATCACATTTTTATGAATATTTAATATCATAGTCATGGCAAATAAGGCAAGTAATTAGTACTTACCATAAATTTGCAAAGTATTATTTTATGTAAATGTTACATTCTACTAGTTTGATATGAATTATTCATTGTATAACCAGACACTGACACAATCCAGTAAACATTTAAATCTATGTGCTATTAGTTTACTTACCTTCAGTGATTTTGTGCAGAATATAAACATATTTTTTCCATGAATCAGTGTTTTCCCCTTGCCTCAAAAAGGGACAAAAGACAATGAGAAGAATGTTATTTAAAACCATCTAGTATATATCCAATAGTAAAGACACTTAAGATGCACATGTAAAATGTGTGGGTCCCTCATGTGTACAGATGCGAACCCCCCAGCTCTGCCTCTGTCTCTTTTCACCTTTCATCTATATCATTAACAAAGAGCAGTTATGAGTGATGCTATAAAAATAAGTGTGTGGGAGAAAAATAATTGAATGTTATAGACTCCATAGTGAAGAATTAAATTTATCCAAAAGAGAAGTCTGCCCTTTGCCCTCAGCCACTGAGAGATGATCTCCAGGCCCCTGGAAGGTCATGCCTAATAAGAGTGTCCTTGTTTGCTGGGGGTCTTTGGTCCACCTGATAGTCTAACAATGAAATTTATGCTGGGCTACATGGGATCTGCCAGTCTTTGGAGGATCCAGAGATTAAAGTTATCAGCCTGACTCCCAGAAGGGCTGGAGACTAAAAAACAGCAACACAGGCAATGTATGATTGAGCCTCCAATAAAAACTCTGAACACCTAGGCTGGGGTGAGCTTCCCTGGTTGGTGATATGCTATGTATTGTCACACATCATTGCCAGGAGTCAGTAATGCTGTTCATGCCTCCACGGGGAAAAGGCAACTGGAAATGCAGCTTGTAGATCCTCCTGGACTCTGCTCTATGTGTCTCTTCCCTTTGTATTCTTCCCTGTAGTAAACCATAACCATGAGTATAATAGCTTTCAGTGGGTTCCATGAGTCTCTCTAGTGAATTATCAAAACTGAGAGCTTGGGAAACTTGCAATTGACATCAGAAGGGAGTACAATGTTGTTGCACTCTGGCCCCTCTAACTTCACAGTTGTTAAAATTTTGCATAAACAGATAAATAAAGTTATCTGTTGATATGATTGAGCTTTATTATAATTGAGACTATATAATTGAGAACTGAAACAGAGTAGCCTCTCTTTGAGAGAGGGTAGGCCTCTAAGCCCACTGCCAGCCAGCTGTGATAGGCTTTTTCTCCCATCATTTTTTCCATGAAGTCCCACTGCCTCTGCCTTACTTTGTGAAGTCAGTTGAGTTCTGTGCTGATTCCAGAGGTACAATGCCAGGGAGAACCAAACCAAAGCAATCCTCACATATAGTGGCTCTTCTAAAAGTCACATTTTCAGCACCTTCCCCAATCTCTATATGGCTCACTTACTGCCCTCCTTGAAGTCTTTGCTCATTGCCTTCCCAGCAAGGCATCCTAATGTTGTTACTTGAAATTAAACCATATCCTCCTACCTCAGCATCCCTACCCTCCCTTCTTGCTTTATTTTTCTTTATAGCACTTATCTCCAGCATACTGTATATGTTACTAATATACTTTGTTTATTTTCTGTCTTCACCCTTGAGAATATAAGTCCTATTAAGGCTGGGATTTTGTTTCATTTTGTTCACCATACCCCAGTGTTTAGAACAGTGGCATGGACATAGTAGGTGCTCAGCAAATATTTGTTGAACAAATGAATGAATAGTCATTCTTCACAGGAAGGGACCAGGGCAGCAGCACTTCCATAGGGGACTGGGGGACTTGTCTTGCATCTGACACACTTTTTTCACTTGGATTGCATGTAACACAACAGTAAATGGCATCATTTTCTAGAGATTTTTTTTATTCCAACTAGTCATAAGATCCATAAAATATTGAGAGAATAAAATTTAAAATTTAAAATGGCTGAAGGCAGAAAAGGGGACAAATGCCACCATTGCCTAGAAAGTCCACTGGAGTCTAATTTAAGGCCATTCCCATTTCAGGAAATGCCTAAGAATCCAGAGTGGTGCTAGAGCAAGGGTATGCAGAATGATAAAAGAGCTGTGTAGGGGAGAAGGGGCGTCAGTACCACTCAGAGAGCATCTTCAATCCTGGGGGTAGGTGGGAAAAGGCAGAGTAGTTTTCTTAGTTCTTTCTAAAATCTAAAGCTGTAAGAATTATTCTTAACCCCTCGAGTTAAGAATCAATCACTGAAGAATACATAACTTGACTAAAACATGTGTTTTCCCTCATCCAAGAGTGGACACAGAGCTAAGTCAAAGCTAATCCATTCATGGGACTGTGAAGAAAACGATGTGCATTGAGCTTTGACCCACTTGAGTTGTGCATGTGGTCCATTTCAGACTTGGCCTTTCCCTTTATTTAGGGAGCCAACAAAATGTGGTTGCAAAGTGGCCCATCCCAGGTCTAAAAATATCAACCTAAGTAAAGAAACTTTTTCTCCATGCTCAAGAAAATAGCAATTAGACCAGTCAAGGAGCAGAAATCATGAAGGCCCCCGACACTTTTCATTGGAAGAAATGCACTAAATGGAAGTTTCTTAAAGGTTGCTGAAGGTAGTAAAGGAAATTAATAGACCATTTAGCACAGTTCTTATAAAACTTGTCCCTTTGCCCTGACACCCTCATGCCCTCAGAAACAGACAATCTTTAGTAGGCAAGATTATTTAAAATAAATAAATTTTGTGAAATCACTAGAATTCAGTAAAGTCAAGGAAATGAGACAGCATGTAAGATTCTAGAATCTCCTGTTTTCAGGAAGTTTCTTTTTGGAATTCCAATCACTCCTAACTATCCTTTCAACCTTACTAGGAAATCAGCTATGAAGTTAGATTTCCTGGAGTAAAATCTAAACTCCATCACCTAAAATCCAAATGACCCTGGGAACTTGCTAAAACTTCATCATATGAGAATAATATCACCACCTGCCACACACACAGCTGCCATGAGGGTCCGATGGCATATCTCCATAAAGCACTCACCAGAACTTCTGCAACCGCATGGGTGCTCTGTAAGCATTAGCTGTTTAAATATTGCTTTTATTGTTAATCTTCTTCCATTTCAAATTCTATTCTACTTTGCTGCTGAAGAAGACCATGCTATTGGAGAATAGGGTTAAAAAATGTTTAATAATTCTTCTGTCTATATCTTTTCATTTTTTTTCTTTGAGACAGGGTTTCACTTAGGCTGGAGTGCAGTGGTGCAATCTCAGCTCACTGCATCCTCTGCCTCCTGGGCTCAAGCAATCCTCCTGCCTCAGCCCCCTCGTAGCTGGGACTCTAGGCACACGCCACCACACTTGGCCCACACCTGGCTAATTTTTGTATTTTGTACAGAGATGGGGGTCTCATCATATTGCCCAGGCTGGTCTCGAACTCCTGAGCTCAAGTGATCGGCCCACCTCAGCCTCCCAAAGTGCTGGGATTATAGGTGTGAACCACTGTGCCCAGCCTACATCTTAAAGTTATGTTAAAGGTTTGATTATAATATTGCCTAGTTAAGCTATAAAATAACTCTAGTTTGGGAAAATATCTTGTTTCCTCTGAGAACTGTCTATTCAATTGCACATGTAATTAAAGAGGAAGCCGAAGAGAAACTTTAAATTTCAAGTTTATCAACTGAGAATGCAGATATTCACACATCCATATGAATATAAAAGCTGGATGGATTTTTTTACACTCAAACCTTGATTTAATGTAACCAGATGTTAAATAAACCATTTCAACCTTAATTTCAACAGAGTTCCCTAGACAATAAATATCACATTTCAAAGTGAGAGGCAAGGAAGGCCACCAGTCAGAATATGCATGGGACTTGCTTAAGAATTGATATTTAACCCTTTGCTAACTACCCACCCTCAGCTCACAAACAACTAGGGGGACTGAAAACAAGAGTTGGTTGTTATAAGAGGACTTTTTGGAGAACTGTTCTCTGCTGTAACTCAAAGGAAGGGACAGACACTAGGTTATTCCCATCGGGCCCTCAACCTTGGGACCACAACCACCAGGTTGAGGGACTGATGGGAATATCCTAGTATCTGCCCCTCCCTTTGAGGAAAGGACTTCGATGGGATCCCTCTGAGAGCTTGACATGCATCGTTCAGAGCTGAGGGCAATGTGGACTGGTGTCTGACTCTGAGACTTTTAAAGGAAGGAAGACAACTAGCCAGCTGCTCTTACAGTGAAATAAAGATAACTGTGCCAGGGTCTGCCCGTGCTCCCAGGGTTTGTTTGAGCAAAAGATGTCTAAGTGCTCCCAGGCATGTGGCCCCTCCTATGAGAAAACAAGCATATAGGTAACTTATGGCCACCTGGATAGTAAGGTGACCCCAACAGAGCGTGAACTGTTGGATTCCCAGGGCTGAGGAAGGAGATGCATGTGACCAGCCACTAGAAACATATTTGCAGGTAGGAAAAACCCAGCAAGTCTTCTGTATGGGGTGAGGGAGAGAGAAAGAGGTAGAATGTAATCTGTGAAAGTGTTTGTCTTAGTCAGCTCAGGCTGCTAATAACAAAATGCCATAAACTGGGTAGCTTATAAACAACAGAAACTTATTTCTCATACATCTGGAGGCTGGAAGTCCAAGATCAAGACACCAGCAGATTTGGCATCTGGGGCAGGGGAGGGGGGCATTTCCTAGTTAGCAGATGGTGCCCTCTCTGCATTCTTGCATGGTGGAAGGAGAAAGGGAGCATTTTGGGGTCTCTTTTATAAGGGCACTAATCTCATTCATGATGGCTCCACCCTCTTGACCTAATCACCTCCCAAAGGCCCCACCTCCACATACCATCACCTTGGAGGTTGAGATTTCAACATATGAGTTTGGGGGTGGGGGCGGATACAGACACTCAAAACCAAGCAGGCCTAAAAAAGTCATTTTACAAATCTTCCAAGTCCAGGGAATACACATGCCAACAGGTAGTGCCTGCCTCCCTTCTCCCCTCCTGTGACAGTCATCTCCAGCTCTGGTAAAGTACTGTATGGAGCACGTGGGAAAAAAACAACCAACACACACCACACCCACCTATAAGCCTGCAAGGGGGCTGTTGGCAACAGGCCCAAGCTGAAGGGAAAAGTTTATCATTAAATGAAAATAGGTGTTTTATGTATTACTCTGGATTGGACACAGTAATTACTAAACCAAAACTGATTTGTTATTAAAAATAACAAGAAGACATTTTGTTATTGAGAGCTAACCAGAAAATCAAGAGGCATCCCCTGGGGACAACAGAAAACCAAACAGTGGGGGAGATGAATGAGGGGATTTTCGAGCACACCCCATGAGCCCTGCTGGCTCGACCTGATGATGACGTTATTTAACAGTATCCTTGCCGAGCTTACTTACCGGGTTCTTCCATAGGCTTCCATATATGGGTGAGGAATACACCTGCCTGCAGGCCCACTTGGAGTGGTACCATCTGAGGGGAGCTGGGAACACGAGGACTATTGAGAGCCCCACAGTTCTGAATAGACCAGCCTCACCCCTTGAGACATCTAGGTCACCCTGTGGGGAAGGGAGACGAGGTGCAGTGAAGTGATGTTTCAACACCCACATCTACCAAGCCTCCTTTTCAGCCAAAATCCAAATGTGTAGCCAAGAGCCAAACAGGAAAAGGAGTGATAGAAATGACTATTGCCTGTTACAAATTCAGTGGCCACCAATATCTAAAAATGCCCCCAAAGCAACTTCATTGAACAATTTTCCTTCCCATTACCAATGTTTTTTTACAATAAACTACAGGGTTCCCTTTTCTGGTGATACCCTTGCAGTGGCCAGGGCAGGGGAGTTAGTCCTTCCGGGTAACATGCTGGTTTTCCTCACCCTAGCCCAGCCCATCCCAGCCCAGGCTTGTTTCTAGAAATGGGAGGGAGGATGCTGTCAAATTTAGAACTGAATCGAAAAAAGTGTAATTTCTAAACCTAGAATAAAACTTGAAACATTTGGAATTTGTATTTCATTTGGCTCTGGAAAAGACGAGTTTGAAGCCGCTGCAGATTTTGTGATCTATTTCCCTGGGGTGTCTTAGAGGCTGGGTAGATAAACTTCAGTGTAATCCCGGCAGAGTATGGAAACTGTGATATCTTGAAATACCTGAAACGCGTGGACTATAAAGGCTGCATTTCTAAGCACTGATTCAGTTTGTGGTAACTATCTAATTCTCTCCCACATAAGCTGAGGAATTGTTAGGTGAGTTGGTTTGTAGCCCTGGGAACAATCCCTCCTTAGCCAGATATTTGTACTTACCATACTAGGACACACAGTTCCATTTTTTGACTTAGTAGAATTCACAGCAGGAATGGTTCCGATTCTTTTATACCTAAAAATGACAGACCAGACACAGACACACACACACTCACACACACCCAAAAAGTCCAAGCATGGAAGAATGTGTCTGACAAGCACAATGAGCAGAAAAGAGCTGGAAAGTAGAGCCATGTGCTCCATAGGACTCTTCTTGGCTTGAAGGGTTTGGTCTGTGCTTGCAAGCCACATGCTGTAAATGAGGAAGTCCACTGTGGAGTTGACAGGTAAGATACAGTAAGTGCCTATCAGAAGTCAACTCACAAAACCAAGCCTTTGACAACACACTGTGATGCTCAGTGGGAAACATGGAATCTGCCAGCTGGCCCAGCAACAAGGAGAGTTACATCCAGGACTCTCAGCTTCCTCTCTCCTACAGAAAGGGGCAGCCCCTTTTGATTTCAGGTTGGCAGGCAGAAAGGAGGAATAAGGGAGATAATCATTGCTTATGATCAAAAGATTGTGAAGACAAAATAAACAGTGAAAGTCACTGTTAATCGTGCTCCGCTGGACTCTCATCAGTACAAAGTGAATGTACAAGGTAGAATCCAGGCCCAAAGACGATTAGAGTAGTGAACAGGAGTCTACCCACACAGACAAGAAGATGGGGCTCATGTAAATGTTTGCCTCTCATTTATTTTGAGCAAACATTTCCTTCCACGTAGCAGACTCATCCTGATCAGCAACTTCCACCTGGTGTTCTTCAAGCCAGATGGAAGCGTAAATTATTTAAATACATGATCTTCCATTAGCTATTGAGCTTAAGTGCCTCAAAAATTTTTTTTAAGTGCTTTCCAGGATTCTAGAAAGCATTTGCACTAAGACAGATAAACATATTCTCAAGACACAACTCCAATGACAGCAATTTTTAGATTTTAAAATATAGTCAGCATCTATAAGTAATTATGACTTCTGCAAAGGATTGTTTACACTGAAAAAGTAAAATCAGAGCTAATGAGCTAATTAAGGTTTGTTTTGTTTTTTTTTTTACCCTCCACATGACACTGTTCCATAAAAAACAAACTTCATGTTCATCCCGACACACTGAGGAGCAACAGTGACCTGTCTTGAATAGTTTCTCTCATTCATGGTTCAGGCATATTTTTCTCAAACTATATTTTTAAGTAAAAATAAATATGAAGGCAGGTTTTAAGCTTAATCATTTTCCTGATGGTAAATCCAGTTAGCACTTCTAATAACATAATAACTGCTGTGTTCCTGTGTGCATAGAGTGTGTAATGGATAGATTCATGAGTAAAGACATCCTAGTTGACTTCCAAAACTGTAATTACTCACTTGATTATAGGAGTAGAAAGGGAATATGTTATAGTTAAAGATTGAAAATTCATAAAATTTCAGAAATTCAAAAGCCTGTAGAGATCACCTAGATCAGCGCTCATCAACCTGGGTTTGCTAAAATACAGATTCTCATTCTGTGGCACTAGCATGGGTTCTGAGAGTCTCCATCTCTAACACACTCTCAGATGATGTTGATGAAATTGGTCTGTGGAACACTCCTTAAATAACAAGCCCTAATTGTTAGATGTGCCCTCATCAGCCCTTCTGGAAATGCCACATCTTGGGAGGATAAAGACATCAGATTTCAAAAGATAAGAGAAAAATCACTTCTTTGCCCTTAGCATACCATTAGTTAACTTTTATATCTAGCGGTCGAACAGATAATAAAATAAAGGTTACAATACTGAGTGCTGCAGTTATTTTTAAATTTATTTGAGTACAAGGAATTGTTCATTGAAACATATTTTACTCAGAAATCTAGTCTGTAAGGGATATAAAAGTGTTACTGTTCAAGTTAAGAGTGTGTGTGTGTGTGTGTGTGTGTGTGCCCTTTTCCACCTTAACCCTGACTCTCCCAACTGTCATTCATGGTCCAGAGGGCAGAAGTCCTCACCTTTGACAAAATGAGTCTGAAAACAACTGTGATCCTGGGTATGTTTTTCTTGTTTGCATTATAAGAGTCTTAATTCCAAGCTGCTCTAAAGAGTGATCCCAACCTAGCATGTTTACTTGCCTCCTTGACTTAAGAGCACGTGGTAGTGTGTCTATATCTAAGGTCTTATTTCAGACTCCACTTCCCTTTTTTTTCTTTTTTTTTTATCACCTTAATTTTTCTTAATTGCCCTTTGACAGTGAATATTTGATATCCCTCCTCCTTTCTTCATTCTGTCAATATTGTTCTTCATTTCTTCATTACCGTAACTCCTTTTACATGGTTTTTACTTCCTACTTGATTTCTCCAGTTGCTTTTTGCTCCTCCCACTAGTGGAGGATGGCTTGAGGATCACTTCACAGTGAGCAGGGGCTATTGAGGATTCCTACTCCATCACCTCAGCTGAGATGTCTGATTTTTAAACAAAATTTACTTACCAATCCTAGCTTTTTTTTTTTTTTTTTTTGGCAGAGTGTTGCTCTGTCACCCAGTGGCAGTGGCATGATCTCAGCTCACGGCAACCTCTGCCTCCCAGGTTCAAGCAATTCTCCTGCCTCAGCCTCCCAAGTAGCTGGAACTACAGGCATGCGCCACCACGCCTGGCTAATTTTTGTATTTATAGTAGAGAAGGGGTTTCACCATGTTGGTGAAGTTGGTCTTGAATTCCGGACCTCAAGTGATCCGCCCGCCTCGGCCTCCCAAAGTGCTGGAATTACAGGTGTGAGCCACCTTGCCCAGCCCCAGGCCTAGATCTTACGAAGCCCCTGCCTTTTTGCCAAGTTAATTGCTGCTATAAATACAGTTAATTTTAAAAATATACTTTCTTTACATATTTGAGGTTTGAAAGGCTTATAAATAACACACTTCTTTTCCCCAACCAAGTTCAGAATTGAGAGACACACAGAGTCAGGGAGATGGAAATAAAATATCGCCTTTGTTCCTAATAAAGCTGTGGGAGAATTTGCTTCAGATGAGAGAGCTTCATGGTGTTGCTAAGGATGCTCTACAGAACTAAAATGACACACTGTGTCAGAGGAAGTGCTGGAGGGCTGCAATTGCAGGACTCCCTGCAGCGGTCCCTGTCTCCTCCACTCCCAGACACTGGGCAGAACCAGTGGTGCTAAGTTTACTACATACCCAAGAGCAGATAAATACACACATTCTCTGCAGGTTGGAGAAATTGAAACTGCAATTGAGCCGGCCATATTCTTTTTCTCATACTCACCTCTCAGATTTCTCTTGCTCTACTCACTCCTCCTCCCTCCAGAAACACCAAGTAAGAGATAGAGGGAGAGGCAAGGAACATTAGGATATCACTTCACCAGGCAACACAGGGAGTGCTTACTAGCATTTCCTCTGAATGTGGACTTTTATTTGAAACATTTCATATAACTTGACAATTCTCTCCTTACGTACAGATAGCGTTGCTGGCACTGCCATAGAAGAATCTATTCTGTTTGCTATTCCTTATCAAGTCTCCAAACAATTTCTGTAAACTAGAACGAATTTATCATACAAGGAATCACGCCAACATTTGTAAGGGTTCCAAAGTATAAGACACTGTTTATGCCCTCAAGATGTTTAAAAATCTAGTTGGAGACACTAGACCTGAACAAACAAAGTTAAGCCATTAAATATTTTAATAACAACTCAATACAATCCTGTGAATACAGGTCAGCACACAATTAACTTTTATGTGAATTTAAAGTAAAATAAGAGCTCAGAAGAAGAAATCTTGATAGGCTGGGGTGGTGGGACAATGTTTTGCTGAGGAGGTATGATTTGGGTTTTCAAAAATGGACAAGGATTTAAGAGAGAAGAGGGAATCATAAAAAGATGGAAGAAGCCAAAGGAAAAACTGTAGCCTGCAGCAGAGGTGTTTTACAAGGGCAAGATTAGAAGGCAATTTTCAAAATTCAAATCTGTTTAGCAACAGTCTCAGCAGCCACAGTTATAAAATTGGTATTCCACTCCAAGGTTTTTGTATCAAGTAAGATGTATGCAAAGCAACAAGAATATAGTAAGTACCCAATAAATGTTAGTTATTGTTTTCAATATCATCATTACACATTATTATTAGTAGTACTCACCAGTTAAATTGCCAATGATTTCTGGAACATTTGCTGATAAAGTTTATTAATGTAGAATTTATTTGGCCTCTCATGTCCTAGCAGCCTGTTCAGCCTTCTCTAAGTAGCACTCTTTTTTAAAAGCAAAGAAGGAAGGAAAGAAGGAAGGAAGGAAGGAAGGAAGGAAGGAAGGAAGGAAGGAAGGAAGGAAGGGCTCTTTATTATAAAAAATTCCAAACATTTACAAAAATAACAGCATATATACCCATCACCCAGATTCAACAATTATCAACTCATGAGCAATCTTACCATTTCAGCTATATTGTACCCAGAATATTTTGAAGAAAATCTCAAACTTCATGTCATTTTATTCTTAAATTTACAGCATGTATTCTTTTTGAAAAATATAACCACAATATAATTCCCACAACTAAAAATATGTTTAAATATCCAAACAATGCTCAAATGTCTTCACTTGGTTCATTTGCTTAGTCCGTTTTGTGCTGCTGTAACAGAATACCAGAGACTGGATAATTCTTCCCCTCTGCTTTCCTCTTCAGTCAGGCTATAAGCACTACTATCTCTCATATTTTCCTTTTCTTCTTTTGATGTTCAATATTAAACATTTTATATCAAAAATTACCTGTGTGATAATATTTGTCAAGTTATAAGAAGTCATCCCACCTCACCATGGGTAATTTAAAGCATAGTATTGGTGTCTGGCAGGGCCTTTATGCTGCATCATCCAATGGTGGACGTGGAAGAGAAAGAGAGGGCAAGAGCAGAGAGGGCCAAGCTTGCTTTTATAACAAATTCACTCTTGAAGTAACAAACTCGCTACTGTGATAACAGCATTAATCCATTCATGAAGCAGAGCTCTCATGAGCTAATCACCTCTTAAAGGTCCCACCTCTCAACACTGTTGCCTTGGGGATTGTTTCCAACATGTGAACTTTGGGGGACAAACTCAAACCATAGCAGTGATCATTGATAGTATTTTTGCTTTTGAATCATTTTTAAATTGTGGATTTAAGCATATTTGAAATGTTTTGGTTCACTGTAGTTGTGGTCCTCATTGATGATCAAATTGTCACATCATTCATCAATGGGGATACTACTAAAGTTGACTCTTGAGTCCTTTGGCTGCATCTTTGATGGTCTTTAATAGGCTCTATGCTTTGTAGTATGATGAGATGCTATAGGGTCATGTTGAACATTTTCTGCCCCAGATTTTCCACTTCTCTGAGGAATTCTGGTTCCTTCGGCAAATAAATGGTGCTACCAGGTCAAGACCTTGACATCAAGTTTGCTGATTGCTACTGTGTCAGCCCTTATTTTCAGGATTTCTTAGTGAAAAGCTATAAATATGTGGTTATTTTGTTGTTGTTTTAAGGTCATATACATCATAAACTAAAATTTATATTTCTGATTCAAACTTAGGACAAGATTTTTAACTTAGCCTCATTTGTGTTACATCTTTTGACAAACACACAAACATAACTACTCATTTACTTCATCCACACAATACACATTCAGAAGTCTTAAAATGAGAATGCTAATACTATCACCTACAATGTGATTATTAAAACAGTTTTTAAAAAATGTTTTTCAGCCAGGCGCAGTGGCTCATGCCTATAATCCCAGCACTTTAGGAGGCTGAGGTGGGCGAATTGCTTGAGCTCAGGAGTTCAAGACCAGCCTGGGCAACATGGCAAAACCCTGTCTCTACAAAAACAATACAAAAATTAGCTGGGTGCGGTGGTGTGTGCCTGTAGTCCCAGCTACTCAAGAGGCTAAGGCAGGAGGATAGCTTGAGCCCTGGAGGTGGAGGTTGCAGTGAGCTGAAGTCACACCATTGCACTCCAGCCTGGGCAACAGGAGTGAAACTCTGTGTCAAAAAAAAAAATTTTTTTTCTTTAGAGTATATGCCACTAGGGAAATATGGTCAAAGCAGTGTGTTTGAAAGTCACTTGAAATAGTTTCTTTCTGAATGGTGTGCCATAAACTCAAATTCTGATATTAATTTATTTCACTTTACTTTTACTTTCTATAATTTTATATTTAATTTTGTATAATTATGTGAATATTTACATGATTTCAAAAACAAAATAATATCTATTCAGAGAAACATAAGCTTCTATCCTTGTCACCTCCAACACATGCCCATAAACACACACGCATACTTGTTTACCCTATGTTAGAGTTTGAATTATGTTCTCCAAAAAGATACGTTGAGGTCCTAATCTAAGGTACCTGCAACTGTGACCTTATATGGAAATAGGATCTTTACAGATGTAATCAAGTTAAGATGAGGTCATACTAGATTAGGGTGGACCCTAATCCAGTGACAAGTGTCTTTATAAGAGAAAGATGAGGGAGATTTGGATCCAGAGACACAGGTGCACACAGCAGGAAGACAGTCACATGAATAAGGAAGCAGATATTGGAGTGATGCAGCTACAAGCCAAGGAATGCCAAGGATGGCCAGCAGCCACCAAAAGCTAGAAAGAGGCAAGTTAGGACTCTTCCCTAGAGCTTCCAGAGACAGCATGCCCCACCAACACTTTGATTTTAGACCTATACCCTTCAGACTGTGAAAGCATGAATCTATGTCATTTTAAGCCACTCAGTTTGTGGTATGTTTTCATGGCATCCCTGGGAAACTAATACATACCCTCCCCCACTCCCATTCCCCGGGCCCTTAAATTAATGAGACACACACTTTTCTTCATCTTGCCTTTTTGACCTGAAATCTATATCCCAAAGATTACCCCATGATGTCATATGAAGACATTTCTCATGCGTTTTTACATCTGCATAGGACTCTAGTTTCTGCATACACCATACTTTATTCAACTAGTTCTCTGTTGATCAAAATGTGAGCCTTTTCTAGCATTTTGCTATCATCAATATTACTACTAATAGCCTTCAGAATGATCTTTTTATATTTTTTCTAGTATCATGGTAGGTACAGTAAGTTCCTAGAAGTGGGATTACTCAGAGGGTAAAGGCACATATAATATTGCAAAATATTACCAAATTCCACCCCAAACATTTTTCCCGTCTTGCATTCACGTTAACCACATATAAGGGTGCCAATTTCTCAGCAGATTCAACAATAGACGGCCTTATCAATCTTCTGGATTTTTATCAATTGGATAGGTGAGAAATGTTTTATTTGCATAGTCTACATTTGCATTTTTCTTATTATGAGCAAAAGCATTGCTCTTCAAGTAGTTTGCAAAATTGAACAGACATATATGAATCAATTCTTCCCCTCTGCTTTCCTCCTCAGTCAGGCTGTAAGCACTACTGTCTCTCATATTTTCCTTTTCTTCTTTTGATGTTCAATATTAAACATACTTAATATCAAAAATTACCTGTGTGATAATATTTTTCAAGTTATAAGAAGTCATCCTACCTCACCAAACCTATAATACACTTAATTCAATAAATGTTAAGTTAGCACCTATCATGCAGCAGGCACTGTACAAGTTTTTAGGGAGTACAGAAAAAGGAAATAGAGAAAGAACTTCTTTCTTAAAAACCTTATCACCTAAAAGGAAATATAGAAACCTATAGATAGGTATGTAAAGCTCCATACAACTATACAAAGTTATATGGATGATATTGATATAGGCACGTATACATAACATACACACACACACCTCGTAACTGAATAACACAGTAGTAGTAGAGTCGAGAAAGGGCAGGGAGGAGAAAATGATTCAGAGGATTATCTCAATTTTATTTTAAGACACATTTCTTTGAGTTAATACAGTACTCTATAAGCATAAATATTTCTGGAAATGGTAAAACACTTGGCTATATAATCATTCACAGCTTAGCAAAAATTAGCTAACCCAAATATTTTCCTTTTTACCATCACCTGAGATCTGTTGCCTTTCTAAATGAGGAATCTCCCTTGAAATAAAAGGATATAGTGTGAAATGAGAACATTTGACGACCAGAAAATAACAGGAGAAAATGAGGTGAACTAGAAAGGCTGCATAATCTTGTGCTTAAAATCTAGGGCTCTGGAGCCATAACAGACTGGGTTTGAATCTTGACTCTACAACTAACTAGCTATAGAATTTTGTGCCAGTTCTTTAAGTAGTCTGGGGCTGTTTTCTCATCAAATACATAATACAAAATTTCCCAATATTACATAAATAGTAAGCAATAATAATAATACCTATTCCATAGAGTTTCTGTGAGAATTAAATGCGAAGAAAAGAGGGAATATTAAATTCTTGCTGTGCCTTCTGCTTCCAGGTAGGATAGATAATTTGTGGCAGTCGATGTCCCCACTGAGAATAACTGAAAAGGCTTGATAGAAAAAAAGTCTGGAGAGTTGGAAACCATGGAAGATGAGGGATGTATTATAGCTGCCTTTTTCCTCCATGGGTATATTTGCTGATTATGATGGTGGGGTGATGGACTGAGAATATGAGATTTGACTGAATAGAGGATGGGGTGCAGAGAAACCAGTAGACATTTTTCAGTCTTAGCCTCCAGAGAGACAAATTGGAAACATGAGGTGCCAAATGGCTGGTGAGAAGGAAAGGATGGAGAACAGAGCCTGACATACAGCCAGTTCTCACTCAGGACATATGTTGACTTCTGAAACTTTATGAAGTAAAGAGTTAACCAGAAAGCATCTGAGAAGCAGAGGAGAGGTTTGGACAGCCTAGCTATATTAAGAAGCAAAGACTAGAATTCAGAAACTACCAGAGTGAAGTACAGATAAATACACCAAGTTCCCAGTTGAAAGTCCCAGGGGCTTTACAACAGGAGTGGTGCAAATCAGTAAAACCACAACCAACTCTTCAGCTCAGAATCTGATTAAAGTAAGGTGACTGGACTTCATCTATCTGCCTAGCAGAGAAAGGGTTAACCCTCTCTCCTGGAAGATGGTAGGTATTACCTGAAGTCTCTAAGTTATTTTCATATGTATCATCTACCATTCAATTTTAAAATGTGCTAAATGCCAAGAGAAAATCATATAACCAAAATGTTCTTAAGAGAATAGACAGTAGAAACAGGTTCATGGTTGATTCAGATATTGAGTTAGCAAACAAAGGCTTTTAAATAACTATGATTCATATATTTAAGAATATATTTTAATAGAGAAAGATCAAAAACTCCCTAATCCATCTTGAGTTGATTTTCATATAAGATGATGATCCAGTTTCATTCTCCCACATGTGGCTAGCCAGTTTTCCCCAGCACCATTTGTTGAAAAGGGTGTCCTTTACCACTTTATATTTTTGTTTGCTTTGTCGAAGATCAGTCGGCTGTAAGTATTTGGGTTTATTTCTGGTTTCTCTATTCTGTTCTATTGGTCTATGTGCCTATGTTTATACCAGTACCACACTGTTTTGGTGACTATGGCCTTATAGTATATTTTAAATCAGGTAGGGTAATGCCTCCAGATTTGTTCTTTTTGCTTAGTCTTGCTTTGGCTATGTGGACTCTTTTTGGGTTCCATATGAATTTCAGAACTGTTTTTTCTAATTCTGTGAAGAAGGATGATGATATTTTGATGGGGATTGCATTGAATTTGTACCAAAGTTGGCATCTATATAAATGTATCAATGGAAATTTTAGAGAAAAAATATAGTAACAGTTATGGATTGAATTATATCTCTCTAAAATTCATGTTTTGAAGCCCCAATGCACTGTACCTCAGAGAGTGACCAAATTTGGAAATAAGGCCTTGTAAAAGGTAATGAAGTCAAAATTAGGTTATTAAGGTAGGCCCTAACCCAACCCAATCAGTGTCCTTAAGGGAAGATATTATAACACACAGAGCCATCAAAGGCACACATTCACAGAGGGATGACCATGTGATGGGGCAGCAGGAGAGCAAGATCTGCAAACCACAGAGAAGATCCCAACCCTGTCAGCACCTTCATCTCAGACTTGTAGCCTCTAGAACTGTGAGAACAGAAAAGTCTATTGTTTCAGCCACCTGGCTGGTGGTATTTTGTTATGGCAGACCTAGAACACCAATACAAAAACTGAAAATGAGAACTCAATAAACAAATCTAGCAGCAAAATGAACATAGCTGAACAGGAATACAGATCAATAGAAAATATCCAAACTGAAGCACAAAGAAAAGAGAGACGGAAAATGCAGAAAAGAGCTAGTTGACAAAGTAAAAAATATTGGAGGGGTGGAGCCAACATGGCCAAATAGGAACAGCTCCAGTCTACAGCTCCCACCATGAGCCATGCAGAAGACAGGTGATTTCTGAATTTCCAACTGAGGTACCGGGTTCCTCTCACTGGGGAGTGCCAGACAGTGGGTGTAGGACAGTGGGTGCAGCACATCGTGCATGAGCCAAAGCAGGGTGAGGCGTCGCCTCACCCGGGAACCACAAGGGGTCAGGGAATTCCCTTTCCTAGTCAAAGAAAGGGGTGACAGATGGCACCTGGAAAATTGGGTCACTCTCACCCTAATACTGTGCTTTTGCATCGGGCTTAACAAACAGCACACCAGGAGATTATATTCCGCACATGGCTTGGAGGGTCCTAAGCCCACAGAGCCTCACTCATTGCTAGCACAGCAGTCTGAGATCAAACTGCAAGGCAGCAGTGAGGCTGGGGGAAGGGTGCCCGCTATTGCTCAGGCTTGAGTAGGTAAACAAAGTGGCCGGGAAGCTCGAACTGGGTGGAGCCCACCACAGCTCAAGGAGGCCTGCCTGCCTCTGTAGGCTCCACCTCTGGGGGCAGGGCACAGAAAAACAAAAGACAGCAATAATCTCTGCAGACTTAAATGTCCCTGTCTGACAGCTTTGATGAGAGTAGTGGTTCTCCCAGCACTCAGCTTGAGATCTGAGAATGGGCAGACTGCCTCCTCAAGTGGGTCCCTGACTCCCGAGTAGCCTAACTGGGAGGCACCTCCCAGTAGGGACGGACTGACACCTCACATGGCCAGGTACTCCTCTGAGACAAAACTTCCAGAGGAACGATCAGGCAGCAGCATTTGCAGTTCACCAATATCCGCTGTTCTGCAGCCACCGCTGCTGATACCCAGGCAAACAGGGTCTGGAGTGGACCTCCAGTAAACTCCAACAGACCTGCAGCTGAGGGTCCTGACTGTTAGAAGGAAAACTAACAAACAGAAAGGACATCCACACCAAGAACTCATCTGTATGTTACCATCATCAAAGACCAAAGGTAGATAAAACCACAAAGATGGGGAAAAAAAAGGAGCAGAAAAACTGGAAATCCTAAAAATCAGAGCACCTCTCCTCCTCAAAGGAACGCAGCTCCTCACCAGCAATGGAACAAAGCTGGACGGAGAATGACTTTGACAAGTAGAGAGAGGAAGGCTTCAGAAGATCAAACTACTCTGAGCTAAAGGAGGAAGTTCGAACCAATGGCAAAGAAGTTAAAAACTTTGAAAAAAATTAGACGAATGGATAACTAGAATAACCAATGCAGAGAAGTCCTTAAAGGACCTGATGGAGCTGAAAACCACGGCACAAGAACTACGTGACAAATGCACAAGCCTCAGTAACCGATGCGATCAACTGGAAGAAAGGGTATCAGAGATGAAAGACGAAATGAAAAAAATGAAGTGTGAAGAGAAGTTTAGAGAAAAAAGAATAAAAAGAAATGAACAAATCCTCCAAGAAATATGGGACTATGTGAAAAGACCAAATGTACGTCTAATTGGTGTACCTGAAAGTGACAGGGAGAATGGAACCAAGTTGGAAAACACTCCGAGGTATATTATCCAAGAGAACTTCCCCAATCTAGCAAGGCAGGCCAACATTCAAATTCAGGAAATACAGAGAACGCCACAAAGATACTCCTCGAGAAGAGCAACTCCAAGGCAGATAACTGTCAGATTCACCAAAGTTAAAATGGAGGAAAAAATGTTAAGGGCAGCCAGAGAGAAAGGAGGGGTTACCCACAAAAGGAAGTGCATCACACTAACAGCTGATCTCTCAGCAGAAACTCTACAAACCAGAAGAGGGTGCGGGCCAAAATTCAACATTCTTAAAGAAAAGAATTTTCAACCCAGAATTTCATATCCAGCCAAACTTAGCTTCTTAAGTGAAAGAGAAAGAAAATCCTTTGCAGACAAGCAAATGCTGAGAGATTTTGTTACCACCAGCCCTGCCCTAAAAGAGCTCCTGAAGGAAGCACTAAACATGGAAAGGAACAACCAGTACCAGCCACTACAAAAACATATCAAATTGTAAAGACCATTGACACTATGAAGAAACTCCATCAACTAATGGGCAAAATAACCAGCTAACATCATAATGACAGGATCAAATTCACACATAACAATACTAACCTTAAATATAAATGGGCTAAATGCTCCAATTAAAAGGCACAGACTGGCAAATTGGATAAAGACTCAAGACCCATCAGTGTGCTGTATTCAGGAAACCCATTTCACGTGCAGAGACACACATAGGCTCAAAATAAAGGGATGGAGAAAGATCTACCAAGCAAATGGAAACAGAAAAAGGCAGGTGTTGCAATCCTAGTCTTGGATAAAACAGACTTTAAACCAACAAAGATCAAAAGAGACAAAGAAGGCCATTACATAATGGTAAAGGGATCAATTCAACAAGAAGAGCTAACTATCCTAAATATATATGCACCCAATATAGCAGCACCCAGATTCATAAAGCAAGTCCTTAGAGACCTACAAAGAAACTTAGACTCGCACACAATAATAATGGGAGACTTTAACACCCCACTGTCAACATTAGACAGATCAATGAGACAGAAAGTTAAAAAGGATATCCAGGAATTGAACTCAGCTCTGCACCAAGCGGACCTAATAGACATCTACAGAACTCTCCACCCCAAATAAACAGAATATACATTCTTTTCAGCACCACACCACACCTATTCCAAAATTGACCACATAGTTGGAAGTAAAGCACTCCTCAGCAAATGTAAAAGAACAGAAATTATAACAAACTGTCTCTCAGACCACAGTGCAATCAAACTAGAACTCAGGATTAAGAAACTCACTCAAAACTGCTCAACTACATGGAAACTGAACAACCTGCTCCTGAATGACTACTGGTACATAACGAAATGAAGGCAGAAATAAAGATGTTCTTTGAAACCAACAAAAACAAAGACACAACATACCAGAATTTCTGGGACACATTCAAAGCAGTGTGTAGAGGGAAATTTATAGCACTAAATGCCCACAAGAGAAGGCAGAAAAGATCTAAAATTGACACCCTAACATCACAATTAAAAGAACTAGAGAAGCAAGAGGAAACACATTCAAAAGCTAGCAGAAGGCAAGAAATAACTAAGATCAGAGCAGAACTGAAGGAAATAGAGACACAAAAAAATTTCAAAAAATCAGTGAATCCAGGAGCTGGTTTTTTGAAACGATCAACAAAATTGATAGACCGCTAGCAAGACTAATAAAGAAGAAAAGAGAGAAGAATCAAATAGATGCAATAAAAAATGACAAAGGGGTTATCACCAATGATCCCACAGAAATACAAACTACCAACAGAGAATACTATAAACACCTCTACACAAATAAACTAGAAAATCTAGAAGAAATGGATAAACTCCTCGACACATACTCTCCCAAGACTAAACCAGGAAGAAGTTGAATCTCTGAATAGACCAATAACAGGCTCTGAAATTGAGGCAATAATTAATAGCTTACCAACCAAAAAAAGTCCAGGACCAGATGGATTCACAGCCAAATTCTACCAGAGGTACAAGGAGGAGCTGGTACCATTCCTTCTGAAACTATTCCAATCAACAGAAAAAGAGGGAATCCTCCCTAACTCATTTTATGAGGCCAGCATCATCCTGATACCAAAGCCTGGCAGAGACACAACAAAAAAAGAGAATTTTGGACCAATATTCTTGATGAACATTGACGCAAAAATCCTCAATAAAATACTGGCAAACTGAATCCAGCAACACATCAAAAAGCTTATCCACCATGATCAAGTGGGCTTCATCCCTGGGATGCAAGGCTGGTCCAACGTATGAAAATCAATAAACATAATCCAGCATGTAAACAGAACCAACGACAAAAACCATATGATTATCTCAATAGATGCAGAAAAGGCCTTTGACAAAATTCAACAATGCTTCATGCTAAAAACTCTCAATAAATTAGGTATTGATGGGACATATCTCAAAATAATAAGAGCTATCTATGACAAACCCACAGCCAATAGCATACTGAATGGGCAAAAACTGGAAGCATTCCCTTTGAAAACTGGCACAAGACAGGGATGCCCTCTCTCACCATTCCTATTCAACATAGTGTGGGAAGTTCTGGCCACAGCAATCAGGCAGGAGAAGGAAATAAAGGGTATTCAATTAGGAAAAGAAGAAGTCAAATTGTCCCTGTTTGCAGATGACATGATTTTATATTTAGAAAACACCATCGTCTCAGCCCAAAATCTCCTTAAGCTCATAAGCAAATTCAGCAAAGTCTCAGGATACAAAATCAATGTGCAAAAATCACAAGCATTCTTATACACCAATAACAGAAAAACAGAGAGTCAAATCATGAGTGAACTCCCATTCACAATTGCTTCAAAGAGAATAAAATACCTAGGAATCCAACTTACAAGGGATGTGAAGGACCTCTTCAAGGAGAACTACAAACCACTGCTCAATGAAATAAAAAAGATACAAACAAAGGGGAACATCACACTCTGGGGACTGTTGTGGGGTGGGGGGAGGGGGGAGGTATAGCATTGGGAGATATACCTAATGCTAGATGACGAGTTAGTGGGTGCAGCGCACCAGCGTGGCACATGTATACATATGTAACTAACCTGTACAATGTGCACATGTACCCTAAAACTTAAAGTATAATAATAAAATTTTTAAAAAAAGATAAAAAAAAAGATACAAACAAATGGAAGAACATTCCATGCTCATGGGTTGGAAGAATCAATATCATGAAAATGGCCATACTGCCCAAGGTAATTTATAGATTCAATGCCATCCCCAACAAGCTACCAATGACTTTCTTCACAGAATTGGAAAAACTACTTTAAAGTTCATATGGAACCAAAAAAGAGCGCGCATTGCCAAGTCAATTCTAAGCCAAAAGAACAAAGCTGGAGGCCTCACGCTACCTGACTTCAAACTATACTACAAGGCTACAGTAACCAAAACACCATGGTACTGGTACCAGAACAGAGATATAGACCAATAGAACAGAGCAGAGCCCTCAGAAATAATGCCACATATTTACAACTATCTGATCTTTGGCAAACCTGACAAAAACAAGCAATGGGGAAAGGATTCCCTATTCAATAAATGGTGCTGGGAAAACTGGCTAGCCATATGGAGAAAGCTGAAACTGGATCCCTTCCTTACACCTTATACAAAAATCAATTCAAGATGGATTAAAGACTTAAACGTTAGACCTAAAACCATAAAAACCCTACAAGAAAACCTAGGCATTACCATTCAGAACATAGGCGTGGGCAAGGACTCCATGTCTAAAACACCAAAAGCAATGGCAACAAAAGCCAAAATTGACAAATGGGATCTAATTAAACTAAAGAGCTTCTGCACAGCAAAAGAAACTACCATCAGAGTGAACAGGCAACCTACAAAATGGGAGATAATTTTTGCAACCTGCTCATCTGACAAAGGGCTAATATCCAGAATCTACAATGAACTCAAACAAATTTCCAAGAAAAAAACAAACAACCCCATCAAAAAGTGGGCGAAGGACATGAACAGACACTTCTCAAAAGAAGACATTTATGCAGCCAAAAAACACATGAAAAAATGCTCACCATCACTGGCCATCAGAGAAATGCAAATCAAAACCACAGTGAGATACCATCTCCATCTCACACCAGTTAGAATGGCGATCATTAAAAAGTCAGGAAACAACAGGTGCTGGAGAGGATGTGGAGAAATAGGAACAATTTTACACTATTGGTGGGACTGTAAACTAGTTCAGCCATTGTGGAAGTCAGTGTGGCAATTCCTCAGGGATCTAGAACTAGAAATACGATTTGACCCAGCCATCCCATTACTGGGTATATACCCAAAGGACTATAAATCATGCTGCTGTAAAGACACATGCACACGTATGTTTATTGCAGCATTATTCACAATAGCAAAGACTTGGAACCAACCCAAATGTTCAACAATGATAGACTGAATTAAGAAAATGTGGCACATATACACCATGGAATACTATGCAGCCATAAAAAATGATGCGTTCATGTCCTTTGTAGAGACATGGATGAAGCTGGAAACCATCATTCTCAGCAAACTATCGCAAGGACAAAAAACCAAACACCGCATGTTCTCACTCATAGGTGGGAATTGAACAATGAGAACACATGGACACAGGAAGGGGAACATCACACACCGGGGCCTGTTGTGGGGTGGGGGGAGGGGGTAGGGATAACATTAGGAGATATACCTAATGCTAAATGACGAGTTAATGGGTGCAGCACACCAACATGGCACATGTATACATATGTAACAAACCTGCACGTTGTGCACATGTACCCTAAAACTTAAAGTATAATAATAATAAAAAAGTAAAAAAATATTATTTGTGTATAGTAGGAGTCCCAGAAGAACAGAGAGAGAAGGGAGCAGAAGTGATGTTAATATTTGAAAAGATGGTGGATGAAAATTTCTAAAACAATAGAAAAACATCAAATCATAGCTACAAGAAGCTCCACAAACTCCAAAAAGGATAAATATAAAGAAAACCACACCAAGGTACATAAGGGTAAAACTTTTTTTAAGAAAAAAAGGCAAAAATAAAAAGACATATTATCTTCAAAGGATCCACAACAACACTAACAATCAATTTCTTTTATTATTATTATTATTATTACACTTTAAGTTCTGGAATATATGTGCAGAACGTGCAGGTTTGTTACATAGGTACACACGTGCCATGGTGGTTTGCTGCACTCATCAACCCGTCATCTACATTAGGTATTTCTCCTAATGCTATCCCTCCCCTAGCCCCCCACCCCCCAGCAGGCCCCGGTGTGTGATGTTCCCCTCCCTGTGTCCATGTGTTCTCATAGTTCAACTCCCACTTACGAGTGAGAACATGCAGTGTTTGGTTTTCCCTTTCTGTGTTAGTTTGCTGAGAATGATGATTTCCAGCTTCATCCATGTCCCTGCAAAGGACATGGACATGGACTCATCCTTTTTTATGGGTGCATAGTATTCCATGGTGTATATGTGTATATGTACCAAATTTTCTTTATCCTGTCTATCATTCATGGGCATTTGGGTTGGTTCTAAGCCTTTGCTATTGTGAATGGTGTTGCAATAAACATACGTGTGCATGTGTCTTTATAGCAGAATGATTTATAAGCCTTTGGGTATATACCAAGTAATGGGATTACTGGGTCAAATGGTATTTCTGGTTCTAGATCCTGAGGAATTGCCACACTGTCTTCTACAATGGTTGAACTAATTTACACTCCCATCAACAGTGTAAAAGTGTTCCTATTTCTCCACATCCTCTCCAGCATCTGTTGTTTCCTGACTTTTTAATGATTACCATTCTAACTGGCATGAGATGATATCTCATTGTGGTTTTGATTTGCATTTCTGTAATGACCAGTGATGATGATCTTTTTTCATATGTTTGTTGGCCGCATAAATGTCTTCTTTAGAGAAGTGTCTGTTCATGTCCTTTGCCCACATTTGATCGGGTTGTTTGTTTTTTTTCTTGTAAATTTGTTTAAGTTCTTTGTAGATTCTGGATATTAGTCCTTTGTCAGATGGATAGATTGTAAAAATTTTCTTCCATTCTGTAGGTCACCTGTTCACTCTAATGATAGTTTCTTTTGCTATGCAGAAGCTCTTTAGTTTAATTAGATCCCATTTGTCTATTTTGACTTTTGTTGCCATTGCTTTTGGTGTTTTAGTTATGAAGTTTTTACCCATGCCTATGTCCTGAATGGTATTACCTAGGTTTTCTTCTAGGGTTTTTATGGTTTTAGGTCTAACATTTAAGTCTTTAATCCATCTTGAATTAATTTTTGTATAAGGTGTAAGGAAGGGATCCAGTTTCAGCTTTCTGCAGATGGCTAGCCAGTTTTCCCAACACCATTTATGAAATAGGGAATCTTTTCCCACTGCTAGTTTTTGTCAGGTTTGTCAAAGATCAGATGGTTGTAGATGTGTGGTGTTATTTCTGAGGCCTCTGTTCTGTTCCATTGGTCTATATATCTGTTTTGGTACCAGCACCATGCTGTTACGGTTACTGTAGCCTTGTAGTATAGTTTGAAGACAGGTAGCCTGATGCCTCCAGCTTTGTTCTTTTGGCTTAAGATTGTCTTGGTTATACGGGTTATTTTTTGGTTCCATATGAAATTTAAAGTAGTTTTTTCTAATTCTGTGAAGAAAGTCAATGGTAGCTTGATGGGGATAGCATTGAATCTGTAAATTACTTTAGGCAGCATGGCCATTTTCATGATATTGATTCTTCTTATCTATGAGCCTGGAATGTTTTTCCATTTGTTTGCATCCTGTCTTATTTCCTTGAGCAGTGGCTTGTATTTCTCCTTGAAGAGGTCCTTCACATCCCTTGTAAGTTGTATTCCTAAGTATTTTATTCTCTTTGTGGCAATTGTGAATGGGAGTTCACAAATGATTTCACCCTCTGTTTAAGACTAACAATCAATTTCTTAACAGAAACAATGGCAGCCAGAAGATAGTGGAGTGATATATTTAACGTGCTAAAAGAAAATAACTGCCTACTACAATTCTATATCCAGTGAATGTAGCTATAAAAAAAAAGGTTGTTTCAGACCAAAAAGAACAAAAAAGAAAGAAAAGATAACCTGAGTGAATTCATCTCTAGACGTCCCACACTAAAAGAAATAATACTATAGGGAGTACTTAGGCAGAAGGAAAATTATCTCAGATGGAACACAAAAATGTAAGAAAGAATGAAGAGCACCAAAAATAGTGCCTATGTGGGTGCTACAGATTGAATGATGTTTTTGTCCCCCCACCAAAGTAATATGGTGAAGTCCTGACCCCCAGTGTGGCTGTATTTGTAGATAGGGCCTCTGGGAAGAAATTAAGATTAAATGAGGTCATAAGAGTGGAACCCTGATCTGACAGAATTAGTGTCCTCTGAAGAAAGAACTTCCTCTTTCTCCCTCCACACATGCACTCAGAGGCGAGACCATGTAGGCACACAGCGGGCAGGCAGCCAACTGCTACCCAAGGGGAGAGTCCTCAACATACACCATCCCTGCTGGCACCTTGATCATGGCCTTCCCAGTTTCCACAACTGTGAAAAAATTAATTTCTATTGTTTAAGTCACCAGATTGTGGTATTTCATTATGACGGCAACCCAGGCAGACTAAGACAGTGGGTAGACCTCAGTGAATACTGACAGTTCCAATCAATAATAATAATGTCTTGTGGAGGTTAAAAATGTGTTCAGAATTTAAATGCATGACAACAATAATACAAAGTTAGTGGGTGGTAAATCAAGTTCGTGTTTTAAGATTCTAGCATTATTATGGAAGAGATAAAATTAATCATTTGGATTTTAATAATTTAAGAATGCAAGCTATAATCTCCATAGTAACCATTTTAAAATAATGACAGGATGTATAACTAACAATATAGAAAAAGATACTATAATAAAAGATATCTGATTAATCCAAAGAAAGGCAAGAAATGAGAGAAAAGGACACTTAAAAGAGATGGGCCAAAAAAAGAGGTTTATTTCGGCTCATGATTCTGGAGGCTACAGTTGCCAGATCTGATCATCTTCCAGTGAGAGCCGCATGTTTCATCATAACATGAGGGGAAGCCAGGTGCACACAAAAAGGGCAAAACACAAGGGCAGTCTCACTTTATGGCACCTCGCTCTTGTGGTAATTAATCCAGTATCATAAAAGTGAGAACTCTCACATTCATGAGAATTCACCCAGTCTCATGAGAGCAGCATTAATCCCTCTTAACAACCCAATCACCTTTTTTTTAAACAGGTGGGTCAAATTTTAAAAAAATGCTAATGTAGGAGGTATCAATCAAATATATCAGTAATTACATCAAATACAAGTGGACTAAAATATGCCAATTAAAAGAGTGTCAGAACATTCAAAGAAGTGTGTAGAGGGAAATTTATAGCACTAAATGCCCACAAGAGAAAGCAGAAAAGATCTAAAATTGACACCCTAACATCACAATTAAAAGAACTAGAGAAGCAAGAGGAAACACATTCAAAAGCTAGCAGAAGGCAAGAAATAACTAAGATCAAAGCAGAACTGAAGGAAATAGAGACACAAAAAACATTTCAAAAAATCAATGAATCCAGGAGCTGGTTTTTTGAAAAGATCAACAAAATTGATAGACCGCTAGCAAGACTAATAAAGAAGAAAAGAGAGAAGAATCAAATAGATGCAATAAAAAATGATAAAGGGGTTATCACCACCGATCCCACAGAAATACAAACTACCATCAGAGAATACTATAAACACCTCTACACAAATAAACTAGAAAATCTAGAAGAAATGGATAAATTCCTCAACACATACACTCTCCCAAGACTAAACCAGGAAGAAGTTGAATCTCTGAATAGACCAATAACAGGCTCTGAAATTGAGGCAATAATTAATAGCTTACCAACCAAAAAAAGTCCAGGACCAGATGGATTCACAGCCAAATTCTACCAGAGGTACAAGGAGGAGCTGGTACCATTCCTTCTGAAACTATTCCAATCAACAGAAAAAGAGGGAATCCTCCCTAACTCATTTTATGAGGCCAGCATCATCCTGATACCAAAGCCTGGCAGAGACACAACAAAAAAAGAGAATTTTGGACCAATATCCCTGACGAACACTGATGAAAAAATCCTCAATAAAACACTGGCTAACTGAATCCAGCAGCATATCAAAAACCTTATCCACCATGATCAAGTGGGCTTCATCCCTGGGATGCAAGGCTGGTCCAACATATGCAAATCAATAAACATAATCCAGCATACAAACAGAACCAACAACAAAAACCACATGATTATCTCAATAGATGCAGAAAAGGCCTTTGACAAAACTCAACAACCCTTCATGCTAAAAACTCTCAATAAATTAGGTATTGACGGGATGTATCTCAAAATAATAAGAGCTATCTATGACAAACCCACAGCCAATATCATACTGAATGGGCAAAAACTGGAAGCATTCCCTTTGAAAACTGGCACAAGACAGGGATGCCCTCTCTCACCATTCCTATTCAACATAGTGTGGGAAGTTCTGGCCACAGCAATCAGGCAGGAGAAGGAAATAAAGGGTATTCAATTAGGAAAAGAAGAAGTCAAATTGTCCCTGTTTGCAGATGACATGATTTTATATTTAGAAAACACCATCGTCTCAGCCCAAAATCTCCTTAAGCTCATAAGCAAATTCAGCAAAGTCTCAGGATACAAAATCAATGTGCAAAAATCACAGGCATTCTTATACACCAATAACAGACAAACAGAGAGCTAAATCATGAGTGAACTCCCATTCACAATTGCTTCAAAGAGAATAAAATACCTAGGAATCCAACTTACAAGGGATGTGAAGGACCTCTTCAAGGAGAACTACAAACCACTGCTCAATGAAATAAAAAAGATACAAACAAATGGAAGAACATTCCATGCTCATGGGTAGGAAGAATCAATATCGTGAAAATGGCCATACTGCCCAAGGTAATTTATAGATTCAATGCCATCCCCAACAAGCTACCAATGACTTTCTTCACAGAATTGGAAAAACTACTTTAAAGTTCATATGGAACCAAAAAAGAGCGCGCATTGCCAAGTCAATCCTAAGCCAAAAGAACAAAGCTGGAGGCATCACACTACCTGACTTCAAACTATACTACAAGTCTACAGTAACCAAAACAGCATGGTACTGCTACCAAAACAGAGATATAGACCAATGGAATCAAACAGAGCCCTCAGAAATAATGCCACATATCGACAACTATCTGATCTTTGACAAACCTGACAAAAACAAGCAATGGGGAAAAGATTCCCTATTTAATAAATGGTGCTGGGAAAACTGGCTAGCCATATGGAGAAAGCTGAAACTGGATCCCTTCCTTACACCTTGCACAAAAATTAATTCAAGATGGATTAAAGACTTACATGTTAGACCTAAAACCATAAAAACCCTAGAAGAAAACCTAGGCAATACCATTCAGGACATAGGCATGGGCAAGGACTTCATGTCTAAAACACCAAAAGCAATGGCAACAAAAGCCAAAATTGACAAATGGGATCTAATTAAACTAAAGAGCTTCTGCACAGCAAAAGAAACTACCATCAGAGTGAACAGGAAACCTACAGAATGGGAGAAAATTTTTGCAATCTACTCATCTGACAAAGGGCTAATATCCAGAATCTACAATGAACTCAAACAAGCTTACAAGAAAAAAACAAACAACCCCATCAAAAACTGGGCAAAGGATATGAACTGACACTTCTCAAAAGAAGACATTTATGCAGCCAAAAGACACATGAAAAAATGCTCACCATCACTGGCCATCAGAGAAATGCAAATCAAAACCACAATGAGATACCATCTCACATCAGTTAGAATGGCGATCATTAAAAAGTCAGGAAACAACAGGTGCTGGAGAGGATGTGGAGAAACAGGAACAGTTTTACACTGTTGGTGGGACTGTAAACTAGTTCAACCATTGTGGAAGTCAGTGTGGTGATTCCTCGGGGATCTAGAACTAGAAATACCATTTGACCCAGCCATCCCATTACTGGGTATATACCCAAAGGATTATAAAACATGCTGCTATAAAGACACATGCACACATATGTTTATTGTGGCACTATTCACAATAGCAAAGACTTGGAACCAACCCAAATGTTCAACAATGATAGACTGGATTAAGAAAATGTGGCACATATACACCATGGAATACTATGCAGCCATAAAAAATGATGCGTTCATGTCCTTTGTAGAGACATGGATGAAGCTGGAAACCATCATTCTCAGCAAACTATCGCAAGGACAAAAAAATCAAACATCGCATGTTCTCACTCATAGGTGGGAATTGAACAATGAGAACACATGGACACGGGAAGGGGAACATCACACACTGGGGCCTGTTGTGGGGTGGGGGGAAGGGGGAGGGATAGCATTAGGAGATATACCTAATGTTAAATGACGAGTTAATGGGTGCAGCATACCAACATGTCACATGTATACATATGTAACAAACCTGCACGTTGTGCACATGTACCCTAAAACTTAAAGTATAATAAAAAAAGACAAAAAAATAAAAATAAAAGAGTGTCAGAATGTATTTTTTACCTACATGTTTACAAGGAGATGTATGTTAACTCCAAAATCCTTAGCATAATGCCTGGCATATGGTGTCCTCAAAGAGGAGCTGGTATTGAAAGCCATAATTAATACTATTGTTAATGGAATTACCATCCTGAGGAACCAGGATAAAAGTTTTTCAGAAGATGTACAAAAAGGGACATGGCTAGCTCACAATTGTGCCCATTACTGGTCCACGCAGTAGACATTAAATTCATTCCATGAAGGCATAATATGAATTAAAACCAAATGTTACATGCTTTGCTTATTAAAAATTTCCCATATTAAAAGATGGTATTATATCAGTAGAATTTTACTCTGTGTTCAAACAACTGATTTATACATGAGAATTTTGAGGAAGTTCTTTATTCCATGGTGACCATTCACAGATTTTAGGTACTTCTTCAAAACAAGATTTGTTTCTTAGTTAACTAGACCTTAAAGAGCTTGTAAGTAAATATGGTGATAGCTATAGTAAAGTACTGCTCCCGATATTTGAGGCTTATTTCATAATCCAATATCATGCTTCAAAACTAATCTACACGAATCAGTGAACAGTCTTCTTCCATTGCAAATCTAACTTTAATTAGAAAAAGTTTCCATCGTTTCTTCAGGAGATTTTGGAATTAAATATTTAAAATTTCAAGAAAAGAGTAAGCCTTTTTTATTTTGAAACAATTCAAACTGCAGGAAACTTACAGAAAAGTTGCATGAATATAACAATAAACTCTTAACCCTGAATTACTAATTTCTGCTATTTTGCCACATTTGCTTTGTATTTTTCTCTGTCCACACGTAAGTATACACATGCATGTGTGCATATATATGTCTGTGCAGCAATTATTATTTTGCTGAGGCTTTTGAAAATGAATTGCAGACATCATTACTTTTTGCCACTAAATATTTCCATTTATATTTCTTAAGAACAAGGAAATTTTCTTACATAGCTACAACATAATTGTCAAATTTGGGAAATTTAAAAGGATACACTACACTTAACTAATCGAGTTAATATTTAAATTTTGAAATCTAGTTCATATATCATGTCGTCAGAGGAAGCTTTCTTGCCCCCCTTCCTTTCTACTCATTTTTATTGAGTCTTCTCTACCCCTAGGCTTTTGATATCATTTTATTGTCATGCTTGCCACAGTCCAATACATTTCCTCCTACATCTTCTCTCCTATCTGGCCGTGGCATCCTAGAGGGCAGTAACCAAGTTTTACTTATTTTTGCGTCTCCAGTTCCTTGTATAATGCCCAGCGCCTTGAAGATCCCCAGCAATGTTTTCTGAATGAATGAAATGAATGTATCATATATACTTTCTTTGCTTCTTTGTCTCTTTGTCCAAAACACATTATATCACTGATTCATATTTAACTTGTGGTCACCTTAAATATCTTGTTTTTTTTTCTACTATATTATTTAGTCCTACTATATTACTACATACTCACCATAAAATTTTCAGTCTGTTTGTTCATTTCTAATTAAATCCAATCTTTCCAACTTCTGTCCAACCACCGGTTACTACCATATAACCAGTTACATTATAAAACTAATATTTTTGAAGACACATGAATGATAACGCGACATCTCATAAAAATTATAAACAAGTAATTATGTATCAAGCAAAAAAATAGAGGTCCAAATTAATATTTGTGGTTTATATCCTCGGCTTTCAATCTGACATAACTCTTCTTCCCTATCCTTTTCAAATAACCAGAAAAAGTTTTGGTGAAGGGGTACAAAGGGGGGGAGAAAAGGAGGAGAAAATGTTGCTACAGATAATACTAAAACCTGGACTTGTGTCAACACAGATGTCATTTGGAAGCACACAGTCCCCAACTAAGTATGGCAAAGAAGAAAAGAAATGTTAAGTAGTGGCTTCCATCTACCCTGATATGGTTTGGCTCTGTGTCCCAATCCAAATCTCACCTCGAATGATAATAATCCCATCGTGTCAAGGATGGGACCAGGTGGAGATAATCGAATCATAGGGGCGGTTTTCCCCATGCTATTCTCATGAAAGTGGGTAAGTTCTCACAAGATCTGATGTTTTTATAAGGGGCTTCCCCATTCACTGGGCACTCATTCTCTCTCCTGCCACCCTGTGAAGAGGTTCCTTCTGCCATGATTGTAAGTTTCCTGAGGCCTCCCCAGCCATGAGGAACTGTGAGTCAATTAAACCTCTTTCCTTTATAAATTACCCACTTTCGGGCAGTTCCTTATAGCAGCATGAGAATGGACTAATACATATCCCAATCTTCTGTATCTAAAAATTCCAACAATGAACATTAATTTAATTGCTACTATTTTCCAATTCTCTGATAAACTTGATCATACATTTTATCTTGCTCTATCCTCACAGCAAACCTGCAGCATTATTACAATTATAGATTTGAAGATATAACTGTATTGTAGCATCTCATTGAGTCTAAATCAACTTTGATTGCCATTATTTATGTTCCACTAAGAAAGAAATAAAAATGCTGAACTTTAAACTGCAATAACATGCCAACATGTCATTGATTATAAAATGAGTCTCAATTTCAGACAAGTTAAAACATGTCTTCAAATGGATGAAATAAGTGGTAGAGGTGGGACTTGAACCCACATCTGTCCATCTTCCTGCTCAGCACAAATTCTACTTCCATCGTGTCAAAGTCAGATACTTCATGTTTGTGTCCAGACAGGTTGATGTTGAACATTGCTTATTCCTAAGCCTAGGTGGCTCTGAAAGGAAAATGATATTTCTGACCATTCACCCAGGTGAGAAAGATCAGGGTTTGCCTCCTTGGAGGCGATGAGCATTCCAGGCCTAACAGACACTGGAAAGAAGGCAATGGAAATTCCAGGCCACTGGAAAGAAAGCAATGATTGCCTGACTGGCACATGGAAGAGACATCATTCTCCCTATATTCCTCACAATATGACTGAGAGCTGCAGCCAATGGATCTTGCACCTGAAGGCCCAGACACAGAAAAGTTCAGGACTCACCCAGTAGTGCAATCCATCAGGCACAACACTGAAACTAAAATATGCAGTTTCTCACCCCCAGGCCTGGTTGAGTCCATGTTGGCATGCTGCTTTCTCTGCACAACTGTGATTCTTGCTGAATAATTGAAGCCCAGGCTTTGTCCATATCAGGGATATTACTGTTTGATTTTGTGATCCCAAAGGGACAGCTGCAAACTGCTGATGCCTGTGCTGGTGCTGAAATTGCTACAGAATGTGGGAATTTTTTGAGTTTCATGTTGGAAAATCATCAGGCATCGCACTGGGAAGTAGGGGTTTCTTAGAGGTTTAAAAAAACAGTTCAAAAGTATATAGGTGGGAAGGACGAGAGGTTAATGAGATGCTTTTCTGCAAGGCAAGATTGCATCTGAGCAATAAATTGAAAAAAAATTAATTATAAATGGAATAACCCAGCCCCTAAGGAATTGAGATAATGCAGAATAAGTTCCCATTAATGGAAAGATGTGAATTTTAATACACACACTATACCAGAGTAATACTGTCCACATTGATGGATTACAAAAAAACATGCTTTATTCCCCCACCTAACCCCAAGAAAAGGGGAAAAAAATCACAAAGGCTGAGTTACAAAAGGTAACTTCAAATATAAATCCCCCAGATGCGAATTCATAAGTGAAGCAGGCTGGCTGCAGTATCATTCTATGAATAAGCCCTGTGATCTCCCCCTAGCAGTTCCCCAAGTGGGTCACAGAACAGAGGGCATAGTCCTATCCAGCAGCAGAGCTTGCATTCTTTACCATGTGCATCTGCAAACATCCTTCCAAAATGTTTAGCAGTCATTGCTCACAGAAATAGAATTTCTCAAACATCTATGATTTTATCATATCAGAAAAATTTTTGAAACAGAGGTACAGAAAGATCCAATGACTTGGCTGGGTGCAGTGGCGCACGCCTGTGGGATCGCACATGTAATCCCAGCACTTTGGGAGGCTCAGGCGGGCGGATCACCTGAGGTCAGTAGTTTGAGACCAGCCTGGCCAACATGGCGAAACCCCGTCTCTACTAAAAATACAAAAACTAGCTGGGTATACTGACAGGTACCTGTAATCCCAGCTACTTGGGAGGCTGAGGCAGGAGAATCACTTGAACCCAGGAGGCAGAGGTTACAGTGAGCTGAGATCACGCCATTGCACTCCAGCCTGGGCGACAGAGTGAGACTCTGTCTCAAAAAAACGAAAAACAAAACAAACCAAAAAAAAAGATTCAATGACTTGCCTTAACAAAAACACATACACTTGAATTCATCAAATTCTCAGTTTTAGGCAAAAGAACATAAACAAAACGTATCTCCCTGATTGGTAGCAAAGAACCCGAGGGGAAAATAGAAGTCTGGAGTTTGCTTTTCAAACCCAAATTTATAAAAAGACACAAACAGCTTACTCCCAAACAAGATGTGGCAAAGCCACTCTCTCACATTCCTCTTTTTTCCCTCTATAATCTCATGGCCATTAACAAAGTGCACAATTACATATCAATGTTGCCTGTCTAACATGAAAAGAAAGCTTTAATTTGTCTTTTAAAAGATAGTAGCTATGACAGTTAATAAATGTGTGAATTAGTAAGAAATTCATTTGATGGAGGAGGCAAATGAAAATACTAGGGTGCTAAGATTCTGGAATTTTGTTCGAAGTCCTGTTTTCTGTGGAAGGGGGAGGTCTGAATTTGAAGCAAGGAGAGGTGGGTTCAAATCCCATCTCTCAAGCCTGGCACTTCATTTACCCACTCTGTGCCCCAAGACTCTTCACTGATACGACGGAGTAAAAAATTCCCACCACCCATTCTTATTGACACAGGAAAATTGAATGGTGAAAGCTCTTAGCACAGAACTTGGTCTCAATAAGTATGAGTTGACCTGGTAGCCAAAAAGAAATTTATTTCGTAGATTGCAAAAAGCAGTTTGAGGGGCAGCCTTAAATAAAAATCATTCATTACAAAATATTGTCACCAAGAAAAAGTTCTAATTTTCTGGGAGGCAAAGAATTAACAACTCAGGGGAAAAAAATCTCTTATTTTATTTAAATCGATCTGTTTTTGGTGTGGGTTGGGTTTGAGGTTTAAGTGTGTTTTTGAATTTGTGTGCATGCACATGTGTGATGCCTACTAAATGTCAGGGGCTCAGTAAGTATTGAGTTGGTGCAAAAGTAGTTGCAGTTTTTGCCGTTACTTTTATTAACAAAACCGCAATTACTGTTGCACCAATCTCCTATTTGTTGAATGGAATTAAAAGAGGGAAGAATTTGGTCAGCAATTTTGTCTATCTTGTAGTGGACTATGCAGGAGCCCCCCCCTGCCCCCCCATGAGCAGTTTCACTTTCTGCACTTTCAGTTATCCATAGTCAACTAAGGTTCCAAAATATTAGATCAAAAAGTCCAGAAATAAATGATTCATAAGTTTTAAGTTTCATGTCATTCTGAGCAATATGATGAAACCTCACCCCATCCTGATCTTTCCACCCTGGTCATGAATCCTCCCTCCGTCCAATGTCTCTATGCTGTAGATACTCTCTGCCCCTGAGTCACTTAATAGCCAGATCGGCTTTCACATCTACTGTCAAGGTATCTCAGTGCTTGTGTTCAAGAAACCCTTATTTTACTTAATATGTACCCCAAAGCACAAGAATAGTGATGCTGGCGATAGATAGGCCAAAGAGAAGCTGCAAGGTGCTTCCTCTAAGTGAAAAGGTGAAAGTTCTCAACTGAAAGGAAAGAAAAAAAAATCACATGCTGAGGCTGCTGAGACCTATGGTAAGAACAAATCTTCTGTCTGTGAAATTGTAAAGAGGGAAAAAGAAGTTTGTGCTAGTTTTGCTGTCACACTTCAAACTGCAAAAGCTACAGCCACAGTGGGTAATAAGTGTTTAGTTAAGATGAAAAAGGCATTATGTTTGTGGGTGGAAGACATGAACAGAACATGTTCCAAATGAGAGCAATCAGGTTCGGTGCTATCCACAGTTGCAGGCTTCCACTGAGGATCTTGGAACATATTTGGACAAGCGGCGACTTCTGAATTCTGGGGGGTCTTCTGTATTCCCAGGACTTATGACAATTCCATGTATATATTCCATTTTCAATGAATATTTGTTACATTACTCAATACTCATTTTCTTTGTTTTTAAAATAATAATTTTTCAAGGTCCTTTCCTATTACATTTTATATTTCCTTTCTAAATTTCATTTCACTGTCAGTGCCCTCTCCCTTTATAGAAGTGATGGCCTTTCTGTAGCAAATAGAAAATATATACCCCTATCTGACTTTCAGTATTTTAGAAAACTGTGTTGTTTTGCCAATATCACAAGTACTGTCCACTACACAATATTTTATCCAATTGTCTCCCAATTTAATTATCTCCCAACTCTTTTCACCGTAACAACTCATTTCCCTGAGCTCCTGGTACCTTATGCAACCGGCCCTGTAGAAGTTCCAAGAGCATGTGAGTCCTTCCAACCTCTTGACCCAGTTCCACAACTTAAATTTAACCTGTTTCCTCACCCACCATCCACCTGCACATTCAAAGAAAACAAGAACATAAGTAACATAAATGCCATATAGCAGAAAGGAGGAAGAACTCCCATCTTTAATTGTCCCCTAATCACAAAAGACACTGTCAGAATTCTCTGAGCCCAAAGGGA
Organism: Homo sapiens; assembly: GCF_000001405.40. Lineage (NCBI taxonomy): Eukaryota > Metazoa > Chordata > Mammalia > Primates > Hominidae > Homo > Homo sapiens. The sequence goes on from NC_000008.11 coordinate 65,446,173, forward strand.
ACGCCAAATGCATCAGGTGAGTGAGGCCTTCAGGAGGAAATGGGAGCTGGAAAAGAGAAGCAATCATGAGTCATTTACTAGCTGTGACCCTGGGCAAGTCACTGCCTCTCACTATCTCAAGTTTCTCATCTTAAAATGGGCATAATACTAGTACCCAACTCATAGGGTTGTTATGAAAATATAAAGAGGTTTATACTTTAAAACAGTTAGAACCAGGCACTTTGTAAGTTTTATGTGTATACATATATATATACACACACACACACACATATATATATACACACACACACACATATATACACACACATATATATACACACACACATATATATACACACACACATATATATACACACACACATATATATACACACACACATATATACACACACATATATATACACACACACACATATATATACACACACACACACACATATATATACACACATATACACACACACACACACATACATATATACGAAGGTACCTAATTAATGAGAAAGGGATATTTTTTAAAAGTCCCTTGCAGTTGCCCTGTAAGACACTGTATTCACAACTGCCCATAAACAATTACCACCGAATATAATCGTCAGACCCAGTCACTGCTATATTCTGAATGTTTATGTCCTCCCAAAATTCCTATATTGAAATCCTCACCCTCAAGATGATGGCATTAGGAGGTGGGGCCTTGGGGAGGTGATTAGGTCATGGGAGCGGAGCCCTCATGAATGGAATTAGCACCCTTTAAAAAGAGACCTGAGAAAGACCCTTCACCCCTTCCATCATGTAAGGTGAGGGTAATAAGATGGCTGTTTATAAGGAATGGTCGTTTGCCAGACACAAGGCCTGTGGGCATCTTGATCTTGGACTTCTTAGCCTCTAGAGCTGTGAGAAATAAATATCTGTTGTTTATAAGCCATGCAGTCTATAGTACTTTGTTACAGCAGCATGCTATGGTTTGAAAGTATCCCCCAAAAGTTCACACATTGGAAACTTGGTCTCCAAAACAGCAGTGTTGAGAGGTGGGACCTTTGGCAAGTGATTGAGTCATAAAGGCCCATTCATGGATTAATGGGTTATCGAGGGAATGGATTAGTTATCACAAGACTAGGTCTGTTATAAAAGCCACTATGGACGTCTCTTGTGAGCCACCTCACCACGTATCACCTTGTGCCACTAGGGACTCTGCAGAGTCCCCATTAGTAAGGACACCCTCAGCAGATGCAGACCCTCAAATTTGTACTTCCCAGCTTCCAGAACTATAAGAAATACATTTTTTTCTTTATAAATTACCCAGTCTCAGGTATAATTGCTATTCAATTACAGCAACAGAAAATGGACTAAGACACAGCCCAAACAAACAAAGACAGTCACTCTGTGGCTACAAGGGGCAAAGGGTGGAGACAAATCTTGTTCAAGGCCATATTTGAAATGAGATGGAGACAAGGATGCTGAAAATACCCTACCTTCAGCTAAGATGTGTAACTTCTGCTTCTGTACCAGTGACAGCTCTACTCCTACTCTAATCCTCCTGCCTCTTGGACAAAATATTACCAAGATATTCAGTCATCAAATTGACCCTGCTTCTTGACAGCATTCCATCCAAAACCAACCTCAGCTTCTTTAAAAACTCCTTAGAATCACCCAGCACAAGCCCAGATCCTACAGTCCATCCCTCCCAAGTCCCTATTAGCAGGTCAATTTAAGGCTTTCCCAGGTGCACTCCCCCTGCTGCTGCAAGCTAAGGAAACCTGACTTTGTTCTGGTTCTAGGTGTGTTCTTGGTGTTCTTTGCCTGGTGGGCCATAAAATAATACCTCTAACAACAAAAAAAAACAGCTATTACTTCTTGAGTGTTCACTCTGTGCCAGAGACTTCCTAAAGTCTATACATGTATTAACTTCTAATCCTCACAACAATCTATATCCTGGACATAGACAAGTAACTTCTCTAGCAAGTACAGAAGCAAGAATTCACACCCAGGTCTGTCTGACACAGAGCTGGTGCTCTTAGGCAATGCATTCCGCTGCCTCTTGAATAGAGGGCAGTTGCCCAGGGTCGGCTTAATATCTTCCGTATCCTACATTGAAATTGAGTACAGCTTGCCCCAATTCTGCTTGATTATTTCCCAGCTCATATTTATGTTCAAAGAGATGAGAAAGATAAGAAGAGAATAAATCATCTCACCACATGGAGTATACTTTTCATTTTGCACTCATATAAACTTGAAACTGGGGCTATTGGTTTTAAATTTGAAGCTGAGGACAGCTTCTCAGCTGAAGGAGCAGAACAGCACAGAAGACTGTGAAATCCAGGAGAGCTGGTTTAGTCCTGGCTGCAACCCATCTAACAATGGGAACTTTAGGCAAGCCCTTTAACCTCTCTGAAGCTTGTTTTTCTATTATGTAAAATAGATACAATAATGCCTACCTCAATGTGAGGCAGTGAAGTGCTTGATACTTAAAACCAGTGGGTATATGAAAGCTATTATTGCTACCATCATGAAAAGTAGTGATTCTCAGTACCCCACAGAGATGGTTTGCTGTGGCTGACACCGCTTGATAAATCATAAAAGGCCCAGATGTGTCCTTCTAATGTTCACTAAGGGTCACAGAGGCTGTCAGAGCCAGGGATTAGAACAGGGAAGGGAAGGCAAGAAGAAAGGAGCTGTTTAAAAATGAGGAAAGAGTCTTGTTTGAGATCCTGTGCCTACTCATCCTAGAGGCCAACACCACAGAGAAACAAAATAACAATATTCTGGGATCAGGACATTCTGATTTTTGGATACCATTCTTATTCAAACCAGGAGAGACTTTAGTCCATACCCCTACTGGACAACAACAAATTTTCCTCTTCATGATAATCCTGGAGACTTCACAGACAGGCTTCAGAAAGAGCAAGAAAAAAAAAAATATATAGATATATATATATATATACATACGTGTGTGTGTACACATCTATATATCAGAAAAGAAAGCTACAATGACTACCAGCAAATTAACAATTCCCTGTATTTACTACAAACCTCTCTTTAATAGACTGCAACCTATTCATTAAATGGGAGGAAAAAAATATGAGGACAGGAAATGGAAAGGGGCAGAGAAGTGAGGAGGAGACGAGAGGGTAAAAGAAACCACTTTGCTTCTAACGTAATGCAGTAAGATATAAATACAATCAAAGGGGTTAATCTAATCCCTTTGTGAAGCACTGAGTCAGAGAACAAGACAAAAACAAACCTGTGATCTGGAACTTCTCGAGCCCCCACTTGGGGGGATTAATGAGGAGTACACGGCTGTGAAATTACATGTTCTCTGAGTCAGGAAAATGGTCCTACTGGTGCATGACCTTGAAATGAGGGGACGCAAACTTCACCTGATCCACAATTATGAAGCCCAAAAAGGAGGGGCTCGGGGAAAAGAGAGGATGTGGAAAAGAGGCTGTCCAAATGTTCGGGATATGAAGATCCACAAATCTCAACCAACCCATGGCTTGCAGGGGGATCTAAACACAACATAAAATATTCAGAGGACTTTAAAAGGACGCTGGCATTTGTGAGAAAGCATTAGGAGGCAAGCCTGTCCTCTTTATTTACATGAAGTAGATATTTTGTGGCTGTTGTTATGGACTTAGTGATGTTTGTCTCTGTTCAATTTTCCCTTTGCGATGAAAAATTGTTGCGAGATGATTTCTAGTCTTAGCTGCTTTACATGACAGTATTATCAAGGATTCATCAAGAGGCCATCTGTCGAATTTATGAAAAAAATATGCAAAAACAAAACAGATGAAAAGGAAAGAGCAAGACAGACTGGTCCAGGGGAAGATAGATGTGGCAGCATGTGCCTCCGTGTGAAAATGACAACATTTAAATACTGCGGAATAAATTACTGCGCCGAAAAATTAGTGATGCTCTCCCACTTCAGACGCTACCCTTACCATAAGAACATAATGAAATAGATCACATATCAAATCACCCTTTCCTCAGACTGTTATTATATTCTAATGAAAAATTAGGAGAGGAGAGACACATAAACCTCAAATGGGAGGGATGAAAATGAGCCAGAGTAGATTTGCTGTAGTATTGAGCCCTGAGAAGCTTCTCCAAAATGCACAGTCCATATGGAAATAAGAGCTTTCCCCCACTATTTATTAAAAAGTCAATAAAATAAGTTACAGATTGTGTGAAAAACTGAAATAATATATATTAAGATGACAACGAGGCTGGCCAAGCTTACACCCAAATTAGATGGGCTGTAAAAACAATGTATTTCAGAAAGGAAATAGGAAGGAGGCAGAGAAACGCATCAGGATCCAAATGGCCAGTGCTGCGGGTGGCGCCCCCTGAAGGCAAGACGCAGAACCACATGTATATACTGTTTACTGAGGAAGGACTCATGAGCAACTTAGTCAGATCCGCGCCCGCTGGGACTGACTCCTGACTGACCAGAAATGGGGTAGCTCCCTCTGGGCTCTATTTCCAGCCCACAACCCTCAGAGCAGCTTCCTCCACCCCTAGGGGGCGGTCCTCCTCATTTCCTTCCATTTCATCCTTCCATCCTAGAGTTTAATCTGTGGGAAAACTTCTATTCCCTTCCCTTAAGAAGACATTTAATAGTGTTGGTAATAATGTATTATTATTAATTTCACACTAGCAATAAGATAATAACTGACACCCACTCCTAGATTTCAAAGAAGAGCAAAGTCCTATCTCATCATGAGCCAATGAGGGTAATAAACCTACAAAGGAAAAGTATGAAAAGGAATAGCATGCTGTAGCACTAGCCTAAGTGCATTAACCAGTCTAACCTCACACTAGCCCTGTGAGAGAATTACTATTTATCAATGGTCCCCATTGTACAGATAGAAGAATGGAAGCACAGAGAGGTGTAAGTATCCCATACAAGGTCACATAGCTAATAAGTAATGGTGCGGGGATTGGAACCCAGACGGTCGGGTTCAGAGCACAGGCTGTAATTTACCAAGAGCTGCAACACCTCCCACTAGAAAAGCAGCCCTGTGGTACCTTATTGTGTTTGCAAGGTTACAAATTATTCAATCAACAGATATGAGAATAAAAACTGTCTCTATGAAATAAGGTTGGGCTATATCATCTCTCAGACAATTAGAAACCATATGTAAATAGGTATCCTTTACTCATCAGAAAGAGAGCAAACCATAATCCTAAAAAGCCCTGGCTCTCTCTCCTAGTTTGCTCTCTTTCTGATGAGTGAAGGATATATATTTAAAAGTGTTTTCTTCCATCTATTATGGGACTAAAGAAAATGAGGTACTAATAATAAAGAATACTATGTCAACAAAGGGTTAAAGGTAAGGCATGATGCCCAAAGTTCTGGTTTAAGGAAACTTCTTGGAACTAAATTAGGTCCTCCCAGGATGCTCTTCATTTTGCTTTTTTCTTGAAATGTTTTAGACTTATGATATATTCAGAGTTTGTAGAAATTTCATCAGCACAACAAAAAGATCTCTAATCTACATTGAACATCTGATTAAAGACTTCATATCTGAATTAAATATTGTATGTATTTGCTATAGCAAATAATTACAATAGAACAAATAACACTATTTTGGAAATGAAAAATAATTTCAGCATTTGAAATATGCAAATAGCATACATAACCTCCATAAGGATATATTATTTGTGCTGGTCCTTGTAAGAAATTTAAGTAGAAATTTTCTTCTATTTTCAACATACAGAGAAAGTTAACCAACTTCAATTAAGTACCCTTTTTTTCCTAACTTTCACTTTTGATGGAATTATTATTTATTATCTGTAAATTAACACTGGAGTTCAGGAAGCTTGCTGGTCTCAACTTACCTGGTTCTGATGGCAATGAGAGATTAACCACTTCTCCTTCGGAAATTCACCAGGTAATATAACGGGTTCTCCCACAGAAATATCTCAGCCATAGCAAGATGGGGTGTCAGTTGTCCCTTCCTCCCTCCTTTTATTCTACCTTTCACATAGGCATAGCAGACTTTAATGACACTTCTCAAACATATAAAAATAAATTTTAAACAATTTGATAAATTATTTTTTAAATTATAAATACAGTGGGATTATACTCATTGGTCACCTAATGTAAGCCCAGCCCTTAATCTTAAATTAATTTCTATCTAAAATGACCTCAAAACTTGAGACAAGGTTATAGATTGGCCCTTTCACACATGCTGCTAACGAGCTCTTTGGTTTGATAAATCAAAATATCAACACTAATATAAGTAGCTTAGACTGAGCCAGAGATTTCCAGTATGTGAATTAACTAAGACACAGCAAAACTATTTCCAGCTATCACAGTGGCTTCCTTCAGACAAATTTTAAAATGGATAGGACACAAAATACTTTATTTACCTGCCATGTTTATCCAAACACATTCCCTTTCAATTCTCCTGTTCCTCCTATGTCCCCAGCCTAGGAGGCACCTTGGTGGCCAGACACAGACCATGTATACATCTCCTCATAAATAGGACTCTGGCTACCCCAGATCCCAGTACCTGGGATGACTCTCCACCCAGAAATTCTTTGGTAACTGAAATTTTTATATATTTGAATATGTGCATAAGAACAAGTCTGCTCATTGAATTCCAGCCTGAGGTAACTTGCCTGTCCTTGACCCAGAGGCCTTGAAGAGGCATCTAGTACATAGGAATACATGCTGCTAGAGTTAGATATACATCACGCTGCACAGCTATCTCTAAAATACTAGCTCTTCTTGCTCTTCTATTATTTCAACTGTGCTTTACTTATGCCTCTACTTACTATTTCATTTCAGTCATTAAATCAGAAGTTCATATTTGATAGGCCTTCATTCAGATGTATATTTGGAGCAGTTAATTATGATGTTTTCCTCTTCTGGAATGCCCTTGTATTTTTCATCCATCAACCCATCTTCCTGGTCTCTTTCTAAATTAAGCTCCTCCAGAATGCATTCATTGATCACCTTAATCCACAATGCTCGCTACACCCTATTGTCATGTATTATTTTTTTCTCACAAAAACAATCCAAAGAGCTATTTAAGTATCCTTTATACACAGGGCCATATTCAGGTAAGTGTTCAATATGTTTGTTGAATTTAAGCAAATTATTGATTCATTGTTTGTTATTGATCTATTTAAATAAAATTCATTAATAACATTTATAATTTAGTTAATTTATAACATTTTTCCTATGTGAATGAAAAAGTAAGTCACTCAACTATCCTTAAACTCATAACAGGGAAAAATATACAACATAATAGGCATTTCTAACTCAATATGTACTAAACAGAACTCTTAATTTTTATATCCAGGAACTATTCCACTCTCAGCATGCATTATCTGTAAAAATGTCACCATCATCAACTTAGCCAGTTTCTTAAGCCAAATATCTTGTATCATCCTTGCCTCCCTCTCTCATTGCTAACTCATTCTTGGCATTTACGAATGCCCTTGTTATGTGATACCATCTATAAAATGAGAAGAATGATATTTACTAGCTTCTATTATGGTGAAGGCTGTGACGTCTCTTCTGCACAAACAGCTTTTTGCCAGAAAAGTTTACAAAATAAAAAATAGATTATTATTGTAACAGTGAGGACTGCACAGAAACTAAAGATAACCTTCCAAAATGCTTAAAGGTACCATACTTCATTTGGGATATTTTATGAAACATACTCATCTTAAATTTTGAAGAATCAAAGAGGTCTCCTCTAATAATATCCAGTAGACGTAGATGTAATAAACTCTTACATTTGTATGGTACTAAGCATTTGTCAGTCCTATCCTTATTAATGGCAACATGTCATGTTTATATAACAACTCACAATGTGCTCATCAAGTGCTTCCCCCTTACCATGGCACCATGACACCAATTTCACCGTTTTACAGATGGAGGTGCTGGTTAACTTGTCCAGGGCCACTTAGTGTGTCAGTGCTAAAATTCACCCCATGACCTCAGTTTCCTAATGCCTGGTAGGAAGCACACTTTACTGGAACCTTCCCTGGGCAGTTCTTCCCCCTATGAAATCAGCAGCAGAGCCCGAATATGTGTGTGTATTTGCACGCATACATACATGCATGCAACATGCAATACACATGCATACCCCTATACACACAGGTGTGCACCCACTCACAGGCACACACTCATGTACACACACACACACACACACACACTGAGTTTCTTTATGGTTGCCAAAGAATCAGGCTGTTTCAGCAGTTCTGCACCACTCCCAAATTTAGTGATTTGCCTGCTTTGGTATTTGTTGGTAGACTAGGGTATTTCTTGAGCGGCTTGACAGGAATCACCTGAGATCCCATTAATGCATATTAAATTAGTCACTCAATGCATGGCATTGCCCCACAGTGGAGTCACTGACACCAATAACCAAGGCCGCTTCTCCCCAGGCCCCTTGGCTTGGCTTGGCTTATGCAGGAGAGAGAACTCAGGGGAAGCAGGGAGTGAAGACAGAGCTACGAGGCAAATATCCTGAGTGGCAGTCCAGCCTTGGCTTGCACTTGAGTCCATTTTGTTCATTTTAAAGCAATTGTCCTTTGCAGAACAAATCTCTTCTGATCTGTGCCTGCTCAGCATGTGGAGAGGAGTCTGGGGCGAGTTGGTGTTATCTTAAATAACTGTTACACCAAATAAACACACTATGCACACCCCTCAGCATTATAGAAATGGAAAATAAATCATCACCAAAAAGCTTATTTTACAAACCCACAAATCATCAGAAATATAAATGCTTTCCTTTCTATTCTCATGTTTTAATAAAGATTCTCCCCTCTTTTTTTTTCAGACTCACTCAATTACAATGTCACTATCAGTTCACATTACAGGTCAGAGATGTGGTGCTTAATGTATGAGGAGCCAGTTCTCCTCTCCTAATAGCCTGTCATTCCGGGGATTTGAATGTCAGAATACAGCCTTCCGCAGTAATGCTAGTCGGCAGCCCGATGATGAAAACTTTGGACAAATCATGAAGAACACTCCAGATCCACATCATCGGAAGGTTACCGGGGAGAGCCTTTCATTCCGCTTTGACCCCTTGATCTGACAAGTGACACCTACAAAATGAACAGCTCTCCAACTTAAATTGTTTAACTGTAGCCTGATCAGTTTTATTATCTTGCTAATCCAGATATCAGCCGTTTCATCAGAATGGAAGATATGCATATCATGAATTATTTTGACACGGGGACCTTTTAATTTTTGCCAGCAATATTTCACTGCCCCAATCAGGGCCTGCAGTCACTGATGCCGTTCGCCTCCTGGGACGTCAGCGGACAGCGCACTCCTGACAGCACCAAATCATCCGGGAGCTGTAACGAGCCATTGCTGCGATTATTATTATCTCTCGTAGTCATGCATTTCATTACAGCTCAGGCAGCCAGGGGCTTGGGTTTCAGGGCAGTCTTCTTCAGGAATCTCTGCCATTTTATGGGCTTGCCAAGCTCTGGGGTATAATTTCCCTTTTCTTTCCTCTCAACAGACAAGCCGAGGTGAATTTCTAATAAAAACAAACCCTAGGTAGGGACTGCAGGAAGAGCGAGCTCAGTACAGGACATTAAGCAGCGGTGAGGCAGCTTGAATGGCCCACTTGAAGTTTATGAAAGCAGTGGTTAATCAGCAATATGGTTTGCTACAGAGAAAAATAAAGAAGAGTTTATCCTGGAGTAGGGGGAAAACGCTCCTTTCTAAACTGCAAAGTGCTAAGAATGCTTTCTTAAGAAAAACTCCCTTCTTCCCTTAGATGTGTTTCTTAATGTCCCTCTCCCTTGATAACCATTTTCTTCCTCTGCTCGTCCATTCTAAGAGAACCCATCTCCATTCCAAGCCTGAAACTGCATTGTCTGCTTTCACCGAATTGTGCTTTGGCATTATGCCATAACTTCACTGAGCAGCCGCAGGAAATGCACTGTTGTATTTATTCTAAGGCTGTTATAGATCTTGTCGATCAATACATTACATAGCACATTCTTTGAGAGTATCCATGAGAGAAAGTTTCCCCTAGTCTCATGAACAACTGATCCATGTTAACTTTGGGGGCACTGTGAATCATAGAATTTATTGTTTCCTTCTTTGTAATGGCTGCTAGAAATCTCAAAACTAAATTTGTTGTTCTTTAAAAAATTAAACGTAGAACTGTCTTATGGTCCAGCCATTCAATTTCTGGGTATATACTCAAAAGAATTGAAAGCAGAGACTTAAACAGGTATTTCTCCACCCATGTTCATAAAAGCATTATTCACAACAGTCAAAAGGTAGAAAAATCCAGTGTCCATCAACAGAGGAATGGATAAGCAAAATGCAGTATATGATGTAATTGAATGTTATTCAGCCTTAAAAAAGAAAGAAATTGGCCTGGCATGGCAGCTCACACCTGTAATCCCAGCACTTTGGGATGCCAAGGCTGAGGTCAGGAATTCAAGACTAGCCTGGCCAACATGGTGAAACCTCGTCCCTACTAAAAATACAAAAATTTGCTGGGTGTGGTGGCAGGCGCCTGTAATCCCAGCTACTTGGGAGGCTGAGGCAGGAGAATCACTTGAACCCAGTAGGTAGAGATTGCAGTGAGCTGAGATCTCGCCACTGCACTCCAGCCTGGGAGACAGAGTGACACTCCATCTCAAAAAAAAAAAAAAAGAAAAGAAAAGAAAAGAAAAGAAAAGGAAGGAAATTCTAATACAAGCTACAATATAGATGAGACTTCAGGACATTATGCTAAGAGAAATAAACTAGAAAAAAAAGACAAATAGTGTACTATGCCACTTACACGAGGAACTTAGAGTAGTCCAATTTATAGAGACAGAAAGTAGAATAGAGATTGCCAGGAGCTGGGAAGAGGAAGAAAAATGAAGTTGTTATTAATGGGTTCAGAGTTTCAGTTTGGGAAGATGAAAAAGTTCTGGAAAAGGATAGTGGTGATGATTGCACAACATTGTGAATGTACTTAATGTCACTGAGCTGTATGCTTGAAAATGATTAAAACTGTAAATTTTATGTTATATATATTTTACCACAATTTTTAAAAACACAAAATTTGCAGCCAACCTCTTACAAATGTAAGGGATCTCCTAGAATGTACATTCTGTACTTATCTCATTAGTGGCTTCATTTATTCTTCCTACACTTACATTATCTTTGCTTTATTTTCCTCGTGGACTTTTTAAAAATATTATTTTATTGTGTGTTACTTTTTATACAATGATTTTTTTCACAGAACAGGAAGGATTTCAATGTTAGAATATATTCAGTCTGGCAAGACAAAGCTGTCGAGTTACTGTGTTGCAAGAGAGTAAAAGAAATGTGTATTTCTGAACCCCGTGCGTGACACTGAGCTGAGATGGGAAATCTCTCCGAGGTGAGGCTGCTTCTCAAGTCTCCTTGAATCAAGGGGCCGACTCTGACCCACGCACCACCAGGAGACTTTGTATGGTGCATTCCTGGGCCTTTCCCCTCCACCTTGGATCCATTTGTAGCCATCAACTCTTTCCCTGACCCAGAGCCAGCCTCGGGCGGCGTGAGCTGTGCAGCCTCCCAGAGCCCCACACTCAGAAGGGCCCTGTGCTTGCTTTAGTGCTCTGCTGTCGAATATTAAAATTCTTAATAATTTTTTATACAAGGAGACCTGTATTTTCGTTTTACACAGGGCCTCAAAAATCATGTAGCTGGTCTTGCCTCCACTAGACAGTGAGCATCTTAGAGGGAGAAATCCTGTCTTATATTTCATCAAATCCCCAATCCCAACCAAGTGCCTGATAGGCAATTCCATGGGGGATATTCAGTATAGAGACTGAAACCACATCAAGCCCTTTATTCCACAGTCCTCAACATTCCTTCCTCATAATCGCTTATCAAACCCACTCCAGACAAGGCCTGCAAAGCAGGAAGGGCAAGCCAAGTAGGGGAGAGGGAGACTCATTAGTGCAACCGCAAAGAAAGAAGAACTGTGTCCTCCATCTTCTCCAGGTTCAAATGCACCTGTGGAAATCACCTGTGATGTGAGAAAGGTGACGTGTGTTATACCCACAGCTTGAGCAGTCATAGCCCAGGTCTCAGCTGCAAGAGGGAACTACATACAGATTTACTCCAGGAAAATCACTATCCACATGATTTTACAAACTCCCCAGAGATGTGATTTAATAACTTCTCTAGGTAAAAACAGCTTAGCCATCCCATCATTCTTCACCATTTTCCTGGGAGGTAAGACTTTAATAGTTATCCACTTTAACTAGACAGAAATGTAGAGAGAACAGAGCCAGAAGAAAATCGAGAGAAGAAAAAGGGGAAAGAGAAGGAAGGAAGACAGAAATGCAGACAGTCAGGAAGAAAAATGGCCATCGCGGATCACGGCTCATGGCTCACGGCTCACTTCAAGTTCAAACAAGGCCTCTAGGATATCAAACTTCCAGTGAAGATTGTCTAGAAGCTGAGGGCTTCCAGATTATTTTATTCACTTCCCAAAACCTAATAAAATGTAAAAAAAATTTCAACCAAAGAATAGCCATTTGGAGTCTTTGGCATGTGTTTATTAACTTCTATTTTCATGAGGATCAGGGCCCAGAGTAAATCAATGGCATTAATTTGAGGCAGAAAAGAGGGAAGAAATAGAAGATTGGGTGTGGAGGGTGATGAGGAGATTGGAGAGGAAATGTCGCCCAGGGCAGCATTTTCTAATTTGCAGACTTGCATTCAGCCATCCCCCACCCACATGCTCACTCTATTCCTAACAGCATCTTCATCAATTAAGATTCTATGAGACTGGCAAGCTCCAAGATCAACCGTACCATCCACATATTCACTATTCCACTGGCACGGCGAACAATTCCGAATATTAAAAGTAAAGCAACACATTCTGCCATGTCTTTTGTATACAGACAGCTGAAGCTGTGTGAAAGTTTGGCACCAAAAGGCCAAGTACCATATTTTCAGCCACCCACACGCCAAATCCTATAATAACTACAGACTCTAGATGTGAAATTTTCAGACATTTGCAGCAAAGGAAAACTAATAGTCATGTTTCTTCATGGGCTTCTTTTCTGAACAGGGCAGTTTCTCAATTGTAAAACCTCATCAGTGTAAGCTAAAGAGAACAAAGGGTGCTGCGTAGATCTTTTCACCAGATGTCAAATGGTGCTTATTTATTTAAACAGAAACCCCCACTTTGTACATTTGGTTCATTTAGTGGTATGTGCTCTGTAACAAGTATTTTTTATGAGTAAAAAGCTGCCTCCAGTGTGCTTAAGTTACAATAGGGCTTCGGGAAAGTCTGTTAGCTGAGACTAGATATTGCTCTTTTTGCTTTTGGTTGAGATGTAAATTCCACTCCCATCCTCCCTCTATAATAGGGGAAATATTGTAGCTAACGTCATACCAAGACTGATAAGTAATCCTTCTTCTGTGGTCAACTCTAGAAGCAAGGATGTTCAGTCTTGCTGTGCTTTTGAAGGCAGGTGTAGAAGCAACAGAGTATTGATTTTCTCAAAGATAACAACAGAAAATATATTAATTCCCTCCCCTGTGAATATCGGGGCTCCTGTGGCCTGAATGGGCCATAAGAACCTAATGGGTAAGAGCTTCTTTTTCCCACTCGGTGAGGATAATAAAATGATTAACCTGAAACTCTTTTGAACTTTGGCAAATAAGGAGAAAGGAGGATGCTAAATATTTCTATACAAGAAGGGACTCGGTGTCTCCCATTCTACCCATCAGAAAAATGTATTTGCAGGTCAGATCTCTGTCAAGGAGCTTCTCCACCTGTCAGAAATAAGGTGTTTGAGTAACCCTCCTATCAACAAGGTGAGAGACAGTGGACAGAGATGACACCTTGCTGAAATTAGAAATAGGCAAAATACCTCAGAGATGAGCAAATATATGGAGAATTATTCCCAGATTATCAACTAATCAACTCCAGATTCTCCAGATCATAGTGCAAAATGCCAAGCCCCTTAGAAATACAATGGAAAAGAGTGTGTTTACCAGGAGAACTTTGAACAAGTACAAAGAGAATCTGAACATTCTTGGGTAGTTTAAAAGCCCTAAGATAAGAAGCAACTTCCCAGCACAGAATGATCTGAGACACAAATGAGGGGAGAACCTAGGAAAGGGTCAACAGCTCTCACACAATGTAAAAGGGAGAGATGTGTCTAAACTTGAATGAAGACTGTTCACTTAGTTAATGCTTGGTGAAGTTTTCCTCTGCTCCTTGATGAGGAGAAGTTGGCAGCACTGTATGCCCTTTATGAAGTACAGTACATGATTTTATCTAACATAACTTTTCAGTAATGTGTACACAGTTCTCATTCCCTACTGCTCTTCATCCATACTTAATTTTTCTTTTCCAAACCCAAGTTTAATTCATTCAACTTTGTATTACAGTTAGAAATCTAAAAGAAAAGGGACCAAAATAATGTTCTAGTGAAGATGTGGATATCTTTATTTATCAGATATCCATAGATGAATTATCATAGATATCCATGGGCAGAGTAGCACCACTTCCAGAATGCTAACTCAGCTTCAATTTCCATCAATACGCTGGCTTATATTGCTTTTAAAAATCCACCACTACAGGGCCTGGCGTGGTGGCTCATACCTGTAATACCAGCACTTTGGGAGGCCAAGGTGGGCGGATCACCAGAGGTAAGGACCAGCCTGGCCACCATGGTGAAACTCATCTCTACTAAAAATACAAAAAAAATAGCTGGGCGTGGTGGTGTGCACCTGTAATCCCAGCTACGCAGGAGGCTGAGGTAGGAGAATCACTTGAACTCAAGAGGTGGAGGTTGCAATGAGCCAAGATTGTACCACTGCACTCCAGCCTGGGTGACAGAGTGAGGCTCCGTCTCAAAAAAAAAAAAAAAAAAAAAACCACCACTACAAAACACCTGGAAATATGGATCTTTTTTTTTATTCTTTTTTTTGCGTGTGTGAGACTGAGTTTCACTCTTGTTGTCCAGGCTGGAGTGCAATGGCGCCATCTTGGCTCACCAGAACCTCCTCCTCCGGCTTCAAACGATTCTTCTGCCTCAGTCTCCCAAGTAGCTGGGATTACAGGTATACGCCACCATGCCCGGCTAATTTTATGTTTTTAGTAGAGACGGAGTTTCACCATGTTGGTCAGGCTGGTCTTGAACTCTCGCCCTCAGGTGATCCACCCACCTCGGCCTCCCAAAGTGCTGGAATTACGGGCATGAGCCACAGTGCCTAGCCTTTTTAAAATTCTTTTAAGTAAATATCTGAGCTCACAAAAAAAGTAAACAAAAGCTTTGCAGGACAAAAAAAAAAGAAGAAACTGAGTAAAGTAAACCAGAGTAATGAGCCATCTCTGAGCTTTTGACTGTATTGAGAACATTTACTATTCATGAAAATCAAGAGGCTTGTGTCTTAGTGGCCAAATATGGACAGGAGACAAGGCCTTGGGCCCAAACATTGGGCAATTAATGGAATCCCTCTATAAATCAGGGGTTTTCAAAAACTACAATTTCAGAGAAAGAATAAGTTAGAAAAAAAATCAAAGCTTCAGCCCTTAATAGTAAAAAGATATCTTGTCAATCACAGCCTGTATCCCAGGTTTAAAAACAAAACAAGGCCAGGCGCAGTGTCTCATGCTTGTGATCCCAGCACTTTGGGAGGCCAAGGCAGTTAAATCCCTTGAGTCCAGGAATTTGAGACCAGCCTAGGCAACATGGTGAAACCTCATCTCTACAAAAAATACAAAACTTAGTTGGACATGGTGGTGCACACCTGTAGTCCCAGCTACTCAGTGGCTGAGGTGGGAGGATCACATGAGCCTGGGAGGTCGAGGCTGCAGTGAGCCATGATTGTGCCACTGCGCTCCAGCCTCAATGACACAGTAAGACACTGTTTCAAAAAAAAAAAAAGAATAAGGAAGGAGAAACAAAACAAAACAAAAAGCTTCTCTGATATTGGAGAATATGGAGCTTTAGATCTACATTCTGGTCCAGAAACAACTAGGCTGAGATAGAAACATAAAAAGTGGTACCTGACTTGTAACATCCCCTAGAGCACCTAAAAGAACAAAATGCAAAAGCTTCCTGAAGGGACATGTCTTCAATCCAATAAATTCAGGCTACACAGGATTCCCATATAAAAATTCCAGTGAAAGTAAGTTCAACATCAAAAATTACAAAACTGCATGGGAGAAACAAGTTAGCATCAGCAAAATCTATGAGACACAAAAAGTATTAGAATTAGAACCCTGGGAATACCATTGAATACAAAGTAGAAATAAACAGTGAAATTAAACATAGATAAAAGTAAGATCTTATTAGAAAAGATGCAAGACAAAATTTTATCTTTTCTATTCATCTTTTATCTGGAATATTTTAAAAAGAACAATGTAAAATATCTGAAATTAAAATATAGTCATATATGATTTAAAACTTAAAACATGTTTCAAACAGCAAAGAAGACACAGTTAAAAACAGAATTGGAAAACTAGAAGAAAAATGGAAATAAAATAGTCAGAATAGAGCTCAGAAAAACAGAAAAGGAAAACATGAAAGGGAGTTTAGCAAACATGGAAAGGAGAATGATGTGGTCCAACATTTGGACTAGGCGCCTCAACGGAAGAAAATAAAGAGAATGGGGGATAGGTAAGAGATGCTTACTGACAATTTTCCAGAATTGATAAAAGATGCTGATTTTCAGATTCAGGAATACCAAAGAACGCCAAAGAGAAACGAATTTGCACCCAGATATTTTCTTTTCTTTTTCTTTTTCTTTTTTTTTTTTTTTTTTTTTTTTGAGATAGAGTCTCTTGTCACCCAGGCTGGAGTGCAGTGCCACAGTCTCAGCTCACTGCAACTTCTACCTCCCGGGTTCAAGCCATTCTCCTGCCTCAGCCTCCTGAGTAACTGGGATTACAGGCACCCACCACCACGCCTGGCTAGTTTTTGTACTTTTAGTAGAGATGGAGTTTCGCCATGTTGGCCAGGCTGGTCTCAAACTCCTGACCTCAGATGATCCACCCACCTCGGCCTCCCAAAGTGCTGGGATTACAGGCGTGAGCCACCGTGCCCTGCTGATATTTTCTAAATCTTTAAAGCAACCAGAGACCAGAGACAGATTTCTATAATTAATGACAAATTAGACTAACAGGAAATTTCTCAGCAACAATTGATGCCAGAAAACAGTGAAATAATAACTCTTAAAAGGAAAGAGAAAATAATGTTTAACCTATAACTTTATACCCAACTATCTTTTGAGAACTAAAACAAAGACATCTTAGACAAGCACACTGAAAAAGTTTACCAACCATGGTCCCAAATTAAAGAAATGTCTAACAGATGTATTCAGGAAGAACAGAACTGAACCCAGAAGCACGGGCTGAATTGCAAGAACACATGAGCAAAATAATTGATAAATATGTGGACAAATCTAAAAAAAATTGCATAAAACAATATCTATAATAATCGTAAGTAATTCTGGTAGCAAAATACTAAATGTAGAACTAAAAGTCACCATGCTCATTTGAAAGGGGAAAGACGTGGAGAACCCCACATGGGAGTATTTTATATGCTAGGCTTGGAAATGGCACACAGCATTTCCACCGACATTCCGTTGGTCAGCACTAAGCATGAGGCGACATCTATCTACAGTGCCTGGAAAGGAGAGTGCACACAAGAAGACTTGGAAAAAGTTTACTAATGGTTAGCAAAGACTCTGCCACAGGCTGCCCTTTCTTTTTCTAGTAACTTTTTGTAAACAACAGCTTTACTGAGAAATAATCCATAGATCAAAAAGTTTACCATGTTAAAATGTACAATTCAATGGTTTTTAGTATATTCGCAGAGTTGTGCAACCATCACCACTGGCTAATTTTAGAACATTTTCATCACCTCAAAAAGAATCTCCGTAACTATTAAAAGCCATTCCCTTTTTCCCTCTCTCTCCAACCTCTAGCAAACACTGATCTATTTTCTGTCTTCGTGGATTTGCCAATTCCAAACATTTCATATAATTACCTATAAATGTGATGTAATGCAATATGTGCCTTTTCACTCTAGTGTCTTTCACTTATCATAATATAATTTTTTTTAGTTTTTAATTTTCATGGGTACATGGCAGGTTATATACTTACGGGGTACATGAGATGTTTTTTGACACATGTATGCAATGTGAAATGAATTTATCATGATATTTTCAAAGTTCATGTATGTTGTAGCATGTATTAGTACTTCATTTCTTTTCATGACCAAATAATATTCCATTGAATGAACATTTCACATCTGTGTACCCATTCATCAGTTAATACACATTTGAATTGCTTCTACATTTGGCTATCATGAATAATGCTGCTATCAACATTCGTGTACAAGTTTTTGTTTGAACACCTGTTTTCTGTTCTCTTTGGTACATATCTAGAACTGGAATTGCTGGATTATGTGGTAAGTCTATGTTTAATAATTTGAGGAACTGCCAAACTGTTTTCCAAAATGGCTGCAATACTTTACATTTCCACCAGTAATGTAAAAGTACCAATTTCTCCATGTCCTTGCCATTTGTTGTCTATCTTATTTTAGCCATCATATTGGGTGTGAAGTTGAATCTCATTGTGCATTTGATTATCTTTTCTCTAATGACTAGTTATATGACGCATTTTTTCATGTACTTATTGGCCATTTGTATATCTTTTTTGGAGAAATGTCTATTCAAATTGCCCATTTTTAAATTGTATTTTTTGTCATTTTATTGTTGATTTTTCAGAGTTATTTGCGTATTCTGAATGCAAGTCCCTCATCAAATGTATTACTAGCAAATCTTTTCTCCCATTTTGTGGGTTATCTTTTCATTTTTATGATGTCCTTTGAAGCACAAAGTTTTTATTTTTGAAGTCCAATTTATTTTTTTACTGTGTATACTTTTAGTGTCATTTGAAAAAAATGCCTAATTCAACTTCACAGAGATTTATTCCTATTTCTTCTAAGAGTTTTACAGTTTTTGCTCTTACATTGAAGTCTGTTACTTCGAGTCAATTTTTATATGTAGTGTGAGGCAAGGATCTAACAACCTTTTTACTCTTCTTCTCAGGCATAGAACACATTCACTGCCTCCACAAGGGGGACCACAACTAGTCCTATTTGATAACTGGATTCATTGTTAATTTTAAGGCTACTTGTAGTTTTCTCAAACAAATGCTGATATATGTTCAGTGAACAAGGTTTAGTGACCTATGGAAAAAAAAACACAAATTATCTACACTCACAACACACAAAATATAACAGCGGAGTTGGGCCAGGGTAACCATAGTAAAAACCTCATTTTGAAGAGGGAAGAATGAGTAGCACCCACAGGTCACTGGCCCTGGAATCCTGCTAGCAAGTCTATATGAAAGTTATCCACCCTGAGGTGAGTGGTGGAGGAGAATGGAAGCTCCTTGAGTAGGAAGTGCCCTTTTCTTGCTCTCAGAGGAACTCCCTTATGAGTTGTGTTCCTTCAACCCTGAACTCTACTCTCTGAAAGGTGCTTCCATGACCATTGTACTTCATAGATCTGAAGTGAACACTGGAAGAGATTCCCTCCTTAGAAGTTACATGGCTTTCACAATGATGAACACAACTTTTATGGAGAAAATTATAAACCTTTACTTCAAGATATTTTAAAAGAACTGTAACTGGGCTGGGTGCAGTGGCTCACACCTATAAACCCCACACTGTGAGAGGCCGCAGCAGGCAGATCACTTGAAGTCAGACATTCAAGACAAGCCTGGCCAACATGGCGAAACCCCTCCTTTACTAAAAATACAAAAATTAATGGGGCATGGTGGTGCATGCCTGTAATCCCAGCTACTCAGGAGGCTGAGGCAGGAGAATCGCTTGAACCCGGGAGGTGGAGGTTGCAGTGAGCCAAGGTCATGCTGTTGCACTCCAGCCTGGGCGACAGAGCAAGATTCCATCTCAAAAAAAAAGAAAAAATAAAAGAAAAGAAGAACTGTAACTAAAACCCCAGGGGTTCAGTCTAGGTCCTGCTGCCCACCACACAGAATGCCAGTCACTGAGTCAACAAGTATTGCCAGGGAAGAAGGCTTTATTCAGGTACTACCTCAAGGAGAACAGGAGATAAAGTCTTGAATCTCTAATTGGGATGTTTATACAGCAGGGAAGACAGGAAAACAGGAATTAAGGAGGGGAAAGAAGAAACAATGATGAACCAGGGGGTCTGACATCTCATTATGTGGATGTGGGGATCTGATGAGTTTCAGTGCCTTGCCTGAAGGTCAGTTTCCTGAGAAAGGAACTCAGATGAGACAACTGTAAGTTTCAAGTTTTAAAACCAGGGAGGGTCAGTTTCTATGTTTATTTAAACAATAAAAAAAACAGAAATTTTAATTCTATGGGACAAGTAGGCCACTTTCAGAACCAAATAAATGTAGAAATATGGCATATTCTTTGACATATAGCTATCAAGTCTTCCTAGAATGCCTAAATTGATATATAGTTTCAAAATGCAATTCCAATCAAAATCCCAACATGTTGGAATATTATGGAGCCACAGAAAGGAATGAGATCATGTCCTTTGCAGGGACATGGATGAAGCTGGAAGCCATCATCCTCAGCAAACCAACACAGGAACAGAAAACCAAACACCACGTGTTCTCACTTGTAACTGGGTGCTGAACAATGAGAACACATGGACACCAGAAGGGGAACAACAAACACCAGGGCCTGTCCATGGAGCCAGGGAGGTGTTGAGGTGAGGGGGGCATCAGGACAAATAGCTAATGCATGCAGGGCTTAAAACCTACGTGACAGCTTGATAGTTGCAGCAAACCACCATGGCACACATATACCTATGTAACAAACCTACACGTTCTGTGCATGTGTAGGTTTGTTACACTTAAAGTAAAAAATGCTGCTATAAAGACACATGCACACATATGTTTATTGTGGCACTACTCACAATAGCAAAGACTTGGAACCAACCCAAATGTTCAACAATGATAGACTGGATTAAGAAAATGTGGCACATATACACCATGGAATACTATGCAGCCATAAAAAAGGATGAGTTCACGTCCTTTGTAGGGACATGGATGAAGCTGGATACCATCATTCTCAGCAAACTATCACAAGGAAAAAAAACCAAACACCACATGTTCTCACTCACAGGTGGGAATTGAACAGTGAGAACACTTGGACACAGGAAGGGGAACATCACACACCGGGGCCTGTTGCAGGGTGGGGGGAGGGGGGAGGGATAGCATCAGGAGATATACCTAATGTAAATGACGAGTTAATGGGTGTAGCACACCAACATGGCACGTGTATACATATGTAACAAACCTGCACGTTGTGCACATGTACCCTAGAACTTAAAGTATAATAAAAAAAAGTAAAAAGATAATAAAAAAATCACATTGTTACACTTAAAGTAAAAAAAAATAATTTCACCATGTTTTTGTGTGCATGTATGTGTATAACTGAAACTTGATAAGGCAATTGTGAAATTTTTATGAACGATTAAAGAGCAAAGAAACTCCTTAAAAACAGACAAGGGAGAAGGATTTGGCTTGCCAGATATCAAAACTTATAAAAATGTTAAGAGCATGTGGTATTAATGAAGAGACAGATAAGACATAAACAAAACTGATTAATAAAATAAAATAGAAAGCCTAGAAGAAAATCTACTCACACAATGTTTAGAGCTGGCTTTGCATATCAGTGGAGTATAGAATTTTAATAAATAGTTTTGAGATACTGATTATCCATTCTGAAAAAAAATTAAGTCTCTATGTTACACCATCTGAAAAAGAAGGATAAGGATGTATTTTAGGCAGATTAATCCAAATGTGAAAGCAAAATGATAACACTTTGGAAACAACATAGGAGAATATCTTTATTACTTGGAGGTAGGGAATAATTTCTTATGATATGTAAAATACAATACATAATAAAAAGATCTATAAATTCAACTTCACTACATTTATTTTCATATTTAGAACTCCTGAATATCAATAAATAAATGCCTAAAACAATCCAATAGGAAAATAGATAAAATACTTGAAGAGGCACATTACTATAGTAACCTGAATTGCCATTAAACATAAAAAAGATGCTCAGGCATTTTAGAGGTAGGTCAAATACAAACTGACACTACAGTGAAATACTATTTTATACTCACAAGACTGGCAAAAGTTTCAAAGTCTGACAGTGTCAAATTAATGAGGATATGGGAGTTTGATTTAGTACCCCTGCTATGGAAAACACTGATATTAGCTAATAGAACTGAAGATGAGTATATTCTATGACCTATAAATTCCCCTTGTACTTTTGTACCCTGGCAAAATTCTTGTAAACAAATACAAGAATGTTTCTTCACAGAAACACCATGATCACAGAAAAAAAAAAAAAGCATGTCCATAGCAACACTATAATAATAGAAAAAAATGAAAACAAAACAGAAGCAGAAGTAACCCGAATGTCTATCAAAAGTAGAATGAATAAATCAGTTGTCATTCTTTGGTATTTGTGGGAGATTGGACACCCCCCACCAACAGATACCAGAATCCTTGGATGCTGAAGTCTCTTACATAAATTGTGTAGCATTTGCATGTAACCTATGCACATCCTCCCGTTTACTTTAAATCATCTCTAGATTACTTATAATACCTAATGCAATGCCTACACATCACTTCGTTTGTGTGGATTCAACCACCAGTTGTGAGATAAAACATTACTAATATATCAGCTTCGTTCTTTATATTTAAAGTGTTTTACGATTTTAACCAGAATGTATCTTTGTGTGCATTTCTCAGTACTAATTTTGCCAGAAACGCTGTGAATCTTCTGGCTTCTCAGTTTTAGATCATTTAAAAAATTGGAAGGAGGCAGGGAGTAGTAGCAGACTCGTCCATAATGAGCTACTGCAAATTGTGCTCTTGATATTCCTTCTTTATATCCTTAGCCTCAAACATTTTACACTTAAATACTCTTCCAAATGAAGGTTAATGGCAGTTATGGAGAGATAAGACCCAGGGAATGCATAACACTAAGTTGGAATATGAAAAAAGAACTGTTGGCATCTCTTTAGCAGTATGTCAATAAAAACATCGGAAGAGAGCTAGTAATGCTGAATTGCATCAAACTATCTTCTGCTCTAAGTCAAAGCCTGATTTATGTGTCCCAGTCTAAGGACGATTCTGTGTTAAGAGTTAGGCAAAATTCACCTGTAGGTCACCCTCTTCTCTTCCAGAATTTTCCATGATGAAATAATATTTTTCCTCATTGGTGTCTCAAGTACTCATGGCATAATAGCCAAATTTGCTCTGTGAGCTTTCCAGTTGACAGCATGGAGTCAGCCCAGTGCGGTGCATGGACTTTGCAGCCATCCCCCATGCACATCTATGTGGCTTTGGGAAACTGGTGCCATCTCTTTTTGCCTTGGTTTTCTGATTTCAAAATAGGAGAGATTGTCATAGGGTTGTTCTGAGGGTTGAACGAATCAATATACAAAGCGCCCAGCACATAGTAGGTGCTCCAGAAAAGTTAGTTGTCTTCCCCAGTCACTCTCTTTGCACTGGTGACTAAAGTCCTCCATCCCAGTATTCTGAATATCTAATTAGAATGTTCGAAGGCTAGAATCTGACATTATTAAAGAAGGAAGATTAACAGAGCAAGGACACCTAGATTCCTACTCTTACTGCTTATGATTATTGTATGTTTTCAAAAAATCCTTTATGAGCATTTAGAGTAGTTTTCTGTTGAATGAGCTTTACACTACAAACAACTTTATATTTAAAATTTTTGTGAGAAACTAGAAATTCAGTCTCAGCATGGCTTGAGATCATAAATAAATGAATGATAAAACAAAGCTACTAAAAATGAATGTGAAATCTCAGAGATTAAGGAACTTCATTTGATTTTTACCTACACATTTTAGAAAACATTTTAAAGATGCTTGAATTCTTTTTTTAAATTTTGTGTTGTGAAATATAGATAATATTTTGGCAAACTGGGAAACAAATAACTATTTTAAGATTGGTTTCATGAGGCTTCATCACAGTCAGCTGGTGTTTATTTGTGTCTCCCAAGTGTGTGGCTTTCCATTTTTCTTAGCACAACATTAAATAACATGAAAATTGTAATTCTTGCCCTCTAAGGGTATACATTCTAGGATATCACATTCATTTGGGAGAAAAGTATTCTTTCATTTTGAAAACAGTAGGCAGATGGTTTAATCCACTGGGTTTAGTTCCAAACAAACAAACAAAAACATTTTTTGAGGTGTAGAAAAACTAAAAGAAACAGATAAAAACATGTCGAGAGTTTTACATATAGTTTGGCTCCATGAGAACTTTCAATATTAAGGGTTAAATGTGCATATTATTTACACATTTATCCTAAGTCATCAGCTTAACATTCTTCAGCTTCCAAAAGATTCCATTGAACTCAACAAGTATTTTTTCAATACCTACAATGTGCCTGGTTGCTACACAGAAATTCTACTATCATTGGTTTGCTTAATATTTATAGAACACCCACCATGTGCCTGACAAAATTCTAAGTCCTGAGACAAGAAGCTTGAATAATACCAGCTTCCTGTCTATTCATCCAATACCAGTGTTGAGCTGTTTTCTAAATCTCAAACATGAATAAAGATGCAAGGAGCCTTGATTTGTGTTTTGTCCAACATTTTCACAATGAAAACTACTGAGGTAATGTCAGAATGTATGTTCTATGCGTTATGAGACTATAACGTACATGCTGAAGGTTTCCATAATTATTTGAAGGCAGTTGCTAGCTAGAGATGGAGATTAATACCATCACTAAATTCCACCCATAACTTCAGTTCCTAATTAAAATCCGAGATTCAATAATATTTGCTACACTTAGAAATAAGGACAAGAAATACTGAGTGCAATAAAATAAGGAATGCCCTTTAAATAATTGATTCTAAAGCAACAGAGAAAAGAGAGAAATGCTGCAAGATAACTTCCTAAGAAGTCTCTCATCAATAAATCTATTGCTGTCTCTTGCCTGCAAAATACCTGCAAGATTTCTCATTGTGTTGAGATACAATCACTCCACATAAATCACCTCCTGCTCCCAGAGCTCAGACACAGGTCACATTTCTGACCCTGACACTCAGGAAGCTGAGCTCCTTCTCCATGCGCAACTACTCCTTCAGGCACATTTTCTATTCTCAAACTAGTTCCCCTTTCATTTGCTCCCAAAACCCTTGTCTTAGTCCTTCATAGCATTTTTCACAATTGTAATTAAGTAATTATTTGTTTAGTGTCCTTTTCTTCCATTAAATTGTGAGGCCCATGAAAAGTGGAACCAGTATTGCTATACAGACTTGGTCCATGTTTTTTCTTTTTTACAACAATATGCCCATTATTGAGCATGGTGCCTGGCACATAACAATAAACATTTAATGTAGGCATAAATCAGTGAATGAATGAATAAATGATGAATGGATCAATTTCCCATGTTTAGTCAGAACTACACTAAAGGGCTCATTATGAACTCATCCTTGAGCTGAATCTATCATTGAGTAGGATCCCAGAGTGGGAGCTGATCAAAATCATGAAAGACACAATCCCAAACGCCATAATCCGGAATGTTGAAATCCTGAAAGAACAAAGTCCCCAATATCTAAAATCCTGAAAATCACAATTCCAAATGACCATATCCCAAAAATATAATTCTGGAAAAAATATTTTTAAGTTGATGTTCACTTACATGTTTTAAGTAGAATTTGTTGTAGAAACATAAAAACATGACAGAAGACATTTTAGGCCACTTTACACAATAAAATAGACAATAACATACATATTTTTGCAATCATAAACACTCAGGTATACTAACAATAGTTGCATGCATATAACAGTTCAGGGAAGATGCACTGTATACATGAAGAAATAGGTAAAAAGGCAAAATACATAAATGCATATCACGATGGTTGATAATTGTGTGCACCCAGCTTTATATCTGCCGTCATCTAAAATACCACAATGGACAACCTAAGTCTCTCAATGACAGTGATCAAACACTGCAATAGGTCAACACTGCATATGCAGTCTCTCAAAGAGCCAAGATTGAGAAATTTTTTCATAAATGCAGATGTACAAAAAGAACAGCTCTTTATTTATTGAGGAAGTTTCAATCTTTTTACATATACACCCAGTGCTTACACACAGTCAATGTTGTGATAATGCACTTTTGAGGAGTCGAATTTGCAAAAAATGCATAAAATTAATAAGAACTCTTTAAAAATCTTTATACAATTTGTACCTCCAGTGTTGGAAATGATATGAAGATAAACTATACAGCAGAGAAAATTGTAAAAAATGATGCAGACAATTTAAAATAGTAGGGGAAAAACTAAAATAAGAAAAAGACCAAAACAAAAAAACTAAAAAGAAAATGTGACATGTGAAAAAGTGTATTACGGGATAGATTATGAGCAATGGATGGAGGTAGTCTATAAAAGCTGGCCAACTTTCATGATCATTAACTATATTTTGAAGTCTTGCATCATGATGAATAGCTATGTTTTTTCTTTTATCGCATCACTTTCCTCGGAGAATATGTTCACAATCACTTTCTATTTAGTGCTGCTCTTTTTGAAATCCTTCCACGACTCGATATACACCAACAAGAGCATTACCCATTACATTTTTTTGTCGTCTGTGCTATGTTTCTATGTTGTTTTGTGTACATGGAAATCTATTCTGCACGCACTCATGTACAGATCACAGATTTGGTGGAAACAGTACTGGTGATCAAAGAACAAAACCATTGCATATTTTCTTACACTATTGTGCAAATTCATTATTTTTGAACTGGTTGGTAACTTCGATACCTCATTTAGGAAAATGTGGTTTTAATTAAAATCTCCTGGAATTTCATCAGCTGAAAGAAATGTCAATGCAGAAAAATGATGCATTTTTAAAGTGAAGTTTTAGTCATTGCCATATTGCGTGGTCAGTCCATTCATTTGAATTTTCTGCCAAATGTGAATAAAGACAACAACAAGGTAGTTGTTCCACCTAACATGATGCAACTAACATTATCAGCCCCACAACCAAAGATGAATGAATTCCTTTGCCAGAATTCGGCTTTCAGGATTTCAACATTTGGGATTTTAATCTTTTAGGATCATTACTTTAGGGATCTTAATTTTAAGGATTTTGATCTTTCAAGAGTTCAACATCCTGGATTACAGTATTCAAGATTGTGTCTTTCAGGATTATAATCCAACCCCCACCCCCATCACCACCACAACCACCGGCCCCGCCAGAGTCACTCACTTGAAATGGCTTTGTAGTCAAAGTAGACTTTCCATTAGCAAGTATGAATTGAGAACACTTTTGTAATTCTATTACTTAGCATGTTGCCTGATACATAATAAGCGTTTTGTGAATATTGGATGGATGATGGGATGAATACAGGAAAGAAACCAAATCTGATCATTAGATTTGTCTACAGTTATTTGTCCTTTGGAATAAGCATAATCATCATCCTCATCAAATGAGCTAAATCTATTTACACAGATTTGAAAAAGTGCAGGGAGATTAAAGGATAGAGAAAATAAAAGGAAAAAACCATATGTTCTCTCTGAGCTCTTAAAGTTGTGTTATCTGCAGTACACATTTGGCAGGTATATATTGTTGTGTTAGTTAACGTTACACGTGTGTAGGATTTATCACCCCAACTACATTATCAGCTTCTTAAGATCTAAAAACATAACTTATAATTACCTATATCTTCCCCTCAACTTCCACTTTTACATCAGCTGGCTTAGCACCTGGCACTTAAGAAGTACTCAGTAAATATGGAATGTAGCATGACTCAGCGCTACTATATTCAGCTAAAAGCTGAGTGGCCAATTTATTCTCATGTGCTATGGATAAATGCTAGTTTCATCTCCCTGAGCCTTACCCAGCCTTTATCCTGAGGTTCCAGTCTCTGATTGACATCATGATACTATTCTCTGGGTTGCAAACACTGGTCATAAAGATGGATAAGGAAAAGATAAAAAGTTGTCAACTCAGAGCTCAAGTCACTAAAATTCTAAATTACAGTAGCAATTGTGACAATAATTATAATAAAAGTAAGTTAAAAATGATCATTGCTAGTTGTGATTAGAATAGGTATGTTTTAACAATGTATTTTGCTCTAATAATTAACTCAGAAAGAGTTTAGTATGCAGTTTCTGAAATAAAAGACATCTGAGAGGTTCATATATTTGTGTTAGGTTGCTGAAATCCAAAAGAATAAAATATCATATTATCAAGTTTAGAAGTGTGATAAATTGTTCAAATTTAGTTGTTAAAAGTTCTTGGCCAGGTGCAGTGGCTCACACCTGTAATCCCAGCACTTCAGAAGGCCAAGGCAGGTGAGTCACTTGAGGTCAGGAATTTGAGACCAGCCTGGCCAACATGGTGAAACCTTGTCTCTACTAAAATTACAAAAAATTAGCTGGGTATGGTGGTACGCACCTGTAATCCCAGCTACTAGGGAGGCTGAGGCAGAAGAATCACTTGAACCTGGGAGGCGGAAGTTGCAGTGAGCCGAGATTGTGCCACTGCACTCGAGCCTGGGCACAGAGCAAGACTCCATCTCAAAAAAAAAAAAAGTTCTTATATGCCAGTCCCAGTGGCTCATCCTATAATCTCAACACTTTGGGAGGCTGAGGCAGGAGGATCACATGAGCCCAGATGTTCAAGACCAGCCTGGGCAACATTGTGAGACCCCATCTCTACAAAAAGTTTAAAAACTAGGTAGGCATGGTGGCATGTGCCTGTAGCCCCAGCTACATGGGAGGCTGGAATGGGAGGATTGCTTGAGCCCAGGAGATTCAGGCTGCTGTGAGCTATGATCACACTACTGAACTCCAGCTTGGGCAACACAGTGAGACCCTGATTCAAAAAAAATTCTTATAGAAAAAAAAATTGTTTAAGGAATAAAGCACTAGATTCCATCAAGACCAAATAACTGGGAAGGGAGGGAGGAAGGAACAAAGAGGCTACAAAATACTGCAAGATTCTCAGATTTTGCCAGTCTTTGACCTTGTTGCTCTGCTCACATCTCAGTACTGAGCAGCCTATCACCTGCAGATTCAGCTCAGTTGGATGTTTGACCCAACCCGGCACACCTATACAAAGCTGGATTAGCCTGTGTGCTAATCTCCTTGTGCCTAGGCATGAGATGTATCCCTCCTTCAGTAAAGACTATTGAGCATGCACCTGCCTCCTATACACATATCTTTATTTATATGTAAACTATATATGAGTTATGCTGTAGTAATATATACATCATAGGACATACATAAGGATATATATATATTTTTTAATTCTCATTGGCTTTTATTTGCAATCCTAGAATTGGGAAATGCTTCACTTTATACAATAGAATGAATGTTCCCAAAAGAACAATTTTTTTAAAGAATGAGATAGTGACCCAGATAGCCCAGTCAGTAGAGCATTAGATTTTCAAAGAATAAGATAAAAACAAATGTAAACAGCAGTTCTATTATGTCTTCACTCCTGTGAATCACCGCATACTCCTTGGGACAAATACTCTTAGCTTGGAGACCTTGTGTGAAAGTTGCCCTTGCAAGCCCCCCTTGTGTGTTTCTCATCAGGATGACTGTGCTTCTGCCTTGGCTTCTTGATTTGCCCTCTGGTTTCCTCTTCCTACCTGCCCACCAAGGGCCACCCCTCTCTTCTGAACCTACACATCCAGACTCCTAAAACTCTGATTTTTTGTTTGTTTGCAATCCCTTATTCCTGGGAGCATGGACCTTGCTCTTAAACCTCAGTCACAGACCAGGGCTTTGATCTGCAAACATACAGAACACCTGCAACCACCAAGGTGCCACTGACCTGGCTCGAGCATTGGCTCTACCTGGAAATTCATGCTGTCATAACAAACCCTTCAGAGTGCTTGGCTACCACAATGCTGCTCCTCAAGAAGTAAAACAAGAGTTCTTCAAAGAAAGCAACCATCTAGTGTTTCTCATAACAACAACACGTACTCTCCATTCTCTACTCCTGAGTCACATGATATACAAGCAGGGATGTGTCAATGTGACAGACTATAGCAGCACAAATCCGAGTGTTTATTACAATACATGTCTAATATATCTTTGGTGTTGGCTATATTGACTTTCCTATTAATCGTTAGCATACTAATTAAATAAATATTCATTTATTACCACATTTTAGATTAGATTGGCTTTTCCCTCTTTTTGCCATCTGGTGTGTCTTCTTCTACCACAGTCTCTTTCAAATAAGTAATCTAAGGGTTATAAAACTCTGTGAAAATGCATTAACCAATACCACAGTTAAACAAAAGCTTTCAAAGGACAAGAAAATCACTTTGTTGAGGTTCCTGAAGTTTCAGTCAGCTTTTAGTGTGATATCAACAATTAGACTAATCCATAGTGTTCAACAGCCCCAAAGTCACAGTGTAATTTTGATTCTCTGAAATCAGGAGTGAGAGACTCAGAGGTCTGGCCTCAGCTTCTCTTCTCATGCTTATATTCTTTCATTCTTGAAATTCTCCTTTGATAAGAGTCTGTTATTCTCATCAAAGGAGAAATGTAATAAGCAGATTTAAGATAATCTTGTGTCCAAAGAGCTATTTGTAAGGGTCATGAAGTATGTCTAGATTTGATTATCTCACAGGAAGTGTGCAATAAAGAAATAAAGAAAAGGCAGGAATAAAAAGTGTCCTACACATATACACAAAAGGAAAAACTGCAAAACAATCCTAAAACAAAATCTAAATACAAAGCATTCTAAACAGGGTAGCTATTACTAAATTGACACAAAGGAACATTGAGAATGAAAGTATAATCATATTTAACAATTGCTTTATATCTCACCTTATAAGCCAGGGAATTATAAGAAAAATCCAGGGCTAGATAAAATGATAGTATGAAAGGTGAAAATAAAATAGGAACTTTCACCAACACTGCATTGTTTCAACAAGGAATAGTTCATTATTAGAGAATATTAGTGAAACATAAACACTTCCAGTTTGATTATTATATTTTTCAGGTCTAAAATTTCTAGTTCATTCTCTTTCAAATATGCAAGATCACTTTTTATAGTTTCCAATTCCTTGCTGAAATGTTTAAGTCTGAGTTTTCCCTTCATAAGCATAATATACAAGTTTATGTCAATTTGCTTTTGGTAATTCCACTATCCAGGTGACTCATGAGTCTGTTCCTGTATTCTGTTATTTATGGAGGTTCTGATTCATGTTTTCTTGTCTCCTTGTGTGCCTAGTTATCTTTAATTGTGTAATAGATGTCATAGTTGAAAAAAACAAAAAGACTTTACAGTAATAATTTGAGGCTAAGTATAATCTTTCTCTTCCTCCAAGGAAGGATTTTTCATTTGCTTCTGCTGGGAAGCCAGGTACTAGCAATCTAAGATCCATTTGACCAACTTCAGACCTTCAGAAGTTTGGGGGCTCCCAGAGGACTTGAAGCCTGCTTAGGATCCATGAAAGCGTTGGTTTGTGTCTGGTTTACTCTCCTGCGATGCAGCCCTTTGGTTCCCCATCGTCAATCTGGGTGTTCCCATGGATCACCCATGGGATCGCTGGTCTCCAGCTTTAATCCCATCTCCCCTGGGAAGCTATCACGAGCACTGCTCAGCCACCTGTTCCGGATTGGCAAATGTCCCTCCAAGCAGAAGTCATTCCAAAAGCCAGACTCAAGTTTATGAATTTCTATCTTCTTTCAGGTCTTGCTAAGGTAATTCTTTACTATCTTTTCAGTACTTGGGTGTTTTTCGAAAGATTTTTAAATATCTTACCCAGCTTTTTCAATTTCAATAAGAATGCTGATCCAAATTACCTAGTCTAACATTTTAAAAGGTCAGAAATCTAGACATACTTCAATTTTAAACACCTGCTGAAAATGGAATGGGAAAGCAAGCAGTCAATAGATATCATTGTTCTTTTAAACAACTATTGAATAACTAATATATGTCAGTCTTACTTAACAATATGTATTCCAAAGAAATTATTCACACAAATTTTAAGGTGGATTTTATTCAAATCTGTTTTAAAATTATAAATAAATAAACCTCCACGTAATAAAAATATTATTCACTCAACAAATATTTATTGAGGATTTATTATGAGCCAGTCACATTTTAGGTGCTGGGGATACATCAGTGAAGAAAACAAAAAAGATCCCTGCCCATGTGGTGCTTCTATTCTAGTAGCAATATATGACCAAAAAAATTAACATATAAAACAGTAAAGTAGATGGTATATTATATATTGGTATATAGTACATTAGAAGGTAATGAGTATTATAGAGTATAATAGAACTGAGTAAGATATTAAAAGAGTCAGGAGAGGGAGAAGGTTTATAATTTTTCCAGATTGGACAGAGTAGGCTTCATTGAAAAGATGAAATTTGACTAGGCTTGAAGGTGAAGAAAGAGTTGCCCATGTGGGTATGTGGGGGCAGATGGAACAGCCAGAGGGGAGACACTAAGTGTGACTGTGTCCATCCTGATCATGAAACATCTAGGAACCATAGGGCTAGAGTAGAATGAGAAAGTAAGAGAGGAGGTGAGGAGGAAAGAATGAGTTAAGAGAGATAGTGGGGGGTGGAGGGTGAGGACAGGTCTTATACAGCCTTAAGGACTGCTGTGAGAACTTCAACTTTTAATAGCACTGAACACAGAAGGGATTTGATCATTCTGACTGGGACATTGAGGATTTGTGGAAAGAAAAACAGAAGCCAAGATAAGAGCCCACTGCAGTAACACAGATTATGCAGTCTCAATATACTTTCTATGTATTTTCAAGGTAGAATCCATGAGATTTTTACAAATTAGATATGGAATGTGAGAAAAAGAAAGAATGCAAGTACATGTCTCCATGATTTTTAGCCTGAGCCACCAGAAAGGTGGAATTGCCATCTATTGACAAGGTGAAGGCAGAGGGTAGAGCAAGTCAGGGAAGAAGATTGGGAGTCCAGTTTGGGTTGCATTTGAACATGTCAACAAAATAAAGGGAGACATATATCCAAGTTGGATATACAAATTGGGAGATAACGTGAGAGACCTGAACTGGAAATATAAGTGTGGGACTCTTAAGCTAACAGTTTATATTTAAAGCCATGAGACTCAATGAGGTTCTCAAGGGAACAAAATAGACAACAAAAATGTGAAAGACTGAACACTAGAACATAAAGAGGTCCCAATATCTTTCATATATATTGTTTGGAGAGATAAAAAGAAAAAGCTGAATGAAGGACAACAGAAGGACAATTTGAGAACAATAAGAGAGAATATACAAAATTAGAAAAACAGAGGAAGTATGGCCAGTGATTATTCCCCCTCTGGCCATCCCTTGCCAGACACTGTACCTCTCTCCACACAGTTCCTTGACTTTCTTTGAGCTAGAAGTAGATGTCATTTAGCTAGGCAAGCCAAGACCATCAGTATCCCACACCTCTGAAATTTTCTACAACACTAAAGGAGATTTTTCAGAATCATTAGATACAGGAGAGACCAAAAATAAGTTTTCATCTACTGACTCCACAGTCATGTAAAAAAATGTGACAAGGTTGAACTTCATCTCCAGTATCACTCCATGTCCCTCCCTCTCTACCTCCCTTCCATACAATGACACCAAATCTTCAACCCAGTGGATACCCAGTGACTTCAAACTAATACCTTGAATGCTCTCATCTCTATCAAAATGTACCTGTTCTGAGTTTTAGAACATCACAGACTTATCCTCCACTAGAAAACAAAGGTGCTATCATCTGAGAGTGATTTAGAGTGCAATTCTACTCCAAAACATTTGCACTTAACAGCAGCTTTCAGAACTACTCCATTGATTACAATGGACTGACTGTGTCCCACCAAAATTCATATACTGAAATCCTATGTGATGTTATTTAGATGTGGGGCCCTAGAGAGCTAATTAGGTCATGTGCATTGAGCCCTCATGAATGGGGTTAGTACCTTTTTAAAAGGGACCCCAGATAGCTCTCCAGCTCTTTCCCACATGTGAGGACAGCAAGACAGCCATCTATGAACTAGGATGAGGGCCCTCACCAGACACTGAATCTGTCAGCATCTTAATTTTGGATTTCCCAGCCTCTAGAATGGTGAAAAATAAATGTTTGCTGTTTAAGCCACCCAGTTTATGGTATTTTTTTTATAGCAACCAAAATAGACTAAGACACTGATTAAAGTGAATGAGATAAGGGGTTTTTTGGAACCATGACAAAGCTTCACCAGAGAAATGAAAGGAGGGATGAGCATACGCCCCCACAAGAGGTCCCGCCTGGAACTGTTCACAACGAATGCTGCTAATCCCCCTGGCTGGTTGAGGCTGGGCAGTCCTCTTCTTAGAATACCTAACAGGACATTTTAATTTGAGATTTCCTATGAGCAAAATAAAACCACTTGACAAACACTGAGCTCACATGATGAAATGAAGTAAATTCAGATTACCAGTGAATCTGGACATTGATTTTATTTAAATATTAAGTAGCATCATCTGAAATGACCTGTTTTAGGTTAAAAAAAATCAAATATTGGCCTTTTCATTTGATTCAATCTAATAGACATATGTACATGTTTATTTTAATACACAGACATAACAATTTTGTGGCTTCGTTGGCAAAGTCTAACTACTTATGTGACTACATAAATCTGCATATCACTGGAATTATTGCTGGAGACATGTGTCTCTTTGAATGTGAATGAACTCGGCAAAATGCGTTCTATAGAATGCCTTCTGCCACTGGTATGGTGGAGGTCTTAGGGCTAATTATTTAAAGCTGACTGCAGCCTGTAAGATTCTTACCCACACTAAGAAGCCCTTCCTGCACTCCTGTTTGACCCTTTCAAGCCCATCTCATAATGTGATGAGTGTTCTCATCTTAGCATCGCTGAATGTAACCTACTGCTTTAAGTTCCTTTCCTTACACTCAACAATATAATTTTGCTACTCTGACTAGAAGGACATCTGTGGGTCCTCGTATTTTTTTTTCTAAAAAGGAGGATTCTGCTTCCTAGCAGTTGTGCAACCTTTGTCAATTCCCTGTGATAGACCCTGAGTAGATTCTCATCCCACCTGTTTCTTCTTCTTCCTGGAATCACAAGGTACCAGGCTTCCTTGAAATTAGATGTGGCCATGTTGCTTAGTGAAATGTGAGTAAAAATGGTTTATGTCGCCGCTGGACACAGCAGTTAGGAACACCCACTACTTCTCCACTTTCTCTCTGACCTCGGCTCCCAGCCAGGTGCAGAGATTCCATGGGCGGACTCTGGGACCCTAAGGATGGCAGATCCATTAGATGAAAAGAGCCTGTGTCTCAAATGAGTCTGTGATCCTCTCTGGGGCTCTCACTGGGTTGAGTGAGAAACAACCCTTGATTGTGTTAGATGACACAGATGTTTGGAGATATTAACAGCAGTTAGCCTACTCTGTCTAATAAACTCCCTAATATTTTATTTCCTCATCTGTAAAATTTTCAAAATTATAGAACCTACCTGGTAGAGTTGATGTTAGGATTAAATGAGATAACAAATGTAAAGTGCTTGGCACAGGATAAAACTATATAAATGGTGGCTACTTTGTAATTACCACCATTATCATCATCATCATCGTGATCTCTCTCTCACATTTTGGAGGAAACATTTTCTATGATCCTAAAAATAGCCTAGGGTTCAGAAAATAGCTTTTTGGCAGTGCTCAATGGACAGCATACTTCCAAGACCCAATATCTGACCTGTGTAGTAGTGTAACAGCAAAGCTAATGGGATATTGATAAATCTTTTCTGGCTCAGAGCAGTTTCCATTGGGTAAGGTTAGATTTTAATGCCTATCATTTACTGAATAATTTAAATCATTATTTCCAATTGCTCTTGGGCATGCATATTTGTAAAATCCTCTTAGAGATACCATCTGATATAATTCGTTTGCTATAAATCACATGTGTAGCAAGAAACTTTGCATGCCATGCATGTTTTATCAATGCTTGTTGATTGACTAAGGAGTATTTCTTTTTTTAGTCTCAAGTTTCCTAATGATTTCCTAAAATTTATGCTCACCAGCTCCTTTTTTCAATGAAATATTATTTGTCACTTCAATTAATATCAACAGAACACATCCATTTTTCCAACTACAGTTTCTCAACACATCACGAGATAGTAAGTATGAATACACAGCAGCATAGATTATAGCACTAATAATTAGATTTAGATAACTTACTCATACTAGCCAACTTCAAAAACAAATTTGTGTTGATCATCAAATGTAACTTTATAAGTTATACAAGTAGTTCTTCCTAAGGTAAAATATAATTTAAGCAAATGTTGAAAGGAAAATAAAAATAAAAACCCAAGCTCCAAATTGAAATAAGCAGTCTTCTAACATACTCTCCAAAAGTCCCTAAGACCTTCCCAAATACATAATATTACTTTGCATGTATTGTATCTTAGCTTTATCTCTATACCCAACATATCTGAATGCACACTGGAGCATTATGGCTTGTGTTGAAACCACAACAAATGTCAAGAATCACAGGCTTGCTTTACATTTAGCTAACTACTTAAATCTATAGCTTAATTAGAAATCATGTTTTATTTTGCCATGCCTTTTTCTAAAAGTAAATTAAGGTGGTTTATAAACACGTACAAAAAATTACTTAAATAATCTTGCTGAGGAAGTTAAGACTATAAACCAATTTAAAATCTTGACTGTTTGCATCAAGCAATTCCTGAAAACCAATTTACCTGAATAAGCAATTGGCTCATCTGGGCAAATAACTTTTCTACCAGCACATAATTTGCTCACTTGAGCCAAGAGCTTCCTTTTTATGCAACAGTTCAATTATGAAGACTCATTTTAAGACCTTGCTGTATCCACCAAGACTAAATTATTATGTCATGTATTTTGCCAAATTTCAATCTGTTCCCCACCTTGAAATTTCTACCTTAATCTATTTGAATCTACTTACCAAGACTTTATACATTTATCACCTGATCCTTCACTGCCTTCCTAAGCAACTACAATTGTCCGTTATTGCAGTAAGTTTAATAAAGTATTGCTTGATCAATAGTTTATGCCAGTGGTCTTTTGGGGAACCAGAAACCAATAATCTGGTAAGAAATAAAATGCACAATATCCCATTTTTGTCTTAAAGTCAAAAGGAAATTTCTCTAAATGTTAAAAAGTTAATATGGGGCTATAAAATCAGCCTTTAAAATTATACATAATATAATGGAATTAAGCAAATATTCAGAGAAAATTAACCAAAGAGAAAATAGGGGGGAAATTTAAATAAAGCCATTGAGGGAGGTTGAAAAAAGCAACAAATAAGGTGAAGTCCTAAACACTTTCTGAAGATTAGCCACAAATTTTTCTCTGAGCTTCCTAGCAACCAGTGCAAAAAGAGAAACATGACCAGTTACATAAGTCACAACGTTCACAACTGTAACATTGTGAACAATGCCCAGATGAATATCCTAACCCTAAACAAATGTAATAAATTTCACAGGGCTATTTATTTTAACCTACACAAATATTTTTTTTAAATTAAGTCTCAATGGGACAAATGTCAAAATAAAAGATCATAATATCTCTTAACAAGTCTGTAGAAACTTGGGCATGGCCACAATATAATGCTATTATTTGGAGATAAGTAGAGCTGGATTAATAAAACACTTCCTAGAAGATTGGTTTGGAGTGTGTTTTTAAAGGCTAGAAATGATCCAGGAAGGTAGATGTTTCTGGACAAAGCATGATGGGAAATGTCTGAGAATGAGTGATCCAAGAGGCGAGAAGAACAAGAAAGTTCCTTTGACAAGAAGAGAGTGGGATTTGACAGGAAAGTCTGGTTAAAGAAGGCAGGAAGGGAAGGAAGGAGGTGGGTTCAGTTGGATGGGAGGGATGGAGGAAATGTAATGACAGACGATCTCTAAGCACTCTCAACAATACTTGGTATTTGATTCACTGAATATTAAGAAATAGAGAAATAAATTGACAAAGAATGTAACATGAGAGCACATTGGTTAGTGCTAGTGGTTAGTGAACCACTCTAACTGAAACCCACAAACAACTGAATGAGTAAAATCAGGAAAGAAGAGACTCACATGTGAGAGAGATTCCGTGGTCCAGCGGAATTCAGCTCTGTAATTGGGGACCTCAATTTCCTTCTAGTTTGTGAATTTATCAAGGGGAGAGTGGGAGAAAGGGCAGAGGAGTTCGGAAGATGTCCTGAATTTTATATCTTATTTATCTGTATTCACAGTGTGCAACACAAGAATGGCATGTAACCTACATTCAAATTTCAGTTTGTTGTTGGGAAAAAGTACAAAATTCAATTCATTGAATTAAAATATTTATGGTGGCATATTTTGTAAATGAGTGGATGGTAAGGTAAAGAAAGAGAGGCGTGAAATGGTATGCCAAATATTGTACTAGAGAACAGAAAGAGAATAGTGGTTTGAACTGGAAAGGCAAGTTTGGTATTGAGTGTCTATATCTACAGAAGTATTTGTCATGTTTCAAGTGGCAATGATTCAATCAAGTATTTGCATTCTTATGGCAAAAATGGAAGCGTACTTCAGCAAAGAGTAATAGACAAGAATCATAGATAAAAATCATGACATCATCTGTATACAGAAGCTAATTAAATTTCAGAGAATTTGTGATCTTTTTAAAGAAGAGAACAGAAACGGAAAATAGTAATAAAATTTAGTTTAATGGAAGGAATGCTCAATTGGGAGTCAAAAAACTATGCATTGGATCCCACCCCTAGTGCAAGTTCCCTCTCAGATTTCTGTTAAGTCTCTTCTCCTCTTGGTCCAGGTTTCCTCAACTGTAAAATGGGGATGAGGAAGATAAGCTCAGTGGTTTTCAAAATGTGCAGACACCAGGGGTTTCTGGAAGGAAGGTAAGGCCAACAGGCCAGGTCTCAGGCCCAAGACCCAAACCTGTTGTTAGCAAAATAGATCTACTCTAATTTTTTTGTTTCTTTGTTTCTGTTTGTTTTTCTTTTTTGAGAGGGGGTCTCACTCTGTCTGTTGCCCAGGCTGGAGTGCAGTGGTGCAATCTCAGCTCACTGCAACCTCTGCTTCCCAGGCTCAAGCAATCCTCTCACCTCAGCCTACAGGCATGCACCACCAGGCCTGGCTAAGTTTTTGTATTTTTGTAGAGACGGGGTTTCACATGTTGCCCAGGCTGGTCTTGAACTCCTGGACTCAGGCAATC
Organism: Homo sapiens; assembly: GCF_000001405.40. Lineage (NCBI taxonomy): Eukaryota > Metazoa > Chordata > Mammalia > Primates > Hominidae > Homo > Homo sapiens. The sequence continues at coordinate 65,485,407 of NC_000008.11, forward strand.
CTCCTGCCTAAGCCTCCCAAAGTGCTGGAATTTCAGGTGTAAGCCATGCACCTGGCCTAACTCTAACTTTTGCTGTAGCAAGAGGCTCTCTTGTATGAATTCTTTAGAAGAAAGAGACCTACAACTTTCAAAAAACTGAAAAACAACTAGACTGGATTATTTCAATTGCCCTCACACCTCTAATAAATCCCACTAAGTCAGTAACATACTTGAGTAAGAAGTGTAAGCAGGTACTATCACTTCCATCTTAAAGACTACAAACACAGGAGAACGAAGCAAACTCTCATTGATGGTAATGCCAAGACTAGCATCTAAGTCAGCTGACTATCAAACCAGGGTTCATGTTTCCAAAACTTTTAAAGCACTTTCTTTTAAGGTGGTTCACGCCTGTAATCCCAGCACTTTGGGAGGCCGAGGCAGGTGGATCACCTGAGGTCAGCAGTTTGAGACCAGCCTGACCAACATGGAGAAACCCTGTCTCTACTAACAATACAAACTTATCTGGGCGTGGTGGCACATGCCTGTAATCCCAGCTACTCAGGAGGCTGAGGCAGGAGAATCCTTGAACCCAGAAGGCAGAGGTTGCAGTGAACTGAGATCACTCCATTGCACTCCAGCCTGAGCAACAATAGCGAAACTCCGTCTCAAAAAAAAAATAATAATAATAATAATAATTCTATGCCATGATTTGCTTATGTCACAAGCAACATGCAAACAGGCACATGATGAAGTCATTTTACATAAAAACATGCATCCACATTTGCAGCAATATGCTTAGAGTCAATGAACATCTGTAATTAAGACCACTCCAAAAGCACTCTATTTTTGCTTCCTAAATATAGGTTTTCCCCCGGTTTTTGGCCTTCTCTGAACTGCTCCACCTCCTTTTCGGTTTGGGTTCCTTTTACTATATGAATCTGCATCCTATAACTACAGTTTGATGAATCACAAAAACATGCTACTTGACACAGAAAATTCACAGTCCACAGATTTGTCAGGGTAAATTATGTAAAATGTAGCTGCTGTACAGAATTAACATTTGATGAATATGCTGGTCTTTTATTTTTTTAGGAATCAATTTAATTTAAGTGGGATTATCACCATTGAGCCAAAATGAACCATAATTTATAAAATAATATGATAAAAATATTAAGAACGGTTGTGATCTTTAAGGTATATTACATTTGTGTCTGAATTTGTTTCAGTAACTAGAGTTAGTGAGACTGGCTACTACAGGTCTATAGGTGGTTGTTACAAAGATGGGTTCTGAAGCCAGACTGCCTGTGTATTAGTCCGTTCTCACACTGCTATGAAGAAATACCCAGGACTGGGTAATTTATAAAGAAATTAGGTTCAATTGACTCACAGTTCTGCATGGCTGGGGAGGCCTCAGGAAACTTAACAATCATGGCAGAAGGCACCTCTTCACAGGGCAATAAGAGGGAGAATGAGTGCCGAACAAAGTGGGAAGCCCCTTATAAAACTATCAGATCTCGTGAGAACTCAATCACTATCAGGAGAACAGCATGGGGGAAACCACCTCCACGATTCAATTATCTCCACCTGGTCCCACCCTTGACACATGGGGAGTATTACAATGCAAGGTGAGATTTGGATGGGAACACAGAGCCAAACCATATCAGCCTGTAATCCCAACTCTGTCATTTACTAGTTGTGTGACATTAACCTAGTTACTTAACCTCTCTGTGGCTCTGTCTCCTCTTCTTTAATATGAGAATATTAAGGATTCAATGAGTTAATTTATATTGTGCCTAACTCATAAATTCTGAGTGTTAATTTAAAAATAAGTAAATAAATTGGAAAAAAAACAATTCCAGCTTGTTTAAGCCAGTATTACTTGGGATCTCTCTTACATACAGAAAAACTTACCCTAATTAGAATAGGCTGCTTACACGAACATGAACTTGCTGAAAAGGGAATATAACATTTCTCAAACATAGACAGGACATCAATTTTCAATGAAAAAAAAGGTAATGAGTTAATTCAAACAGCATCAGCTTTAAATAAAAAAAATTAGCAACATTTTCTTCTTTTCTTTTCTCCCTTCCTCCCTTTCTGAAGAATTCAATCTGAAGAGCATTAGCTCTAAAAGAGTAAAGTAGGAATCTGGATGGTCCAGTTGGGAGGTATTGGGAGCCCTTCCCATGGAAAAAAAGAGAATTGGCACAAGAGCCTAAGGGGGGCTGTGGTGCTGAGAGATTTGTTAGGAGATGGGGGTGGTGGTGAGTGACAAGATTTGATACTTATTAGGAGGACTGGTCCAATATGTAAACATATAGAGGATAATGAGAGCCAGGAAGAAAGCTAGAATGAATTCTGTGTGACTGGATTTGAACTGTTGATGTGAACTCATGGTTTTCAATATAGATAGGCACTTACAGATATAAGTGTAGTGAATGTGTGTTTGTACATATCTGCATATATTCCCTAGCTTCTCACTGAGAGAATCTTCAAGATGAGCCTGGAGCATCTTGCTGTGTCAAATCATAAGAAAGTACTTAAATAATGATGGGCACTTAAATCAAAAGGACAGAAAAGGGGTTCCCACTGAACAAATCTGGGATCATATAAGTATCAAAATAAATAATGACAGTAATAGGTTGTAGCCCATTAAATGAAAAAATACATGAGCCTATACTGATATAAATAAGTAAATAGGGAGCTGAGAAAACTTTTCTTTACATGGAATGCCATCTGATGAATGTGCAAGGAATTATGGAATTGAAAATCGCAATTTGGTAATCATGATAGTAATAACTCAGCCAAGAAACACCAATGGATGCTAAAACTGTGGGTGAAAGTTTGATGAGGAATGGAATATTCAGATAGTCTCAGAGTACCTCCCTGCAAAATTACTGACTGATTAGCAAGGGGGCAAAGAGTAGCTTTACAATGGACCTGACAGTATTTTAACCAAGAAATCAAGGTTAACATGACCGGAAATTAGACAAATAAGATTGTGTACCATCTGATAGAATGCAGCAAGAACCCAGCATCAATTCTGAGATATTCCTTCCAAAAAAAAAACTAAAAACATGTAAATCTAAATCTGAATCTAAACATGAGGAATTATCTGACAAACACTAATCAATGGACATCGTACAAAACAACTGGCCTATAATCTTCCTAAGTGTCAAGATCAGGAAACTTAAGGAAAGAAATGAGGAATTGTTCCAGATTTTAACAATCTAAAAAGACATGACGACATGGTCCTGAGTTGAGTCCTTTTTCTAGAAAGGATGACAGCCGTGAATGGGGTTTGGGGGTTCCATGGCTATAACATTCCATCTATGGTGACGGAGGCTAGGGAGGAGAATACCCTGGATTGCACTGGATTGCAGGAAATACTTATGACATCCAGGGGTAAAGGAGCATCATGTTAGCCACTTGCTCTCAAATGATTCAAGAAAAAAAAAACTCTGCTACTCTTACAACCTTTGTGTAAGTCTGAAATTATTTCAACTGAAAAAAAAAAAAAGCACAACCAAAACCAGGTGCAGTGGGTGGCTCATACCTGTAATACCAGCATTATGGGAGGCTGAGATGGGAGGATCACTTGAGGCCAGTAGTTCAAGACCAGCCTGGTCAACATAGTGAGACCCCATCTATTAAAAAAAAATCAAATATTTATTGTGAAAATATTAAACACTGTATCTATTTTTTAAACTATATCTTCATGAGCCTGTTTTGACAATTAAATGGGTTAATACCCAAAAATCATTTAGCACAATGTCTCGTATAGGAGTAGACCTTAAAAATAGTACAATATATTATATTATTCAATCACAGACACACATATTCTCTATCCCCCTGGCAAATGAGTATGATCAGGAAAGTCAAATGAAAGGATTCAGTCAGATGGTTGAAATTGTTACTACCACAAAGCAAATGTCAGGACCACATGACCTGGAGGCACCATTTGTACTTAATTATGTATGGTCCCATAGTGCTAATTAACATATTTCCTCAGCCTTTTCATAAGCAGCCTCCCGATTAAAAATCATTTATTAGTCACAGTACAATGTATACCACACCACCAAAGCGTTATCAAGTCTTGATTAAACATTGTGCTTTTCCGGTTTCTCTCGTACCCTTATCTACTCTCAGGCTGACATGACGAAGGTGATATGAAGTGTCTCACCCAAGGGCACTGAGCAGTTGATGGCAGAGACAAGAGCAAATACCTTGACACCCACTGACCTTTTTTCTCCTACTGGTTCCAAATGACCAGCTCAACTTACCAAATTTGAGGATAAAGCTCTAACTTGGCCAGGTTTTTATAATAATAGGAACCCTAGTTCGATTTGTCCCTTTTCAACTTCAACCTTGCACTTAGTTCCAGATCCAAAAATATCCCTGGTGCTTAATACAGGATTTTGAAAATAATCATACAGGACTCATCCTGTGTGGAAAGCTAAGTACCTTTATTTTCAAACTGTCATTGTAAAAAAAAAAAAAAAAGAAAGAAAGAAAAAAGAGGAAAAGAAAGAAAAATGCAAACCGCTCAGACCTGGTATCTCATTCTCCTCACACCACCTCATTCCTGGCGCACACAGTTCACTTTGACATCGAGGGGCGCTCTGCCAGGAAAGAGCCACATGGACTGCCGAAGGGAATCACAACCTGACCCTCTCATCTCCTGCTCCTCCCCTTCTCCTGGGCTTCACTGCCAGCTTCACAAACAGTTAATTGCCTTTTCATGCAAAGAGTTTGACAGCCACTCTCCCACAAACCACACTAAAATCTTACCCCCTGTATCGTTTGTGGAAAAAAAAAACTGTTTCCATTTTTAGGAGAGCATAAGACCTGGCCCATTTTATTTAGAAATTAATAATAATCCTGAGAGCTCTCTTTTCTGTGTTCTGGAAGAGCAGTGAAGCAGCTCTGAAATGAAGCATTTACTACTGTGCGTGCCAGGACAAAAACAGATGGACCAAAGAAGTTTAGATGGATGAATCTGAAAAATTGGATGACCTTTATTATACCCCAAAAGTTATAAAAAATTAGAAGAGCAAAACTTCCATTTGCCAGCAAGATTCTCTCCAATTTATAAATTTCATATTGTGGATCCAAACACAGGAGTTAAGGCCCACACCATTGTCTGGATAGCCAGACATCATCGTCTCCCAGCTGCCAGCAAAGCAGCCCACCTTGGTCTCCTTACCTGAAAAGTCTAGAAAACTGTTCTGTTCATCAATTACTACCTCCACCCTCCAATAAAAAGAAGGAAGGTTAAAGGACTCAACTCACAGTCACGTGACATGCTGAGATTCCTGAGGTTGAGCTACCGCAAAAGATGGGTACATTTCATTAGAACACCATTCAAATGAGACCAAAAACTGGCTTAACTCTGAGGTGGGCCAGCAGACTTCATGCTGCTGCCTGCTCCCAACTGAAGCTACTCACCTCACAGATTTTCCCACTATCAGAATGATATAAGAAATTGCAGATTTATAGAGTGTAATTGGGTCAGTACAAATCCAGCATCAATTACAAAATCCATTACAGTATCTGCTGTATCAAGGATGAGTCAGTAGCATGTAATTGTGTATATGTTTTGCACATAAATAAGCTAGAGAAAATGTTTGCTTCACAGTCTGAGTAATTCCTAAACCATGTATAAAATGTGCTATTGAGAATTTATGATAGAAACAGCCAAGGCTTACCCAAACTCAGCCCTGCTCCACTGTTGGAGTATGGGAGAATTACACTCCTCTGCTACCCCTGTACTTGTATAGAGCCATGTGAGTAGTTGTAGCCAATGAGTTATAAGAATGTGTCATTTCAGAGCTAGAGCATATAATTGCTGGAGTGAGACTCTCCGTCTCTGCTCTTCTTCAGCCATAGTAAACCTTGTAGCACCATGCTGATGGGTGGCATCATAAGTAGAGTGAAACTTGGAGGAGAGCCCCCTCAACCCCCACTCAATGTGCAATCGACATTTTTTTCTCCTCAGGACGCAGTGGCTCACACCTGTAATCCCAGCACTTTGGGAGCCGAGGTGGGCGGATCACCTGAGGTCAGGAGTTCGAGACCAGCCTGGCCAACGTGGTGAAACTCCATCTCCATGAAAAATACAAAAATTAGCCAGGCGTGGTGGTGCACGCCTGTAGTCCCAGCTACTCAGAGAGGCTGATGCAGGAGAATCGCTTGAACTAAGGAGGTGAAGGTTGCAGTGAGCCAAGATCACACCACTGCACTCCAGCCTGGGCAACAGAGCAAGACTTCGTCTAAAAAAAAAAAAAAGAAAGAAAATAAAGAAAAAACATTTTTTTCTATTTTAAACTTCTGAGGTTTGGGGGATATTTGCTACTGCTACCCATGCCTACATTAGACGCTTTTCCTATCACATATGTTCCTAAACATCCAACTCAAATCTTATTCCCCAGTCTGATATGACTTAGCAGAAATAATGCCAGGCATGACAGATCCCCCAAAGAAGTAAGAGGTGTACGTCAGGCTTTCTAGGAGAACCTAGTGGCAACACCAAAGCCAGGAAGCAGGGTCATTCACGTGTGCACATGTAGGAAGCCTCTGAAAGCCTGAGGCATAGCAGAGGTAAGAAGCATATCTACCTAGCCAGACATCAAAAAGAGGAAACAATTCAAAGTCCAGAGAGAGAAGTGGAGTCTAAAATCATGCACCATCAATGTGGTTAGACACTAGCCTAACTATGAAATTTCACCATTTTTTTCCTGCTGTTTCAGATGGCTCATTGGCACCAAAGCACACTCAGGGACTCTCTCTCTCACCCTGTGCTACCCTAAAAAGCACCATCTGAACTGTGACAACAAAAAGAAGCCCCAAATGGTTTTAATTAAAATTTCTCAGAATCCTGTGAATTCTACAGATTTACTTTTTTATTAATTTAATTCAATTTATGTTGTTAAATATCATCCAGACAAGAATCCTTAATTATCTCTTAAGTCTTTATCACCTTTTCAAAATAATTGACTCAAACACCAATCACCAGCCATACACCATTTAATTCATTCTTGCTCCTACTCCAGGTACCCTGAGCATAAGCTATTGAGTCATAGAATCACGATCGATTTAAATCTTAAAGGAGTCTTACAGACTAACACTCCTCCGCCCCAAAAAGGCTGGAGAAGAAATAAAAGCCAAATTTTTTTAAAAGCTTTTCAATCTATAGCTGTGGTGCATTTATTTCAGACACTTCTATATCACGAGTAAAATAATGAAGCATCAGAGAGGCCACTGTACATTAGTATAAACATATCAGAAAAATATCCTACTAATAATTAAACCAGACGGCAAGCTGCTGGTATCCCTTAGGTTTTTTTATTAATAGCAAGATGCTATCATTTGCTCACATTCTTCTGCTTGTTAGAAAATTTGGACTGTAATTTTGGATGCTGAGTCGAAATAACTAATTAAATGATAAATGTCACTTTTTCTCCCAACTTACACAACCAGGAGTTTGAATAACATATTTTTCTATTATGCCAAACCAAGAGAGAAAATATTACTCTTTTGGTCTTTGGAGGAGCAAAGGGGACTCATAAAAAGTGATTAATTTGTAAATAAATGGTACTTTTTTAACTAGGATTTTTCAGTTTTGCTTATATACAAGATACATTTTTTTTTTTTGAGACACAGTTTCATTCTGTTGCCCAGGCTGGACTGCAGTGGCGAGGAGCACAATCTCAGCTCACTGCAACCTCTGTCCCTGGGATTCAAGTGATTCTCCTGCCTCAGCCTCCAGAGTAGCTGGGATTACAGGCATGCGCCACTACATCCAGCTAATTTTTGTATTTCCTTTTTTTTTTTTGAGACGGAGTCTTGCACTGCCGCTCAGGCTGGTGCAGTGGCGTGATCTCGGCTCACTGCAACCTCTGCCTCCTGGGTTCAAGCAATTCTCCTGCCTCAGCCTCCCTAGTAGCTGGGTTACAGGCACATGCCACCACGCCTGGCTAATTTTTTGTATTTTTAGTAGAGATGGGGTTTCACTGTGTTAGCCACGATGGTCTCAATCTCCTGACCTCGTGATCCGCCCACCTTGGCCTCCCAAAGTGCTGGGATTACAGGCGTGAGCCACCGCGCCCGGCGCATAATTTTTATATTTTCAGTAGAGATGGGGTTTCACCTTGTTGGCAAGGCTGGGCTCCAACTCCTGACCTCAATCAATTCGCCTGCCTTGGCCGCCCAAAGTGCTGAGATTACAGACGTGAGCCACCACGCCTGGCCACAAAATACATTTTAAAGGCATTCATAATCCTCGAAGCGCATCACAAGCTAATTCACTACTTTGATAAAATCCCGAATGGCTTTCAAATTATCAGTTTCCCCATTTATATAAAGTTTATAGAGGCAAATGTATGGGAATCAAAGCTTGTTTTACTCCAATAAGACAATAGTAAAACCTAACCTGGATTCCAAATAACTTTTCTCATTTGTAAAAGTTGTATTGTGGCCACAGAGTTCAACATTCTAGTCCTCTCCTTCCCTCTCCCCATTTCCTACCAAAAAAGAGAAGTGAAAAATATACCAATAAATTCAGCCACCAAGAGAAGCTGGCAAGTTTTAACAAGTCAAAATATAAACTAAATAATACTTCTCTTTCTCACCTTTATGTCATTGATATAATCTTATATCATTCTTCAAATTCTCAGCCCCCTTAAAAGAACAAATATTATCCCAGGCATGAACAAACTACAGCAACTCACTGTTAACTGGCACTTTCAGACAATGGAATATTAACCATAATAGCAAGTATTTGTTGAGAGCTGACTCTCAGCCGGCACTGTTCTAACTGCCGTATTAGTTCATTGTTTCATCAGGATGCCCCTATAAAGTAGGGATTATGCTTCTTACCTCTGTTCTATAAATGGGGGAACTGCATGAAGACGTCATTTATCTTGTCCTGTGGCAGCCTAGGATTGCGACCTGGGACATCAGGTCCCGGAGTTTGCTTTACTCCATAATCCCTCTCTTGTTAATCCAGTACTCTGCCCAACAGAGTTGTTCCATGCATTTCTCCAATAATTTGCAAAGTCACAATATGATAATCACAGAGCAAAGAACTCTACCTAATTTTGCTTTTCTTCGGTGATTTAGAAAACCTATCAGTACTTTGAAGAATTTCAGGGTCAGTCAGGATAAAATGGAAATAATAACAAAACCTACCTCGAGAGACTTTTCAGAGAATTAAGAAAACTTAGATTAAATGCTTCATCAGAGCCTGGCCAATAGCACGTATTCAATAAGTAGTAGTTATTTATTATTATCTTAATTAGATATTTGCAAGGATACTTTGAAACCATGTAAAATACAATTTGAAGAATGAATTCTTGGTTCTTCTTTCTAATAAAGCTGCACAATGCATTTAGATCTTCCTTAAAATAAGAGTCTTAAAATTTTGTTGTAAATTGGAATTTTTATTAAAGAAGGCATATCTTCCCATTGAAGGACATTTTCATTCAGAGATACTTCATTGTCTTCATGTCTGACTAAATTTCAATTAACAATGGTGGTTACAATGTCAACTCTACTCGGGAGACTGAGGCAGGAGGATTGCTGGAGGCCAAGAGTTCAAGACCAGCCTGGGCAACATAGCAAGACCCCATGTCTACCACATTTATTTTTATTAGCTGGGCATGGTGACATATACCTGTAGTCCCAGCTACTCAGGAGGCTAAGGTGAAAGAATCCCTTGAGCCCAGAAGTTCAAGGCTGCTGTGAGCTACGATCACACCACTGTACTCCAGCCTGGGTGACAGAGCAAGACCCCATCTCTAAAACAAACAAACAAAAATTCAGCTCCCCAGTTCTGCAGCCACCACTCTCTATCAAGGGATTTATAATCAATCAAATATGCCATTGCTCTTGAGATCCAAATATTTATAAAGCCTTATAGTAAAGTTTTTTATAAAGTGCATCAATCATGCTAATTTTGTAGTTTCATGTCTGCATTTTCTTATAGAAGAAAAGAAGAAATGCTAAGTAACACTCCACCTAGCCCTCCTTTCCCTTGCTATGGAAGGCAAGTCCCTAAGCTTGTTGGGAAGGAGCCCAGATGGCTGAGGCAGGATGATGATATTGTAAGAGAAATGCATCTCTGAATTTCCGTTTTACCAGAAACTGTATCCTGTTTCTCAGAGATAGGACACCACAGAAATGAAGACTTACTCTGAATAAGAGTCCTATATAGTCCTATTTTCCAGAAAAGGAAAAAGAAGCAGGAACACAGCAAAGCCCAGCTGAAGCTGAGCAAAAGCACACCCGGGACACAGTTCCTGACTTCAATTTGTCCCTCCAGGTCTCAGGGTGGTCAGACTATTCAATGGTAAGGCTTTGGGAAATGCCTCTCTGTAAACAATGGCAAACCAGGCACAGGGTGGACCCCTGATCAATGTTAAATAAGTAGTCTGCTAAACACAGTGAATTAGTGGTATTTGGTTTGGAGGGTTTTTTTTTTTTCAGTTTTAAAGTCTGAATGTGCAGCTCAATGAATTTTCACAGAATTCTACACCTGTGGAACCACACTCAACTCAAGACACAGAACATTTTCCATACCCTAATATTACTTTTAAATTATTTTAAAATTTTATCCAAAGAAAATGCTGTGATCTGAATGGATCCCTCAAAATTCCTATGCTGAAACTTAATCACCTATGTGATAATATTAAGAGTTGGAGCCTTTACAGAGTGATTAAGATATGAGGGTGGAGTCCTCATGGGTGAAATCAGTGCCCTCATAAAAGGACTTGAAGGAGTAGGTTCATCCTCTTCCATCCCTCCCGCCATGTGGGACAGTGTTTACCCCTTCAGCTGTATGCAGATGCTGCAGAAAGGCCCTCGGCAGACACCAACTGCCAGGGCCTTGACTGGACTTCCCAGCCCTCAGAATGGTGAGAAAATAAATTTCTGTTCTTTATAAATTACTCAGTCTCAGGTGCTTTCTTATAACAGCATGAATGGACTAAAACAAAAAGTTAGACTGCATAAATAGTATTATTACTTTTAAAGTGAGCTGAAAGACTATTAGGGAAGGTGGAGTGAATGATTAAAGGTAGTGAGGTCAAGGGGTTGAAAGTACAGGCTTGGGAATCAGAAAGACTTGCTACTCACTGTATTTGACATTTTGCAAAACAAACCTCCCTGCTCCACAGTTTCTTCACATGTATTATAAGAAAATATATCTGTGGATGAGTCTTATGAGGATTAAATGAATTCACGCATGTAAAGGCTCACAAAGTGCTAGGGGGACACATAATAGGTAAAAATTCAATGAATGACAGGTATCAATATTATTAATTAATCATTTTAATATTCAGCTGATATACAGTCTGTTTGGACCAAAACATCTTCCTTCTTCTTGGCTTTCACTATCTTGGCTTTCATTATCATGATAATGCCCTCAAGAGTAGATAGACAATATTTTCATTCCTATAATTTTAATTTAGCTGTTGAAGAAAACTGTATGTCATTTGAACTACTATATCAGTATCAAATCCTATTTTAAAAGCAATTGTCGGCCAGACTCCGTGGCTCATGCCTATAATCCCAGCACTTTGGAAGGCCGAGGCAGGCGAATCACCTGAGGTCAGGAGTTTGAGACCAGCCTAGCCAACACAGAAAAACCCCATCTCTAGAAAAAATACAAAAATTAGTTAGGCGTAGTGGCGCATGCCTGTAATCCCAGCTACTGGGAAGGCTGCAGCAGGGGAATCACTTGAACCTGGAAGGCAGACGTTGTAGTGAGCCAAGATCATACCACTGCACTCCAGCCTGGGCGACAGAGTGAGACTCCGTCTAAAAAAAAAAAAAAAAAAAAAAAAGGGCAATTGTTAATAATTCAAAGAGAGAAGAAACTTATACTGTCTTTGCTCAAACAGGCTGCTATAATCAGAATAAATGTTCTGCAGTGATCATACTATTTATTTTTCAGAGCTTCCCATTTTTTGAAGCCTAAAATGGTTTAATTCTATCTACCAAGCAATTAATATGTTCTACTAAACAAATTGGAACTGGAGAACCAAATTAACACCTTTCAAGAGTGATATATCAACGCAGGATTCTACAGAATGCTTTATGACCCTGCCACCTAATTTAATGGATAAGTTCGAAGCATCAGAATGCCCAGCATGACTTGAATTCTTTCAGATACTAAAAAATATACATTCATATCAAGTGCAAATTCTCAGCCGAAAAACAAAACTTCACTACTATGTATGAAATTCTTCTGTCAAATCCCTTATCTTTACCCTAAAACTAGACTAAAATCCTCTTCATTAACCCAGACTTAAATGAGTTAGGAAAGAAGATGTTTTGTGCGAATAGATAAGAGCTATGACAAATGAACACTAGACTTCCTTCTGGCCTCACATGCCTGATGAATCATATTCCAAGACTGAGGCCTCTCAGATGTGACTACCTCACCACGGTCCTTAGTCGGAGCAACTGACCAGCCTTTCTATAAACCCGGTTGAAGGGTACATCACAGCCCAAACACCTCAGTCACATTTCCACCATATCAAAGTGCACAGACTTGGCTGGGCATGGTGGCTATCACTTGAAATCCCAGCACTTTGGAAAGCCAAGAAGGGTGGATCACTTGAGGTCAGAAGTTCAAGACCAGCCTGGCCAACATGGCAAAAGCCCGTGTCTACTAAAAGATACAAAAGTTAGCCGGGCATGGTGGCACGCATCTGTAGTCCCAGCTACTTGGGAGGCTGAGGCGGGAGAATCACTTGAGCCCCGGAGGCCAAGGATGCAGTGAGCCGAGATCGCACCACTGCACTCCAGCCTGGGTGACAAAGCGAGATCCTGTCTCCAAAAAAAAGCCACAACAAAGTGCATAGACTTATTATTAATTTCTCCCATGCCCTCACTCCCTGCTCTCCATGGAGTTAAAGTTCTTCGGAGAGATGAACAAGGAAAATTGCCTTTGTGTCCCCCAGAACCGTCTCCAATATTCCTTTTAACTTGACTTGAGGGACTACAGTGCAAAAGAATGAGCCTACCCAGAAATGCCCTAGATCGGACACATGAAACAGAAATTAATATATGTTTCTGGAAGCAATTATCAGATAGTACTGCTAGACAGTGGGAAGATCCTAAACAGCCCCATAAACAATGAAATCCTTCAAGGCTACTTCTTTCCCTTAAAATAGAAAGGTTGCAAGATGGCACCTTTCTTTCCCCTAGCCCCTCCTCTGATACATCCGCCTGGGTAGAGAGGCTGACAGGGAACTTCTGTATTTTTTCCTTAAGAGAACTTAGGGAATGCCTTTGTCTTAAAGGGGAAAAAAAGAGATTTTTAAAAAAAAAGAGGGTGGGGGAATTATTATTATTGTGATTGCACTGAAAGCAGGGCATTGACAACAGAGGCCAATCATAGCTACTAATTGTCCTGATATGAGCAGAGGAACAAGAACTTATTGTGCTGATGAATGGTGAACCAATACAGAAATTGTTCAGAAAGATACCAAAATCATATGTGGGAGATAAAAGGAGAAGAGCAGATCAGATGGGGGGGTGGGAACCTGGAGCAAGATTCTAGAAGGTGGATTAAGGAACATGGCAAAGAAGAGTGATAGATTAGGTGACTGTATTAGTCTATTCTCCCACTGCTATGAAGAGATGCCTGAGACTGGGTAATTTATAAACAAAAGAGGTTTAATTGGCTCAGTTCCACATGGCTGGGGAGGCCTCAGGAAACTTACAATCATGGGGGAAGGCACTTCTTCACAGGATGGCAGGAGAGAGAACGAGTGCAGAGTGAAGAGGGAAGCCCCTTATAAAACCATCAGATTTCATGAGAACTCACTCACTATCATGAGAACAGCATGAGGAACCGCCCCCATGATTCAATTATCTCTACCAGGTCCTGTCTTGACACATGAGGATTATTACAATGCAAGGTGAGATTTGAATGGAGACAAAGAGCCAAACCATATCAGTGACAAACATGAGACTGCCAGGCCAACCACTGCCAAGGACTGAGGGCTGAGCTTGGCTAATGAAGTCAGAAAAGTTAGAGGAGGGTGAGCAGCATCCGAAGCATGATCCTCAGATGCTGGAATATCCAGAGTAGCATCCTAAGTCAGAACTCCCTTACGACTTGACCTAGAAACTTCCTCTCCATCTTCCAGGGCAACATTCAAGGAATGACTGAGCTATAGGATAAGAGTCAGGATTGACAGAGTATACATAGCAACGATTAAGCTAAATTACATGCATACATGAGCACACACGTGCACATGTACACACACCATAAAATAGCTGGTGATAGCTAGGAAAAGAGAAGAAGCTCACCCCAGAAGTCTCCTGGGATTCTACAACTCTAGGGCTGTATTATAATGTTTTAAATAGCTTTGGGAGGCATACGAAGGATACAACTTTTTTTAAATAATAACAAAGACAACCATTTAATAGGTAAAGAAGCAGGTATTGGAGTTATTCTGAGTTTGAATCCAGCTCTGACCTTGGAAAAGTTTTAACGACTTTTTCCTCAATTTTATTATCTATAAGATGAAGACAATAATATCTGCTTATGTCCTTGGGTTGTTCCAAGGTTAAACTTGCATAAAGTGCTTAGTACCTCCCTGAGTAAATAACAAGGTCAGTCAGTGGATACTCATGGTGGTGGTAGCAATGATGATAATGATATATATGAATATAACCCTGATGTTCAGAGAGTTCAAATCCCCTTCTTTGTTAATCCTTCCATTCTGCCAATAAATCAGATATATAATCAGCAAAAGCAGGAGCCTCATTCTGACTGAAACAGAATTCATTTGCTTTAAATGCATTACATTAAATCAGGCCTGAGGAAGTCCTGGCATGAAATAAATCAGTATCTATAGTAAACAGTATTACCTATAATATCATGGAATTAACATCAGCACAGAGAAAATAAGGTAACGAGAGGTTAAAAGATCTCTCTCCCATTAAATAACTATGTAGACAAATGCTAAAAGGAAGCATGACTGCGCTGCTTCTAAAATCCCCATTAATGAATGCTTCCTGGTACTTTAGATTATTTTATTTACTCTTCACAAAAATCCAATGAAGAATATACCATCCCCTATTTACAAATGAGAAAACGGAGGCTTAGAAAAGTAGAGACGCTTGCCTGTGATTACTCAGTTAGGAAAGGGAGGAGCTGGAACCTAAATACACATGCATTTGCCTCAAAGGCCTGCTTCCCCTACCCCTGGCTCAGGGAGGCCCCAGCAGGGATCAAGCCAACTTACCAAATCTGAGGCTGGGATACCAGTAAACTGTATTGATGCAAATTTTGACCATCCCTTTCTCCAAAAGAAAACAATCTGAATACAAAACACAGCATGAAAATGGTTTCATCTGGAACCCAACACATACGTACTCAAAACCAAATATAAAATTTTGAGCTACACCAGGCATCTATAAAAACAGAGATTAAAATTTATATTCCTCCTGCAAACAAAACAGAAATCATGGACATGAACCAGGTAATACAAAACCTGAAATTTTGCCCATCACTGGAATACTTGTACAACCAGTGCTCATAAAACAAAATTGAGACAGAAGTATGTCAGTAACAGAGGCAGAAGATCTATGAGTCTGCCCGACATTCAGTCACATTAAATAAGGTATAGATAAGTTAATGTATGTATATGTGTATATATGGTCTCAAATTTTTTTTATTTTTTTATTTTCCCATAAGTTATTGGGGTACAGGTGGTATTTGGTTACATGAATAAGTTCTTTAGTAGTGATCTGTGAGATTTTGATGCACCCATCACCCATGGGTACACTGTACCATATTTGTAGTCTTTTATCTCTCATCCCCCTCCCACTCTTCCCCCCAAAATCCCCAAAGTCCATTGACTCTTAGGCCTTTGCATCCTCATAGCTTAGCTCCCACATAGCAGTGAGAATATGTGATTGGTTTTCCGTTCCTGAGTTACTTCACTTAGAGTAATAGTCTCCAGTCTCATCCAGGTCACTACAAATGCTGTTAATTCATTCCTTTTTATGGCTGCATAGTATTCCATTATATATATAATATATATATGTATGTGTGTGTATATATATATATAAACAGTTTCTTTATCCACCCGTTGATCGATGGGCATTTGGGTTGGTTCCACGATTTTGCAATTGTGAATTGTGCTGCTATAAACATGCATGTGCAAATATCTTTTTCGAATAATGACTTCTTTTCCTCTGCATAGATACCCAGTAGTGGGATTGTTGGATCAAATGGCAGTTCCACTTTTAGTTCTTTAAGAAATATCCACACTGTTTTCCATAGCAGCTATATTAGTTTACATTCCCACCAGCAGTGTAGAAGTGTTCCCTGTTCACCACATCCACACCAAAATCTACTATTTTTTTATTTTTTATTATGGCCATTCTTGCAGGAGTAAGGTGGTATCACATTGTGGTTTTGATTTGCATTTCCCTGATGATTAGTGATGTTGAGCATTTTTTCATATGTTTGTTGTCCATTTGTATATCTTCTTTTGAGAATTGTCTATTCACGTCCTTAGCCAAGTTTTTGATCGGATTGTTTGTTTTTTTCTTACTGATTTACTTGAGTTCATTGTAGATGCTGGATATCAGTCCTTTTCAGATGTATAGAATGTGAAGATTTTCTCCCACTCTGTGGGTTGTCGATTTACTCTGCTGACTGTTCCTTTTGCTGTGCAAAAGCTATTTAGTTTATTTAGGTCAGAGCTATTTATCTTTGTTTTTATTGCATTTGCTTTTGGGTTTCTGGTCATGAAATCCTTGCCTAAGCCAACGTCTAGAAGAATTTTTCCAGTATTATCTTCTAGAATTTTTACAGTTTCAGGTCTTAATTGATTTTTGTACAAGGTGAGGGATGAGGATCAAGTTTCATTCTCCTACATGTGGCTAGCCAATTATCCCAGCACTATTTGTTGAAAAGGGTGTCCTTTCCCCCACTTTATATTTTTGTTTACTTTGTTGAAGATCAGTTGGCTGTAAGTATTTGGGCTTATTTCTGGGTTCTCTATTCCGTTCCATTGGTCTATGTGCCTATTTTTGTAGCAGCACCACGCTGTTTTGGTGACTATGGCCTTACAGTATAGTTTGAAATTAGGTAGCGTGATGCCTCCAGATTTGTTCTTTTGCTTAGTCTTGCTTCAGCTATGCAGGCTCTTTCTTGGTTCCATATGAATTTTATAATTTTTTTTTAATTCTGTGAAGACTGATGTTGATATTTTGATGGGATTACATTGAATTTGTAGAATGCTTTTGGCAGTATGGTCATTTTCACAACATTGATTCTACCCATCCATGAGCATGGGATGTGTTTCCATTTGTTTGTGTCATCTGTGATTTCTTTCAGCAGTGTTTTGTAGTTTTCCTTGTAGAGGTCTTTTGACTCCTTGGTTAGGTATATTCCTAAGTTTTGTTTTGGTTTGGTTTTTTGTTTTTGTTTTTTGCAGCTATTTAAAAAGGATTAAGTTCTTGATTTCATTCTCCGCTTGGTCGCTGTTGGTGTATAGAAGAGCTACTTATTTGTGTACGTTAATCTTTTATCCAGAAACTTTGCTGAATTCTTTTGTCAGTTTTAGGAGCTTTCTGGAGGAGTCCTTACGGTTTTCAAGGCAAACAATCGTATCGTCAGCAAACAGTGACAGTTTGACCTCCTCTTTACTGATTTGGAAGCCCTTTATTTATTTCTCTTGTCTGATTGCTCTGGCTAGGACTTCCAGTACTATGTTGAAGAGGAGTGGTGAGAGTGGACACCCTTGTCTTGTTCCTGGTCTCAGAGGGAATGCTTTCAGCTTTTCCTCATTCAATATGATGTTGGCTGTGGGTTTGTCATAGATGGCTTTTATTACATTAAGGTATGTCTCTTGTGTGCCAATTTTGCTGAGAGTTTTAATCATAGATGTATGCTGGATTTTTTCAAATGCTTTTTCTGCATCTATTGAAATGATCACGTAATTTTTTTTTTTTTTTGACGTGGAGTCTTGCTCTGTCACCCAGGCTGGAGTGCAGTGGCACGATCTCAGCTCACTGCAAACTCTGCCTCCCGGGATCAAGCAATTCTCCTGTCTCAGCCTCCCATGTAGCTGGGACTGTGGTCACCTGCCACAAAGCCCAGCTAATTTTTGTATTTTTAGTAGATGGGGTTTCACCTTTGGGTCAGGCTGCTCTCGAACTCCTGACCCTTAAGTGATCCACCTGCCTCAGCCTCCCAAAGTGCTGGGATTACAGGCATGAGCCACTGCACCCAGCCATGATTTTTGTTTTAATTCTGTTTATGTGGTGTATCACATTTACTGACTTGACTTGTGTATGTTAAACCACCCCTGCATCCCTGGTATGAAACCCACTTGATCATGGTGGATTATCTTTTTGATATGTTGTTGGATTCAGTTAGCTTTTGTTAAGAATTTTAGCATCTATGTTCATCAAAGATAGTTTTCTTTTTTGGTTATGTCCTTTCCTGGTTTTGTTATTAGGGTGATACTGACTTCACAGAATGAATTAGGGAGGGTTCTTTCTTTCTCTATCTTGTGGAACAGTCTCAAAAGGATTGGTACCAATTCTTCTTTGACTATCTGGTAGAATTCTCCTGTGAATCTGTGTGGTCCTGGACTTAATTTTGTTGGTAATTTTTAAATTACCGTTTCAATCTCACTGCTTGTTATTGGTCTGTTCAGGGTATCTAATTTTTCTTGATTGAAGCTACAAGGGTTCTATTTTTCCAGGAATTTATCCATCTCTTCTAGGTTATCTAGTTTAAGTGCATAGAGGTGTTCATAGTAGCCTTGAATGATCTCTTGTATTTCAGTGGTGTCAGTTGTAATACCTCCTGTTTGTTTCTTAGTAAGGTTATTTGGATTTTCTCTCTTCTTTTCTTGGTTAACGTTGCCAATGGTCTATCAATTTTATTTATCTTTTCAAAGAACACCTTTTTGTTTCATTTATCTTTTATATTCTTTTTGTTTCTATTTCATTCTGCTCTGATCTTGGTTATTTCTTTTCTTCAGCTGAGTTTGGCTTTGGTTTCTTCTTGTTTCTCTAGTTACTTGAGGTGTGACCTTAGATTGTCTGTTTGGGTTCTTTCGGTCTTTTTAAAGTAGGTGTTTAGGGCTATGAACTTTCCTCTTAGCACTGCCTTTGTTGTATCCCAGAGGTTTTGATAGGTTGTGCCATTATTGTAGTTCAGTTTGAATAATTTTTTAATTTCCATCTTTATTTTGTTTTTGACCCAATGCTCATTCAGTAGCAGGTTATTTAATTTACATGTATTTTAATAGTTTTGAGGGTTCCTTTTGGAGTTGATTTCCAATTTTATTCCACAGTGGTCTGAGAGAGTGCTTGATATAATTTCAATTTTCTTAAATTTATTAAGGCTAGTTTTATGGCCTATCATATGGTCTATCTTGGAGAAAGTTCCATGTGCTATTGAATAGAATGTGTGTTCTGCAGTTGCTGGATGAAATGTTCTGTATATATCTGTTAAGTCCATTTGTTCCAAGGTATAGTTTAAATCCATTGTTTATTTGTTGACTTTCTGTCTTGATGACCTATCTAGTGCTGTCAGTGGAGTGCTGAAGTCCCCCACTATTATTGTGTTGCTGCCTATCTCATTTCTTAGGTCTATTAGTAATTATTTCATAAATTTGGGATCTCCAGTGTTAGGTGCACATATGTTTAGGATTGTAATATTTTCCTATTGGACAAGGCCTTTTACCATTATATAATGTTCTTCTTTGTCTCTTTTAACTGCTATTGCTTTAAAGTTTGTTTTGTCTAATATAAGAATAGCTACCCCTGCTCACTTTTGATGTCCATCTGCATGAAATGCCTTCCCCCTGCCCTTTACTTTAAGTTTATGTGAGTCCTTAAGCTAGTTTATGTCACCTTAAGCTAAATTTGTGTTACCTTAAGCAAGGTGAGTCTCCTGAAGGCAGCAGATAGTTGGCTGGTGAGTTCTTATCCAGTGGAGCATTTAGGCCACTTACATTCAATATTAGTATTAAAATGTGAGGTATCTTTGCACTCATCATGCTCTTTGTTGCCTGTGTATTTTAGTTTTTTTTTTTTTTTTGCTTTTGCTTTTTAACTTGTATTTTTGTTTTATAGGTCCTGTGTAATTTACGCTTTAAAGAGATTCTGTTTTGATGTGTTGCCAGGATTTGTTTCAAGATTTAGGGCTCCTTTTAACAGTTCTCGTAGTGGTGGCTTGGTAATAGAGAATTCTTTCAGCATTTGTCTGAAAAAGACTGTATCTTTCTTTCATATATGATGCTTAGTTTCACTGGATACAAAATTCTTGGCTGATAATTGTTTTGTTTGAGGTAGTTGAAGATAGGGCCCCAATACCTTCTAGCTTGCAGGGTTTCTGCCGAGAAATCTGCTCTTAATCTGATAGATTTTCCTTTAGAGGTTACCTGGTGCTTCTGTCTCACAGCTCTTAAGATTCTTTTCTTCATCTTAATTTTGGATAACCTGATGACAATGTGCCTAGGTGAAGATCTTTTTGCGATGAATTTCCCAGTTGTTCTTTGTGCTTCTTGTATTTGGATGTCTAGGTATCTAGCAAGGCCAGGGAAGTTTTCCTCAATTGTTCCCCCAAATATGTTTTCTAAGCTTTTAGAATTCTCTTCTTCCTCAGGAACACCAATTATTCTTAGGTTTGGTCATTTAACATAATCCCAGACTTCTTGGAGGCTTTGTTTATATTTTCTTTTTTCGTTTTGTTTTGAGACAGAGTCTTGCTCTGTCGCCCAGGCTGGAGTGCAGTGACACGATCTCTGCTCACTGCAACCTCCACCTCCCGGGTTCAAGCAATTCTTCTGCCTCAGCCTCCTGAGTACCTGGGACTACAGGTGCGCACCCCCATGCCCGGCTAATTTTTGTATTTTTAGTAAAGACGGGGTTTCACCATATTGACCAGGCTGGTCTCAAACTCCTGACCTCGTGATCTGTCCACCTCAGCCTCCCAAAGTGCTGGGATTACAGGCGTGAGCCACGGTGCCCAGCCCTGTTTATATTTTCTTATTCTTTTTTCTTTGTCTTTGTTGGATTGGGTTAATTCGAAGACCTTGTCTTTGAGCTCTGAAGTTTTTTCTTCTACTAGTTCAATTCTATTGCTGAGACTTCCCAGAGCATTTCACATTTCTAAAAGTGTGTCCAAAGTTTCCTGAATTTTTTATTGTTTTTTCTTTAAGCTATCTATTTCCTTGAATATTTCCCCCTTCACTTCTTGTATCATTTTTTGGATTTCCTTGCATTGGGCTTTGCCTTTCTCTGGTCCCTCCCTGATTAGCTTAATAGCTAACCTCCTGAATTTTTTTTTTTCAGGTAAATAAGGGATTTCTTCTTGGTTTGGATCCACTGCTGGTGAACTAGTGTGGTTTTGGGGGAGTGCTGAAGAGCCTCATGTTGTCATATTACCACAGTTGGTTTTCTGATTCCTTCTCATTTGGGTAGGCTCTGTCAGAGGGAAAGTCTAGGGCTGAAGGCTGTTGTTCAGATTCTTTTGTCTCATGAGGTGTACCCTTGATGTAGTACTCTCCCCCTTGTCCTATGGACGCGGCTTCCTGTGAGCCTAACTGCAGTGATTGTTGTCTCTCTTCTGAGTCTAGCCACCCAGTGAGTCTACCCAGCTCCAGGCTGGTGCTGGGGGTTGTCTGCACAGAGTCCTGTGATGTGAACTGTCTATGGGTCTCTTGGCCATGGATGCCAGCACCTGTTCCAGTGGAGGGGGGTGCGTGCAATGGTCCCCGTGAGGTTTCTTAGCTTTGGTGGTTTAATGCTCTATTTTTGTGCTGGTTGGCCTCCTGCCAGAAGATGGCACTTTCTAGAGAGCATCAGCTGTGGTAGTATGAGGAGGAACCAGCGGTGGGCAGTGCCCTAAAACTCCCAAGATTATGTGCTCTTTTACTTCTGCTACCAGAGTGAGTAGGGAAGGACCATCAGGTGGGGGCAGGGCTAGGCATGTCTGAACTCAGAGTCTCCTTGGGCAGGTCTTGCTGGGGCTGCTGTGGGGGATGGAGGTGAGAGTCCCAGGTCACTGGAGTTGTGTACCTAGGAAGATTATGGCTGCCTCTGCTGAGTCATGCAGGTTGACAGGGAAGTGGCAGAAAGCTGGCAGTCACAGGCCTCACCCAGCTCCCACGCAAACCAAAGGGCTGGTCTCACTCCCAACGTGCTGCCCCCAACAGCCCCCAGTCCATTTCCAGGTGGAGAGCCACAGAGGCTTGAAAACCTGCCCCAGGCTACCCACCTACCAGCTGCAAAAGAAAGGGCTTGGTTCTTCCACCACTTGTGGAGTCTGCACACCAGATTTGCACCCTCCCCCGAGTTCTGGCCAAGAGGCTTCTCACCCTGTTCAAATTGTTAGAGTTCAGCTAGAGATTTCCTTCTCCCTGTGGAGTTTTACCCCCTGCTCCTCTCCTGTTGGATCCCTGTGGTGCCAGGCAGGAATGGGCTGCTTGGGGACCCAGTGAGCTCCCAGGACCTTTCTGCTGCTTCCTCTACCCCTGTATTTCACTCGGCTCTCCAAATTGACTCAGCTGCAGGTAAAATCGGAAACTTCTCCCACAAACAGACCTTCAGCTTCTCCAGTGGGGGTGTGTGTTCAGGAGAGGAGGGTCTCCCTTTCCCACTTCCTCAGTTGGGGCACTCACAGTTTTGGGGGGCTCTCCCAGGGCCTGCAGGAGCAGTCTGCTTCCTTCAGAGGGTCTGTGGGTCCTCTAGGATTGCTGATTTGTTCTTGCAGTCAATCTGGAGCTAAAATTCACGATGCGAGCCCCGCAGGCTGCTCTGTCTAGAGCTGCAATCTAGTCCTGCCTCCCGTCTGCCATGATGATCCAAACAGTCAGAAAAGAAAGCTGGTCTTAAATTTTTCTACAGGACTTATCTAACCTATAATTCTATAAACATTTATAAATAGATTAATAATTAAATTCTTCACCCTGCCTCTACTAATAGAATATTTGTTGGGATTTTAGTTCTTAAAATTAAATGCCTTCATTTATCCTTTCTTCCTTCTTTTCCTTCTTCACCATATATTTACTTTAGCTGTATGGACAGTTTGGCAACAACCTTAGAGCAAACGTGAATCTGGTGGGTATAAGAGAAAGCCACACAGTTTTATGACCAAACCCTACCTTAAGAGAAGCCCATGAAAAAGAAACAAAATATATGTGAGGTGTGGAGAAGGCTCCTAAAGAACCAGACCATCTGCCTTTTCAGACACCCAGTCTCAGATACAAAATCACTGTGAGAGCCATTGGTTCAGGGACCACAGTATGTTTGGCACTAGGCAGGATTCTGAGGACACAGTGCCTGCCTAGTAGAAGATCAGAGGCTGGACAGGAGAGAGACATGGAAACCAATAATTACAGAGCCATTTGACTAGGGTTGTTGTTGCAGTATGCACCAGATGCAGTGGCTGTGGAAGAGTGTTCACCCTTGACTTAAAAGGCTTTCTTATTCTGGTGTATTAACGTGTACCACATATAAATATTTGCTGGCAGGCTGGGTGCAGTGGCTCATGCCTGTAATCCCAGCACTTTGGGAAGCCAAGGCAGGCAGGTCACGAGGTCAAGAGATCGAGACCATCCTGGCCAACATCATGAAACCCCATCTCTACTAAAAAATACAAAAATTAGCTGGGTTTGGCGGCACACGCCTGTAGTCCGAGCTACTCGGGAGGCTGAGGCAGGAGAACCGCTTGAACCTGGGAGGTGGAGGTTGCAGTGAGCTGAGATCGCACCACTGCACTCCAGCCTGGCGACAGAGTGAGACTCCGTCTCAAAATAAATAAATAAATAAATAAATAAATAAATATTTGCTGACATAAAGTACAGATGGCAAAAGATCCATATGATATACCCACACCATCTTTTCCAGCATTGCATCGTATTGAGCTTTAACTTATCAAATCCTCACATCAGCGCCAAGTTGCAGATCACTACCATCCCATGCTCTTTAGTATTTAATCTCATTTTCCACCTTTAGTTTCCAAACCAACATGGACTTTGTCAGACACCTTCCAGTTTAGGTTGAAGGTCATCACCTGGTCATTTATATTGCTGTGTTCTCAATATAATAGAGGCATATGGCTAATGTGTCCTTAATTGTGTTATTTTCTTGTGCTCTGTTGCTATCGCATCTCCTGAATTTTCTTCAGCCAATTTCTGTCAAGTGCATTTAATTTCTTCTATTTCATTTTAGCTCATTGCCAATATTTTCTTCCCCATAGAGTCAATATTCTGCTGCAGAAATATTTTACACTGATACAAAGATTCACTCTGTGATAGTTTCTTGAAAGTGAAGCTATTCCTTTCTGGAAGGCCCACACAGCCATTGTAAGAGCTGATTTCTTTTAGCTTTTCAGTGTATAGCAACATGCTTTATTCAGTATATCACTGTTCCCATGTTACACTTAATTACATGATAATGTAGACAGTGACACTGTATTCTGGGAAAATAAGTTAAATTACTGTAGCTGTCAACAACAAGTGGCAGAACCCACCGACAATGTCATTTACTCACCCTCCAGTCAATAAAAAATACACCTAAGATCTTAATAGAAAGATCTTCAGGTATGACTGAAAGATCCAAAATCTCTATACTCCTGTGTAATGAAATGCTTTTTCCCGAATGCACTATATTTACTATAGTTTCAACAGTTTCCTCTTTCTTCTCACAAAATGGGGTAAGAACCGTTTATAATATCCTTGGTCTGTAATACAATTGAAATGCTTCATATAGAAATTAGAAAACACTGTGATTGTACTTAGTGTATACTTTTCTAATTTTTTACATTATGAAATTGGTTATATAGTTTTATAAAATTAGTTATATGGTTATACGGTTTTTTTAACCATAGAAACTGAGCAGGTTACTTCCTACCTCCGGGACACAATTTACCTTTTTTTTTATTTCTTTAATTTTTTTAAGTGTATTGTTTCCACAAGTTTCAAGCATTAGTTTTAAGACAGAATTTGTGATTTGGATCTTTTAGGTTAGATAACATCTATATTTTCAGTGAAAATCCTAAATGTACTAAGAAGTGAAGCATTTTTCAAAACTTGATATAGCTTACTCCAGATCTTGATTTTTATAATTTTAGCTATTTAGGGAAAACATTACCAACTTACAAAAAAATAGCACAGCGTTTCATTATGAAATTTGTAGTGCATCAATACCAAATTTCTCCACTAAGATTTTTCAAAGGTGTGTAGGCACCAAATTTCTCCACAAAGATTTTAAAGAGGATATTAGAAGTGGACTTAGAATGCTGGGTGGCAGCTGGTCAAACATGACAGACTTGAACAAATGTGCCAACAAAGCCCTTATGGTTTACTGGGTAATTATGGGAAGTGGCATTGGTGCCAGCCAATCAGATTCCTGGGCAGCTACTTCTAAACCCACTTACTCTTAAAGTAGATCATTAAAAATGCACTTTGGTAGAGAAGCTTTGCTCCTACTCAACATAAATAGTCTATTTGCAAAGTTAGTCATTTGGTCAAAATGCAGCACATCAGTGCTGGTACAGTGAACAACCACCTCTATATTACACAATCATCTTCCATTAAAGGCATTTCAGAGTGAAGCTTTCAAACATGAGAGAAATGAATGGGCCTGCCACGGGCATGCGCCCATCCATTCCTGTCCATAAACCCACATATTGACACACAAAAGCAAGTTCATTCCATTTGTTTTCAGAGCTCTAAAAATTTCACTCCAGAGCTCCTATGTACAGTACAAGTTGAAACACATTTTTAAAATACCAAACAGAGGACAAATTTTTTAATTTGAAAAGACAAATGTTAATTCCTGGAAGCTGGTTAAGTCCATCTCCTCCTGCCAAACCACTAAACAAAGAGGTGATAACTGAAAAGCCTTCCCCCAACACCACCAAAAAAAAAAAAAAAAAGCACTCAAGAAGATTAGGACTTTTTCTTAATGACCTGGAGGTAAATATTCTTAAATATGCAATCATTCATTTCCCAAAACTTACAAAAGCTGAGTTGACTCCAAATACTGCCTTGGGGAAAAGGGGGATTGGAACACATCAAGCAAATCATGAAGATTTTAGCCCAAGACTGGGAAATTGTTTTGGGTTACTATGGGATTTACATGGATTCAAATTTTATTTTCTAATATGACACTTACCTTCATTTCCAGAAGTCAGTAGACATCTAATCCTGAAAGTCAAGCTTCTCAGCCAAGTATTTTAGTCCCCAGAAGAAGTATAGGCATGAAGGACTAGAAAGCTCTGCCAATAAAATCTGACTCATAACCAAGGGTGATGTTCCAAATAGTTAATAACTAGGCACTGGCCAACCACTATGGATTCCGGATGTCACCGCCCTGAAGCAGGGTCCGAGCTCCCTTTGTAGGGAGTTCCAAGGAAGGCTTTGGGTTAGGGGCCAAATTAGCCCAGGCAGCAGAGTGGGTACCCAGGGTCTCAAGAAAGGGACCACTTACCGATCAATCCAGACATTTTTCAATATTTTAACCACTAGTTTGGGCATACCTGTGTATACTGGCTGCACATCAGCTTTGCACCTATCTATATGGAAACATCCATTTTAAAAGGAGCATTTTAAAAGGATACTGGTGACTCACATTGAAAATGTAGATGCTGGCCAAGTGCAGTGGCTCACATCTGTAATCCCAGCATTTTGGGAGCCAAGGTGGGAGGATTGCTCGAGCTCAGTAGTTCAAGACCAGCCTAGGCAATATAGCAAGACCCTGTTGCTACTTAAAAAAAAGAAGAAGAAAGAAGAAAGAAGAAGGAGAAGGAGAAGAAGAAGAAGAAGCAGAAGCAGAAGCCAAAAAAGAAAAAAAAAAGAAAAGAAAGAAAAGAAAATGCAGTTGCTGATCAAATACACCTGAGGTCTTCCCCTCAGAACACAATGAGGAAGGTGGGAGGGCAAGAAAGGAAAGGAAGGAAGAGACGAGTTCAGAAATAGCCCTGACCTATCACAACAACTAAAGGATTTAGCCTGTGGACCTTAAGGAAAAGGAATCAACAGTGACTAGAAGGGAAATCTTCACCAAAAAGGGGCTCGAGGAGGTAAAAGATAGCCTTTTCTCAAGCTGACAAGAATAACAAGTGTGCAGACCTCCAGGAGCAATGAAGTAGGTGCTGGTTTCCATCAGCATCCTAAATCCAATTTGAAACCATCATTTCGTCTTCAAAGTAACAGGTGAAAAAGTTTACACTGAAGACAAAGCACCTGAAGTGGAATCACATCATCAACCTGAGGCTGATGAGGCACTGAATGGATTTTCTATTACATTTCTACAGACTGATCATCTGTCTTAGAGTGAGCTTATTCAGCCTCAACCAAAAACTTTCATATCCAGGCATAGTCATCATCACCTAAGGGCACTGAACTGAAAGATACTCTGAGGAGACGAGGCAGACCATTGGGAAATAGTTTTAACTCATGAAAGCTTATCCCATTTATAAGGGAAAAACCACCCTAGATGAAGCAGCATGAGAAAGCAGCTATGGCCCAGCAACTAGGTTGTCTTAAAGGATGAGCCCTTTACACCATTGCTGTGAGGAAAATGACCTTCCCCTTTCTGAAGCAAACCCAGGTACCAATGGGTGACTGACTTATTAAAAGCACAAAACACTCTATCAGGCAGGCAGAAGAAAATTCATGTACTTCTATTTTCACACAATAGGCCTTAGTAAATGTTGACCAAAAGAGGAAAAGAACAAATATATCCAGCTCAATTTATTGTGTTATTCTGAAGGTAGGGAGTTATGACTTAAAATCCCTTCCCTGAAAACAGCGATGAGGGTAAGATCTACAGATAATGGAGTAGGCAAAGATTCAGTATCAGTCCTGGCAAACCATCATTCCAGAAACCCTTAGGGAGGCCTCGTAGCATCCTGGAGCTCAACAGATTTGGGAAGCCATGACAGCATATCTTTAGATCTAAAGAAAATCTAAGCATCAAAGAAAAGACAATTTGAAGCAAGCCTAACTTAAAGCTGTGCCTTCTTTCTCTGGGGAATATTGATAGACAAGCTTCCAGATCCTAAGTTCTGAAACATTTTTGCAAATGGTATGGATGTGGAGGAAAATCTGTTGTGCTCTGTCATCTGCCCTTAAAGCTTTGCTTCTAGCCACTAGATCACGATCAGACTCCTTGAGAGACTGATACACATATCTCAAAGCAGTGGCATGGTGCATTTCACAGAAAGCCTCTCCCTGGAAGGCAGAGCTCCTTGGAATGGTATCACATTGGCCAGAAACCTTCATTTCCTGCAGTGCAGCATCCATCCAAGAAGTGCTCTCTCCAGGACCAATATTGCCAAGAATAATACAGACAAACATGTTGGCATTCACAAACTTTGAAGGTAGCCCAGAAACTGAGATGCTCAGCCCACTCGCAACAGAAAAAGACATGCTCCCCTACTTTTTGGTCTAGATTAACTACCACATATCTGAGAGGTCTAGCTAGACCACTATTGGTGAGAAAAGGCTGGCACAAGAAATAATACTTTCTTTGAAAAAAAAAAGTCGTTCATACGTAAGAATTGCAGACTTGGGCAAAATCATATCCTACTTCGAAGTGTACCTCCCGACGATGCCAATGATGCTGGTGTAGATCCTGCAAGTGTCTCTGTTCTACTTTGTGACTGAAGCTCAGCACTAAGGAAAAGGATCTCCAGTAGGTCAACTGAAACTAATTGACTGCCCTGAGTCTAGATCCAGTGGAATTCAGACACTTGATAAAGCTGACATGAAGTTTATCTCAGCAAACTTCCAAATGCCCTTGGGCTACAGAGAGTGGAGGTGTGACTGCTCATGGTCCCCTTCCTGAATACCTGTCCCTCAGTCTTTTTAGCAAGGAAAGGAAATATACAGAAGCTACAAGAATTTTGTTTTTTTGTTTTTTGTTTTGAGACAGAGTCTCACTCTGTCACACAGGCTGGAGTACAGTGGTGCAATCTTAGCCCACTGCAACTTCTGCCTCCCTGGTTCAAGCAATTCTCCTGCCTCAGCCTCCAGAGAAGCTGAGAATATAGGCACACACCACCATGCCCGGCTAATTTTTATATTTTTAGTAGAGACAGGGTTTCACCATGTTGGCCAAGGTGGTCTTGAACTCCTGACCTCAGTTGATCCACCCGCCTCAGACTCCCGAAGTGTTGGGATTACAGGCCTGAGCCACCACACCCGGCCTTACAAGAGATTTAAATATTGTCAAGTACTGTTATACTCCCTTCAATTTTGTGCCAGGAAATCTTATAATTTTCTAAACCCCTTTTCACCCTTCTAGGTAACCAGCAATCCTCCAAAATCCTAGATCTCTTTAGTGCTTACATACTCTTCTGGCTAAAATAACTTCTTACTATAAAAAGAGGGAGCATTCTCTTAAATGACAATTTTATTTCAGAACATCATTTCTGTATTTTATTCTATAAATATTCCCTAAGTTCTAAGTGCATTGCTACACCGGGCTAATAGTTTAGCTTATAAGCCTATCAGTAACTGAATTAATGCAATTTCATAAGTGACCAATTTATATTCTAGAAATAATTCACTGTCCTGGACTAATTTAGGCAACTACATTCCCATGCACTAGGCTGAGTTTCATGAGCAAAATTTGCAGATGTTTTATAGCGAGGTTTGAGTTGAAGAAGAGTGGCAGACACCCTGGAAAAAATAATGTTAGACATTGGAATCACAAGGCCATCAAGAGGCAGAGTAAAATTAAGAAAGATGGGCAAGGAGAAAATATCTAAATACCTTTTAAATGAGATTTGAAAAAGAGATGGAGGGGCGATGAGGTGTAAAGATAAGACAAAGGCAAACTTCCAGATTTCCAGATAAACAAGCCGACATCATTCACACCCAATGAACTAGTGATGCAGAGAGGCCATCAAACCTCACAAGGAGCAATGCTTCCCCCTTGCACGTTAATTACAAGAGGAGGTCTAGTACCTGTCTGGAGTATAGCTAGTTAGATTTCTAGTTTTCCATCTCACTGCTCTAAGGAATCATTTATGTTGTCTCAAGCCACCAGAGACTAACGGATATTCCCCACTCCATAAACCAGCCACCACATTCATGTGCTTCCTACAGAGAGGCTGGGGAGGAGAAAATGTATGTATGGATTTCTACATAACCAAAACTACCATCAACACTGATGGTGATACACTGCCATGTAAACCAAGTAGACTTATATATTTCTAAAGTGCTGGTCACCTTAATACGTAGGCAAATATTTATCTGATCAGGTAGTGAGTTTTGTACAAAGCTGCACCAAGAATGAGAAAGAAACTCCAAGCTTCAGTGGGACAAATCCCTGTGTGACAGTAAATTTTTTAAAAACCTGCTTTAGCCTTTAGATCTGCTAAGGTTCCTAGGACAATGAAACATAACTGGCTGCCCAGGCCCCAGATTGGATTAGATAGTCGAAGAGATTGTGACTCCTTCTTTCTACCAAAAATGCCAATTTTCAACCATGTTACTATTTATCAGTAACTCCATCAAGGAAACTTTTTATTAATACTCAGACATTCTAATCTTAAAAGATTTTAAGTAACACCAAAGGAATAGACAAAGGAAAATAAGCAAAACAATCAGTTTATTTTCCTCATGTTTAAAAAAGTCTGAAATAATATTGAAATTATGGATATAATTTCTTTTGGCTTTGACCAACTAAAAAGTTTAATCACTGATTAAAGCTGAGATATCATATTCAACTCAAGATACCAGGCATTCAATGACACTATCTTCTATTCAACTAAGTGGGCCATTCACATTTAAATATAAAGAAAAGAAAAAAAATATATATATATATATATATGAGAAAACATGAAAAATTGAATCATATTATTTTGAATTAAATCCCAAGTTCCATGAAACTAGCACTAGAATAAAAGGAATTATTGGTAATTCTAGCTTTATTTTTATAAAATTCACATTTCTATCCTTGTGGCTTTTCGGTTGATATATATTGGGTGGTGGGGGTTGTTGTTTATTTGTTTGGTTTTTTTGCTAGGACCTGGCTCTGTTGCCCAGGCTGGAGTGCAGTGTCACAGTTACATACTTCACTGCAGCCTCAGACTCCTGGGTCAAGCAATCCTCCCATGTCATTGTCCCAAGTAGCTGGGACTACAGGCATGTGCCAGCACACGTGGATTATTTATTTATTTACTTTTTATAGACTGGGTCTTGCTATGTTGCCCAGGCTGGTCTCAAACTCCTGGCCTCAAATGATCCTTCACCTTAGCCTCCCAAAGTACTGGAATTACAGGTGTGAGCCACCACAGCTCTCCTTTGCTTGTCTTCTGTTGTGTGTGTTTTTTTTTGTTCTCTACTGAGTTTCAGAAAATGCAAGGATGATGATGGCTGAAAATTTTGCTCTACAGCCTAGAACCTAGAGGTTGGCATAACCAAATTTACATGGCAAAGATAAAAATCCAGTTGCAGGGGCCCTCTGACATACTCAGGCTACTTTTGTAATTTCCAATTCAGGAATAGCAAGTTAATCTCAGTTTAAGGCATTTAACTTACCTACTGTAGAGCAAACCTAAGTGCTGTTATGAAATAAAATGAAACTAGACAATTTCTGTGCCTGAATCAACATGAAGGGAGTTGGATCTGCCTGAACAAGGATCCTCTGAAATTCATGGAGAGTCATTTTCCCAACACTGTGGAGAAATCACCATTGTTTTTGGTGGTGAGTGGAAGTGACAGATGGCACTTAACCTTTCTGTTTTTAATAAAATTCTTTGTGAACAAGTCCTCATTTTTAAGGAGACATAATCTCTCCTTTTTATTGTTTTTTTCCTTAAGATAATAAACGACAATTTCACTTTTTAGCCCCTCTCTAATTCTTAAAGAAAGCTGCAAGATGGAAATCATGAGAATAAAAACTCCATGCTAGCTGTGAAAAATGAAAAACAGCAATCTTGCAGCCACTGGAGGAAGCAATGTGTGCTTGGAACTCCCACAAAACTTCATCCCCAGACACTTGTCACTATTTGACCTTCTGAGAGCTGACTGAAAAGCTCCACTCTTGGACTTTCTTTATTTGACATGACTCAGAGCTCACTCTGTGCAAGCAGCCCTATCTACAAGGCATTTGTCAAAAACAATCAATGACAATTGTTTAACGTAGTGGCTGCCTGAGGCAGCATTGCAACTGTGGCTAAAAAGAGGCTGACCAAGAAAACATAAAAGGAAAAATCAGGAAATGAGATGCCCATACAGACTTTGAAAGCGTAAAATATTCCTGAGAGTCAAGAAAGTCATGTAAATGAGCAGGTCTATGTGCATAAACCAGGACTGCACACATGCCCAGAAAGATCTAAGAAGACCATGATCTCTCACCCCTGCTGACATTGAAGCCCTCCTCATGCAGAAAGTGAAGGCTAAGGCAGACTTGTAAATAACCTTTCATGGCATTGAGGGTGTGTTCAAACACAAATACACACACACACACACACAAAGAGAGTTCTTCAGCAAAGGCTGAGAGCCTTATTGGCTCAAAGTAATTAAGTAAATCTGTCTAATCATTAGATGATCACTAAGCTAATCAAGCAAAGACTTCAGTGGCCACATACACCCTTATAGACTTTACACAGACTTTACAGAATACTAGCCCAGAAACATCAGTTAATAAACAAACCAATAGGAACAACAAAAACTCTTGGGGGATGGGAGAGGAGTGAAGAGGAATGTGATTTCCAAATTTGTTGCATTATATAATTTCAATTGCCAGATTTCAACAACAACAACAAAAAGCTACAAGATATGCAAAGAATGGGAAAGTATGACATACGTTTTTAAAAATTAGTAATAGATGCTCTTCCTAAGAAAGCCCAGATGTTAGACTTAATAGACCAAGACTTTAAAATACATTTTCCTGAATTACATGAAACAATGTAATTATAAAAGTTCTTAAAAGCAAGAAGGAGAACAAAAGAAGTGGTCAGAGTGATGCAATGTGAGAAGAACTCAACCTCCTGTTGTTGGCTTTGATGGTGAAAGAAAGAAGCCAAAAGCCAAGGAATGTGGGCAGCCTCTAGAGGCTGAAAAAAATGCAAGGAAACAGATTCTCCCATAAGCCCTGTCAGGCTGCTGACACTTATTACAGCCCAATGAGACCTGTGTCAGACGCCTAACCTTCAGACCCACAGATGATAAATTCGTATTGTTTTACACCGCTAAGTGTGTGGTAACCCATTACAGCAACAACAGAAAACCTGTTATGAATAAGCCAGGCACAGAAAGACAAACATCACATGTTCTCACTCATATGTGGGAGCTGAAAAAGCTGATCTCACGGAAGTAAAGAGTAGAATGATGCTTACCAGAGGCTGGGAAGGATGTGAGTTGGTTAATGGGTACCAACATATAGTTAAATAAAAGGCATAAGTTCTATTCAATAGCACAGTAGGGTGACGATAGTTAACAATAATTCATTATATATTTCAAAATAGCTAGAAGATGTGAAATGTTCCCAACTCAAAGAAATAATAAGCATCTGAGGTGATGGATATCCCAAATACCCTGATTTGATCACTACACATTACATGTATGTGTCAAAAGATCATGTGTACCCCATTAATATGTACAATCATTATGTATCAGTAAAAAAAATTTAAGTAAAAAGTAAAATTAATTTTGCTAATATATTTTATGGCAGGGCTCACACCTGTAAGCCCAGCACTCTGGGAAGCTGAAGCAGGCAGATCACTTGAGCCCAGGAGTTGGAGACCAGCCTGGGCAACATGGTGAAACCCAGTCTCTACAAAAAATACAAAAATTAACCAGGCATGGTGGTGCACACCTGTGATCTCAGATACTCAGGAGGCTGAGGTGGGAGGATCACCTGAGTCAGGGAGGTCGAGGCCACAGGGAGCTGTGATCTGTTCCACTGCACTCCAGCCTGGGCAACAGAGTGAGACCTCATCTCAAAAAATATACATATATTTTGTATTTTACCCAATATATCAAAAATATTATTTCAATAAGGAATCAATATAAAAATGATTAAAGCAATCTTTTACATTTTTTAAAAGCCAATTACAGATTTTGGTAATGAGAGTGAGGTGCTGATGTAACAAATACCTGAAAGTGTGGAAGTGACTTTTGGCTTGGGCAGTGGACAAAGGCTGGAAACATTTTGAGGAGAACAATAGAAAAATCCTAGATTCCCATGAACAGATGAGAGTCTGTTCAAGAAATATGGACATTAATGACGCTGTCAGTGAAGCCTGAGAAGGAAATAGGGGAGCATGGTAGAGAAAGCATATATCACCTTAGAAAGTTGCTCAGGAGGCTGGGCACAGTGGCTCACGCCTGTTATCCCAGCACTTTGGGAGGCCGAGGCGGGTGGATCATCTGAGGTCAGGAGTTCAATATAGGCCTGGCTAACATGGTGAAACCTCACCACTAGGAAAGTATAAAAATTAGCAGGACATGATGGCAGGTGCCTGTAATCCCAGTTACTCAGGAGGTTGAGGCAGAAGAATCACTTGAACCCAGAGGCGAAGGTTGCAGTAAGCCAAGATCGTGCCATTGCACTCCAGCCCAGGCAACAGAGCGAGACTCCGTCTCAAAAAAAAAAAAAAGAAAAGAAAAGAAAGTCGCTCAGTAATCATTAACAGACTGTTGGTAGGTTTAGAGGAAAAACTGTTCAGCAAAAATGTAACCAGTTAACCAGGACTTGCTGGTTTGGGGGATTTTCAGCCTTTCTGGATTGCAATTGATGCTAAAATTTAAGACTTTCACTGGCAGTAGAGAAAAAAAAGCTGAGCATGTGGATGCATAAACTTTTGCTAATACCTCAAAACCATCAAAAGGTCAAGGTATTTAGTCATATGTCACAAAAAAGATTAAGTGTGTGACTAATACATCTCTTCAGCCTTCTCAGGAGAAGCCAAAAATAAAGATGAGATTGTCTAAGAAAGATTTTGGAGGACCTCTTGTCTAATGGAGTGAATCTCCAGTGCATGTGACATATACTGGAGACCTACAAGGTTCTTGAGAATTTTAAATACGAGCAGAAACATTGCCATCTTAGATCTAAAAGGACAAATAGAGTACAAAATGAAAGATGGCTGTTGGACAACCAAAAGTCTACAGGCAGGAAACTGATAAAACTACTCAGTTGCAAAAATGTGCTACTTTTTCTGAAAAAGAAGAGGTAACTCAGAGCTGAGAGCCTAGAGAGTAGGACCCAAGCTACAGACAGGTATTCTCAGGCCTTGAAACCCAATAAAGTTTTCTCATTGAATTTCTTTTGGTTTTTTTTTTTTTTTTTTTTGAGATGGTGTCTTGCTCTGTTGCCCAGGATGGAGTGCAGTGGCTTGATCTCAGCTTACTGCAACCTCTGCCTCCCAGGTTCAAGTGATTCTCCTGCCTCAGCCTCCCGAGTAGCTGGGACTACAGGCACCCACCACGCCCTGCTACTTTGTTGTATTTTTAGTAGAGACGGGGTTTCACCGTGTTAGCCAGGATGGTCTCGATCTCCTGACCTCGTGATCCACCCAACTCGTTGAATTTTTTAATTACTTGGGTCTAGTGGCTCCTTTTTTTTATTCCATGGCTTCTCTTTTTGAACAGAAATGTCTAAAACTGCTATCCTATGCCAGTCCCACTATTGCATCTTGTATGCAGATCATTTGTTTTCTAGTTTCACAGGTCGATAGATGGAGATTAATTTTGCCCCAGGATGGATTACCACCAGACCCTCACCCATACCTGATTTAGATTATTTAGATAATCAAATTTAGAATGGTTGAGCTAATAAGATGTAGATGAGATTGTGGAGTTTGGGGTGATGCTGTAATGAGCTGAGAATTAAAGACATATGTCCTCGCAAAAATGGGTACAACATGGGTGAACTTTAGAAATGTTATGCTAAGTTAAAGAAGCCATACACAAAAAGCCACATAGTGTATAATTTCATTTTTGTGAAATTTCCAGAATATGCAAACACGTAGAGATAGAAAGTAGATTGGTGGTTGCCAGGGGCTAGGGGAAGGTGAATGACTGCTATGGCTATGGGGTTTCTTTTTGAGATTATGAAAATATTCTGGATTAGATAGAGATAATGGATGCGCAGCTCTGTGAAAATACTACAAACCATTGAATTGTATATTTAAAAGGGTACACTTTATGGTATATGATCTATTTCTTTTTTTTTTTTTTTTTTTTGAGGTGGAGTCTCACTCTGTTGCCCAGGCTCGAGTACAGTGGCGTGGTCTCAGCTGACTACAACCTCCGCCTCCCAGGTTCAAGCGATTCTCCTGCCTCAGCCTCCAAAGTAGCTGGGACTACAGGCGTGGGCCACCACACTCAGCTAATTTTTTGTATTTTTAGTAGAGACAGGGTTTCACCCTATTGGCCAGGCTGGTCTTGAACTCCTGACCTCGTGATCCGCCCTCCTCGGCCTCCCAAAGTGCTGGGATTACAGGCATAAGCCACCGCACCTGGCCAACATATTTCAACAAAGCTGTTATTTTTTTAAAAGTTAATGCTTATCAAAATGTTCTTTGGTGATCATAAAAACTTTTATTTCGAGAATAAAACTTTCATTATATCTTGCTAACAACTTCTAACCTTCATAAAGAAGGACTAAAAATATGAGATTTCATTTTGTTTCTTATCATGCTTAAAATCTAGTTTTTAGTTTGTGTATATTCAAAGCCATAAATATTGAGTTTTTCATTTTTATTCATTCATTCAAGAAACATTTGTTGAATGGCTATTATAAATTAGGCACGAGATCATGTACAAAAATGCAGTGATAATCTTTGTCCTTAAGGAGGTTCATAAAGGACTTTTCTAAATAAACAGAAAATAAATGTTAAGATGCCTTGAGATGGCCGGGCATGGTGGCTCACGTCTGTAATCTCAGCACTTGGGGAGGCGGAGGCGAGCAGATCACCTGAGGTCAGGAGATCAAGACCAGACTGACCAACATGGAGAAACCCTATCTCTACTAAAAATACAAAATTAGCTGGGCATGGTGGAGCATGCCTGTAATCCTAGCTATTCAGGAGGCTGAGGCAGAATTGCTTGAACCCAGAAGGCAGAGGTTGTGGTGAAGTGAGATCGCGCCATTGCACTCCAGCCTGGGCAACAAGAGCGAAACTTCGTCTCAAAAAAAAAAAAAGATGCCTTGAGATATATGTGCAAACTGCCACGATCACATCTTCCCGCTTACTTTCATGTGTTCATATGTGCTCTAACTTCTCTCAGGTTTCTTCAAATTACGTCTGTTCCCTAAGCCCAAGTTCATGTTTCATACACAGTTATTTCTGCAGCAAGTATTTCCCTCTCTCCTGCATCATCAATATTCCCTAGATGTTTCCTACTAGATTATTTCCATCACCATGCAAACCTGCAGATATTTCTCCTTTATTCTTTTAATTTCTTTTGACTTCAATTCTCTTTTTCAGCTGCTACTATTTTTCTTTCCTTCTATTTATAGTAAAACTTCTTGAAATAGTTGTTGGTACTGTGAAAGTTGTCAGAATCAAAATGGAGTCACTTGTGTAAAAAAAAAAAAAACCTGAAAAACAGCCAGGAAAGGTCATGAAGGGAGAGTTCTTATGCACAAATGCCTGATAACAAAACTACCATCAAAGACTGAAACACAACCTTGCACAAAGTCCATCACAATCTAACACATAAAAAATACTTCTTCGAGGACATATGCCCAGCAACTGCCTGTCCAACATTGGGCTGACACCATCCTTGCTATTGATCTTTGCAGCCAAAGATAATTATCTCAGAGGAATTATATAATCCTCCTCTTTTTTTCTTTTAAAAAGCTTTCTCTTTCTTTACCTCCCTGAATACACACATAGTTTACTGAAGTATGCATATGCCTTGCAATGCCCATTCCCAAATAGACATTATTTTCTTTTAGAAAGTCACCCTCTCTGTTTGCTATTTTTGATGATAGTACTCTGTTTCTTCCTATTTCTCCATTCTCATTTTCTCTTGAGTACATACCAGTTTTCACTCCTACTGATTCACTGAAACTATTTAACGTCACCAGTGATTCAAACACCGCATGCTCCAGGTTTTACCCCTGCTTTTGACTGTTTCTT
The DNA here is from genome assembly GCF_000001405.40 of Homo sapiens. Lineage (NCBI taxonomy): Eukaryota > Metazoa > Chordata > Mammalia > Primates > Hominidae > Homo > Homo sapiens. The sequence continues at coordinate 65,523,493 of NC_000008.11, forward strand.
CTAAATTTCTTTTGCAGATAAAAGATACATAACAAGTGTTGGTGAGGATGTGGAGTAAAGGGAACACTTGTACACTGTTAGTGGGAATGTAAATTAGTACAATCCTTATGCAACTCAGTAGGGAGTTTCCTCAAAAAAATTGAAAACAGCACTATCATAAAACCCAGCAATCCTACTGCTAGGTGTATATTCAAAAACTATAAAAATCAGCATATCAAAGAGATATCTGCACTCCTTCGTTCATTTCAGCATTGTTCACAATAGCCAATATATGAAATCAATCTAAGTGTCCATCAACAGATGAATGAATAAAGAAAATGTGGCATATATACAAAATGGAGTACTAGTCAGCCTTCAAAAAGAAGGAAATCCTATCATTGATGACAACATGGATAAACCTGCCAGACATTATGTTAGGTGAAATAAGCCAGGCACAGAAAGACAATTCCTGCATTATCTTACTTATATGTGGACTCCAAAAATTCAAACTCAAGGAAGCACAGAGTAGAATGATAGTTATCAGAGCCTGGGGGCTAGATGGATTAGGAAGATGTTAGTCAAACAATACAAAATTTCTGTAGAATGGGAGAAATAAACTCAGGAGATCTATTGTACAAATAATGACTATAATTCATAATAATGTATTATATACCTAAAAATTGCTAGGAGTAGATTTTAAATGTTCTCACCACAATAAATGAGAAACATGTGAGGTAATGGACATGTTAATTAGCTTGATTTAGCCTTTCCACAATGTATACATAAATTAAAACATCATGTAGTATACCACAAATACGTGCAATTTTTATTTGTCAATTAGAAAATAAATACAATTTAAAATTAAAAAAATAAATCTCTTTTGTCCCAGATATTTTTTTTTACTCAACTCTTCTATTCTAAGGAAACTCTAGAGATTTCAATCTCCCCAATCTTGGAATGTTGGAAAGCCCTAGAGCTCCGTTCTTGGTCTTATTCTATCTATATTCATTCTCTATTTTCTCTCATCTGGTCACATGATCTTAAATATATCCTTTTGCCCCAAATGTATATCTATAACCTGAACCTCTCCCCTGAACTCCAAACCTGTATATCCAGTTGCCTACTTGATATCAACAATCGATGCCTAATAAGCATCTCAAGGTCAATATGGCCAAAATGAGCTCTTGAGATTCTTCCAAAACAATTCCTTCACCTATAGTCTTCTGCATCTCATTGAAAGTAACTCTATCCTTCCAATCACTCTAGCCTAAAAACTCACCTCCCCCCTTTTTTTCCCAACTCCTACATCTGGTCCTACCATCTGCAAATCCTATCAGTAGTACCTTCAAAATAAAATTCATCAAAAGCTCAAGTACTTTTCGTTATCCCCACGGTCTCCATTTTGATGCAACAGTCGTCTCCCTTCTGGATTAGTTCAGTAACCTCCTAACTAGTCTCTCTCCTTTAGCCCCTGTCGAATCAGCCTTTTTTCAACCCAGACACATCATATTACTTTCATGCTGAAAACCTGCAAATTGATCCAGCTCGCTCAAAGTCTTTACCATTACTTAAAAGATCCTACATGGTATGGCTCTCCATTACCTCACATGTCTCCTCTCTGCCACTCATCTTCCCTCCAACCACACTGGCCCTCTGCACTTCCCTGAACCCCTCAGGCACGTTTCCACATCAGGACCTAGATGCTTGCTTGATCCTCTGCCTGGGATGTCCTTCTCTGAGACAGCTCCCTCACTTTATCCATATCTTTATTCAAAATGTACCTTCTTAGTGAGGCCTCCCCTGGCCACCTTATCTTAGTTCAATATTCCCCGGCAATTTACATCTTTTTACTCTTTGAGTTTTTGCGGTTATCACTAGAACTATATTTGACTCCTGTATTTTATTCATCTTCTTTCTCCCTCACTAGAGTGTAAGCTCGGTAGGGACAGAAATTTTGTCCATTTTGTTCACAGTGTACCCCCAATGCATGCATGAGAGAGTCAGGCTGTGTGCAAGTCACATAGTGCTCAGAAATGAGTTATTGAATGATTCATAAATGAAGAAATACAGATGTTTTTATGAAAACAATGAAGATGGAGAATGGAGTTATCTTAAGGAAGAAAATGATAATTCATTATTGGATACAACCATAATTTGTCTCTCATATTGTGAAGAATTCTACAACAATCCTGATTCTTACTGCTCTTTGAAGCTCCAACGCATGTTTCATCTTTTTCATGAATTCTTCCCTCACGGACTTAGTACTCAGGGATTCTCACCGTTGCCCACCTCCTAAACCCTTACAGTCAGCATTAACCACTTACCACTTAAAGGCCTTGTATGGTACCTTAGCTGTACATGTGTAAGTGTGTGGGTACCTTTGCAAATTCTTTTTCCAGCCCAACTGTCATCTTTTTGAGAATACGACCCTTATCTTATACTTCCATGTATCCCTTTCTTCCCTCCACTGAGAACTCCTGTAATTCTGTGTATGTCTTTTATCTGTGTTTCCTGGATATGAGGGGGACCAGAGCATCAAGATGTTTTTAAAAGTCAAGATTCACCAGGGCTCAGAGCGCTGGACATTCCTAGAAGTCTACCAGGAGAAACATCTCTGAATAACAGGGGAAGGTAAGAATGGCAACATTAGGATTGCAGTTTTTCTCTTTTTTCTTTTTTTCTTTTTTTCTTCCCCCAACCCCTGCCAATTATTATTCTTTTTTATTCTGGTAACATAACATAGATAAAATTTACCATCTTAACTATTTTTAAGTACGGTTCAGTGGTATTAAGTGCATTCCCACAGTTGTGAACCATTATCCCCGTCTCTTTCTTACATAAGCCTTTTTAGATGTCTGCTTCAGAAGCAAGTTAAAGATTTTCATATTCTTCCTTACATGGCACCACTACATCAGTGGCAACCCCTAAATTCCTGGGAGCCAAGCTGCCCTTCATTTTTTGTTTTTGTTGCTTGTTTGTTTGTTTGTTTGTCTGTTTTCTAAAGCTACCTCAGGAATTTAAGGCACCATAATTACTGAAAAGGGATCCTGGCACTGGACATGCTAACTAGATAGGAATAGGCAAATACAGAAAACCATCAAAAAGTGTCAAGTAACAGCAAGCTTGGCAAATAACATTTAAAACTGTTCCAAATAAAATTAAAGATAACTTCAAGTAATTTTACATTACCAAGAAAGCTTCATTGCAACAAAGTTTGTTTTCATTACCCAAAGGTTATTTTATAAATTTATTACAAGTATTTCACAACAAGTAGTTTATTACAAGTATTTCACAACAAGTAATTTTGTACAACAGATGTTTTCCCCTCATCCTTGTCCATTTAACAGTTGTCCTCTATGATGAGTTACCTCATTCTATGTTCCCAGTAATTGCAGGCCAGGCAAACCAAGTGAGGTTGCTGAGCCATTGTAACCAACCTCTTTACCTCTCCACTGGCCTCCAGCAAGTAGCATTTCCCCTTAATCTCCTATTCCTCTCCCTGTAAAACATTTCAATAGTTTTTTTTGTTTTGTTTTGTTTTTTGCTTTTTTGTTTTGTTTTGTTTTGTTTTTTTGAGACAGAGTCACTCTGTCGCCCAGGCTGGAGTGCAGTGGCACGATCTCGGCTCACTGCAACCTCCGCCTCCTGGCTTCAAGTGATTCTCCTGCCTCAGCCTCCTGAGTAGCTGGGATTACAGGCGTGTGCCACCATACCCAGCTAATTTTTATATTCTTAGTAGAGACAGGGTTTCACTATGTTGTCCAGGTGGGTCTCGAACTACTGACCTCAAGTGATCACCCGCCTCGGCCTCCCAAAGTGCTGGGATTACAGGCATGAGCCACCATGCCCAGCCCTCAATAGGTTTTTTAAAAACAAACTCATAAGTTATTTACTAAATACATAGACATAAGTCCAGAAGAAGGCACTGGGAAAAGGTATTGTCTGTGTAATACAAATTTGCAGTCCAGGGCAGTCCTCCTCAGGAAGCCATATTTGCAGCACTTCAAAGCAAAGACTTTGAGCCATGCAGGCTTCAGTTCCCATCCTGATCCCTCCATGCGTGAGCTGCACAACTCAGGAAAGACACCGTATCTCTGAACTTCACCTCCAGCCACTGGAAAATGGAGTGTAATAGCAGTAGTTACTTCTCATGATGTTTGTAAAGGTTAAATGCAATAGGTGCAACTATAGCTCTAAGTTCTGTGCCCATACACAGTAAAATGTTTGATAAGAATTTATGAAGTATACTAATAAATAATTATTTGTATTATTATTATGTAAGAGGAAGAAAAAGCAGCAGCAATATAAAAATCAATCATCACTCTTGAAGTGGGGAGAATAAATTTTAAACTCCACCCCTTCAATAACAAACTGTGAGTAGGAAAAAAAAACTGCTTAAGAATTTGATCACAGTCTGGGCAACATAGCAAGACTCTGCCTCTACAAAAAATTTAAAAATTAGCCAGGTGTGGTGGTGCTACAGGTAGGTGGTCTGTAGTCCTACCTACTCAAGCGGCTAAAGTGGGAGGATCCCGTGAGCCCAGGAGTTCAAAGTTGCAGTGAGTCACGATCATGCCACTGCACTCCAGCCTAGGTGACAGAGTGAGACTCTATATCCAAAGGGGAAAAAAAATGATCATCAAGAATTTGATTTTCTTTCTCCAAAAATCAAAGCTTTTACCAGTTCTTCATATCACATTTCCACCACGCCCAGCTAATTTTTTTATTTTTATTTTATTTTAGTAGAGACGGTGTTTCACCATATTGGGCAGGCTGGTCTTGAACTCCTGGCCTCAGGAATTCAAGAACTCGGCATCCCAAAGTGCTGGGATTACAGGCATGAGCCACCACACCCGGCCTAATTTTTGTATTTTTAGTAGAGATGAGGTTTCACCATGTTGGCCAGGCTGGTCTCAAACTCCTGACCTCAAGTGATCTGCCTGCCTTGGACTTCCAAAGTGCTGGGATTACAGGCATGAGCCACCACACCCAGCCCCTACAACCTTCCTAACAGTCTGTTGTATGCATTGCCTTGTCGGTGGTGCATGAGGCAACGAGGAAGCAGGCACTGGGGCTGATCTGGGGTCATGTGGGCAGGAAAAAGCCAGGAGCCAAAGGACAGGAGATTGGTGAGGAGAAAATGAAATAAAAGAGCTAATACGAATTATGAGTTAAAAAGGCAGGAGAGAATAGAAGCTCTAACAAGAATCCTAGAAAGTACTGGGGAGGGCACTTGACAGACAACATGTGACGAGATGAAAGCTTCAGTTACGCTGTTTGGAACAGATGTTAAAGAAAAATAGGAAGGCTGGAGGACTCGGGGATACTATGATTACAATTGTTAATTCACATATCTCCTGCTAACTTAAAATTTTATGCAACTGTTCACTTATATTTGGTCAGATCTAATTACAAAATGTTAGCTAAGAATCATCAGTTAGGAAGTTAAAATTTACAAGGATATTTTACTTAAAACCTGTGGACAAGGTGATTATTTGATCAAAACTCTTACATTTAAATAAGTGCAAAAGTACAAATCAGTAACTATTTTAAAATATCATATAATATATTAAAAGCATGCCAGGCGTGGTGGCTCACACCTATAATCCCAGCACTTTGGGAGGCTGAAGCTGGAGGATCGCTTTAGCCCAGGAGTTTGGGGCAAGTCTCTACAAAATTCAAAAATTAGCCAGGTGTGGTGGTATTCACCTGTAGTCCCAGCTACTCAAGAGGCTGAGGCAGAAGGATCACTTGAGCCCAGGAATTCGAGGCAGTGAGCTGTGATCACGCCACCACACTCCAGCCTGGGCAATAGCAAGACCCTGCCTCAAAAAAATAAAATAAAAACTAATATGTGTATATATGTGTGTGTATATACATGTATTTATGTGTGTGTGTGGGTGTGTATATATATATATGTATATATATGTGTGTATATATATATATATACACACATATATATACATATATAAAGAGAGAGAGAGAAAAAGCAAAATTGATGAAAATTGATGTAGGAATCAGCCTAAGTCAATGCAAATTTCACTTTTGCTGCTTTGTGTGAGTTGGAAAACTCATTTAAGCTGGGGAACTTCCATGAGTCTTATCTGTCAGTGAGGACAAGGAAGCCCTGGTCTGTCAGGCTGGACATACACAACCCTCATACCTGACCCCACCATTCATTCATTAGTGGGCTCCCTCCATTATTGAAGCTGCCATCTCTCCAGCCCTCTTGGATTTTTTTGGACTCTCCAAAATCCTCTGTGGATTTTTTTTGACTTGAACATCCCTTAAGAGTCTGGGCCTGGCTCATTCATTCAGTTTCTGCAGCTCCTTCACTCCACCCCTCCCCACTGCCTTGGACATGGACTTCCTGCTGCAGACACCATTCCTGCCACGGCACCTGCTCGTGCCCAAGAAGCCCAGCCTCAGGAAGTAGACAAGATTTTGACAATAACACCCACCACTAGGTTCCCATGATAATCAAATGAAATCATGTCTACAGAAGTTTTGTATAAAAATAAGGCTTTAGAACATGATTTTGTATTAGTCGTCACAAAAAGATGCCTAAATACCCCATGTTTTATATTAAGTCCTTCCAGCTTGGATTTAAATATATATATGCTAATCTACATAGTGTGCTTTCAGTTGCTATTTCTCTTGTGATGACATTCTCAACAGAATCCTCCTTAACTAAGATTTTAGCACCTTAGTCCAGGACATAAGTTCTACTAGATGGTTCCAGGTGCCAAGTCATTTGGTAGCTGTAACTGAGCAACCCATCATCCCTGAGGTTTGTGTAAAGTTGATGTACTGGGGTATTCTAAGTAAGAAACAGAATTTTGCCAATCATTGAAAGTTAAAATAGCTGAGCATGGTGGCTCATGCCTGTAATCCCAGCATTTTGGGAGGCTGAAGGAGGCGGATCACTTGAGCCCAAGAGTTTAAGACCAGTCTGGGAAACATGTCAAAACCCTGTCTCTATAAAAAACACAAAAATTAGCAGAGCATGGTGGCACATGCCTATGGTCCCAGCTACTCAGGAGGCTGCATTAGGAGGATTATTTGAGCCCCGGGAGGCGGAGGTAAAGTAAACTGAGATCTCACCACTGCACTCCAGCCTGGGTGATAGAGTCAGACTCTGTCTCAAAAAAAAAAAAAAGGTTAAAATTATTTTAAAATTGTCAAGACATTTAGTATTAAATTCATTACTGGATAAAGAAATAGTCAACATAGCATTTGTAGAGGGCAATTGCGAGCACTTTCCGGGAAACTAAGTCTATTCTCACAGACTCTGGTTAGCCGGTTTCATTAAGGCTGTCTTTCCTACCCAAACACTGTCCCGTCCGTCAGTTACAGTCACTGGCTGACTCAGCCGCAAAAGCTCCCTGTCATTTCTGGACAGGATTCCGACAGCTTCCAGAGCATCAATTCTGTCACTAACACTTATTTCTCTCCAACCTACATAAGATTGTATTAACTTAACCAGGCTAGAGACCTTCTTGTTCTGTTAAGATCAACCTTTAGGCCAGACTGTCCTCGCTCTGAGTTTTTCTGCAGGGTCCACTTCAAGGTCTCTCCTTCCTGCTCCCTCTCAGCTGCCTCAGTCAGTGACTCAGTTCATGGTAGTCACGCTCGAGAACACACAAAAAAATGTTTCCCTCGGTTAACACTCCATTAGCTTTGGAGGTGAATTACTTTAGAGGTGGGCTTCTGCTAAATTATAACTGGCACATTCAGGTCAATTTCCCCTCCTCTATCTATTCTGACATATTTCTCTCTGGGGCAGTAAGAACTGCCACTTCTCTCCCAGAACCACCCGCTTTGCTTCTGCACAGGTGGTGCCCAGGTGCCGGAGCTGCCCAGGTGGGGGAGCATTCCAAACTATCTCCCTTGAAGAACACTCATACTTCCAAGTGTCCCTCATGTATGTCATGAAAACTCACACAACACTGAAGATGCATCATGGTTATTTTCCACACAGAGGATACCCCAGGACCTTTTGCTGATTTCTGTAGAAATAACACAATATGCGTTAATGTTTGCTAATAATAATTAAGCTCAGTGAACGAGTCCATGTAGGATATCATGTAAAATTGACTGGACTTGGAAACTAACTGGAAATGGAGATGAGAGAGGTTTTACAAAAGGTTGAGTAGAGTGAGGAGGCGGGTGGTGAAGCCTTTACATGAAAATGGAATTTCAGGAGTGGGAGCAGGGTGGGAGAGGGATTGAAAGGTGGAGGAGCAGGGGAATAGCAGGGAATAAAATTGATTTTAGATATGTTGTGTTTGAGATACCTACAAAATGAGAATTGAGAACTGAAATGTAAAAGAAAGGTAGAGGCTGGAGAAACTGATTTGAGAATGATCATCATAAGAGATTATTCCTGAAGCCAGGGAAGTAGTTGAGAATTGCAGAAAAAAGAAGACAGAGGAAGAAAAGAGAAAGCTAATCTGTAAGACATGTTGCCATGCTTCTTTTGTCTGTCCCCTTTTGGGCACAAGTCTATTTATGGAAGAATGAGTAAGTGTTGTGACTAGAGAGAGCTTAGGATGGATGGAGAGACAGAGCACAGTACAAGAACAAGACTGAGGAGGACACATTTCAGTTAAGAAAGTCCTTATTTTCTCAGCTTTATCATTAGAAGTTAAGCCATTCTCTTAACACCAACCAGGAATTCAGTAGTAAATTAATTCCCAGAATATGAATCAGTCAGCACAGCAATTGTGGAGAGAAATTGCAAGCACTTTATGCTAAGTCTACTCTCATACCCAGTAAAATACACAAGTCCTGCTAAAACTGTCTGCATCACCCATGCCCCCACAAACTTATTTATTCACACTGGACAAGGAAGCTTAGTAATCTACTAGACAGATCCAGAAAACAAAACTCTACTCTATCTGTGGTTAGACAATAAAAACCCAATTTATTTTTTTTCTACAAGATCTCAGAAAAGTCCACCTAAAATTTTGCATGCGAGCATTGATTTGTTCAATCACAATCATTATTTTCCCCATGATAACAAAATCTAGATTGGAAATGTTAACTTTCACTTTAAAGTTATTCAACTGTACTCGATACTAGCGCCAAGGAACGTGGTTTCTACCTGCTATTATATCAATCATACTGTAAATTTATAGAATTATAACAGTCTTGTGTCTAGGTTAAGTCTGTACTAGTATTGCCCAATAAAAAACACAGATTACTGGTTCAGTAATCTGTGTTTCATCTCACTGGACACTCAAGGTTCTCCCACATGGGACTTTTTACCAAGCCCTACAACAATTCGGTAGAGTCTCACTGAAAGTTGCTATTCTGTGCATCTCCTTTTGTTAACATGACTATAAAAGAAAAGAAGAGAATGACACACAGGCATCAGGCCAGGCGCGGTGGCTCACGCCTTTTATCCCAGCTCTTTGGGAGGCTGAGGCAGGTGGATCACCTAAGGTCAGGAGTTGAAAACCAGCCTGGCCAACATAGTGAAACCCCATCTCTACTAAAAATACAAAAATTAGCCAGACGTGGTGGTAGGCTCCTGTAATTTCAGCTACTTGGGAGACTGAGGTGGGAGGATCACTTGAGCCTGGGAGGTTGAGGTTGAAGTGAACCGACATTGTGCCACTGCATTCCAGCCTGGGTGACAAAGTGAGACCCTGTTTCAAAAAAAAAGAAAAGAAAAGAAATACAGGCATCAGATACATCTATTGTTTTTCTTGCCCTCCTCTCTGCTTCATCTTCTCTCTCCTTGAATCTGACCCATTCACACTCCCAGATTTTCTTATTGGGCTGGTTTGTTATTAATAGTTTCAGGCTCAGCTGTTTAGCATAGAGACTCCTAAACACAACTCTTTTTTTTTTTCTCTCTCTCTCTCTCACCCAACCTGATGATGGACAGTCCTGAGAGTCAGCAGCTCTGCTCCCTGAGATCATGCAGGGACCCACATTCTTTCTACCTTCTTGTCCCCACTGTATCCAAAAGTTGCTGTTTACACACCCATTTTCAAAGCTAGCTAACCACCACCATGGCCTGCAAAAGGAGGAAGGAGAAAGTGGAGGTAGCACATTTCACTTCTGCTCACCCCCCACTGGCCAGAGGTTGGGAAATATAGTCCCTAGCCGGACAGCCTGTGCTCACTGAAATTAAGAGGTATATAGGGGTTTTTTAACTGAAGAAGGAGGGAACGGACTTTGCAGGACAATGAGCAGTCTCTACAACAGCTAGTTCAGATTTAGGCTTAGAAATGCCAGGCTCAGCTGGGCACGGTGGCTCACACCTATAATCCCAGCACTTTAGGAGGCCAAGGCAGGTGGATCGCTTGAGCCCAGGAATTCGACACCAGCCTGGGCAACATGGCGAAACCCCATCTCTACAAAAAATACAAAACTTATCTGGGCACGGTGATGCACACCTGTAGCCCCAAGTGAGAATCTCACCTCAGCCCCCTGACCCCCGAGAACAGGGGCCCGAATACAGAGGACGGGGGTCCAAGTACAGGGGTCAGCAGGCCAAATACAGAGGTCAAGGGGCCGAGTACAGGGTTCAGGGGGCCAAGTACAGCGGTCAGGGGGCTGAGGTGCAAGGATCACTTGAGCCCAGGAGGCAGAGGTAAGCTAAGACTGCACCACTGCACTCCAGCCTGGGTGACAGAGTGAGAACCTGTCTCAAAAAAAAAAAAAAGAAAATGCCAGGCTCACCCCGTCAGATCACAAAGACATAGACATTTTTCATATTAGATCTTTGAGAAGGCTCAGCTATGGGTGCAGTATTAATCATGTCTCCAGGAAAGATATTATGTCTCAGGTATTGTGCCAAATACTTTATATACATGAACTCATATAACCCTCACAGCAAACATGGGATGTGGATACCCTCACAGCAAACATGGGATGTGGATACCACCATTCTCATTTTAGACATAAGAAAAGATGTATTTAGAGTAGTAAGGCAATTTTTCCAAGCTCAGACAGCTAAGTGGCAGCAACACGGGACAGGGTAGAGGGAGGTGGTAGATTTGAAATAAACTAGACAATTGGGCAAAGCTTAAAGCTAATGGGAATGGGATTGAAAGTCAGGCCTCCATGAGGTACTAGAGTGTGGACCAGGAACCAAGGACAATGGCAGAAGGCCATTCAGCTTGGATGACCCATGATGCCAGGATTAAATAAATAAGCCCTGGCCTGATTCTCACTAAGACACTGAGCAAGGGATGTGCTTACCCAGGGGCCCACCAAACCCTGAATCTAGTAGTAACTCACCTCTTCTGCCCCAGCTCACTGGGTGGGGAAACTCCTGCATGGTGCTATAATCAATTTCCACGTTTCAGGACCAGGAAGGGACTCTGCCCCTATTCAGTCATTCAGCACATGTACTGGGTGCCATCCTTTGATCAGACCTTGGGAATATAGAGGTAAACAAGAACAAAATCATGCCTTCTCTCACAGAATGCATGGAAGAGAAAGTAGACACTAGATATTGTGCTCACAATAATGGGTAGCAAATGTTGTGGTAGGGAAAGTGCCGGGCGATGGCCTTCCTGATGTGAAGAGAGAGGTGCCCTCCAACAGGAGGGAGGAGCCCATTCACAACCAGGAGAGAGGGATCCTTTCACAACCAGCAGGGAGAAGCCCATTCATAGCCAGAGGGGTCCATTCACAACCAGGAGGGAGGGGCACTTCATCAGGAGGGAGGGGCCCATTTATAACAAGGAGGGAAAGGCCCATTCACAACCAGGAGGGAAAGTCCATTCTTTCCAGAGAACTAAAGGATAATGGTTTAAGCAAGTGGCCAGGAAGACTGTGAAGACTGACAACAAGGATGAGCTGAGACAATAACCAGAGAAGTATTCTGTGTAGACCACAGAACACAAGTACTGCTGCTTTAAGCCACTGTTCTATGGTTGCAAAAAGAAGATGGCATAAGAGTTTTTAAAAGGACCCAATAATCAAATTATTGTACCACTGACTTTCTTCTTGAAACCTCATTTCCAAGATCCTGACTCTGATTTATTTTAATTTGATCTTTTATCAAGGACTATCTTTTTCTGGTGACCCTTACCTCCCTGGTATTGATGCTTTCATTTAATCCCTTCAGCTTCACTGATCTGATTCCTTTCCCCTACCACTTTTTCCTGGGGCAACCAGTGCTTATGACAGACAACATCCTCTAAGCAAACAGTTGCTACAAAATGTTAGTGGCAATCACTACTGCTAATGAAAGTAAACTACAAGAATATTTGTATCATCAATATAACTGTCAGAGGCGTTCGAACAAGAGCAACTCCATCTTGAATATGGGCTGGGTAAATTAAGGCTGAGACCTACTGGGCTACATTCCCAGAGGGTTAAACATCCTAAGTCACAGGATAAGGTAGGAGGTCGGCACAAGATACAGGTCATGAAGACCTTCTGATAAAACAGGTTGCAGTAAAGAAGCTGGCCAAAACCCACCAAAACCAAGATGGCAATGAGAGTGACCTCTGCTCTCCTCACTGCTGCATACTCCCACTAGCGCCATGACAGTTTACAAATGCCATGGCAACAACAAGAAGTCACCCTATATGACCTAAAAAGGGAGGCATAAGTAATCCACCCCTTGTTTAACATATAATAAAGAAATAACCATAAAAATGGGCAACCTGGGCCAGGCACGGTGGCTCATACCTGTAATCTCAGCAGGTTGGGAGGCTGAGGCAGGCAGATCACCTGAGGTCAGGAGTTTCAGACCAGCCTGGCCAACACAGTGAAACCCCATCTCTACTAAAAATACAAAAATTAGCCAGGCGTGGTGGTGGGCGCCTGTAATCCCAGCTACTCAGGAGGGTGAGGCAGGAGAATCACTTGAACCTGGGAGGCGAAGGTTGCAGTGAGCCAAGATCGCACCACTGAACTCCAGCCCAGGCGACAGTGTGAGACTCCATTTCAAAAAAAAAAAAAAAAGGGCAACCTGCAGCACCCAAGCTGCTCTGCCTATGAAGTACCCATTCTTTTATTCCTTTACTTTCTTAATAAACTTACTTTCACTTTATGGACTTGCCTCAAATTCTTTCTTGCATGAGATCCAAGAACCCTCTCCTGGGGTCTGGACTAGCACCTTTTCCCAGTAACACAACTATAGCACTCCTTGAACACTTTCAATTTAAAGTATAATTCCCACGTTCTTAAGATCAGAAACATACACTATTGTAAAGGAGAATTAAGTGACATAATGAACAGTGTTGGTGTCATTACCCACACGAGCTAAGAATTCAGGCTGTTAGGTGAAGAACGGGGAAGAGAGCCAGGTGCAGTGGCTCACTCCTGTAATCCCAGCACTTTGGGAGGCCAAGGCGGGAGGATCATTTAAGGTCAGGAGTTTAAGACCAGCCTGGTCAACATGGTGAAACCCCATCTCTACTAAAAATACAAAAAATTAGCCTAGCGTGGTGGCGGACGCCTGTAATCCCAGCTACTCAGGAGGCTGAGGCAGGAAAATCGCTTGTACCCAGGAGGCAGAGGTTGCAGTGAGCTGAGATCGCGCCACTGCACTCCAGCCTGGGCGACAGAGCGAGCTCCAACTCCAAAAAAAAAAAAAAAAAAAAGAACGGGGAAGGCTACATAGTGTGTGTCCTGGAGTGCGGACCCTCATTATTGACTAGGTCCAGAATTAACTCAGTTCAAAGAGCAATGACAGAACAAAAAACCCCTTGGCAAAAAGTAAAAAACAGCAAAAAATTTAAGAAGCAGTGTTTGCAACTTCGGAGGGTGCTAACATTTGAATATTTGTCACCTCCAAAAACTCATGTTAAAATTTAATCTCCAATTGGCAGTATTATCAGGTTGGGCCTTTAAGAGGTAACTGAGCCATGAGGGGTCTGCTGTCATGAATGGACTTGTCCATTCATGGATTAATGGGCATCATGGGAGTAGGACTGGTGGCTTTATAGGAAGAAGAAGAGAGACGAGAACCAGCACTCTCAGCCCCTCACCGTGCGATGCTCTGCACCACCTTGAGACTCTGCACAGAATCCCCACCAGCAGAAAGCCCTCACCAGATGTAGCCCCTTGACCTTGGATTTCTCAGCCTCCGTAATACAAGAAATAAATTTCTTTAATTTGTAATTTACCCAGTCTCGGGTATTCTGTTATAAGCAACAGAAAATGGGCTAAAACAGAGAAGTAAGTTCTCCATTTTGGGGTACTTTATACCTCGGACTGTGTTGCTGTATACACCACAAATACTTCATCCCACAAGTACTTATTGAACACCTACTACATACCACACCATCTGATGGGTACTGAAAATGACACAGTAACAAATGCAGTTCTTGCCGTGTGGACAGGTAGACATTCAAATAAATCTATCATCATAAACTGTGATAAAGGCTATGGAGGAAAGTTAAAGAGTTTGATGAACAGTTTGAAATGACAGTAATTTAGATTAAGAAGCCAGGGAAAGCATCTATGGAGAAAACATTGAAGCCCAAAATAAATAGGAACAGGTCAACAAAGTGACAGGAAGTGAGAATGGCGAAGAGCGTTGAACACAGATGAACACAGAATTAGACGACCTGGGCTCCCGCAGAGGGAAGCAAGGCTCCTGTGTTCTGCAGCACCTTCGCTCCCTGGGCTGCAGCAACCCAAGAGGGCTATAAAAGATCCTTTTCTAGGCCGGGGGCAGTGGCTCACACCTGTAATCCCAGCACTTTGGGAGGCCGAGGCTGGTGGATTACCTGAGGTCAGGAGTTCGAGACCAGCCTGGGCAACACAGGGAAACCCCGTCTCTACTAAAAATACAAAAAATAAAAATTAAAAATTAGTCAAGCCTAGTGGTGCATGCCTGTTGTCACAGGTACTTGGGAGGCTGAGGCAGGAGAATCGCTTGAACCCAAGAAAGGGAGGTTGCAGTGAGCCAAGATCACACCACTGCACTCCAGCCTGGACGACAGAGCAAGACTCTGTTTCAAAAAACAAAAAATTAGCCAGGCATGGTGGCATGAGCCTGTAGGCCCAGCTACTCAGGAGGCTGAGGCAGGAGAATCGCTTGTGCCCAGGAGACAGAGGTTGCAGTGAGCCGAGAGCATGCCACTGCACTCCAGCCTGGGCAACAGAGTGAGACTCCGTCTCAAAAAACAAAAAAAAGACCCGCTTCTCAACCCAGGTCACCAGACCTTCAGAGGTAAGTTGTTCTCTGCCTTTAGAGTCAAGATAGGAGGAAAGAAGTTACAAACAATTTGAATTCTGACTGTGAGGTTGTCATTAAGTCAATCCTTGAACTCTCAGGTAGAATTAATCATTAGATATTCTGAGTTCCCATAATGTTTTGACTGCATTTTTCTGTCTCACTGCTGCTGTATTATAATTACATCTTTACACATTTTTCTCCATTTTAGCTCTTGAGGTTACAGAGCATAGAAATATGTTACTTCTATTTATACTCCTGGAGTCTAGCACACTGCCTGGAAAAGAGTAGCTACTCTATAAATGTAAAATAAATAAATGCTTGAAAAAACGAATCAATTCATCAATCAGTTGTTAGGCTCTATAGAATTTTTTTTTATAATTCGAGTTGATATAGGTTTACATACATTATGTATTTTTATGTGAAAGTGTCTAAAGATAATAGTTTAATAAGAAATAGCTTCTTTATTGAATGTTTCTCAAAATCTTAATGAAAGAAAAGAAAATGGAAAAATATGCTGACCCAACCATTGGGTATGCTACTAGTTATTTTCTTAAAGAAATGTCAGTGCAGGCCGGGCATGGTGGCTCACACCTGTAATCTCAGCACTTTGGGAGGCCAAGGCGGGTGGATCACTTGAGGCCAGGAGTTCGAGACCAGCCTGGCCAACATGGTGAAACCCTATCTCCACTAAAAATACAAAAATCGGCAGGGCAGGTGGTGCATGCTTGTAATCCCAGCTACTCAGGAGGCTGAGGCAGGAGGATGGCTTGAACCTAGGAGGTGGAGGTTGCAGTGAGCCGAGATCGTGCCACTGCACTCCAGCCTGGGCAACAGAGCTAGACTGTCTCAAAAAAAAAAAAAGAAATGTCAGTGGATTATGAAGGCAAGTCAGCTGAAGATACAGAGCCCTCCACGTCACCACCTGACTCCAAAAATAAATGCATCCAGCTGCAAAAAAGCAAGTCAGCACTGAGTTCTTTTGTGCACTCATTGAAAATCCGATGATTTTGACTAAGAAAAGACTTATATTCCAAACTAATAGCCTATGAATGCAATTATTCACAAAACGTCCTATTTGGAATCATTACATTTTGCACAACAATGCCAGCCACCCACAGTTGCTGAAACTCTCACCACCAACAATGGCTGAATATCAAGTGTAATAGGACCAGACGCAGCAAACAAATTAAAATGTGTGTCTTTGTCGAATGATAATGTTTCAAGGAGTGTAAGTGACATGGCAATTAATGTCTGTGAACAGCTGGTTTTAAAGATTAAAGAAAGTGATTATTTTGCCCAGGCAATGGACAGATACACCTAAATGTGCTGAGATGCTGGCATTTTAAGTCACATTTCTGTGAAATACTATGGATAAGAGCATGCTGTTTAGAAAAATTTAGTCCAGTATTACAACAGAAGACCATTTTGAAATATTTCAAGAGACAACCAAGAATTTCCACATGCCAGCTGGGAATTGTGTATTGCTATTTATATGGTTCAGAGAGTAATTACAGACTTCTCAAAGCAGGAAATTATTTTATTGCAAAGAATGATTCAGATCCTTTTTTTTTTTTTTTTTGAGACAGTCTTGCTTTGTCACCCAGGCTGGAGGGCAGTGGCGCAATCTCGGTTCACTGCAGCCTCCACCTCCCAGGTTCAAGCAGCTATCATACCTCAGCCTCCTGAGTAGCTGGAACTCAGGTACGTGCCTCCACACATGGCTAATTTTTGTATTTTTAGTAGAGACGGGGTTTTGCCATGTTGGCCAGGCTAGTCTCGAAATCCTGGCCTCAAGTCATCCACCCACCTCAGCCTCCCAAAGTTCTGGGTTTACAGGCATGAGCCACCACGCTTGGCTGATTCAGATCCCTATTGGTTTTTAAAAGGGAGAGAGAGAGAGAGAAAACATATTTCCCCATATCGGGAGGACTATCATCAGTTTTAACAGGAGCAACCCTCAAAATGGCTATGTAATAAAGAAGCACCAAGGCCATGAGTGTAAAGAATATCCAAGTCCAATTATCAGTATCTCTTTAGACCAAAATGTCTCCACTAGCAAACTGGCATGGTAAGCATAGTGATCAAACCCATAATAGTATAGTCACAAATCCCAAGGGACACATCCTGTGAACTTCCGTATCTTAAGAACATTCTAGAACAGTAGCACAGACTAGCAATAGATTGTGGGGGGTTTTTGAGGATTTTTTTTTTTTTTTTTTTTTGAGACGGAGTTTTGTTCTCGTCTCCCAGGCTGGAGTACAATGGCGCAATCTTGGCTCACTGCAACATCTGCCTCCAGGGTTCAAGCCATCCCCCTGCCTCAGCCTCCCAAGTAGCTGGGATTACAGGCACCCACCATCACGCCTGGCTAATTTTCAAGAGGTTTATTCCTTGGAAAATGAGGCCAATTCATTCACATAACAAATATGTATTAAGGTCTTTCTTTTGCAACTCAGATGCCTCCAAATGACAGTTTCACAATGTTCTTGACTCCACACTCCAGCAAATGTACAAACTGGGGAGTTGCTTCCACACAGCCAATGCCCATGTTATGCTTTCATACATATAAACATTTGTAGAAGATTTTTAAAGAGATGATTACACACTTTAAATTTTCCTGAATTTTATTCCTTATTTGGAAAAATGTGACAAATGTATTGCCCTGAGGCCAGTCAAGACCTAATTTCAGACAGCATGCATGACCTTAAACAACCCTCTTTCTTGCCAGGGCAGGCCCTTTTTAAATTTTTTTAACACAAGTAACCTTTGCTTCTCCTCTTCATAGAGATATATTTATCTGAGGTCTCTCATAGGCCCAACAATAAGCCCACAAGCTGTCTTCACTGCAGAAGACCTAGGAGACTCTAGGACTCCTAGTCCTGTTATGGGAATAAGTTGTCTGCTGTTAGCACTGTTATCCCAGATTTCTTAAAGACATACTTGCCAACTAGGCCTCATCCATGCCCTTGTTTCATAAGAAATAGCTAAAGAAATGCAAGTAAGTGTATGAAGTGAATTAGTTAGAAATTAAGTCTTTGAGACAATAAGTCTTGACCTTAATCATGAAGAAGGTGTCAGGGCAATACCTCAAACAAAGGTGGGAACAAGCACCTCTTTATTGTAAGCCTTGCCTGAAAAGAAGAGGCCATGACAGAGGAATGGCATGCATAGGTACAGAGGCAATAAGCTGGTCGGTCTCCCTTAGTGTAAAGCGAAGGAACTCAGATTTGATCAGGCAGGTAAATTCTTCAGTAGAAGAATAGCAGACTAACAAATATCTGAGAAAATTTAATCTATTAACAAAAAAAAATCCAAGAAAATGAACAGAAAGGAAACTGAGTTACAGTGTTATCTCGATAATTTGAACACATAGGGATGAAAACTGGAAAGGTCAACAGTTTTGCAAACAATGAGAGAGAACCCCATCTAAATGATACTGTCCATAGTGAATCAGCAGACACTGGAAACTGACCAGATAGAAGCCTGAAGCAGGGACTAGCACCAAAATAACTCCAAAATGTTGACCCAGGAGCATACTGTAGAATTTAATACAAAATGAGGTTGAACCAGATAACCTCTAAGGTCCAGTTAAACTCTTACTGCTATGATTCCAAAAAAGGTGAAGACCTCACGTTTTTAAAAAAACAAGGAAGTCATCAAACTTTTTTAATTCTAAAAGTATTTACTGAGCACAAACTATGTACCAGGCACTGTCCAAAGCCCCAAAAATACAATGGCACATAAGAAAGGTCTTTGTCTTATACAGGCTATATTCTAAAGGGGGTGCACATAAAAAAAGTCACTGAAGGGCTTAAACAGAGATTGATCCAATCCAATTTATGTTGTAGATTACTTTTCTGCTGGGTAGAGAGTGAGTTAAAGGGATCAAAGGCTAAAGAGGTAAGATTTTTTTGAAGGCAGTTAGAGGGATAAAGGGGGTCATATTGAAGATATAAAGAAGTAAAACTTAAAAGATATTTACAGATAGAGTTTCTAATTGGACTGGATATGGTCGATGAGAGTAATGGTGGAATCTTGAATAATTGCTGTATTTCTGGCTGAAGTAATCAGGGGTATGTGATGCCTTTTACTGTGATGTGGAAAATTAGGGGGAAGTAGGAAGAATGGAAGTTTAAGGAGGGAAAACAAACCTCCTCAGGAGAACATTATTGTTGAAGAAGGTATTACTGACTGACAATGTAAGTAAGAAAATGTTGGTCAATTCATCCATCAGTGGACATTTAGATTGTTTCCTATATATCTTGACCACTGTGAATAATGCTGCAATGAATATGGGGGTACAAGTGTCTCTTCAAGATCCCGATTTTAATTCTTTTGTAGAAATACCCAGAAGTGGGATTGCTGAATCATATTGTAATTCTATTTTTAATTTTGTTATATACACTGACTGGGATATTATTCAGCCGTTAACTAAAGGAAAATCTGTGAAATGCAACAACATGGATGAACCTTAAGGATGTTATGCTAAGAAAAATAAACAAGTCACAGAAGGACAAATACTGAATGATTCCATTTATATGAGGTATTTAAAGTAGTCAAGTCCAGAGAAGCACAGAGCAGAATGGTGGATGCCAGGGTCTGCAGGGAGGGGAAAATGGAGAGATGTTCAATGGATGTAAAGTTTCAGTTATGCAAGATGAATAAGTTCTAGAGATCTGCTGCACAAAATTGTGCTTGTAGTTAACAATACTGTGTTGTACATTTAAAAATTTGTTTAAAAAAGAAAAAAAATGCTCCTGGGCACGGTGGCTCATGCCTGCAATCCCAACACTTTGGAAGGTCAAGATGGTAAGATTGCCTTAGCTCAGGAGTTCAAGACCAGCCTGGGCAACATAGGGAGACCGCGTTTTTACTAAAAATAAGAAATAAAAATTAGCACAGCGCAATGGCCTGTACCTGTAGTCCCAGCTGCTCGGGGGGAGACTGAGATAGGAGCCCGGGAGATACAGACTGCAGTGAGTTGTGATCATGCCACTGCACTCCAGCCTGAGTGACAGAGCAAAACCTGTCTCAAATTAAAAAAAAAAAAGAAAAAGAAAGAAAAATAAAAAGAAATGCTGCATTATTGATGATCTTGATGGTCCAGAGACTGATACCCTGTGAAAAAGATAGGATTTTGACATGTAATTCAGAGGGATAAAATATAAATGTGGAGTCATTTTAGGAATATTTTAACCAACTTATTGAATTTATATTTTACTTCTTTTGAATGGAAATTAAAGTTCTAAATAATAAAAATCTATTTCCAAGTTTTTTTTTAATAAAAAGAAAAGGTGTATCAAGTGTCAGATATTTGAGACATGCCAAAGGAGTTTCCAGCTATGTGGGACTCACCCTTCTACAGTGAGTATCAACATTTAGGGTTTGATCTGTTGGCTTTTTGAGTATCCAAGAGCAAGTATTTGGGGTTTCAGTGGGCAGGGTGAAAGTGAAGCTTGCAGATTGAAGCTGAATAGATCTTTCATATGTAAGTCAGAAAAAAATTACAAAATATTTATGCATCATGAAGTAGCTTATTAGCGCTGTCACACCACATATTGATGACAGTGAAGAGTCTAGGCAGGGATGTTCTTTACCATCTTCATGCCACAGGCAAGACTCAAAGGCAAACAGAAATGTTTTGGGGGGAAAATTAAGTGACTTCCCTGTAATACGTGAGTCTTAACGACAAAATCAATATCCTGCCCCATAAGCTCGTGTAATAGAAAATCTTTATTTACAATATTGGTCTCCGTTATCATTGCTTCAATCGTTATCTAAAAGTTACCATTTCTACTTTAATCCTTACTTAGAAACATCCAGTGCTGAAATATACTCATAGTTGCCAGAAACAGCTAATCAATGTTGTAAAGATTCTTCTGACATAGAAAATAAGAACTTGACAGATAAATGGACTTTCTGTGTTGTCTCTAATCAATAGGTCAACTGGTTCTGGCGCCAAGTATTCAATATATATTTAACCTAAAAATAATAGACTCTTTTAACCTAGTTCCGTGAATCTCTCTAAGTTAGTAGGCTATGTCTATAAGTTATTTGGAAAAAATGGACAGGATCATTCAATGTAAAAAATGGACAGGATCATTCAATGTAAAAAGGCAGGAAATCATTTTCATACAGGATCTTAAAGGCATCTCTGGTTCATTTCTTCTCTAAGTCTTATAGCTCAAATTTTCCTCTCTTCTTACCCATTGCCACTCTCAGTATCTCATCCTTCAGCAGTCTTCAAACTCTCTGATACTATTTAATTAATCCATCTAACATACATTAATTGAGCAGCTACTTATGTGGCAGACATTATTCTAGGTACTTCAGAACCAAGCAGACAAAACTTCCTGTCCTCGAGTTTGCATTCTACTGAGGGGAGACGGGCAAACAAGAAACATAGTAAGTAAATAAATTAAATAGTATCTTAGAAAGTGATAAGTGCTGTGAAAAAAAAAAAGGCAAAGTAAAGGAAGGTAAGGAGGATCAGTACGGTAGTGTGAGAGGTTAGTTAGCTCATTGGACCAGGGAGTCCTTATGGAGAAGGAGAGATCTAAGCAGACTTGGAGGAGGAAGAGTTGACCAAGCAGATAGCTGTGGGAAGAGCATCCCAGGCAGGGGAAATAGCCAGAGCAAATGCCCAAATCCAGGAGTGTGCCTGGCTTATTCCAGGAACAGCAAGGAAGCCCTTATTGGCTACTGTGGCCAAGTTAAGAGGTAGAGCTGCAGCAACAAAGTCAGTTTCTTTTCTGTTTCCCACACCAGGACTCAAGTCACAAATGTAGGCATTATCATAGACTCCTCCTTCCTCCACCATCCATTCTATCATTAAATCATGTTGGTTTTGCCTCATCCATATCTTTCTAATATCTTTTCTGGCTTATCTTATCTGGATGATAGGAATGCCAGTAAATTTTAATTTTCAGACACTTTCATTGCTTACTTTTTCTTTGTAAAACTGTATATTACATTTATAAAAAATAGTAAAATAATTTTATAATAAAAAGGTTATTAATAAGCTGTTGCATTAGGGGAAAGCCTTGCTCTACTTATTTATTGACATGGGGAAATATATGACATTGTTTAGTGAAAAAGCAATCTATCATTTTATACCACATCTGTATTTAGAGAAGAGAGACTACAAGATACACAATAACAAGTTAGAGATGATTTTCTCTGGACATTGTGATAACAGGTGATTTTCCATTTGCATTTTTCTACACTGCTACATGTCTTATGCATTGAATATATATTATTTCTATAATTTTTTTTGAGATGGAGTTTTGCTCTTTCACCCAGGCTGCAGTGAAGTGGCTTGATCTCCACTCACTGCAACCTCCACCTCCTGGGTTCAAGCGATCCTCCTGCCTCAGCCTCCCAAGTAGCTGCGGTTATAGGCGCCCACCACCACACCCGGCTAATTTTTGTATTTTTAGTAGAGATGGGGTTTCTCCATGTTGGCCAGGCTGCTCTCAAACCCCCAACCTCAGGTGAAGCACCCGCCTTGGCCTCCCAACCTGCTGGGATTACAGGCATGAGCCACCACCCCTGGCCTATGTCTATAATTTTTAAAAACAGCAATGTTGTTTTTTATATGTTTTATATATTTTAGTAAAACTAATACTAAAAACCTGAACAGTATTACATATTTACATTGAAGCTACCTTTGTTAATGCTAATTAAATCTTCTACCCATTCCTCCCTCTTGATATGCACTACAACCCTACTGACTGATTGGCCACATCTAGAAATCCAAGAAAAGAAGACATTCGTGCAATTGTTTCTTGTTTATGCAGCCCTAAGATAAGTGAAAATGACTGAAAAAACTGACATTGGAGAGACTACATAGGAAGAATCTGCCATTCTTCTAAATGGCAATATGGTTAAGGGCTGGAACTATTAACATAAACTTGGGAATACTCATCACATTTTTGTTCAGATTCCCAGCACCAATAATATTGTCTATTTGGCTCAGCTGTTTAATACCGTTTAATTTCTATTTCTCTGACCTGAAAGCCTGTCTTCCCTCATATTGAGAAGAGTTCATTATCATTTCCATCTCTCCCCTGGGAATTGCATTCATTTGCTCACCTCCTAATCATAAAGGGTTAAACTATGGACCTCACCTTACCTTGTTCCTAGAAACCCTGACCAGAAAAGCTCTCCTCAATGAGCCCTCAGTGTCTTTATTTTATATCTAAGCCATCTTCCCAGTCAATGAGCCTCCCTAAAAGATTAATGTAGTTTGAACTTTTATAGAGGAATATCATTTGTGCACTGTCATATTTAGCACAAATGGTGCTTCAGTCACAGCTCAGTAATATTCCAGCATATTACTTCCAAGGCATTTGAGAGTTTAAAGAATTATTGAAGGGCACGCTGTACTCATTTGGTAATAAAGCAGAGAGCACTGCTTTCTACATATGATTTCAGCAAATGGAATCTCTGCTAATTTCATTGCACGTAGCAAAATAGTTGTGATAATAACCAAGGTAAAATATCCCACTGGAGGGAATAGATTAGATACATTTTTTTATTAGATCTCCAAGAAGTATTGAGGAGGAAGTTCTAGAATTTGAGGGCAAGATGTTGAGAAATCATCTTCTCTCATTGAATATGTACCCTTGACATTGTGGTTTGTCAGCCCTGGGTGAGAAGTCACAGCCGTTACTTGGCCATTATTTGGCTGCAGAGTCCACTGAGCTACACAGGCACCCTGCAGAGGGATGGGGGCAGTACAGGCATTAAAGAGAAATAAAGGAGTTAAAATCATTTAGAGAAAAAAATGTAACTACACCAAAGCCCAGGTATTTGGTCAGAAAATTCCCTTTTGCAGCTTTGTAAAGAGCATAGATGAGATAAGTTTAGGTACTTTTTTAACATTTAAATTGATAGCTATGTTTTAGAGGAAGGAAAGGTCTTGCTCTCTGTCAGGTGTCACCAAATAGTAGTTTAAAGGTTTCTGGATGTGTGTGAATCAGAAAGAAAGAGAGACACCTGCTGTCATGAAAGGACCTTTTCATATAGATCCTGTTCCAACTCTGTCTCAGGTGTTGGCCTTATTTCTTTACCAAATTATACATTCTAAGCAATTATAGCACTTACATTAATATCTCCTAGTTATAAGAATCCCTAGAGCAGAAGTGGAACTCCCATTTCTAGGTAAAGGAAGGCCTAATTTTGCCATTTGGGGAACAAGCATATTTGAAATCCATTGCAATTTCTTCTGCTTATTAAAAGTTACTCTCTGGTATTAGAATCAACTTGCTGAGACATTTTGAGAATACTCAGTTATTTGTATTAGTTTGAAAATATCCAACCCTTAATTTAGAGAGCAGACAGCTGCGCTCCTCTCTTCTCCCACTGCTTCTCAACAGTGTTGAGCCCTTCTACTCCACTGCTGTCTTTACTTCCAACCAGAGGAATGTCTGCCTTTTAAGTGGATGCTCCTGGGATATTATCTGTGGGCAGCATCTTCATGTCTCTTACTAAGGGAATGTGAAATTATTTCTGCAACATTTTGGTATCACCCACCACTTAGAAAAAGTAGTCAAAAGTACAGGTAGCACATGAAGCGCCTTAGATTTTCAACCAGATATAAACCCAACAAAAACCTTACAAAGTATACAAATGCCCAAAATGACTCATCTGACTGCTGCTGAGGTGACAATATGCCAAAATCCTTAAAAGTATAAAAAGATGCTTTTACAGATTTTTTTTAAATACAGAAATTTTATTATATAGTATTTAGTATCTTGTACATAAGACTATATATATATTACTTTTTTTTTTTTTTTTTTTTTTTGAGACGGAATCTTGCTCTGTCACCCAGGCTGGAGTGCAATGGCATGATCTCGTCTCACTGCCACCTCCACCTCCTGGGTTCAAGAGATTCTCCTGCCTTAGCCTCCCGAGTAGGTGGGATTACAGGTGTGCACTGCCGAACCCGGCAAATTTTTGTATTTTCAGTAGAGACGGGGTGTCACCATGTTGGTCAGGCTGGTCTCAAATTCCTGACCTCGTGATCTGCCCGCCTTGGCCTCCCAAAGTGCTGGGATTACAGGCGTGAGCCACCGCACCCGGCCAAGACTACAATTTTTTTTTTCAGGTAACTTACTCCTCTCCAGGTATCCTATGTTGACGTAAACAACCAACATATTCTATTTTCCTGCATATGTCATTGTTCAGGGATGACCATGGGCCTTTACAAGAGCCAGTAAACATGAAATTCAGAATATTGGTTCAGATGTATTCTTTTCCCCATTAAAATAAATTATAAAAACACACAGCACTAAGAGTTACTGGACGTTATCTTGCAAGCACTAGGGAGAATCAGACTTGGGATAAAGCTGACACCTTAAAGGGCAAAGTAGAGGGAAGAAAAACAATGGCCCCCCCCTTGATAATATTATTGAGCCTCGACACCACGTTCTGAAGCCCAACTTAGCTTTGTTTTACAGCAACATAAACTAATTGGTCCCTCTTAATAATAAGGTAATTTAAGACAGGCTTTCAGTTTTTTAGGTTTTTTTGTTTGTTTGTTTGTTTGTTTTGAGAAGCCTCTGTCGCCCAGGCTGTAGTGCAATGGCACTGTCTTGACTCACTGCAACCTCCGCCTCCCAGATTCAAGCGATTCTCCTGCCTCAGACTCACGAGTAGCTGGGATTGCAGGCGCCCACCACCACACCTGCCTAATTTTTGTATTTTTGGTAGAGACGGGGGTCTCGCCACGTTGGTCAGGCTGGTCTCGAACTCCTGACCTCAGGTGATCCTCCCACCTCAGCCTCCCAAAGTGCTGGGAGGACAAGCATGAGCCACCATGCCTGGCCAGTTTTCAGTTATTTATAACAACATAAAGTGCTAACTAATAAAGATCTAACATATCCAGAAAAAAAATATTAAAACTCTAATCAACAAGCACATTGTCAAAGACTAAATAAAGCATTTTTTGACTTATAATTTTATATAGTAATCATCACCAGGCCACCCAGACTCTGTGACAAATGAGCAAGTATGATAATTTAGAATAAGACACCATACCATTTCTCAGGTTCTGCCTGCAAAAGACCTTTTTTACTTTTTTATTTTCTTCTTTTTTTTAAATCTCTGAACAAAACTGGAATCAGGATTAGATGCAATTTTCTCTTTCATTCAGGGCCCAGATGGCAGATTGGAAGAACTTAATTTCTGGTCTCTTAGTAGAAATTTGAGGACTGTCAGCTCTTAAGATTTTAAGTAATTCAGTTAAGTGACTATAAGCTCTGAGGTTTGAGAACTGTGCTGTCTTCAGTTTTGTGGTTGTTGTGTTGTTTTGTGTTGTTTTTAATCATTGTAACATATCTCAATATTCATAGGCCATCCTTGGAGAAAATTGGCAGGGCTCTCCCCTGTGTCTGACAACACGGATTTGTGTACAAGCCAAAGATCCCCACGGATCTGAATTGGAGCAGCTGGAGTTTCTAAGGACTGGTGTGATGGAGCTCAGTGAACATTTGGGGACATTTGGGGAACTGCACCATGAGGTGTTTCCTTGAGAGAGGCTTGAGAATAGAAGAACGATGACATAGCAGAGGCAGACCAGGGCCCAGAGGAATGTAGGTTGTCTATGGTACTCTGGAGAGACTTTTAAAGCTCACAGATTCAATGCACCATAGGGTTGTGTGTGGGGCAGCAGGCAACATGCTAAAATGGTCACCAAGATTTCCTGCCTCCTCACCCCGCTCTCCGTACACACCCTGCAGGATCCCCAGTACTGTTAATGTGATGAATGTTTCCCCTGTGATTCCATTATGTAATATGGCACAGGTGACTGTAAGAAAGAAGGATTATTGAGATGTACATAACCCAATGACCTGAAAGCCTTAAAAGCAGGGAGTTTTCTCTAGCTAGTGGCAGAAGGGAAGATTAGAAACTGGGAGAATCAGAGGGATTTGCTTCATCATTGCAGGTCTGCAAATGGAGGGGCTACGTGGCAGGGAATGTGAGCAGGATCTGGTTGCTGAGAGCAGCCCCAGCTGACAACCAGCGAGGAGGTGGAAATCCTAGTCCTGCAACTGCAACCAAGGGAATTCTGCTAACAACAAGCAAAAACTGAAAAGTTGATTTTTCTCTAGAGCCTCCAGACAAGAACTCAGCCCAAGTGACACCCTGATTTTGGCCTTGAGTTCATCCTACACAGAGAACCCCACCTTGCCATGCTGGACTTTGACTTACAGAACTGTGGGCTAATAAGTGGGTGCTGTTTTAAGCCTCTAAATTTGTGGTAACTTGTTACCCAGCAATAGATAATGAATGCATTTCTCAAATCAAAACAGTAAACAGAGGAAACTATTTTGGCAGGAACAGTGAAGAATGAATGCAAGGAGGTAGAGCCGCATGTAGGAAACCTACTGAAATCATCTGGGGTTTCCATGCATAATAAGAACCAGTGGCAAACGGCAACATAGTTCAGACCTGCACATTTTGATACTAATCATATTACTGAGTTGGAGAAGAAAGGTTTTCAACACAGAAGATGTATAAAAATCACATGGAAAGGGATATCATCTTCATAACTTCCAAAGCTCAGCCCTTATGCAGTATTGGTGGCAACACCAGAAATGAATAACGGATTTATAATTGTATTTGTAACTCAGCCAAGTGAGTATAAATTTTTTGGCTACACAGATATATATATATGTGTGTATAATATATATGTGTGTGTATATATGTGTGTATATATGGGTGTGTGTGTATATATATTTTATATATATATATGTTTTTGATAGATATTTACTAATGATGGGACAAATATGTAAGAAGAACCTTGAGACTTACTGCCAGATTCCTAGCTCAGCAAATGGTCCCATGCATGTGGGTTAAGAAATCAGAGGTGATAGGATAAGCTAATTTTTATGGTTCTTGGTTTTCACATTAGCCCCTCTATCAATTGTTTTCTGGTTTTGTTTTTATTTCTATTGAGTGATCTTGAAGTATTTTCACCAGCTAGAGTCTGATAGATTAAATGACAGACAAATAGACAGGCAGAGGCAGCTTTGTTGTTTACTAAAGAGTTGTATCTGATTATGTACAGCTTTCTACATGTGAATCTTCAAGCCTCATTTTAAAGAATAATGTGAAGCTATCATTCACAAAAAGTTTTATTAATAGGTATCATTTTTTAAAGCAGTTATAGATTCATAGCAAAATTGGGTGGAAAGTGCAGAGATTTTCTATATATCCCTGCCCCCACCCATGCACAGCCTCCCCCACTATCAACATCCTCCACCAGAATGGTTCTAACAGTTCTAACATTTGTTAGAACTGATGAACCTACATTGACACATCATTATCAACCAAGGTTTATAGTTTAGACTGGGTGTTGTGCATTCTATGAGTTTGGACAAATGTAATGACATATGTCCACCACTGTAGTATCATAAAGAACAGTTTCACTGCCCTAAATATCCTCTGTGCTCCACATGGTGCTCCTCCAAACCCCTAGCACCCATGACTTTTTTGTACAGTCTCCATAGTTTCACCTTTTCAAGAATTTCATCTAATTGGAATCATACAGCTTCTTTTACTTAGTAATATGCATGTCAGTTCCCTCCATGTCTTTTCATGGCTTCATAGCTCATTTCTTTTTAGCACTGAATAATATTCCATTGATTGGGTGTATATCTTGGTTGTTGCCAAGTTTTGACAATTACGAATAAAGGTTTAATAAACATATGTGTGTAGGTTTTTGTGTGGACCTAAGTTTTCAGTTCCTTTAGGAAATACCAAGGAGTGCAATTGCTGGATCATATGGTAAGAGTGTGTTTTGTTTTGTAAGAAACTGTCAACTTGCCTTCCAAAGTTGGGGTACCATTTTGCATTCCCACCAGCAACGAATGAGAGTTCCTGTTGCTTCACATCCTCACCAGCATTTGGTGTTGTCAGTGTTCTGGATTTTGGCCATGCTAATAGGCGTGAAGTGATATCGCATTGTTATTTTTAGTTTGCCTTTCCCTAAGGAGATGTAATGTGGAGCATCAATTCATATGTTTATTTGCCATCTGTATGTCTTTTTTGGTGAGGTGTGTGTTCAGATCTGTTGCCCATTTTTTAATTGGGCTGTTTAATCAGGTTGCTTAATTGGGTTGTTAAGTTTTTAAGAGCTCTTTGTATATTTTGGATTGCAGTCCTTCATCACATATGTCTTTTGCAAATATTTTCTTCCAGTTTGTGGCTTATCTTTTCATTCTTTTGACACTGTCTACTGTCTTTTGCAGAGCAGATATTCTTTTTTTTTTTTCTTTTTGGGGATGGGGCCTCACTCTGTCACCCAGGTTAGAGTGCAATGATGCAATCATGGCTCACTGCAGCCTAGACCTCTGGGGCTCAAGCAACTCTCCCACCTCAGCCTCCCATGAAGCTGGTACTACAGGCATGTGCCACCACACCTAGCTATTTTTTGTTGTTATTTGTAGAGACAGGGTACCTGATGTTGCCCAGGCTGGTCTCAAACTCCTGGGCTAAAGTGATCATCCTGCCTCAGCCTCGCAAAGTATTGGGATTACAGGTATGAGCCACTGCGCCCAGCCAAAATTATTCATTTTAACGAAGTCCAGCTCATCAATTCTTTCTTTCATGGATCATGCCTTTGGTGTTCTGTCTAAAAAGTCTTCATCAAACCCAAGGTCATCAAGATTTTTCTCCTGTTACCTTCTAGTAGTTTTATAGTTTTGTATTGTACATTTAGGTCTATGATACATTTTGAGTTAATTTTCACGAAGAGGTGAAGGTCTGTGTCTAGGTTCACTTTTTGGTATGTGAATGTCCGGTTGTTTTGCCACCATTTGTTGAAACACAAAACACTTTTCCTTTCCCTACCAACCCAAAGAAGACAAAAGTGGGGTGCCCTAGTCGTGGGGAGGATGCATCTGTGGAGACAGTCTCAGATTTGTCATATATGAGCTGAGACTTGAGACAAGTTTACTCACATTAATTCCTCCCCTGTACATTTTGTAGAGGGATTAAATGATGCACTGCACATAAAACACACAGTATTCCATGGAACAACAGATGTGGAATTGATAGGTATTTTATCTCAGCCAAGCCATTTAACCTCTGTGCCTCTTTTTTTTAATCTTTAAAACGGTAGTGGTAATATGAGTAGCCGTCAATGGAAATGAGAGAAAGCATGCAGGGTATGTGGTCAGCAGTGAGTACTGCGTGAACAGCAGCCCTCCCATCCGGGACCAATATAGGGATTACCACCTGATAGAAGTTGTGTGATTCTGTGATTGTTAAAACTTACACATTTTTTTTTTTTTTTAGATGGCCCGCTCTGTCGCCCAGGCTGGAGTGCTGTGGTGCGATCTCAGCTCACTACAACCTCCGCCTCCCAGGTTCAAGCGATTCTCTTGCCTCAGCCTCCGAGTAGTTGAGATTACAGGCACACACCACCATGCCCGGCTAATTTTTTTGTCTTTTTAGTAGAGACGGGGTTTCACCATGTTGGCCAGGCTGGTCTCAAACTCCTGACCTGAGGTGATCTGCCCGCCTTGGCCTCTCAAAGTGCTAGGATTACAGGCATAAGCCAAAGCACCCGGCCAAAACTTATACTTTTTTTTTCAGTAATATTAAGGGTCTTTAATTAGGTACTGCTCATTTGAGGAAGTGTCCCATTTTTCGCTGTCTTGGTTAGAAAAATACTGTGACATCTGTTTATTTGTTTCTGAATTGATGAATCACAAGTGAGTTTAAGATCACTGCAGTTCCCCACTCATGGACTGGTACCTCCTGACACACACATCGAAGACTTTGACGTCCAGTCAACATTGAGAAAAACTGCTGTGGAAAGTTCACATGGATTCTGAAGACACCATCCATTCTGGATTTTGACACGTGGTTTGACCTAATAATTTCTACTCCATAATAAACCAAATCTTATTCATTCCTCCCTGAAGCCATATGTACGTACTAGGCCATAGGTGGCCAGAAGGTACAAGTCCTCTCTAACCACAGAAAATCTCCATCAAGACTTCTGTGAGATCTGACCTGGGTGCTGAATAGGTCCAGTATTCTAGCACAATGCAAGGCACTCATTTGACACTCAGTGTAAGTTTTTTGAATAAATGGCATTTTCAAACTTTGTGGGTTAGTTGTAGATAACTCTATATCTATTTTATATATTATTGGAATTCTGACAGTGACTACGTTCAAATTAGCAAGATAATCTCTATGCTTCTTTCTCACTTCATCCTTTTGTACTATTAGAAGTAGTATTATCTAGAGCCTGACCAAAATAATACCTCTAACTGGACTGGTGCTTAACAACTCCTCTCAGGGGTCTTTGAAACTTATTAAAATGAGTGGCCCAATTGTATTCATGTTCTACTGCATGTTATAGCAAATTACCAAAAACTACCTGGCTTAAAACAACCAAATGTAACCTCTCACAGTTCTGGAGGTCACAAGTCTAAAATCAAGGTGTCAGCAGGGCTATGCTCCCTCTGGAGGCATCAGGGTACAGTTTATTTCCTTTTCCTTGCAGGACTTCTAGAAGCACCTGCATTCCTTGACTCGTGGTCCCCTTCTCACATCACTTCAACTTCTTGCTTCCATCATCATATCTCCTACTACTGATTCAGGTCCTCCTGCCTCCCTCTTATAAAGACCCCTGCAATGACATTGGCTCATCTGGATAATCCAGAATAATCTCATCTTAAAATTCTTGACCATATCTGCAAAGTCCCCTTTACTATATAAGATGACATATTCATGGGTCTCAAGCATCAGGGCATGAACATCTTTGGGTGGCCACTGTAACAGCCTACTACATCAATGATTTCTCAATTCATCTAAAATATGTATTGACAGATTGACTATCTAAAATGTACAAGGCACACTTGGGTATTGTCAGGATCATAAGGATAAGACCAAGTTCCCAATCTTAAAGAATGTATTACCTAATAAAGCAAAATAAGATACATTCATAAATGACTCTCAGTTTAAAGATTCATATAGGCAAGCACAAGGGACAGAACAATAAGGCTCTCAGAGCCAAGTACAGGAAATTAAGTAGGACACTAAATTCAGAAAGTGCCAAAAGTTAAGGTTGTCATGGCAACATGAACTCAGCAACACAGCAAAACCTGTTCATCAAAAGTATACACTTAACAGTTTTTCACAATTATGATCTGCTGAACGAGCAGCTTTCATTCAATGATCCGGAACCTCTTACAACTATGGATTAGCTCTTTTTCTGTGGCTATAAGAAATTGTTTCACTAACCAAACTCAATTTCACAAATATTTAGATGTCATCGACTATGTGTGAGATGTGTAAGACAAGAAGCTAAGGTCTGAGGGCATGCAAAGATAGAAAAGACATCATTCTTGATCCCAAGGAACTTTTCATCCAGGGCTACGGGCATGCAAATTATGGTAGGGAAAGTCCACTAAGCAGAAAATTGCTAAGGAAGGTCAAAGGGGTGAGAGGGCTCAGACGGCTGGGGGCGAAGAAAATTCTCCTAGATTGTGTGGCATTTGAAATGGGCTTCAAATGATGAATGGGATATTTGCAAGGAAGTGGTACGGTGACAACAGCCAAATAAAAGATCCAAAGCTGGAAAGAGCAAGGCATGTAGGGAAACAGTAGCAGTCTGGCTGAAATAAAGACTACAGGAAAGAGTCAAGTTGCTTGAAATGTGAGATTTCTACTTGTCTTATAAAGCCAGGGCCTGGAATGATATGTAGTAATGTATTTAGCAGATAGCAGTATTTTTCATAAAGACATTACCAAATTTAAAAGATCAAAGGCCTCTTTCCTCTGTCTACTTTCCCTGATTCCCTACTGTAAAAATTTACTTTCAGAAAACCTCATATCTGATTTTCTCAAACTTCTTACTGTCCATGCTGTTTTGTGGCCTATATTGTTCCCCCGAAATGCAAGGCAAAAGTTATATCCATTTTCAAATAAGGAGACTGAAAATCAGAGGTAAATTTCTCAAGTTTACACAAGGAAGGCAGTGGTGACGCAGCTTATCTGTGCGACTACAAAGCCCAAGACATTTTTTTTTTACTTTATTGACCTTATCACACCGTGTTGCAATTGCTTGTTTGAATGTCTCTCTCTCCCAAGTTAAACTGTAAGGATCTTTTGGATAAGATTCATATCTTGCTCAATTTTGAATTTTTTTTTTTTTTTTTTTTTTTTTTGAGACGGAGTCTCGCTCTGTTGCCCAGGCTGGAGTGCAGTGGTGCGATCTCGGCTCACTGCAAGCTCCGCCTCCCGGGTTCACGCCATTCTCCTGCCTCAGCCTCCCGAGTAGCTGGGACTACAGGCGCCTGCCACCACGCCCGGCTGATTTTTTGTATTTTTTAGTAGAGATGGGGTTTCACCATATTAGCCAGGATGGTCTCGATCTCCTGACCTCGTGATCCACCTGCCTCGGCCTCCCAAAGTGCTGGGATTACAGGCGTGAGCCACCGCGCCTGGCAATTTTGTATTCTTAGAATCTAATTTGACAAATGACACAGAACCAGAGCCATGTGAGTTTTGTCAAATAAGGAATTATGGATTTTAGGCAAGCAGTTACTGAAGGCACAGAGTTCTTTTCTTTGTGAAAATATAGCAGTAATGTCAATTGTATGACCTGTTATAGCAAACACTTCGTCGGTTTTATTCATCACTTGGCTATTTATAAAAATACAAAAATAGATAGGAACTTCATGGAGGTCTCTTCTCTCATGTTAATTCACACTTGCATCTTTCTCTTTTTCTTTTCCGCCCAAAACTTGTTCCCAGCAATACTGAAAAAAATAAAATAATCTCCAATCCTGCTGGTATCCTCGGAGGACAAGACAAAAGTCTAGCTTCCTTGCCAATTGGGTTGTTATGGCCCATGGTCCAGAGACCCCACATCAAACTTCTCTGTAACTTGTGACACCACAGGGCACCATCAGCCTCTCAGCATCCTGTTTGAGCTGGTTCCCAGTGAAACTTTGGCCTGGATCGCGGCCTCCCTCAGCCTTTCTGTCCTCTCCCGGAAGCTTTTTATCATCTAAGAGCACTGCAATGACCATTTCCTTTTTCTAATTAGGATAAGAGAAAATCATTTGCTCTTTGGCTATTACTTCGCCTGACCCCACTAAACCCCCCAATCTCCTTTATCCTGAATTTTCATACTATGAGTTTATGTACTCTGCCTAGTGCTTTTTCTATAAGAACTGTTATATTAAGCATTTCTCAAGAGACACATTACCTACTCTTCATGCGTGGCCCTTCCCTGGTTCTAGTTTCCAAGTATTGGAAAGACTGCCAGCATCTCTTCAAAGCTACAAAGTAGAAACCTTGGAATAGTATTGAATTCATCTCCTAGCCCATACTCAGAATGCTAAATTAGTTGCCAAGTTCTGCCAATGTTTTCTGTAACAAATTTTTCATAACTACCCCTTCCCTTCTATCCCTCGCTCACGAAAGCTTTGTTGAGTTTCTTATATTTTTCCAACACTCTTTGCCTTTAGACTAGCCTTATTACTGCTGACGAAGGTATTTTCTCCACGTTCTGCTATAAATTGGGGGCTATTTCACTCTTAAACCATAATGGAATCGCACAGGCCTTTCGATCACATCAAAAGTCTTTACCGTGTGCTTCATCAAGATGCTAGGAATTACCTGAATTCTTAGCCTCCTCCCAAAACTCTCCCTCCCTTGACAGGATTATCTCCTTAATGATCCCACCCCACTCTGCTCTTTTAAGTTTTTTCTTCTGCTTCTCCATTCACTTAAATTGTTTTAGAAATTCTCTCCTTCCTTGGAGGCTTGCTAGGTAGATCCTGGACTATCAGGAAAAATTGATTTGGAAGGTCAGCATCACCTTCAAAATACAGGCACAATCTCTGTTTCCACTGCTACCCCCAGGACAGGCCACGGTCATGTCTTTCTAGGACTGCAGCAATCAGTTCTATAGGTCTCCCTTCCTGCCCCTCTGTCTGTCCTCAATACAGCAGCTCCAATAACCTTTTTAAAAATCAAATCAAATCACTTTACTCCTCCACTTAAAATCCAAAATCGTTCCCCCAGGTTACTCACAGTAAAGGCAAAGTCCTGTCCAGACTACGCAGGCCCATGTAGTCCAGCCCTCTTCCCTCCCTGAGCTGGCATCATACTCTCTCCTTCTGCAATCCACTCCCACCACAAAGGCCTGGCCTCATACTTGCCAGGCATTTGCCATCCGTCCTGCTTGGGGCACTGCTTTCCCTTCCATCCATTCCTTCAGGTCATTGTTCAAATGCCATCCCACTCATCCATGAGTAAAGCCTACCCTGACGTCCCACCTAACAATGCAATTCATCCCCTTTCCATGCTTTGTTTTTCTCCTTGGCACTGATCACCACCTCATATACTAAGAATGGTTAATTTGCTTACTGTCCCTATGTACTAAAAATTGAGTACCCTGAGGGCAAGAAGTTTTATCTCTTTTGCTCATAAAACAGTGACAAGAACAATAGCTGGCATACAGCAATTTCTCAATGCAAACTTGTTGAATGAATGAACTCAAAATATTAATTTACTACAAGTTTTCTATTTGGCCATTGTTACTATTCAAACTTCATAGAGATACAGAACATTTGGCCATTGTTACTATTTGGCTATTGTTACTATTCAAACTTCACAGAGATACAGAACATATAAAACACAGCCTCTGCAGTGCAGAGGGCACATTCACTGCTTTAACTTTCCAATGTTTTGCTCATAAGCAGCAAAACCATATTGCTTTTTCTTTTCTGCAGTCACCAACAATGCATTTGCTGCCTTCAGAACCTAAAGGGTGCCTCTTAAACACTAGACCCACATCTAGGAGTCCAGTCTACAAAACTAGACGCAGTTCAAAATGGAGCAAGAAGAGGCAGACATTATTGTAAAAGAATAATGAGGGCCAGGCTCGGTGGCTCATGCCTGTAATCCCAGCACGTTGGGAGGCTGAAGCGGGCAGATCATGAGGTCAGGAGTTCAAGACCAGCCTGGCCAACATCCTGAAACCCCATCTCTACTAAAAATACAAAAATTAGCCGGGCATGGTGGCACGTGCCTGTAGTCCCAGCTACTCAGGAGGCTGAGGCAGGAGAATCACTTGAACCTGGGAGACAGAGGTTGCAATGAGCCGAGATCAAGCCACTGCACTCCAGCTTGGGCAACGGAGTGAGACTTCGTCTCAAAAAAATAAAAAATAAAATATAGAAATAATGAGAAAATGGCTGCCTTATATGGTAAGAAAAAGTTGTGTCTAATGGTCTTGTTTACAAATCCTAGGACCTTATAAATGGAAGAGTCCGGATCTTTTTCAAGATCCTAGTTACCCAGGATATTTTTAAATATCACCTAGTTGATAAAGGTTGAGATCATCCATTGCTGCAATCCCAGAGACACCCTCCAGACCCCCCAAAAAGGCCAGATACTCGGTTTATATAACGACTGGGATACAAGATTCGATTAAAAAACACTCTTGGGACTTGAAAAGGAGTTCTGAATGTGAAATGTTACACCTGTTGTCTTATATTTGAATTTCCATTATTTGTATAAAATGTTTTCCTTCCTTTTCATGAAATAAATAAGAGTCTGAATCCCTTGGCTGAGAAATTCTGTCATAAAACAATACTTTGCCAGCGTTCGCCCCTCCGTGTGAAGTGGCAGAGATGATGAGATGATCTCCGCAGCTCGGCGGGCCTGCGGGTGAGGGGGCCGCCATAAGGCGACCACTCAGGAAAACGCTGGAGCAAACAGATGGGGCCTCCGTTGTGCCCCGAAGGCAGACAGTCCCGGCCCTGCTGGACCCGGGCGGAGCGCATTCCAGAGTCCTGCGTGCCTCCTTGACAATGCCCTGCCCCTGGCTTCCCAGACTTCAGACCTTCCCCTCCTTGATCTCTGGCACCGTGGAGGAATCGAAGAGGAAGAGGGTCCCCAGGGACAGCGCATTTCATTCCTGCCTGGCTGAATAGATAAAAGCCAACACCTGCTGGCGCAGCGAGGTGCGCCTGGAGCCAGTACTATCGGGGCCTCACAGGTGTGTGAAGACCGCAGCGGAGGGCCAAGCTCTGGGGAAGCCGTGGCCACGGAGTGCCTGGTGCAAGCCTAGAGCGGGCGCGCGCTGCCGCTGTTCACACACAGGCTTCCTCCTAGTGCTCTTAAAAAGAAGAGAGCTTCACCAACATGTTCCCACGTGTAATGTACCAGCTCTGCCCATATGGGTGTCATCATAGGATTTTATTACTAATTTCAATTGTGGTGTTCCACTTCTGAAAATGCTATTTGGTCAAAAGTTTAGATTTTAAATACTCACAGAGAAACACAAAATTGCTCCGTGCAGCATTGTAATTATAGCAACAAAAAACATGGAAAACAATATCCATCAATAGAGTTAGTTTAAAACATTATGTCACGAACATGTAATGGAATAATCTGTGGCTTATAAAAACCAAACATGGAAAGATGTCCATTATAGAGTAAATTTGAAACCTAAGTTGCAACGCAGTATCAGTGCTGTATGATCTCATTTGTTAAAATATGTAAATGTGTTCATCTTTCCTTAGAGAAATATCTGCAAGAATATTCACAAACTACCTCAAGGGATTGTGGGACTCTTCATTTTCTATTTCATATATTCCTGTATGATTTAAAAGTTTGCAACAAGCATGTCCTATTTATATAAACAAAAAGCACATTCAAGCGTGCGTATGTGTTGTGTGTGTGTGTGTGCTTGTGTGTGTGCGCGTGTGTGTGTGTAATTAAGTTTCCAAGCTTCAGGCATAATGAAATCCAAAGTAATAAATGATACAGAGTAGTGGTAATTAATTTGTTATTAATTATATCTATAGAACAGACTTATATTGTGCCTTTTATCACTTCATAAGAAATACATGACACTAAAATTAGAAAATTGAGGTCATTTATAGGAAAACAATTTTTCTTCTGAATAAAAAGCACCTGCAACTATCTATTGTTAACTCCAATTACTCCCTCTAACAAATAAGTGAAAACGTAGCTGGTAATGTAAATATAATACAAATTTAGGTGAAAACTGCAGTCTCTATGGAAATATCCTTTTTCCCCACACACTCCCTCTCTTCTTACCCCACTCACCACCCACTCCCCCACCTAAACTCAGGCTCCAATACCTGAAAACCATCTCTTTTCACTTTCTTGTTTGTTCCTAAAGGATGGTGGCATCAGGTTGTAAATCACCACAAAGAACACTCTTAGTGATGTCCCAAAATTTATTGTTCCCAGCTTTTCCAAGATTACTTATGAGAATGCTCACTGTGAAAGAAAAACATAGCCCGGCAAGTACATTTCCAAGCATTTAGACCTGGTTCTTGCTGCAAAATGTAGTGAGCAAGGAAAACAACTTTAAGACCAATAAAAATTAAAATAAAATAAAACTCTCATTACGTCTCTTATAAAAGACATGAGAAATGACTTAAAAATTCTAACTGGTTACTCTATGTTTAGAAAGGACCAAATTACAAAGGTTAGTCTATTTTTTGTTAAAGTGCACTTGTAGCAACCTCTCCATAGATGATAAATTTAAATGAACATTTCTCTGCTGCCATCTCGTGGATTATTTAGGTAATGTACTCAAAGGCAAAGGCAAATCCCACTAAAATTTTACCGGATGTGAAAAGTCATATTGATTACTTAGTCATTTATTTGACAGAACACAACATAACTTAATGTATATAGCATGCTACATATAACATATTAAACCTCATCCTAAGAACAAGGTTTAAGATCCTTTCACTTTTAAATGCTGTTAACCTTGATAGAGAAAACAAAATGCTTTTGCCATTGCATAAGCAATAATTACTACAAAAGACATTATATCTCTATGTAATAATCACTAAAAGTATCGAGATCACACCATTGCACTCCAGCCTGGGAGATGAGCGAAACTCCGTCTCAAAAAAAAAAAAAAAAGATAGGAAACAGGGCACTGCTTTACCTTTGGTTGTAATTTAGATGGTTCTGTGGGAAGAGAAGGGTGTTCACAATGCACAATACACAATGGTGGCATTATCTCGACTTCACAGATGCTCTCCTCTGCAAAGGCTGGGACCAGAGAAGGATGGGAAAGGGGCCATCCCTGGTCAGATTCTGAACATGGTCCCAGTAGCAAATGCTACTGTGATGAGAGGGGATATGTTTAATAAGTGGCTGTCACACCCACTATCAAGCAGTGTTAATGATTCATGCAGCACTTTCCAAACCGTTCCTGGATCTTCAGGTACTCCTTGGAGTAACCAAGTTTTAGAGTCAGCAATAAACCCAGAAAGGAATAAAGGGGGGGAAAAGTAGAAATCCTTGTCAGTCATAATGCATGCATTAGAGAATCAAGGAAAAAAACTGGAAAAAAATTTTGTCTACCTATCCCCTCAATTATTTCCGTAATAAATCAGAAATGTATAAAAATTTTCCATTTGGGAAGAATTTTCAATTCTATATGAGAAATTTTAAATCTTTTTGAGACACTTCAAGTTTGTTCTTCAGAAGCCCATGAACAAGATCTAAGACTTGTATTTCTTTTTTTATATATACTTTAAGTTCTAGGGTACATCTGCACAACGTGCAGGTTTGTTACAACATGTGCCATGTTGGTGTGCTGCACCCATTAACTCGTCATTTACATTAGGTATATCTCCTAATGCTATCCCTCCCCCATCCCCCCACCCCACAACAGGCCCCCATGTGTGATGTTCCCCTTCCTGTGTCCATGTGTTCTCATTGTTCAATTCCCACCTATGAGTGAGAACATGAGGTGTGTGGTTTTCTGTCCTTGCGATAGTTTGCTGAGAATGATGGTTTCCAGCTTCATCCATGTCCCTACAAAGGACATGAACTCATCACTTTTTATGGCTGCACAGTATTCCATGGTGTATATGCGCCACATTTTCCTAATCCAGTCTATCATTGTTGGATATTTGGGTTGGTTCCAAGTCTTTGCTATTGTGAATAGTGCCGCAATAAACATACGTGTGCATGTGTCTTTATAGCAGCATGATTTATAATCCTTTGGGTATATACCCAGTAATGGGATGGCTGGGTCAAATGGTATCTCTAGTTCTAGATCCCTGAGGAATCGCCACACTGTCTCCCACAATGGTTGATCTAGTTTACAGTCCCACCAACAGTGTAAAAGTGTTCCTATTTCTCCACATCCTCTCCAGCACCTGTTGGTTCCTGACTTTTTAATGATTGCAATTCTAACTGGTGTGAGATGGTATCTCATTGTGGTTTTGATTTGCATTTCTCTGACGGCCAGTGATGATGAGCATTTTTTGATGTGTCTGTTGACTGCATAAATGTCTTCTTTTGAGAAGTGTCTGTTCATATTCTTCGCCCACTTTTTGATGGGGTTTTTTCTTGTAAATTTGTTTGAGTTCTTTGTAGATTCTGGATATTAGCCCTTTGTCAAATGAGTAGATTGCAAAAATTTTCTCCCATTCTGTAGGTTGCCTGTTCACTCTGACGGTAGTTTATTTTGCTGTGCAGAAGCTCTTTAGTTTAATTAGATCCCATTTGTCAATTTTGGCTTTTGTTGCCATTGTTTTTGGTGTTTTAGACATGAAGTCCTTGCCCATGCCTATGTCCTAAATGGTATTGCCTAGGTTTTCTTCTAGGGTTTTTATGGTTTTAGGTCTAGCATTTAAGTCTTTGATCCATCTTGAATTAATTTTTGTATAAGGTGTAAGGAAGGGATCCAGTTTCAGCTTTCTACATATGGCTAGCCAGTTTTCCCAGCACCATTTATTAAATAGGGAATCCTTTCCCCATTTCTTGTTTTTGTCAGGTTTGTCAAAGATCAGATAGTTGTAGATGTGTGGTATTATTTCTGATGGCTCTGTTCTGTTCCATTGGTCTATATCTATGTTTTGGTACCAGTACCATGCTGTTTTGGTTACTGTAGTCTTGTAGTATAGTTTGAAGTCAGGTAGCATGAAGCCTCCAGCTTTGTTCTTTTGGCTTAGGATTGTCTTGGCAATGTGGGCTCTTT
Source organism: Homo sapiens (assembly GCF_000001405.40). Taxonomy (NCBI): domain Eukaryota; kingdom Metazoa; phylum Chordata; class Mammalia; order Primates; family Hominidae; genus Homo; species Homo sapiens. The sequence goes on from NC_000008.11 coordinate 65,564,655, forward strand.
TTTGGTTCCATATGAACTTTAAAGTAGTTTTTTGAACTTTAAAGTAGCTTGATGGGGATGGCACTGAATCTATAAATTACCTTGGGCAGTATGGCCATTTTCACAATATTGATTCTTCCTATCCATGAGCATGGAATGTTCTTCCATTTGTTTGTGTCCTCTTTTATTTCATTGAGCAGTGTTTTGTAGTCCTCCTTGAAGAGGTCCTTCACATCCCTTTTAAGTTGGATTCCTAGGTATTTTATTCTCTTTGAAGCAATTGTGAATGGGAGTTCATTCGTGATTTGGCTCTCTGTTTGTCTGTTATTGGTGTATAAGAATGCTTGTGATTTTTGCACATTGATTTTGTATCCTGAGACTTTGCTGAAGTTGCTTATCAGCTTAAGGAGATTTTGGGCTGAGACAATGGGGTTTTCTAAATATACAATCATGTCATCTGCAAACAGGGACAATTTGACTTCCTCTTTTCCTAATTGAATACCCTTTATTTCTTTCTCCTGCCTGATTGCCCTGACCAAAACTTCCAACACTATGGTGAATAGGAGTGGTGAGAGAGGGCATCCCTGTCTTGTGCCAGTTTTCAAAGGGAATGCTTCCAGTTTCTGCCCATTCAGTATTTCTACACCTATTGTCCCACTACCACCTTTGAGCGGGTTGCTACTCAGGCATAATATATACAATAAATCCCTTTTAAAGAAAGATGGGAGGCCAGGTGCAGTGGCTGACGTCTGTAATCTCAGCACTTTGGGAAGCTGAGGCGGGTGGATCACCTGAGGTTAGGAGTTTGAGACCAGCCTGGCCAACTTGGTGAAACCGCATCTCTACTAAAAACACAAAAAATTAGCCGAGAGTGGTGGCACACGCCTGTAATCCCAGCTACTCAGGAGACTGAGGCCGGAGAATCGCTTGAACCCCAGAGGTGGGGGTTGCAGTGAGACGAGATCACACCATTGCACTCCAGCCTGGGCAACAAGAGCGAAACTCCATCTCAAAAAGAAAAAAAAAAGGGGGGAAAGCAGAGCGCTGCTGCTGTGTGCTCTCAGTTGGATATTTCTTTACCTTTGGTTGTAATTTAGATGGTTCTGTGGTAAGAGAAGGGTGTTGGCCTAACAGATCATGTCTTCTGAGCTAGATCCTGGCCTCCAAGATTCTATTTCTCCATTATATTCTAGAACCTAAGTTTGGAAGGCTTCGACATGGAATATTGGATACTCCAAGAGTAGAGCCTGGGATTGGTAGATTTAGGGGGAAAAAATAGAACACCCAGTTCAATTAAAATTTCAGAAACACAACAAACAATTGGGGCATATTTACCCTAAAAAGATCCTTGTTATTTATCTGAAAGTCAAATTTCTAATGGACATCCTGAATTTTATCTAGTAACCTCACATAAATTTTCTCCTTCCCCAAAGTACTGTTGATGCCAGTTAAAGAAAATGGATATTGCAACTAGGAAAAATAGACTGGTTCTCTTTCTCACATAAAGTTATTTTTTAATCATTAAGATAAAATAGCAGCGTGGTGGCTCACACCTGTAATCCCAGAACTTTGGGAAGCCCAGGCAGGAGGATTGCTTCAGCTCAGAAGTTTGAGACCAGCCTGGGCAAACCCTTTCTTTACAAAATAATTTTTTTAATTAAATTATAAAAAGATAAAATAGCATAAGAATACACTGAGTAAGAGGTTTTCCAAATATTATGGGGAAAAAACAAGGCAAATTATATCAAGGTTATAATTTAACGGTAGAATTGAAGGTTGGTGGAATTATCTAGTTTAGGCATTCAGATATTTGGTAAGCACCATGTTAGATAGGCACCATCCATGCTGGACACGGGGAAGAAGATGAACAAGGCACAGCCCCTGTTCCCAAGAAGCTCACAGTCTAGTAGAGGAAAGAGACAAAAAGAGATGGCGAACATGTGATATAAATAGAAATATAAAGGAAATGGGGATTTCATCCTGTCCTCTCCCCTCTCCCCTGCACCCTAGTAAAGCCTACAGTGCCTGGTCTCATCACTAATGAGATGTGACTATCAGGTGAAGAGATTTATTTAAAAGAAATAGACTAGAACTGTCTGCACTGATTCTTGGTAAACATCAGAACCTATACATTGTCTGCCAGAAAATAAAATGTCAAAGCTGGTAATAACCTTGGAGATCTCATCTAGCATGTGCGTTTTATGAAACAGAAGCCTGCCATCCCCCAGCCAGCAGTCATCAAAGCAGCTGACTCCTAGTCTACAAACTTCATCTAGAGTTTTTCCTAGCTGCTGCTTCCTTAGGTGAGGTCTAACAATGAAGATGGTTTGGCCCATATCTCAGTTTCCAAATAATTTATTAATTCATCCTTCCAGCGACCAAAACTATTAAAGCAGAGAGAATTATAAAAAGAGTTACAAGAAAGCCTGCTGCCTAAATTGGAACTAACACTCCAACCAAAGTAACATGCAGAGTGAGCTTAGGAAAGTAAAGGAAAAAAAATTATTAACATCGGAGGTGATGCTTCCACCTTATTCAGCAAATAAAATCTACTCATCCCATCCTTTGTCCTCATATAGTTGCTTCTAAAGGCTAATCTCTGGACTTTGATACAAACTAACCAGGAAAATTCACATTGTGTTGACAGTTCACAGAAGCAGGTAGAGGGTAGACATGGACTGATAAACTACTCATGTTAGTTATTTATGCTAAAAGTCCTACTTGTTACGTTAACTTAAAAGAATAAAGAGGGGGAAAAGGAAAGAATAGAGCTGAGATCCAGTCTCTGAGAAAAGGAGAAAATGGCATCAAAGTAGTAGAGGATATGTCTTCATTTTCCTCTTAGTTCCAGTTCTTCCAGTCTCCCTTTCCCTAGGACATCTTCCTCTTTGAAGTCCTTGATGTCATGTTGAGAAAGTCTTCTCTCTCTCTCCCATGTTCCCATATGTGTAAGTATAGCATAGGCTGATCTCTTCTAGAAATAGAAAAATTGATTAAGACCATTCTCAATAAAATGTGAGTGATTAATAGTTTTCAACCTTCTCAATCCACCCAGTAGCACCTCCCTGTTCTAGAAAAACTGGTGAAATTTCAGATATAAACACAGACATACTTTTAATCATCAAGGGTTTAGGCTGGATGCAGAAGCTCACATCTGTAATCTCAGCTCTTTGGGAGGTTGAGGTGGGAGGATGGCTTGAGCCCAGGAGATCAAGGCTGCAGTGAGCTGTATATGCTCCACTGCACTCCAGCCTGGGCAACAGAGCAAGACACTGTCTCAAACACGCACACACACACACACACACATACACACACAAAAGGTTTATTTCTCTGCCTACCCCTCCACACATACTCACATACATCTGTAACAGTGAGATATAAGGGACCTCTGGACAATTTTTAAGGTACATACTTACCACTCCCCAGTTTACTACCCTCCATCTCAGTAAAATGCCCAATACTCATTTACCTTTTGCCCCTACTTATTCAAAACGCCCAATATTTATCTATATTATATTATTGCAGAAAGTATTTGTTATGTGTTATGGCTAGGACTCCCTGTCCTGAGGTTACCCCATTTTGCTCTGTTCGGCCGTATCCTGCTACAGTCAGCCTTTGTGTTTGAATCTACTCTGCAACCTAGGCCAAAACTCTATGGTCAGACAGGCTCTTCCCTAATGGAAGAAAGATGACTATGGCTGCACTAGTGTACACCTTCCCACTTCCATTCCCACAGCAACTGGAATTTGTTTAGGAATGTGTCCAGTCAGAGACAGCACACTGCAATGAGACCCCTACTGGGAACTCTAGGAAAAGGACTTCACTCATTCTCATGGAATATTAGCTTGTGTGGGTTGAGCCTGCTGCTGCCTATTGCTACCATGAAGGGAGAGTGAGAATGGAGCTACAACAAACAAAGGTAAGATGAAAATGGAAATCAGGTCCTTGTGACATCATTTAAGCTCCTATATCAAACTAAACTATACCCAAAGTAAGCCCTACTACTGAACTTTTTAGTTTTGTGAGCATTAAGTTCCTTCTTTCCTTATGCAGTGTAGGAAGTGATTTTCTATCACTTGCAATTAAAAGAAGTTGATATCATTAGTATACTTAGGAATATCTGAGACAATAGGTGAGATATGCCCCTCTAAAAAACAGGACTAAGTGCCAGAAAGATTCCTTAAAATCAAAAGTATCGTTTCCTCAATTAAAATTTCAATAAAAGGCCTAGAAGAGAAAGTTGGGAAAATGTCTCAGAATGTAAACCAGAAAGATGAAACCATGGAAAATACAAGAAAAAAGTTGGAGAATGGAGATCAACTGAGGAAGCCTAATATTAGTCAAATAGTCATTACAGGAGGAAAAAAGAGACAACTAACTGGGAGAAAATAGAAGAAAATTCTTAGAGCTAAAAAGATGTAAGTGTACAGCACAAAATGCCGTTAGGATAAATAAAAAGATTTATACCTAAGTGTATCCTTATAGAACTACAGGACTCCAAGGAAAAGGTGAATATCCTAAAGCTTCTAGACTAAAAACAGTTTCCCTACAGAAGAATGGAATTTTACGTAATATTAGATTTCTCAACAGGGTCCCTGAATATTAGAAGACAATGTCTTTAAAATTAGGAAGAAAAAAAATCGTATGGACCTACAATTCTATCCTACATAGTACTGGACGTTCTGACCAATGCGACAAAAAAAAAATAAGGACTGGAAGGAAAAAGATCAAACTGATTATTTGTAGATGCTTTTATCTCCAAAGCAGTTAACTCTTAGACCTAATAAGAGAGTTGAGCAAAGTTCCCAACTAAAAGATCAACTTATCAATAGTGTTGTTCTGCACTCATCATTTAGAAAAGATAACTGAAAGTAAGCTACCGTTCACAGCAGCAACAAAATCAAGTGTGAGGAAAAAACGCTTTATAGATATAAAAGTACTATTTTGACACACCCTTCTGGAAAAATTACATAGCATCTGAAAAAAATGACACCAACCCAGGGAGTGCAATGAGAAGAAATGCCCAGATGGCAGCTCTGTGGCTGGAACACGAAGTTAGAAGGTATAAAAAGAATGTCTATGCAAATCAAAACCACAATGAGATACCATCTCACACCAGTTAGAACTGCAATCATTAAAAAGTCAGGAAACAACAGGTGCTGGAGAGGATGTGGAGAAATAGGAACACTTTTACACTGTTGGTGGGACTGTAAACTAGTTCAACCATTGTGGAAGACAGTGTGGTGATTCCTCAGGGATCTAGAACTAGAGATACCATCTGACCCAGCCATCCCATTACTGGGTATATACCCAAAGGATTATAAATCATGCTGCTATAAAGACACATGCACACATATGTTTATTGCGGCACTATTCACAATAGCAAAGACTTGGAACCAACCCAAATGTCCAACAATGATAGACTGGATTAGGAAAATGTGGCGCATATACACCATGGAATACTGTGCAGCCATAAAAAGTGATGAGTTCATGTCCTTTGTAGGGACATGGATGAAGCTGGAAACCATCATTCTCAGCAAACTATCGCAAGGACAGAAAACCAAACACCGCATGTTCTCACTCATAGGTGGGAATCGAACAATGAGAACACATGGACACAGGAAGGGGAACATCATACACCGGGGCCTGTTGTGGGGTGGGGGGATGGGGGAGGGATAGCATTAGGAGATACACCTAATGTTAAATGACGAGTTAATGGGTGCAGCACACCAACATGGCACATGTATACATATGTAACAAACCTGCACATGTACCCTAAAACTTAAAGTATTAAAAAAAAAAAAAAGAACGTCTTCAATGTCGGAATGGACTTCATTCTACAAATCATAGATTAGGAGGCTGAAAGAACTTAGTGAGATGGCCAAGAAGAATTATTTTTTTCTCAACAAGAATTTAAAAAGCCACACTAGAACTCTGAGAAAAATTTGAGAAATTACAAAAAAGTCATCAGCCAAATAGGAAGCATTCTCCTTCAAAGGCACAGGTTTAGTGAAGCAGGAGTATATGTCCTTCTCTGCTGTTCCAATCCTACTGACTCAGTGTTAAATAATATTACATGTTTACATAATGAGACTATATATTTAAATTTCATAATGCTAATAATTTAAATGCTGTATTTATTTCTAACTTGTTTATTTGTTTGTTTGTTTTAGAGATAGGATCTCACTGTGTGGCCCAGGCTGTGTCGCCCATGCAGTGGCATGATCATAGCTCACTGCAGTTTCCAACTTCTGGGCTCAAGCAATCCTCCTGCCTCAACCTACTAGGTAGCTGGCATTACAGGTACTGGCTGTACCTGGCTTATTTATTTTATTTTTGTTTTTTGAAACAGAGTCTCACTGTGTCACCCAGGCTAGAGTGCAGTGGCACAATCTTCGCTCACTGCAGCCTCGACCTCCAGGCTCAGGCGATCTTCCCACTTCAGTCTCTCAAGTAGCTGGGATTACAGGCTCACTCCACCATGCCTGGCTAATTTTTTGTAGAGACAGGGTTTCGCCATGTTGCCCAGGCTGGTCCTGAACTCTGGGCTCAAGTGATTCTCCCGCCCAGACCTCCCAAAGTGCTAGGATTGAAGGTGTGAGCCACCATGCCCGGCTTATTTTTTTATTGATATATAATATTTAAAAATCAATGGGGTACATGTGATATTTTGTAACATGCATAGAATGTGTAATTATCAGGTCAGGTGAGGGTATTGAGGTGTCGTCCATCACTCTGAGCATTTATCATTTCTACATATTGGAAAGAACTCAAGTCCTCTCTTCTAGCCACTTTGAAGTATACAATACATTGATGTTAATGATAATCACTCTTCTCTGCTGTGGAACAATAGAACTTCTACCTTTTATCTAACTGTATTTGTGTACCCCTTAACTTACCTCTTTTCATACCCCAACCACACCCACCCACCTTTGAAACCTACCATTCTACTGTCTATCTTTATGAGATCAACTATTTTAGCTCCCACAAATGAGAACATGCAATATTTGTCTTTCTAGGCCTGGCTTATTTCATTCAACATAATGACCTCCAGTTCCACCATGTTGCTGCAAATGACATGATTTCTTTTTTTTTGAGACAGCGTCTTGCTCTTTTGCCCAGGCTGAAGTGCAGTGGCACAATCTTGGCTCACTGCAAGCTCCACCTCCTAGGCTCAAGCAATTATTGTGCTTCTTGGTCTCCGCAGTAGCTGGGACTACAGGCGCCCACCACCACATCTGGCTAAGTTTTGTATTTTTAGTAGAGATGGGGTTTCACCATGTTGGCCAGGCTGGTCTCAAACTCCCAGGCTCAAGTGAGCCTCCCAATTCGGCCTCCCAAAGTGCTGGGATTACAGGTGTGAGCCACCAAGCCCAGCCTTATTTCATGATTTTTTCATGGTTTAATAGTATTTCATTGTGTATATATACCACATTTACTTTATCCAGTTATCCATTGATGGACAGTTAAGTTGATTACATATCTTTGCTATTGTGAATAGTATTGCAATAAACACGTCCCTTTGATATACTAATTTCTTTTCCTTTGGGTAGGTATCCAGGAGTGGGATTAATGGAACCTATGGTAGTTCTATTTTTAGTTTGCTGAGAAATTTCCATACTGCTTATCATAGAGGTTGTACTAATTTACATCCCCACTAACAGTGTATGAGAATGCCCTTTTCTCCACATCCTCACCATCATCTATTATTTTTTTACTTTTTAGTAATAGCCATTCTAACAGGATAAGCTGGTATCTCATGGTGGCTTTGATTTGAATTTCCCTGATGACTAGTGATGTTGAACATTTTTTCATATACCTGTTGTCCATTTGTATGTCTTCTTTTGAGAATTATCTATTCATGTATTTGCCCAGTTTTTAATGGGATATTATTATTATTGAGTTTCTTGAATTCCTTGTATATTCTGGATATTAGTCCCTTATCAGATGAACAGTTTGCAAATATTTTCTCCCATTCTACAGGTTGTTCATTCTATGACTGTTTCCTTTGCTGGCAGAAGCTTTTTAGTTTAATTAAGTCCCATTTGTCTATTTTTGTTTTAGTTGTCTGTGTTTTGTCTTTTTTTTGTCTTAATCACAAAATCTTTGCATAGGCCAGTATCCTGAAGTACTTTCCCTATGTTTTCTTCTATTCGTTTTATAGATTCAAGTCTTATGTTTAAGTCTTAAATCCATCTTGGTAGATTTTTTCGTATGTGATGAGAGGGGTCTAGCTTTATTCATTTGCATATGGATATCCATTTTTTCCAGCACCATTTATTGAAGAGGGTGTCATTTCCCCAGTGCATGTTCCTGGTGCTTTTGTCAAAGATCAGTTGGCTGTAAATATGTGGCTTTATTTCTGGGTTCTCTATTCTGCTCCATTGATCTGTGTATCTATTTTTATACCAATAACATGCTGTTTTGGTTACTGTAGCCTTGTAATATATTTTTGAAGTCAGGTGGTATGATGTTCCAGCTTTGTTCTTTTTGCTCAGGATTGCTTTAGTTATTTGGGCTCTTTCTGTTGTTGTTGTTCCACATGAATTTTCTAATTATTTTTTTCTAATTCGGTGAAAAGTAACTTTGGTATTTTCATAGGGATTGCATTGAATCTGTAGATTGTTTTAGGCAATATAGTCATTTTATTAATTGGTCAATGTGGTAATTTCCAGTCCACGAACATGGAATGTCTTTCCATTTGCTTGTGTCCTCTTTAATTTCTTTCATCAGTGTTTTGTTGTTCTCCTTGTAGAGGGCTTTCACCTTCTTGGTTAAATTTACTTTTAGGCTTTTTTTGTAGCTATTGTAAATGAGATTGCCTTCTTGATTCCTTTTTTGGCTATTTCATTATTGGTGTATAGAAGTACTACTGATGTCTCTAAAACAACCATTGGATTTTTTAGAATTTTAAAAATAAAGAAATGCTATTGATTTTTGTAATGTTGACTTCATCTGCAACTCCTAGCCTCAAGCGATTCTCTCACTTCAGCCTCCCAAGTAACTGAAATTACTGACACACTATATGTTGATTTTGTGTACTGAAACTTTTCTGTATTTGTTCATCAGTTCTAAGAGGTTTTTGGTGGAATCTTTCGGTTTTTCTGAATATAAGATCATGTCATCCACAAAGAGGGGCAATTTGATTTCTTTTTTTTTTTTTTTTTTTTTTTTTTTGAGACAGAGTCTCACTCTGTTGCCCAGGGTAGAGTGCAGTGGCATGATCGTGGCTCACTGCAACCTCTGCCTCCTGGGTTCAAGTGATTCTCCTGCCTCAGCCTCCCCATTAACTGGGACTACAGGCACACACCTCCACGCCTGGCAAATTTTTTGTATTTTTAGTAGAGACGGGGTTTCATCGTGTTAGCCAGGATGGTCTTGATCTCCTGACCTCATGATCTGCCCACCTCAGCCTCCCAAAGTGCTGGGATTATAGGCATGAGCCACTGCACCTGGCTGATTTCCTCTTTTCCCAATTTGGATGCTGATATGGTTTGGATGTTTGTCCAAATCTAATGTTGAAATATAATCCCTAATTTTGGAGGTGGGGCCTGGTGGAAGGTGTCTGGATCATGGAGGCAGATCCCTCATGAATGGCTTAGCACCATCCCCTTGGTGATGAGTGAGTTCTTGCTCAGTGAGTTCACATGAGATCTGGTTGCTTAGAAACCTGGGATCTCCCTCCTCTTCTTGCTTCCTGTCTCACCATGTGATACGTCTGCTCCCGCTTCGCCTTCTACCACTATTGAAAGCTTCCTGAGACCCTCACCAGGAGCAGATGTTGGCAACATGCTTCCTGTACAGATTGCAAACCATGAGACAATCAAACCTCTTTTCTTTATCAATTACCCAGCCTCAGGTATTTCTTTATAGCAATGAAAGAATGGACTAACATAGATGCCTTTTATTTCTTCCTCTTGCTGATTGCTCTGGCTAAGACTTCCAGAACTATGTTGAACAGGGGTGGTGAAAGTAAGCATCTTTGTCTTGTTCCAGTTCTTAGAAGAAAGGCTTTCAACTTTTCCCCATTCACTAAGACATTAGCTGTGGGTTTGTAATACATGGTCTTTATTATTTGAGGTATGTTCCTCCTATATCTACATTGTTGAGCATTTTATCATGAAATAATGTTGAATTTTACTAAATGCTTTTCTGCATCTATTGAAATGATTATATAGTTTTTCCTTGATTCTGTTGATGTGATGTGTCACGTTTATTTATTTGCACCTGGGCACGGTAGCTCACACCCAGCACCTTAGGCGGCTAAGATAGGAGGAATTCTTGAGTCCTGGAGTTCAAGACCAGCCTAGGCAACAGAGCAAGAACCTGTCTCTACATTTTTTTTTATTTAGTTGGGCATGGTGGTGTGCATCTGTAGTCTCAGCTACTCAGGAGACTGAGGCAGAAGGATCACTTGAGCTCAAGAGGTTGAGGCTAAAGTGAGCCATGATCATGCCATTCCACTCCAGCCTGGGCGAGAGAGAGAGATCCTCTCTAAAAAAAGTTTTTAATTAAAAATCTAAAAATAAAAAATAGTGATTTGTATATGTTAAGCCATCTTTGCATCCCTGGCATAAATCCCAAATTGTCTCGATGCATTATCTTTTTATATGCGGTTGAATTTGGTTTGACAGCTTGTTTTTGGTTTCTTGTGTTTTTGTTTTGTTTTGAGAGAGTCTCGCTGTCACCCAGGCTGGAGTGAAGTGGCATAATCTAGGCTCACTGCAACCTCTGCCTCCTGGGTTCAAGTGATTCTCCTGCCTCAGCCTCCCAAGTAGCTGGGATTACAGGCATGCACCACCACACCCGGCTAATTTTTGTATTTTTACTAGAGACGGGGTTTCACCATGTTGGCCAGGCTGGTCTCAAACTCCTGGCCTCAAGCGATCTGCCCGCCTTGGCCTCCCAAAGTGCTGGGATTACAGGTGTGAGCCACTGTGCCTGGCCGATTTGACAGTATTTTTTTAGGATTTTTGTATCTATGTTCATCAGTGATATTGGCCTGTAGTTTTCTTTCTTTGTTGTATCCTTCTCTGGTTTGGTATCAGGGTAATGCTGGCCTCACAGAATAACTTAGGAAGAATTTTCTATTCTTCAATTTTTTGGAATAATTTTAGGAGGACTGATATTAGTTCTCTATGTTTGGTAGAATTTGGCAGTAAATTCATCCTGCCCTAGGTTTTTCTTTGCTGGGAGACTTTCTATTACTGATTCAATCTCACTACTCATAATTAGTTTGCTCGGGTTTTCTATGTTTTCCTCATTCAATCTGGGTAGGTTATACGTTTCAAGGAATTTAACCATTTTCTCTAGGTTTTCCAGTTTCTTAGTGTACAGATGTTCATAATAGTATCTGGTGATCTTTTGTATTTCCATAGTGCCAATTGTAATGTCTCCTTTTCCATTTCTGATTTTGCTTATTGGGTCTTCTCTCTTCTTTCCTTGGTTTGTGTAGCTAGCAGTTTATCAATTTTATTTATCTTTTCAAAGAATCAGCTTTTTTTCATTGATTCTTTGAAATTTTTTTAAGTCTCCATTTTATTTAGTTCTGATCTTTATTATTGCTTTCCTTCCAATTTTGGATTTGGTCTGTTTGCTTTTCTAGTTTCTAAGATGCATTATTAGATTGTGTATCTGAAATCTTTTTACTTTTTGATATAGATGTTTATTGCTATAAACTATCCTCTTAGTACTACCTTTGCTGTATTGCACAGATTATAGTCTATTGATTTTCATTTTCAAGAAATTTTTTTATTTTCATTTTAATTCCTTTATTGACTCAATGTTCATTCACGGGCATGTGTTCAATTTCCATGTATTTGTATAGTTTCCAAAGTTTCTCTTGGTATTGATTTCTAGTTTTATCCCACTGTGTCTAAGAAGATACTTGATATGATTTCAGTTTTTCTAAATTTGTTAAGACTTGTTTTGTGGCCTGACATATGGTCTATCCTAGAGAGTGTTCCATGTGCTGATGAAAAGAATGTGTATTTAGCAGTTGTTAAATAAAATGTTCTGTAAATGTCTGTTTAGAACCATTTGGTCCAAAGTCCAGTTTAAATCCATTGCTTTTTGTTGATTTTCTGCCTGGATGATCTGTCTAATGATGAAAGTGGGGTGTTGAAGTCTCCCACTATTATTGTACGGGAGTCTCTCTCTTTAGATCTGGTAATATTTGCTTTATGAATCTGGGTGCTCCATTGTTGGGTGCATATATATTTTGCTTGTTATTTCCTTCTGGTGAATTGATCCCTTTGTCATTATATAATGACCTTCTTTGTCTGTTTTACTATTTTAGCTTAATGTCTTGTTTACCTGATATAAGTATACTTACTATTGCTTGCTTTTGGTTTCTGCTTGCATAGAATACCTTTTTCCATCTGTTTACTTTCAGTCTATACATATCTCTACAAGTAAAATCAATTTCTTCTAAACAGTGTATAGTTGGATCATTGTTTTAATCCACTCAGCCAGTGTATATCTTTTAAGTGAAGAATATAATCCATTTATATTCAAGATTATTATTGTTATGTGAGGTTTTTTTCTGTTATATTTTTTATTATTCACTGGTTGTTTTGTACATTCTTTGTTCCTTTCTTTTTCTCTTATTGGTTTGGTGGTTATCTATAGTGGTACCATTTGAGTCCTTCTCTTTCTCATGTATGTGTTTGCTTTGCTAGTGAGTTGTATACTTTTGTGTGTTTTCATGATGGTAAATGTCATCCTTTTGCTTCCAGGTTTAGGAATCCCTTGAGCATTTTTGCAGGGCTAGTGATGAATTCTCCTACTTTTATTTGTGTAAGAAAGACTTTTTCTCCTTCATTTATAAAGGATAATTTTGCTGTATATGTTATCTTGGCTGGCAGTTGTTTTCTTTCAGCACTTCAAATACATTATCCTTTTCTCTCCAGGCCTATAACATTTCTGCTGAGAAACCTGCTATTAATCTGTTTGCCTGATGGGGGTTCCTTTAAAGGTAACTAGACACTTTTCTCTTGCTGTTTTTAGAATTTGTCGTTGACTTTCAACATTTTGACTATAATGTGCTGTAGAGATCTTTTGCATTGTATCTGTTTGGGGATTACTGGGCCTCCTGTTTCTGGATGTCTAAATCTCTTGCTATACTTGGGAAGTTTACATCTATTATTTCATCACATTGATATTTGAATGCTTTCATTCTCTCTTCGCCTTCCAGGATACCAATAATTTCTTTATTTGGTCACTTTATGGTCTCCCATGTATCAAGAAGGCTTTGTTCATTCCTTTTTATTATTTTTCTTTATTTTTCTCTGACTAGGGTATTTCAAAAGATCTGTCTTTAAGTTCTAAGATTCTTTTCTCTTTTTTTTTTTTTTTTTTTTCTTTTTTGGAGACAGGACTCACCTGTCACCCAGGCTAGAGTGCACTGCAGCCTTAAACTCCTGGGCTCAAATGATCCTCCCACCTCGGCCTCCCAAAGGTTGGGAATACAGGTATGAGGCACCGTGCCCAGTGATTCTTTCTTCTGTTTGATCTACTCTGTTGTTGAAGCTTTCAAATGTATTTTGTGATTAATTAAATGAATTCTTCAGTTCCAGATTTTCTGTTTGGTTCTCTTTTATGATATCTATCTCCTTGGTAAATTTCTTATTTATATCCTGAATTGTTTTTCTGATTTATTTGTATTTGTATTGTTTTTTCAGTTAGGTGCAAGCCACCTGCTGGTCTAGCCTTGTGCCTCAGCCCCTGGTGCAATGGCTTATGGTTGCTTGCACCTGAGAGTCTCTTGTATCTCACTGAGCTTCTTTAGAATCAATAATTTTAATTCTTTTTACAGGCTTTCATGAATTTCTTTTTGATTTGGATATATTCCTGGAGAACTACTGTGTTCCTTTGGAGTTATCACACTTTCTTGCTCTTCATGCTTCCTGTATCCTTATGTTAATATCTGCACATCTGGCTTATTAGCTGCTTCTTCCAGGTTTTTGAATTTGCTTTCATAGGGGAGGACTTTCTCCTGAGGATGAATCCATAATGTCAGCTGGGTAAAACACTTTGACTTTTATTCTGGGTCTGTGCAATAATGTAGTCTCTGTATGATTTCTTTTGCTGTAAACAGTATCAGGGGTAACCAAGATTTCTTTGGTGGCTTATAGTGTGGTATTTGTGGAGGCTGTGTACAGTTTTACTAGGGACTGGGATGTCAGGTAGCCCAGTCTTTGGGCTCTAGTGGTGGGAGCCATGGGCTGAGCACGCCTGTCCTTTGGTGGCATATGCTGGCACCAGTGTAGCAGGTACATGTGGATCAATTTTGGGGCCTCCACATGGCTTACTCAGATGCTGGTGGTGGCATCCATGGACCAGGCAGGTAGGCAGGTTCTCAGGCCCCTGGGCAGGCAGTGTGGTGGGGGTTGTGGCAGTGACAGGATGACCCTCCAGGTCTAATGCCATGCAGTGTGCACTGATGTTGGTGGTGGCTGCAATGGGCTGGGCAAGCCAGTCTCCAGGCCCACAGGTGGCACATGCAGGTAAGTGCCAGCTGTGATTTTAGTGGCCAGGTGTGTAGGCCCAATCTCAGACCCTCAGGGGAGTGTTCAGGTACCAATGATGGTGGGCTGGGCTGGGTAATAACCTGGCTTTGATTGGGTGCTCTGGTATGAGGTGGGATGACTTGTTCTCAAAACCCCCAATCATGCGTACAGGAGCTGGATGTGGTAGATAACGACAAGGCAATCTCTAAGCCACCAGCAGAATGCTCGGGTGGCAGACAGCAGCAGCTCTGCTGTTGCTCTGCCACAGGGTGTAAGGGAGTGCTACCTTTGGTGATAGCAGCCTAGGCCAGCAGCTGGGGAGCATACATGCCATTCATGCCTCAGCCCCTGGTGCAGCAGCCCACAGTTGCTTGTACCTAAGCACAAGGGTTAACAGCCAGTTCTTCTTGTACGCCTCAGTCCCAGCACCAGTGGGCTCCAGAACAGTGAAGTTTGTTGGGGATGGGGCTCTAAAATGGCACCTCACTTGCACCTCAGTCCTAAAGGCAGCTGCACACCTCAGCCATGTCTTCACCCCCAGTGCAGTAGCTACAGTTGCTTGCACCTAAGCCCCAAAGCCACAGCCTGTGTTTCTCTCGCACTTTAGCCCAGCACCACTGGGCTCCAGGCAATCTACTGAGGATAGCATTCTAAAATGGTACCTCGCAAAAAACATCCCATGCTCTGTTCTCATTCATAAGTGGGAGTTGAACAGTGAGAACATGGGCACAGGGAGGCGAACATCACACACTGGGGCCTGTCAGGGGGTAGGGGGAAAGGGGAGGGGTAGCATTAGGAGAAATACCTCATGTAGATGACGGGTTGATGGGTGCAGCAAACCACCATGGCACATGTATACCTATGTAACAAATCTGCACGTTCTGCACATGTATCCCAGAACTTAAGTATAATTTAAAAATCTCAAATTTTAATTGGAAAAAAAAATCCCATGCTCATAATTAGAATAATTAATATCATTTCAATGACCATACTGCCCAAAGCAATCTATAGATTCGATGCAATCCCCATCAAAATACCAATGTCATTTTTCTTTTTTTTATTTTTTATTTATTTATTTTTTTTGAGACGTAGTTTTGCTCTTGTCACCCAGGATGGAGCGCAGTGGTGCAATCTCAGCTCACTGCAACCTCCACCTCCAGGGTTCAAGTGATTCTCCTGCCTCAGCCTCCCAAGTAGCTGGGATTACAGAGGCCCACCATCACACCTGCCTAGTTTTTTTTTTTTGTATTTTTAGTAAAGACGGGGTTTCACCACGTTGGCCAGGCTGGTCTTGAACCCTTGACCTTAGGTGATCCACCCGCCTTGGCCTCCCAAAGTGCTGGGATTACAGGCATGAGCCACGGTGCCCCGCCCAATGTCATTTTTCATAGAATTAGAAATAACAATCCTAAAATTCACATGGAATCAGAAAAGAGTCCAAATAGCTAAAGTAATCTTGAACAAAAAGAACAAAGCTAGAGGCATCACATTACCCAACCTCAAATTATACTCCAAGGATATAGCAACCCAAACAGCATAGTACTGGCATAAAAATAGACACATAGATCAACGGAATAGAATAGAGAACCCAGAAATAAAGCCACATATTTACAGCCAACTGATTTTAGACAAAGGTGCCAAGAACACACACCGGGGAAAGAACACCCTCTTCAATAAATGGTGCTGAGAAAATTGGATATCCATATGCAGAAGAATTAAACTAAATCCCTGTCACCATATACAAAAATCTACTCAAGACGGATTAAAGACTTAAATGTAAGACCTGAAATTATTTAAAAATACTAGGGGAAAACTTTTCTGGACATTGGTCTAGGCAAAGAATTGCCTTTGGAGGTCTTAGAGTGCCTAAGAGCTCAAAAGAATTGCGTTTGGAGGTCTTAGAGTGCCTAAGACCTCAAAAGAATAAACAATAAAAACAAGGGACAAATGGGACTTGATTAAACTAAAGAGCTTCTACACAGCAAAAGAAACTGTCAACAGAGTGAACAGACGACATGCAGAATGGAAGAACTTTGCATTCAATAGAGGACTAATATTCAGAATATACTCAACTCAATAACAACAAAAAAACAAGTAACCCCATTAAAAGTGGGCAAAGGACATGAATAAACATTTTTCAAAAGAAGACACACAAATAGCCAACATACATATGAAAAAATACTCAACACCACTAACCATCAGAGGAATACAAATTTCAACCACAAAGAGATATCATCGTACATCAGTGAGAATGACCATTATTAAAAAGTTGAGAAATAACAAATGTTGGCAAGTGTATTAGTCCGTTTTCATGCTGCTGATAATGACATACTGAAGACTGGGAAGAAAAATAAGTTGAATTGGACTTGCAGTTCCACATGGCTGGGAAGACCTCAGAATCATGGTGGGAGGTGAAAGGCACTTCTTACATGGTGGCAGCAAGAGAAAAATCAGGAAGAAACAAAAGCAGAAACCCTGATAAACCCATCAGATGTCATGAGACTTATTCACTATCACGAGAATAGCATGGGAAAGACCAGCCACCATGACTTAATTACCTCCCCCTTGGTCCCTCCCACAACATGTGGGAATTCTGAGAGATACGATTCAAATTGAGATTTGGGTGGGGACAGAGCCAAACCATATCAGTGAGGATGTGGAGTAAAGGGAACACTTATAGACTGTTGGTGGGAATGTAAATTAGTACAATCTCTATCAAAAGCAGTATGGAGATTTCTGAAAATAAAAATAAAAATAGAACTACTATTTGATCCAGCAATCACACTAGCCAATGGAAAATCATTATATCAAAAAGCTACCTGTATTTGTATGTGTATCAGTACTATTTGCAACAGCAAAGATACGCAATCCACCTAACAGTCCATCAATAAATTACTGGATAAAGAAATATGCCAGGCAGCTCGGTACAGTGGCTCATGCCTTTAATCACAGCACTTTGGGAGGCTGAGGCAGGTGGATCACTTGAGATCAGAAGTTCAAGACCAGCCTGGCCAACATGGTGAAACCCTGTAATCCTAGCTACTCAGTTGGCTTAGGCAGAAGGATCACTTGAGCCTAAGAGGCAAAGGTTGCACTCCAGCCTGGGTGACAGAATGAGACTCTGTGGAGGAGGAGGAGGAGGAGAAGGAGGAAAAAGAAGAAGAAGAAGAAAGAAGAAGAAGAAGAAGAAGAAGAAGAAGAAGAAGAAGAAGAAGAGGGAGGAGGAGGAGGAGGAGAAAGAAGAAGAAGAAGGAGAAGGAGAAGGAGAAGAAGAAGGAGAAGAAGGAGGAGGAAGAGGAGAAGAAAGGGAAGAAGGGGAAGAGGGAGAAGAGAAAGAAGAAGAAGAAGGAGGAGAAGGGGGAGGGTGAGGTGAGGGGGAGGAGGAGGAAGGTGCAGGGGAAGGGGGAAGAGAGAAGAAAGAAGAGGAGGAAGAGGAAGAAGAACTATGCAAAGGTTGCACTTCAGCCTGGGTGACAGAATGAGACAAGAAGAAGGGGAAGGAGAAGGAGAAGGAGAGGGAGAGGGAGAGGGAGAGGAAGAAGAAGAAGAAGAAGAGGAAGAAGAAGAGGAGGAGGAGGAGAAGGAGAAGGAGGCAGGGGAAGGGGAAGAAGGAGGAGGAGGAGGAGATGGAAAAGGAGGGGGAGGGGAGGGGAGAGGGAGAGGGAAGAAAGAAGAAAGAAGAAGAGAAAGAGGAAGAACTATGCCGGGCACACTTGTAACCCCAGCACTTTGGGAGGCCAAGGCAGGAGGGTCACTTGAGTCCAGGGGTTCGAGATCAGCCTGGACAACATAGTGGGATCCCCATCTCTACAAAAAATAAAAAATTAAAAAATTAGCCAGGTGTGGTGGCACATACCTGTAGTCCCAGCTACTTGAGAGGCTTGAGGTGGGAGAACTACTTGAGCCCAGGAGGTCGAGGCTGTAGTGAGCTGTGACCACACCACTGCACTCCAACCTGGGCAACAGAATGAGATCCCCATCTTAAAAAAATAAAAATTAAAAAATTACTAAAAAGAAATACACGTGTATTTATTATATACACACACAATGAAATACTATTCAGTCATTTAAAAAAAATAAATCATGTATTTTGCAGCAACATGGATGGAACTGGAGGCCATTATCTTAAGTGAAAAATCTCAGAAACAGAAAGCCAAATACTACATGTTCTCACTTGCAAGTGGGAGCTAAATAATATGTATACATGGACATAAAGTGTGGAATAATAGACATTGGAGTCTTGGAAGGGTGGAAGGGCGGGAGGAGGTGAGAGATGAAAAGTTAGTTAGTGGGTACAATGTACACTGTTCAAGTGACAGTTATGCTAAAAGCCCAGACTTCACCACTGTGCAGTATATCCATTTAACAAAATTGCACTTGTACTCTGTAAATTTAGACACAATTTAACATTTAACCCTTCATTTTAAAAAATTGAGGCTGGGCACAGTGGCTCACACCTGTAATCCCAGCACTTTTGGAGGCCAAGGTAGGTGGATTGCTTGAGCTCAGGAGTTCGAGACCAGCCTGAGCAACAAGATGAAACCCTGTCTCTACAAAAAAATACAAAAATTAGCCAGGTGTGGTGGTGCGCACCTGTAGTCCCAGCTACTTGGGAGGCTGAGGCAGGAGGATGGCTTGAGCTGGGGAGGTGGAGGTTGCAGTGAGCCAAGATCAAGCCACTGCACTCCAGCCTGGGTGACAGAGTGAGACCCTCTCTCAAAAAAAAAAAAAAAAAAAAAAGAAAGAAATTGAAAGAGTGGGAAAAAAGTAATCAATTGAGCAATAAAAAATATATTTAAAAAGGAGGGAATCCCCAAAACAAAATAATAAAATGACACCTTGCTGTAGCTGCTTAGACCTCAGGAATGTGAAGGACCCAGTGCAAGCTTCCTCCCTGAGGAAGGGGCAGTGCAAGTTTTTTAGGGCTCCAGGATCAACTTGGCATTAACTCCCAAATATAGTCAACCCTCTAGAGGGTTTGTTTTTTCAGGCTTCTTTATGGATTATAAGGCTGTCACATTTCACTTTTTTCATGAACATCATCTAAAACCCACACTAGAAGTTAATTCGCAAAACATAAGCCTCACTGTGATGATAGGACGCAGAGAGTCTAGAATCAGGAACATACTGTTTGCCATTGAATTATCTGGCTGGGCCATGCATATGGACACGATGAGATTCTGACCATAAGAGGACAATTAATCAAAGATGCCCCTAAGGCTGGGCGTGATGGCGCACGCCTGTACTCCCAACACTTTGGGAAGCCAAGGCAGGCAGATCACTTGAGGTTAGGAGTTTGACAGTAGCCTGGCCAACATGGTGAAACCCCATCTCTACTAAAAATACAAAAATTAGCCTGGCGTGGTGATGGGTGCCTGTAATCCTAGGTACTCGGGATGCTTAAGCAGAAGAAACGCTTGAACTCAGGAGGTAGAGGTTGCAGTGAGCTGAGATCATGCCACTGCACTCCAGCCTGGGTGACAGAATGAGACATTGTCTCAAAAAATAAAACTAAGAAATAACAAAGATGCCCCTAAAAAACTATTCTGGGGTCAGCCCACCTAAAAGAGGAAGTACTGCAAGGCATAGTCACAGCAAAACACACCTCCAAACAAAGTGATACTACTATAGAAACAAGGGAGAGAGGCCAATCTAATGCATCAGTCAGACACATAGCAACTAATTCTAAACCCAGGAAAATCATATAGGTGAAGATCCTTGACTGCAGATATAGAAGACAGGGCCTAAGAATCTCACATTATTCCTAACTAAAGGATGCTTATCCTTTTACCAGAGAGCAATGAGGAGCAGTGGCACAGATGTGACCCTGGGTGATCGCTGGCAGCTGCCCCAGTTTGTCCCCAGCGTGTACACACAGGGTCGCGTCTGTGCACTGCTCCTCACTGCTCTCTGGTAAAAAGTTCTTGCCTCTTCCCGGCTCCAGAGATGGGCACATGGTTAGGTTAATCCCAGAGCCCCTCTGCATCCCAGCCACATTGCTGGGCAGGGTTGGACAATGGCCAACCTGTAGCTTAGAAGTGGGCCTCCTGTTGCCTCCCAGATTGCAGCCGTAGATGGCCTGAGCATTGGTCCCCACCACTTGGGAAAAGCCCTTCCACAGTAATCTATAGAGGCAAAAATGAAGCCAACATGTGCACAAGCTCCAATGGCCTTTACATCTGTAGATCCAGTGGACCCTGGGGCAGGTTCTATGTCTGCCCTTTCTGCAATTTATCTATAGGAACTGATGCATTCTTTTTGGCTTTAACTAAAGTTGGGTGAAAGAGCACTAATGCCTTTCATCTGCATAACAGTTTTATTGAAGATACTCACCTCTTTGGGGAAATAAATGTAAAATAATCTTTTTTTTTTTTTTTTTCAAATGACTGCCTCAAGCTGTACTACATTGAGCCTCCCTCTCATCTTTTAAAAATATGCACAGATTAAATGCCTTTCAGTTGTTATAGGGGTCAGCAAAGTTTTTCTGTAAAGAGCTAGATAGTAAACATTTTAAGCTTTGTGGGCTACATATGATCTCTATTGCATATTCTTGTTTATTTTACAATCCTCTAAAAATGTCAGAACCAGGAGCTGGGCTGCATCTGGCCCATGGGTTATTAAATTATTAAAACAGCTCAGCTTTGGGCTTCAATCTCATTGTTAGGATAGGCGCTTTGGGCCCGGAGAGCCCCGACATGTTCCTGCTAAGTGGACTGGACTGCCAGGACTACATGTCCTTTGACACAGAAAATTCTGTAGCTAGTCTCACAGGCAGCTGAATAAGTCAGTAAGTCAGTGGGAAGTCCAGTAGGACAAGCAGAGCTAGGAAGAGGGTAGGGCAAGCAAGTCCCCCAGGGCATAAGATTTAAGGAAGCTCTCCTTCTCAGGTGCCAATTCTGCATTTGCACAAACCTGAGAGTGAGTACCACCTTATGTTGTCTGCCTTGGGCACCATCCCTTGCCTCATCCTCATCCCAGAGCGGATGACCACCACCTAACTGCTCATTCTTGAGGCCAGGGGAACCAGCTTGCCTGCGGTTTGCTACGATGTGTGCTGCTTGATCAAAAAGCACTGGGCTCTTGGCCCTGGCTTCTCCTGGAACAAAACCCACTGCCAGTGTTTGTGTTATCTCAGCCCATGAAATCACCCTCATGGGACTTGGGAACAAGAAAAACCAACAAATACCCTGAGGCTCATGCTTTCATCATGCTGTGAGTATGAAAAGCCACTTGTTTCTGACCCAGGAGTCTGACATCTTCTGCTAGCAGATATGAAATCATAGTAGGCTAGTAAGTTGGGTAAAATCATACCCTTCATACTTCTCGGCTCATATCTGATGCAAAATCTCCACCCATCCCTACTCCTATGACCATCTCAATCACGGACTGGATGCCAACTCCAGGGGCTCGTAGCAGGGTTGTCTGTCTTTGTAACACCTTCTCTCCTTTCATCTTAAGGCTGGAGTTGGGGGGAGGAAGGATTACGGAGACCAAAATGTGATGTACTTGCCTGCCTGCCTCATGGTGGTAGGAAGGGGCCCTCATGATTGGACTTGGTTCTCCCTGATGCTGGTGGTCTCCAAACAGCTATCTGTTTGTTCTTGGGTTACTGTAAACTTCACCATGGCTCCTTTGGTTGCTGAGAAGCCCCTCAGGAAGGAAAAGCCTAGTCCCCTTTGACCCTGAGAGTGGTAATGTCCCAACCCCCTCTTGAGGTGGGTTGCCTTCTCACTTGACCTAGGTGACTCTACAGTTCCTGCCCTTCCTTAAACCTCCAAGCTCCTTCACAAGGAGCCCAAATAACCTCTGGATACCTCTTCTAGAGACTCTGAGGACTATGGACACTTGGAATGGGGTGGCAGTTGCCACCTTCTATCCAGGCATGCCACATCAAGGTCCTTTCAAGCTCTGCTGACACAGGCTACTTGTACTGATCTCACATCTTCAGAAGCCTCTGGATAGACACACGGGTATTGGTTTCTATGTACACATTACTGCCCCAAATTCATATGGGATATATTGCAAGCTCTCTCTAGGCTCTGTCCATCTCCACTGAAGTGACAATACAAGAAGGGCCTGTAAGCACTCTTGGTCTCAAGATTGATTCTCTTGAAGCCACCCTCCCCACTTCCTGGGCTTGGGGAAAACCCTCACTGTTCTCCCCATGAGGAGAGGAAGTGGCCTTCTGCTACAGAAACTGTTTTCCCCCAAGGCCAAAGTGTCACTCCTCCTTCCCAAGACTTTCCTTATATACACCTGGGGGTGAAGGAAGTGGTTTATAATGTAAATTTGGAATTCGGCAGTGCTGGGCAACAGAAACGAGAGAATCTAGAACCCGTTGCTCTCAGCTTTGGGCCTTGCCAGCAATTCCAGAATAGTAAGAAAGGCCCATCTTAGTTCATTTTCTGTAGCTATAACAGATTACCACAGATTGGATAATTTATAAAGAAAAGAAATTTATTTCCTACAGTTCTGGAGGCTGGGAAGTCCAAGGTCAAGAAGCTGTATCTGGTGAGGGCCCTCTTACTGTGCCATAACAAGGCACAAGATATCACATGCTGAGAGAAGAAGAAAGAGCATGCCAGCTCAAGGTCTCTCTTCCTTTCTCATAAAGCCACAAGTACCACCATGGGGACCCAACCTTGATGACCTTACCTAATTCTAGTTACCTCACAAAGACTCCACCTCCTAATACCATCAGTATATAAATTTGAGGATTAAGTTTTCAACACATGAAATTTGGGAGACATATTCCAACCATAGCAGGCCCCATTGAATATCCTGACACAGGTATTTGTAAGACATGTGTCTTTTTTTTTTTTTTTTTTTTTTTTTTTTGAGATGGAGTTGCTCTGTCACCCAGGCTGGAGTGCAATGGCACAATCTTGGATCACTGCAACCTCCACCTACTGGGTTCAAGCAATTCTCCCACCTCAGCCACCAAGTAGCTGAGATTACAGGCGTGTGCCACCACGCCTGGTTAATTTTTGTATTTTTAGTAAAGATGGAGTTTTGCCATGTTGGCCAGGCTGGTCTTGAACTCCTGACCTCAAGTGATCCACCCACCTTGGCCTTCCAAAGTGCTGGGATTAGAGGCGTGAGCCACCACACCCAGCCAGACATAGGTCTTTTGAAACCACACTTGAAATGCTCATAGGCAACAATACTGCATTGTTAGGTCTCACTCTAACAACAGGAAACCTCACGCTATTTTCTTTTTCTTTTTTCTTTTCTTTTCCTTTCAAGATAGAGTCCTGTTCTGTCACCCAGGCTGGAGTGCAGTGGCACAATCTCGGCTTACTGCAACCTCTGCCTCCTGGGGTCAAGTGATTCTCCTGCCTCAGCTTCCGAAGTAGCTGGGATTACAGGCATGCGCCACAACGCCTGGCTAATTTTTGTAATTTTAGTAGAGACAGGGTTTAGCCATGTTGGTTAGGCTGGTCTCGAACTCCTGACCTCAAGTGATCCACCTGCCTCAGCCTCCCAAAGTGCGGGGATTACAGGTGTGAGCCACCGTGCCCGGCCACACTATTTTCATAGTTTTTAGTATATATGTTAATAGCACAAATGAAAGCTGGTCTCAAATTTAAGGAGAAACTTTCAAGAGAAATTTAGATGCATTCAAACATATTAAACAGAAAAGTCAACTTCAGAAATTGGAAAAGCAAACATTTCCTTACTAGAAGTATTAAAACTATTTTCTGACTCTATTGAGTGCTTACAGCTATTTCAGTGCTCAAATTACTATCATGTGCACCAATGGGAACATTGCCAAAAGTAGCTATTTGTATAGTTTTAGGGTTGGCCTTAAAGAGGTCTAGATTTTTAGAGCAGCGGTTCTCAAACTTCAGCACTATATACATCAGAATCCCCTGAGGCACTTGTTAAAACACCAAATGCTGGGTCCTGTCCCCAGAGTTTCTGACTCAGTAGCAACTGTCAAGTGGGGTCTGAGAATGTGCATTGCTAACAAGTTTCCAGTGACACCATGCTGCTGGTCCGGGACTTACACCTTGAGAACTGCTTAGGGAATCATTTTCTAGCTCTTGAAAAGCCTATCGGTCAAATCCAATCTGTCACATGTTCATATAAATAAAGTTTTATTGTAACAATGAAATAATAATATATATATTGGTCTCTTCTCCCAGTTCCTGACACAGAGGTCCTAAATCTCTTGGAATTTCCTGGATGGTAGGACAATCTTTTGTTCTAATGCGATGACTCTTGGTGGGCTCCTGGATAGCCTCAAAGCGAGGGGCTGGTTGCCAGGTGAATTAACTATGTGATTAGAGGGTATGAACTTTCAACCCCACTCCCTGACCCTCTGGGGAGGGGAAAGGCACTGAAGGTTGAGTTGATCACCAATGGCCTGTGCTCAATCTGGCTATGTAATGAAGCCTCCATTAAAACCCTCCAAAAAATGGAATCAGGAGAGCTTTGGATTGATGAACACATCCACATGCTGAAGGGTGAACAACTACATGAGGACAGAAGCTCCTGCTCTTGGGACCCTTCCAAAGCTCATCCTATGCATCCTTTTATCAGGCTGTTCATCTATATCCTTTGTTATATCCAATATTAATATGATAAGCTGATAAATGTGTTTCCCTGAGTTCTGTGAGTTGTCCTAGTAAATTAATCAAATTTGCTAAGAGGGGGTCATGGGAATCCCAACTTATGGCCAGTTGATCAGAAATACAGGCTAAAACCTGGAACTTACAAATGGTATCTAACGTTGGAGCAGTCTTGTGGACTTGAGCCTTAACCTGTGGGATCCAACACTATCTCTAGGTATAGTGTCAGAATTGAACTGAATTATAGGACACAAAGTTGGTGTCCACTGGAGAACTGGTTGTTGGTGGGAAGAAATCCCCGCACATTTTGGTGAGCAAAGGTGAAGTGGTGAGTGATGTTTCTACTGTCTCACACACAGCCACACTTAACTTGTTTACATATTGTCTGTGACTGCTTTCTCAGTACAACTGCAGAACTGAGCAATTGCAATAAACTTTACGGCCTGCAAAGCCTTTTTGATCCTTTACAGAAAAAGTGTGCTGATCTCTACTGCAGAGCATCATCTTCTAGTCCACAGCCAGCCCTGTCAACATAGCCTCCTGGAATGGACAATTACAGATGATAACTCTGTAAGGCTGCTGCCATGACCAGGGCTTACTTTGTTAATTTTATAAATGACTTTGTATGAGTCATTATAGTTACATGTAGTTTTTTAAATGTTTGCACAAAGCCCTGCTTTATATTCAGATCACTTAATTCTCTTAATGAATTTGTTTTTTTTGTTTTTTTTTTTTTTTGAGATGGAGTCTCACTCTGTCACCCAGGCTGGAGTGCAGTGGCACGATCTCGGCTCACTGCAACCTCCGCCTGCCAGGTTCAAGTGATTCTCCTGCCTCAGCCTCCCGAGCAGCTAGGACTACAGGTGCGCACCACCACGCCCAGCTAATTTTTGTATTTTTAGTAGAGATGGGATTTCACCATATTGTCCAGGCTGGTCTCGAACTCCTGACCTCATGATCCATCCGCCTTGGCCTCCCAAAGTGCTGGGATTACAGGCATGAGTCACCGCGCCCAGCCTATGAAAAGATTTTTTAAAGAGGTATCCACTCACCTTGGAAGATAAAGAGCTTTTTTGATTGTCTATGTTAACCGGTAACAAAGGAAAATTGGAAGGATGCAGCATTTATTATAGTGGTTGCATCTCATAGAGTTGTACACACAAGAAAAAAAATCTCATGGAGTCCAAATTATGCTTGAAAATCTAAGTCACCTTTAAAATACAGTATACAACATTTACAGACTATGTTGGAGGCAGATTCTCAATATGTCCAACACAGCCAGTTTTTCTTTCAGTGTTCAAACAGATGGCTCATTCTTTGGGTGAGCACCAGATGAAGTAGTTGGCTTGCTTTTGAGGCCATCTTGTACAAAAAATCCTTATCTTTAAACACTAGAATCACACTCTGCACAGTGAGAAGCTCACACTGCACGCCACAAAGAATCTATGACCAATTGAGGGAACAGCAGATTAATGTCTCCCTTTTAACATTTACGCTGGGAAATACTCTTCAGAGAGATAGGCAGGCAGAAGTGACTGCACAACTTAAAGTCTCAACCTTTCTCTCTCTTTCTCTCAGCCCCAGCACATATAGTTGGATTCCAAAACCTCAAATATGCCTCAGATGGGACTATGATCATAAAGAAACTAGTAACAAAATAAAGATCTTAAAATAGTTTATTATATCCCATTCTTGGTACCAAATTCTGTCACTGACATGCTCAGATTACAAATAAAAGATAAGCCCAGGCAAATTTATAAGCAAAAATATTTATTTTTAAGATATGTCAGGGCCAGGGGCAGTGGCTCATGCCTGTAATCCCAGCACTTTGGGAGGCCAAGGTGGGCAGATCACTTGAGCCCAGGAGTTCGAGATCAGCTTGAGCAACATGGTGAAACCCCGTAACTATAAAAAATACAAAAATTAGCCAGCTACTTGAGAGGCTGACGTAGGAGGTTCACTTGAGCCCGGGAGGCACAGGTTGCAATGAGCCAAAATGGCACTACTGAATTCCAGCCTGGGCAACAGAGCCAGACAGAATCTCAAAACAAAAAGAGGTAAAATTTTATAAACAACTTTCAAGTCTTTAGGTGAAATAGAAACTATTCCTTATAGAGCACACAGGCACCGAATCTTTGTTTTATATAAGCTTGTATTCAAAATAAACCGATATTCATTACACTTACATATTTGATAGTTACAAATTATAATGTACATTATAGATACTTGCACCTACATATGCACATAAACTGGCTATAACTTCTTTAATAATGAGATTGCCTCCGTAGAGTAAATGACACAATAAATGTTCAACTATTTTGAATGGTTGCTATTTCCATTTTATGGTCAGTAATATGTCTTCATTGTTTTGAAAATGTAGGCATTTGAAATTAAGTAGTCTACAGCATTCATCTGTAGTAAGTGCTAAGTATGTTATACATGAACAAAAACACTTATAAAAGCATCTTATGCATTCCTTTGAAACAGGTGAAAAATAACAGACATAACTTGCTTTAAAAAGTCATAAAATAGCTGCTTTTCTACTGATAACATTTTTGCTTTTAGCATTTCAGATGAGTATTTTTCATATGGAGAATTTATAAATGTACAGGAAACATGTTCATTTAACCAATATTTATAGACCAACATAATTTTGTTTGCATAAGTTGTAATTTGTAAGATACCAATTAACAATGCAAAGTTATTACAACTATCAATGGCTTCTTCATACTAAAGCATTTATATTCATGTTTGTTGATTAGTTGCTAGTGCTAAATTTTTTATATTCATTTTGTTAAGTATTTGACTACTCAAACTTAAGCATTCTGGCCAGGATTGTCTTGAGAAAACTTTGAAGTATATTCTTACCTTTTTACTCTGATGATGGTTTAGATTCTGGATATCTGGAGAATCTAACCATTTTTGGATATATGTGTTGCTAAACCACCTATTTTAAAATAATACTAGTTGGAGCTAAAATAGAGTTTTGAGGTTAAGAAACTTCAAATCTATGGTCTGAGTGCAGTGATGTTTACACCTCACAACCAGTTACAGATTTCTTTGTTCCTTCTGCATTCCCACTGCTTCACTTATCTAGACTTATCTACAAAAAAGATTGAAAGAAATTTCAAATCTAGAAGAGTATCTGCTGTCAAATAGCTGATCAGACATAAGCACAAGGGTAAAATGAGCACACTAAAAGCCATACAACGCCTAGTAAATAATGAAATAGCAAAGATATCCAACTAACAATCAAAGGTTTTGTATACATGTTTTTGTTCTAATTCATGATTTGTGTAGTTTCTGAAACAAGCTGGCTGGAAGAAGGAGCTTTACTAAATGGAGCAAAAGTTTAAGGTAACAGGTCTCAGAAGATCTTTAAATCTTAGATGTGCACTGTATGTTAATACAATGTTGAAAAGAATACAAAAAGAAAAAAATCAAAATAAAAATCTTTGATGTGCAAGAACTACGTCATGCTTTTCAACCTGGGCTGCATATAAGCATAACCACAACATGGTTACAAAATACCCAAGCCCTTGCCCCATCCTTAGAAACTCTGGTTCAGTTGTCTGCAGTGGGAACACAGACTGCTATTTATTAAAAATATGCTGGCCAGGTGTGTTGGCTCATGCTTGTAATCCCAACAGTTCTGGAGGCCAAGGCAGGAGGATTGCTTGAGCCCAGGAGTTCAAGACCAGCCTGGGCAATGTAGTGAGAGCCTATCTACATAAAAAATACAAAAATTAGCCAGGCATGGCCATTTGCACCTGTAGTTCCAGTCACTCAGGAGGCTAAGGCAAGAGGATTGCTTGAGCCTGGGAGGTTGGGGTTGCAGTAAGCCATGGTTGTGCCACTGCACTCCAGCCTAAGCAATAGAGACAGACCCTATCTCAAAAAAAAAAAAAAAAAAAGCCACACACACACACACACACACACACACACACACAAAGCATTTAGGAAATTCTAATGTATCAACAGGGCTGAGACCCACTGAACTA
Organism: Homo sapiens; assembly: GCF_000001405.40. Taxonomy (NCBI): domain Eukaryota; kingdom Metazoa; phylum Chordata; class Mammalia; order Primates; family Hominidae; genus Homo; species Homo sapiens. The sequence continues at coordinate 65,593,719 of NC_000008.11, forward strand.
AATGAAGGGATTAAATGAAAAGATAAAAGAAAGGGCCGGCACTGTGGCTCACGCCTATAATCCCAGCACTTTGGGAGGCCGAGGTGGGTGGATCACTTGAGGTCAGGAGTTTGAAGCCAGCCTAGCCAACATGGTGAAACCCCATCTCTACTAAAAATACAAAAATTAGCTAGGTGTGGTGGCACGCACTTGTAATCCCAGCTACTGAGGAGGCTAAGGCGAGAGAATTGCTTAAACCCAGGAAGTGGAAGTTACCGTGAGCCAAGATCACACCACCTGCACTCCAGCCTGGGTGGCAGAGCGAGACCCTGTCTCAAAAATTTTAAAAATAAAAAATAAAAAAAAATTAGCTGGGCATGGTGGCACATGCCTGTAATCCCAGCTACTCGCAAGGCTGAGGCAAGAGAATCACTTGAATCTGGAAGGTAGAGATTGCAGTGAGCTGAGATCGCACCATTGCACTCCAGCCTGGGCGACAGAATGAGACTCTGTCTCAAAAAAAAAAAGAGAAAGCAGATGACAATCTAGAAATCTGAAGATCTGTCATGGAAATTACTTCATTCATGCTAATGTAAAAAATATTAGTGACTAAATTATTAAAATTGAACACATTCTCACTGTGCTTAATTTTCTTTTTTTTTTTTTTTTTTTTTTTTGAGATGGAGTTTCACTCCTGTTGCCCAGGCTGGAGTGCAATGGCGTGATCTAGGCTCACTGCAACCTCTGCCTCCCGGGTTGAAGCGATTCTCCTGCCTCAGCCTCCCGAGTAGCTGGGATTACAGGCATGTGCCACCACACCCAGCTAATTTTGTATTTTTAGTAGAGACGGGGTTTCACCATGTTGGTCAGGCTGGTCTCGTACTCCTAACCTCATGTGATCCACCCACCTCGGCCTCCAAAAGTGCTGGGATTACAGGCGTGAGCCACTGTGCCCGGCCAAACATTCTCTTCTATATCTGATCTATCTCCTGAATCCATCCCACCAGCATTTAAATACTTGTCTCTCCCCCATCTTAAAACATGCATCCCTGGACCCCCTATTGGTAACCTTGCCTACAATCCTATCCTAACAGTGTCTCCTTGCTCAGTGCGCAACAAGACCACCAGCGCAGCTACTGAGAATCCTGGGAGTCTTCCCTCACAACAAATCATCACATTCTTCTGTGATATGGCCTTAAAATATAATCTCCCAAACATGTCACCTCTCTCCACATTCACTGCTACTTACCATCCAGCATTGCCCCTGTACTGTATGTGTTAGTAAAAGCCTTGTAACTTTGTAGCCTCATATCCACTTTTCTCCTCTCCAATCCACTCCCCACACTGTAGCCTGACTAGTCTCATCTTAGGCAAGTACTGAACCATGCTCCATGTTTCCCATATGTGAAGTCCACTTTTTCTTCAAACAGAGCTCATAGGATTGTTGAGAAGATCAAATACTAGACAAAACCACTTAGCAACTGCAAAGCATAATAAATGGTAGCTATTATTAGTTTAACATCCAAACATTTAATACCAGTTGAACTACTGACATTAGGAGAAGAAATACTATAATATTCAGGGACTCGAAGAGCCTGCAAAATCTTGTTTAACCTGGCCTCCACCAACATTTCAGTATCATTTTAGATTTGACCCAGCAGCCTCACTCAAAGCTGTCACAATGGGGGTCCCTTTGCCTGGAATGCTCTCCCTGCTCCCACTTGGCCAACTAACTCCTGCTCATCTTTCAAGTTCTGGCTGAAACCATAATTTATCCAGAAAGCCTACCCTGAGTTTCCCACTGCCCAACCCCACAAACACTAGGTCTTCCAAACCTACTGTGCAACTTCCTGATACGACACATTTGTGGTTATCTGTCCTATGATCTTCCTTCCCACGAGACTATGAATCCTGTGAAGATCTTGTCTATAATTCCACCGAGTAGCACCATGAATGGAACAATATAGGTTTTCAAATATTTGATAACCGACTTTAATGACATAACTGAAAAAAAGATACCCTTTAAGTGCTATACTTAAAGGTGCTTTAACAGCCACTGTGCCCAGCCCTTGGCCTATTTTATTATAACATTAGGAAACTTTATAGTGAAGGAAAAATATTGACTTGCTTTCCCATCTTAAAGACTGTAACTAATTGAGCAGGATCTCAATTTTTCTCTAACTCATTACCTTACAGTTGCCTATACTTGTTATTTACTATTGAATCACAGGAGAATAGATGCCTGTAGATTTCCATCTCCAAGAGTTTTACTATATATACTACTTCCATTAAAAGTTAAATAAAAGGGCTGGGAGCAGTGGCTCATTCCTGTAATCCCAGCACTTTGGGAGGCTGAGGCGGGTGGATCACCTGAGGTCAGGAGTTCGAGACTAGCCTGGCCAACATGGCGAAACCCCGTCTCTACTAAAAATATAAAAATTAGCTGGGCGTGGTCGCAGGCGCCTGTAATTCCAGCTACTCAGGAGGGCTGAGGCAGGAGAATATCGCTTGAAACTGGGAGGTGGAGGTTGCAGTGAGCCGAGATCGTGCCACTGCACTCCAGCCTGAGCAGCAAGAGCGAAATTCTATCTAAAAAAAAAAAAAAAAAAAAGAAAAGAAAAAAGAAAGTTAAGTAAAAGATCAGGCCGGGCGCAGTGGCTCACACCTGTAACCCCAGCACTTTGGGAGGCCGAGGCAAGCGGATCACGAGGTCAGGAGTTCGAGACCAACCTAGCCAACATGGTGAAACCCCATCTCTACTAAAGATACAAATAATTAGCTGGGCATGGTGGTACGCACCTGTAATCCCAAATACTCGGGAGGCTGAGACAGGCTAATCACTTGAACCTGGGAGGCAGAGGCTGCAGTGAGCCGAGATCGCGCCATTGCACTCCAGGATGGATAACAGGGCGAGACTCCATCTCAAAAAAAAAGAAGTAAAATCAAAACTAAAAGTGTAAATACCCATATAAGCAAAAGTTTATTGTATACATCTTTATGGGTATTTTATATACCCATATAAGCATATTTTATGTACCTATATAAGCTTATATGGGTATTTTAAATACCCATATAAGCAAAAGTTTATTGTATACATCTTTATTTTTACATACAAGTTATCTTAAAGCAGTGTACTTTTTCTCTGAGCTTCTGCACTGAGAGGTGATGACTCATTTTTCCCTTGAAGTTTATTTCCTAAAACTGAGTCTGGCTTCTGGCTCAGCTCTTTCTCAGTCTGCCTTATGGTTTCATCCACATTTGCTATAACTGTTTTAAGGTAGGTAAAGTTGATTTTCCATGTATTTCATTTCTTTTTCCATCTTCTTTTATTCCCTACTATCATCTTCAATTCATTCTATGCCACTTTCTTACCTATCGGTTTTCTAATTCATTTCTAAAGTAAAATTTCTCCTTTTCAACCAATCACATAAATACTTTTTCCCCTGAAAGTGCCTTTTCCATTGCCCAATTTTGCTCCTTCTGCATAATTGGAATATTTCTATTTGCTACAGATCACACACAGAGTATTAGCGTTGTGTTCTAATGTACTATCTTCCACCAGAAATAACTAAACATGAGAAAAACAGTACTTACACAACTTATCAGCTTAAACTCCTTACCAGACAGGAATTGGTTAGAAAAGGACTTCAGAGTCAGTAAGGGCCAGAAAGAACCTCAGGATACAGGCTGGTCCTGAAGCCACCAGTAAAGAGGAGGCTTGGGGTTAGGCTTCAATTTGGCTTGATAAGGAAGGGGGCAGTAGAAAAGGGGAAGCACAGGGTTTGAAAGAGATCTCTGCTGTCATAATCTACATAATGAACCCATTAAGTAATGAAGACACAAATGACACAAAATCAGTGTCTAAATATACAGCAGACTGTTTAAGTGTTGGAAAAGTTTGAACAACTGGGAAATAGATCAGCAAGAACCAAAACAAACACGGACAGCTTCATGGAATAGCCAGTTCTTGAAGAACAGATAGAATTTTTTAAGTTGAGGAGAAGAGAATGAGTGGACTCCCAAGCACACAATGCATTTACTGAAGTTTAAAGATGTCAATTTAAGTAAAAATATGAGCGTCAGGTCAATTCACAGGAAAGGAGAGCAGGTTAAGGGGATTCCTGAAAACATAAGAATTTAGATTTGACACAGTAAGCCATTAAATGCTTATGAGCAGAAGAGTAGAAAAAAATCAAATAGCTGGTGTTGAAAAACCTGAAAATGTTGAAAAGAATACAAAAAAAAACTAACAACAAAAATCTTAAATGTGCAAGAACTAAGTCATGCTTCTCAACCTGGGCTCACTCTCAGTCATAGCAATTATTTGGGCAACAGACTAAAAGGTCACTAAGAAGGACCTCTGAGATTTAAATACCAGCCCTACCACTGATTAGTTTTTAAGTGTATTTAAGACCAGTTATTTTATTTCAGACGAGATCGGGCACGTTTAGGATGATATGACCATAGACCAGTTACTTTGTTTCTAAGCTTTAGTTTCCTACGTAAAATGGGTAAGAAAAAGCCCACCTCACTGGACCACTGTGATAATTAAAGGAGAACACAAGTAAAGGTCCAACAGATAGTGTGGGATATAATAAGTGCTCAAGTAATGTTAAAAGTTATTAAGGCTGGGCGCAGTGGCTCCCGCCTATAATCCCAGCACTTTGGGAGTCCGAGACGGGTGGATCACCTGAGGTCAGGAATTTGAGACCAGCCTGGCCAACATGGGATAACACAGTGAGAAGTTGAGGGGAACCACTCTCACACCTTGCTGGAATACTCTCTAAGGAGGAAAGAACCATCAAAATTAAAAACCTAGCCTTTGGCCCATTTACATATCTAGGAATCCTTCCTACAGCTATACTTATATAGCACTATTTTTTTAAGAGCAAAAGACTACAAAGCACTAAATAAATCATGGAACATTAATACAGTGTAATACTTTGAAGCTGTAAAAGAAGGGAGCTGCTTTATACATGAATATACAGTAACTTCTAAGATATACTTTAAGTGAAAAAAGTAGGTGCAGGATATCATACTACCATTTGCGTGGGAAAAATATATGAAATAGTAAATTTGTATAATATCTCTGATGGGCATACAAAATTGGTAAAAATGGCTGTCCCTGATTAGAGGAACCAATAACTAAGGTTCAAAAGAAGAGAAGCAGGACTTTCCGCTGGATGCCTTGTTTTTTTTTTTTTTTTTTGAGACGGAGTTTCACTCTTGTTGCCCAGGCTGGAATGCAATGGCACAATCTCGGCTTACTGCAACCTCCGCCCCACGGGGTTCAAGCAATTCTCCTGCCTCAGCCTCCCGATAGCTGGGATTACAGGCATGTGCCACCATGCCTGGCTAATTTTGTATTTGTAGTAGAGACGGAGTTTTACTATGTTGGTCAGGCTGGTCTCGAACTCCTGCCCTCAGGTGATCTGCCCACTTCAGTCTCCCAAAGTGCTGGAATGACAGGTGTGAGCCACCACGCCCAGCCCTGGATGCCTATTTTTACAAGACGGAGTCTTACCATGTTGCCCAGGCTAAACTTGAACTCCTGTACTCAAGCAATCCTTCTGCCTCAGCCTTCTGAGTAGCTAGGACTACAGGTATATGCCACCACGCCCAGTTCTGGATGCCTATTTTGAAAATGTTGCCAATGTAAAAAAAAAAATTGTAAAAAGATAAATGAAAATAAAATGAAACAAGAAGTTCACAGTTACCTAGACTGTCCATGTTGTGACATGACAGGTGGTTTGTGCTTTCTTATGCATTTCTGTAATATATTGAGCTTATTTTCATAATAAAATATTTTAAAGATGAGAGTATAAAGGAGGAAATTCCCAAAAAGATTACAAAAAAAGATCTAGAGGGCAGGATGAATACAGAATATTTATGCTATAATAGGCAAGGCTAAATAAAGCAGACTGTTATTCTAACAATGAGATATACAACTGTGCCTTTCATAGTCTGAACTAATCCTGGCAAAACTGTGAAAGGCTAGGCTGGCGACTATTTTGATGCTGCACAAAGCAGTCTAAACTTCAGTCCATAGGCCTTTGTTGACATTAGAGCTGAGAATGATGAAAATACTATTAAGATTAAACTGATATAACAGAATGGGCCATTCTAGGAGGAAGAGTAGCCTATTTCTGGCCGACAGACATTTCTTATGTGGCTCTGGTAGTGTCTGATGGGTCTGGAAGAGCCAGAAAGTCCAAAAGCTGTGCATTCTCAAAGCCAACCGCCCATATGAGGATAATGTGGTTTCCTTTAGACAGGTGCTTTCTGTGTGTTTTCCTGTGCTGTCGCCTGACTAGGCTTATTGCTTTCATGTACCTAACTTTTCTGGTCTCCAGACACTGAGTTTCTGACTGCTAACAGGTACCTGAATTAAGTCACCAGACCAGATACAAGCCAAAGGGTCTGGACTAGAAGGGTGGTGGTAGATCTGGAAAGGCACAGTGGGGGAACACAAGATGCAGGCTGCCTCCTGGGGGTGTAGAGACTCAGAAGCCAGAATGCCCAGGTTTGAGTCCTGGCTTCCCCACTTACTAGGTCCATAACCTGGCACTAATGAGCTACTTAATCTCTGTCTCGTTTTTCCCCATCTGTAAAACTGTGATTTAAGAGTACCTACCTCATAGTGGTCTAGGGTTCATTGAATAAATATTTGTAAAGCATTAGTATAGTGCCTGGCAGAGAATTCATTTTTGTTAAAACTTATTGCATGCCTACCATGAGCTCAGTTCTAATAAAAATTAAAATTCAGACTTTACATTTGATAGGTACTGCAAAGGAAAAAAAGAGCAATCAAAAGTTGACAGTAGAGTGGAGGTTTAGAAATTATCTACAAAAAGGTAATAAAATCCTGACAATAAATGAATTATCCAAGGGAGAAAATTTAGATAAAAATCAAAGAGCAGATGACTAAATCTAAAAACAAAAAACAAAACAAAATAAAAACCGCCAAAAACAAAAACTCTCTGATTGGATGTGGGAAGACGGGAAGATGAGGAGTCAGATAAAGCAAGATTAGAATAGTGTATCACTTGAAGGCCAGGCGTGGTAGCGCACATCTGTAATCCCAGCACTTTGGAAGGCCAAGGAGGGCAAATCACTTGAGGTCAGAAGTTCAAGACTAGCCTGGCCAACACGGTGAAACCCTGTCTCTACTAAAAACACAAAAAATAGCCAGGCTTGGTGGCAGGTGCCTGTAATCCCAGCTACTGGGGAGGATAAGCCATGAGAATTGCTTGAACCCTGGAGGCGGAGGTTGCAGTGAGCCAAAATCGCACCACTGCACTCCAGCCTGGGCGACAGAACAAGACTGTCTCGGAAAAAAAAAAAAAAAAAAAGGTTACCACTTGAGAAACTTCTAGTAACAATAAATCCATTGCACACTGGTAAATTTTTAGTTTTCAAAGCACTCATCTCTCACTGGATCCTAATTAACGGCCCCATGAGGCAGAGGAATCATCTCCATTTTAATAAATCTCCAATTTAGAGATTAAATAAATCTCCAGTTTAGAGATTAAAATATTGCCTAGAATCACACAGCTCATGAGTTATAAAACAGAAAATCAAAACCACTATTTTATATATATCATATTCTCCTGTAAAAATTCTGTAAGAATCAGGATAATTCTAGCTCCATTCAATGGAGCAAATATTATGCCCCCTCCCATTTTTTAAAAATAAAAACCAAATGACAAAATAAATGAAGACATTTGAGACACTTGCTTTTTTTTTTTGAGATAGGATCTCGCTGTGTCATCCAGGCTGGAGTGCAGTGGCATTATCTCAGCTCACTGCAGCCTCAATCTTCCAGGCCCAATCAATCCTCCCACCTCAGCCTCCCAAGTAGCTGGGACTACAGGCACTTGCCACCACAGCTAGCTAATTTTTTTTTTTTTTTTGTACAGTCAGGGTTTCACATGTTCCCCAGGCTGGTCTCAAACTCCTAGGCTCAAGCAATCCTCCCACCTTGGCCTCCCAAAATGCTGGGATTACAGGCATGAGCCACTGTGCCTGGCTGAAATTTGTTAAATATTGATAAATCAGAAATAAGCATGCCCAGAAAAAATACATATAACATTTTTCCTTTTGCCCAACAAGTATATTTATGTTTTACTGATTTTTAAAAAAACTTTGCTCATTCCCCCTAAAAAAAAATCTGAGCATTTACTATAAGTCAGGCACAGCTACAAGGTTAATGTGAAGACTCACATCATTATTGTACCCCATAAATATGCACAAATATTATGTGTCAATGCAAAACAAAACTTAAAAAAGATTCTCTTCTCAGAGAGCTTAGCAGGGGAGAGACACTGTTAAATATGCAATTTTGATATAATGTGATAGATGCTACAATGAGTATATGCACAGGAGCAGCAATCCAATCTGGAGAGAGGCAGGTGTGGTGTCAGGAAGGAAACGAATGGAAGATGCATGGGAATTAGTCAGGTAGCACAACTGCAGGGAACTGGGAAAGTGTGCCAGGCAACGTGTGTACAAACAGGCTTAAGAGTAATCAACATAGGGAAACATCACACACCAGGGCATATCAGGGGGTGGGGGGAAGGGGAGGGAGAGCATTAGGAAAAATACCTAATGTATGCGGGGCTTAAAACCTAGATGACGGGTTGATAGGTACAGCAAACCACCATGGCACATGTATACCTATGATACATTCAGCACATGTATCCCAGAACTTAAAATAAAATTTAAAAATAAATAATCAATAATGCTTATACCACAAGTATATAATATCCACTCGATTTTAATTATGTTACCTTTTATTATTTTACAATGTATTTCAAAAAATGCTGTTACAGTTGTCTTAACTACTCTATATGATCTGGAATAAAGAACTCTTAGAATTAGAACACACAAACATCAAGCTGTAATACCTACTTGTCCTGAAACATTACTACCAAAGGGATGTAGTTTTTAAATAAGCAGATGTGTGGCAATGCAAAATAAAATACAAATTTGTTAGAACAGTAAAGTTTGCTTTAATGGCTATAGAAAGAAGGTGGTTTTATTTTCTTTTTTAAACACATCTGGTTCTGGCAGCAAGTTATATTATGCATTTAGAGCAATAGGTGCCCTGAAAGTTATTGTTGCTTTTTTTGTTTTTTTTTTTTCAGTTTGTGCGTGTCACTTGAATCAGAAACCAAACACATGTAAAAAAATATCATCCTCAATGCCCCCCATTAACTCTCTCTCCAGAAGGTGACAATGTTAGTGAACTCAAGACTCTCACTGATGATGGTATTTTACAATGAAAACACAAGGAAACCCTTTGAGGTCCAATTTTCACATCATATTCTCCAAATAGTAAAATAGCAGCTCTACATGTTGATGAAAAGAAATTTCAATTTCTTCCTATTTGTTTTTACTCATATCAACATTAATATGTATCTGGATTTATTAATTTCCAAAAAGAAAATTTTAGTTACCAAATATTTCAGAAATTTAATAAAGCATTACATATATGTAATTAGCACTTATCTACCAAAAAAACATATGTGTATGTATTTATTTATCTTACCTTCACTGAAGTTCTTTTTTCTGGCTGGACATGAGAAACAGGATTAAGTGATCAATGCTGGCTTTATTTCTTCATAAGCAGTAATTTGGGTCTTTTTCATTCAACACAACGCAGCATTTTCATAATAAATTCACAAAAGACAATACAAAGAAACACCTACTGAATAGAACTCTGTCGAGCAATTCATGTTTTAAAGTTGGACTCTATACCAAACTGGCATTATGGTATTATAGGCATTTGATTTTTGTTTTCTTATTTTCAGTTTGTCAGTTTCTTTACTACCATTATTTTTTTCTAGCCGGAGATAACGTATAATCACAAAGTAAGGCCTAGAGACCATTTATAGTTGTTTGCAATATCATGATCACATTAACTCTCAAGAATTGATATAAGCCAAAGTGAAAAGAAGTCAACTAGAACCACATTTGGTCACATTCAAACAGTCTCCAAAAACACTTCACTAATATACATGTTTCCTTCTTGACTGATTTTGTGTTAATTTTATCAAAATTATAATGAATAAGGCTGCAAAATTTTTGTAGAGTTGTTTTTCTAGGGGACTACTGTGTTCAAATGAATGTTTTTAATCTGCAAAATGTCATTAGTAATGTCCTTTCTATAAACACGGTTGGCAAAATAAAAAGGCACAAAAGAGGGTAACAAGAAATGTTTTCAGCTTTCAGTGAAGAGTACAAAGCATGTACCCTTCATGAAGAAAAGCACAGTAAAATATTCAGTAATTCATGCACAACTTGAGCTACAAGAAAACTTCTCTTCAGGTAGGTCCTGAGGCTTGAAAAGAAAATGAGTTTTCCTAATCACATGCTTCACGTAAAATAAAATGTAAAGCTGCACATACACATGTGGTTTTAACAGTGGACCCATGGTTTTTAAATATGAGGCAATTAAATGAAAGAAAACAAACCAAAATACTTTCATAAACAAAGCAACTCCATCTGTAGCCTCTGTCCTTTTTACCACTCAGTGGGGTAAAATGTCCAATAAAACGTGAAATGCAGCATATGCGATCGTGTAATCTAAAAACTTTTCATGATAACTTATTGCAAATTGCACTTGACAGTTCACCACAACAATGGAAAACTGGCCCCTTGTTGGTTCACACAGTCCTTGAGCCCAAAAGTGAAGTCACCAATAAAATGATCTGGATAAAAAGTTTGCAGCTGTGCTAAGCCAGCTAGCTCCACCTTCTGGGTGTGAGCCGACCCGGGACACCGCTTTGTCCTGTTCCTTTGTGGGACTCTCATCCTCAGGCAGGTAGTCAGGTAGCTCTGTGTTCTGTTCAACTTCCACAGGAGTATCTTGGAATGGGACCAACATCTGATACAGAAAATATTGAGAGTTATTACAAAATCAACTTTACTCCTTATTCTAATTACCGTGGTTATTCTCAGGGTAAATTTTCCTCTTACATGACAGTAGGCCCAATTGCTGAGCACTGTGTCAATACAGAAAGGAGTAAGCAGAGTACAAATAAGAACTCAGAAGTTGATCTGCTGAAATTCTAGGAGTAAATGAGCAACCGCTCTCTGTGTAATAATGACTAAAGCAAGTGTCTAGCCACTGCAGCCACTGGATAGCCATGGAACCTCCCATCTATGAGATGGGAACCCAAATGAGCTCAAGGTATATTTGTTTCCCCCATCACAAAGCTAGTGAAAAGAGTAGCAACAGACAAGGATTTTCACCCTATTTACTTGCCCAGTGGTTACACCTTTATTTTTTGGATTGTCAGGATTAGTTAAGATTAGGAAGAAAGTATTTAAAAATAAATGCAAGGAAGACACATATCCTTTATTTCCATGTAAAATCAGCAAGAGCAGACTCTGATATCCACAAAAGATCTCTCTATATTTCTAAAACAGTTAACTGTTAACCAAGAAACAGCACATCCTTACATACTTGGCACTATTAATTTAGAAATACTGGCAATCTGCTAGCCATAAAAAATAATTGAGAGTGAGTTGGATATAAAGAAAATTAAACACAACTTTTACCTCTTCTCCACTTTCACTTTTCACAACTTGCTGAGCTTTCATAACCTTGGTTGATGCTATTGCTGATGCCAAAGCCTAAGCCAAGATAAAAAGGAACAATTTTGAAATTGATTTGTTTACCTGTAATCTCAAGCATATTCAGTCTTTTAAAATACTTACCTCAGCTTTCAAATCTGAACGGATTCGCACCACACACCTTTGAACAGCCATTTGAAAAGTAAAGCTAATAACACCTTTAATTTTTAACAAAGCCTCTTCACATAGATTTCTCCGAGACTGAAAAAGTAAAAGCAAATTGTTATGAAAATAGGTAAATAAAAGGTAATAAATCAGTGAAAACCAAGCTATATTTTGGAGGGGGGAAGAGAGCAAATGACCTATTTCAGTTTTACCATCTTATTTCAGGGCACAGAGTGGGGGAGTGCTTAGTCAAATTTTTTAAATTTTACAGGATCAACAGAATAGTAATTCCTGCTAAATTTTTAAAGCTTCAATACTAATATGTAGTTTTAATAATTTTTTATCAGAAAGAAGTTAGCCAATGTTAATTTACATCTTAAATAAAGCAGAACACAACACAGGGGGAAAAAATACCAAAAAGAAGAAAAGCAGAGGTTCTTCTAGCTCACGGGTGGGGAAAACTATAGTCCACCAGCTGTTTTTGTAACTAAGTTTTATTGAAACACAAGCACACCCACTTGTTAACATATTATCTGAGGCTAGTTTCACGCTAAGGCAGAGTTAGTAGTTATGACAGAGACCATCATGGTCTACAAAGCCAAAAATATTTACTTTCTGGTCCTATAAAGAAAAGGTTTGGCCAGGCACGGTGGCTCATGCCTGCAATCCCAGCACTTTGGGAGGCTGAGGCGGGTAGATCATGAAGTCAGGAGTTCAAGACCAGCCTGGCCAATATGGTAAAACCCCATCTCTACTAAAAATACAAAAATTAGCTGGGCATGGTGGCGTGTGCCTGTAGTCCCAGCTGCTCGGGAGGCTGAGGCAGGAGAGTCACTTGAACCCGGGAGGCGGAGGTTGCAGTGAGCTGAGATTATGCCGCTGCACTCCAGCCTGGGCGACAGAGCAAGACACCATCTCAAAAAAAAAAAAAAAGAAAAGAAAAGAAAAGTTTTATGATCCACACACTAGCCTAAAAATCTCCAGGGATAAATTCCAATAGACTGAAGTTAGAATTAGTGAGCATTCAGTGTTTAAGTCACTATTCCTTAAATCACCTGGTATTACAAATATCACTGCATCATCCATTTATGGCATTCTTATGGTTACTATTGCATTCTCAAGGGTTAGACATACCCTCTGTGTGGTTCTCATTTTCCTAATACTCTTCAAAACACAATATAACATGTACCCTTCAATACTTCAATGCAGGGTACTACATTATCCTGGTCTTCCACTTTCCCACTGATTATTCCAGCTTTGTCTCACCTTAACTCCAAAGTCCAGTTCCTAAACTGATTTTCTTTCTGCTTCAAACCTCAGAAGACTATTCTCATCACTTTAGCCATCACTAACATTACTAACTCCAATATGACTTTCTTATTTGTCTGTCAGACATATCCACTTGACCATCAAGTGGTCATCTCAATACAAGATCCAAAGTGAAAATGGAAAAAGTAATTGCATTTTCTCCTCATAGCTCCCTCCACCTCTGGCCCACACACCAAATCACACTCTCTACATTTTCTGATTTCTGTATTGAGACCAAGTTTTGATTTATATTTCTGAGGGGTCAATCTGCAACTGACCCACGTGCCAAATCTGTAGACTATATCCAGTTTTCAAACTTATTTCCACATCCTTCAAAACAACTGCTCACACCATTGCTCATCTCCCTACTTCTGCATTTCAACACTACTCAGGGAGACGTGGGACACGTCAGTCTGTGGCACAGCACAGGCCCACAGTGGGCTCATCTAGTGCACTGTGTCTGGACCCTGCTCTGCAGGGGCCTGCATTTGGTGAAGCCCCTTAGAGGACTGGTGCCAAATAGCACCATGTTTATCTCTTCCACATATTCAACACCAGGTAAACTTGAAAGTGAAGTAAAGCTCACACAATATATATAAGTTAGGATACTATTAATCTGATCCCTTATTTTAAATGTGAGGAAAGTGAAAAGTTGAAAAACAACTTGCCTGATTTACCACAGGTAGAGTCTGGTACTAAATGCCAACCACATGCAACAGTGAGAAACGAGATTCATAAGTCTAATTTATCTTTATTTTAACATAAATTAACACACTTTTTTAGCAAGCTTATTGCCTGCCTCCTCCAACTATGCTAGCTCCAAGAGAGCAAAAAGTTTTGCTTTTTGGTCATCGCTGTATCCCTGGTATCTAAAATAATGCCTAACATTAGGTGCTCCTTTTTATTGTAAAAATTAGTACATTCTACCATGTGAACTTTCAGATCAGGAAATAAAGTTCCAAAATCATCAGACTGATTGGCATTATTTTAAGTCCACAAATTTAGGAAGAACTAACATCCTTACAAACTTTCAGAAACAGGCATTTCATTCCATTTATTCCAGTCTTCTTATAATACTGAAGACCTTTAATTTTTTTTATTAAGTCTTGTATTTTCTTATTAAGAATACCCTTGCTACTATCACACTGGTCATTAAGTTTAAAAAAACAAAAAGAAAAAAAGAAAAAATACCCCTGCACTCTTCCTAGCTGTTTGTTTTGTTTGGGAGAGTAAAACTACTTTTCTCCTTTTAAGAAGTAACTGATTTCCATATATTTAATAATGTCACTGGATTTTTAAAATATTTTTAAGAAATTTCAGATCATTCTCCTGGATTTTCTATATTTACAGCTATATCAATAGCAAATTATCAAATTATTGACTTACTGATATTATACTAAAATATTTCACTATGTTAAATCATATTTACAACTCCAGGATAAAACTAGATTGTTTCTAGGAAATTATAATATTGTGATTAAAAGTTCGATTCTGGGCCAGGCGCGGTGGCTCACACTTGTAATCCTAGCACTTTGTGAGGCCGAGGCAGGTGGATCACCTGAGGTCAGGAGTTCAAGACCAGCCTGGCCAACATGGCAAAACCCTGTCTCTACTAAAAATACAAAAAAATTAGCGGGGCGTGGTGGTGGGTGCCTGTAATCCCAGCTACTTGGGAGGCTGAGGCACGAGAATTACTTGAACCCAGGGGGTGGAGGTTGCAGTGAGCTGAGATCACGCCACCTCACTCCAGCCTGGGCAAAAGAGCAACTCTGTCTCGAAAAAGAGTTCAATTCTGAAGTCACACTACCTAGTCCAAAAAATGTTGACTAAGCTAAAGTTACATAGGTAGAGTAAACAGTTAAGTTATTTGACCATTCTAAACTCAACTTCCCCTTCTATTATAACCTAGCACTTTGGGAGGGCAAGGCAGGCAGATCACTTGAGATCAGGAGTTCAAAACCAGACTGGCCAATATAGTGAAACCCCGTCTCTATAAAAATACAAAAAAATTGGCCGGGCATGGTGGTGGGCATCTTTAATCCCAGCTACTTGGGAGGCTGAGGCAGGAGAATTGCTTGAACCTGGGAGGTGGACGTTGCAGTGAGCCAAGATCGTGTCACACTGATCTCCAGCCTGGGCGACAGAGTGAGACTCTGTCTCAAAAAAAATAAAGAAAGAAAGAAGATATACATCTCTCTGTGCTGTCAGAAACAAATGAGAGAATCGATGAAATAAACTTATCACTAGTACCAGGCTATGTCACCAAAAAAAGTTAACATGATAGTACAGTACTAGAATTAACTTGCTAATATTTCATTTTGGACTTGGTAATCATGTTTTTACTATATATTGGCCTATATATTTGTTTGTTTGGTTTCTGCTCTTTTTTTTTTTTTTTTTTGAGACGGAATCTCGCTATGTTGACTAGGCTGGTCTTGAACTCTTGGGCTCTAGCAATCTTCCTGCCTTAGCCTCCCATATAGCTGAGATTACAGGCATGTGCCACCACACCTGGCTAGCCTATATTTTTGTGTGTGCTTTGCTGGGTTTTATTACTTGATTTGTGCTAGCTTTAAAAAGAAACTATATTATTCTTATTCACTAAAATTAAACACATGGTATTGGAGATATTTTATATATCTTAAGATCTTCCAGTGAATCAATTTACCTTTATCAGAACTTGCTTTCTAGAAATTGCCTTGTGACCCCACTTCCAGTAAGATAGCTGTGGACTGATTTGGGTCTGACAATATGCATATGGAAGGCTTATTTACTAAACCCCATATCCTGAGCCTAAGCACCTAAACACAACTAGAAAAAGCTGTGGGCCAGGCGCCATGGCTCAACGCCTGTAATCCCAACACTTTGGGAGGCCAAGGCGGGTGGATCACAAGGTCAGGAGTTCGAGACCAGCCTGGCCAATATGGTGAAACCCCGTCTCTACTAAAAACACAAAAATTAGATGGGCATGGTGGCGGGCACCTGTAGTCCCAGCTACAGGGGAGGCTGAGGCAGGAGAATCATTTGAACCTGGGAGGCAAAGGTTGCAGTAAGCCGAGATCACGACACTGCACTCCAGCCTGGGGGACAGAGCAAGACTCTGTCTCAAAAAAAAAAAAAAAAAAAGAAAAGAAAAAGAAAAAAGCTGTGAATAATCTAATATAACCTACCTGGCATTGCTAAAGAGGTAAGTGGTAATCTACCAACTGCTACCCCTAAATATGTAAAGTTATATAACTTCTCTCTGTGCAAGGTAACTTCAGGGGAACTTCCAGCTGCAGTCCAGATGGATTAACAGGGACCAGATTTAGCCTCTAGAATTAAACAACTAAAAATATAGACAAAATTAAAATTTTTTTGTGTGTGTGACGGGATCTCGCCCTGTCGCCCAGGCTGGAGTGCAATGGCGCAATCTCAGCTCACTGCAACCTCCACCTCCCAGGTTCAAGCGATTCTCCTGACTCAACCTCCTGAGTAGCTGGGATTACAGGCGTGCACCACCACACCCTGCTTATTTTTTGTATCTTTAGTAGAGACGGGGTTTCACCACGTTGGCCAGGCTGGTCTTGAACTCCTGACCTTGTGATCCACCTGCCTCGGCCTCCCAAAGTGCTGGGATTATAGGCGTGACCCACTGTGCCCAGCTGACAAAATAAAATTTAAGGCCGGCTGCAGTGGTTCATGCCTGTAATCCCAACACTTTGGAGACCAAAGCAGGCAGATTACCTGAGGTAAGGAGTTCAAGACCAGCCTGGCCAACATGGCGAAACCCCGTCTCTACTAAATACAAAAAAATTAGCTGGGTGTGGTGGCGGGCACCTGTAATCCCAGCTACTTGGGAGGCTGAGGCAGGAGAAAGACTTGAACCCAGGAGGTGGAGGTTGCAGCGAGCCGAGATTGTGCCATCGCACTCCAGCCTGGGCAAAAAGAGCAAAACCCCGTCTCAAAAAAAAAAAATTTAAAAACCAATGATTTCCAGACACCAGAAAACATGCTTCTATCTGGGCTTGAAGTTTTATTTATGGCATGACTTTTAGCTACAAATTCAATTTCTTTAGCAGATCTACAACTAATTGGGTCATCTGTTTCTTCTTGAGTGAGCTTCGGTCATCTGTGTCTTTCATGAAACCTGTTTCATCTACATTATGAAATTTATTGGCATAAAGGTATTTAAAATATTCACTTATCCTTTTTTTTTTTTGAGATGGAGTTGTGCTCTGTCACCCAGGCTGGAGTGCAGTGGTGTGATTTCCACTCACTGCAACCTCTGCCTCCTGGGTTCAAGCGATTCTCCTGCCTCAGCCTCCCATGTAGCTGGGATTACAGGCCTACACTATCACACCTGGCTAATTTTTGTATTTTTAGTAGAGATGGGATTTTACCATGTTGGCCAGGCTGGTCTCAAACTCCTGACCTCAAGTGATCCACCTGCCTCAGCCTCCCAAAGTGCTGGCATTACCGGCGTAAGCCACCATGCCCGGCCCTCACTTACCCTTTTGATGTCTGTAGGATCTATAGTGGTATCCTCTCTCATTTCTGATATTGATAATTTATGACTTTTCTCTTTTATTCTTGATCTGTCTGACTAGAGGCTTATCAATTTTAACAATCATGTCAAACACCAGCTTTTGATTTCATTGGTTTTTCTCTATTGTTTTTCATTTCCCTGATCTTTCTTGTTTCTTCTCTTCTGCTTGTTGTGGCTTTAATTTGTTCTTCTTTTTCTAGTTTCTTTTTTTTTCTGAGACAGGGTTTTTGTTGCCTATCCAGGAGTGTGTAGTGACACGAACATAGATCACCATAACCTTGAACTCTTGGGATCCAGTGATCCCCTTCAGCTGCTTCTATTTTCTTAAGGTAGAAGCTTAAGTCACTGACTTGATACCCTTTCTTTTTTGTATATAAACAGTTAGGCATCTGGAGCTAATGAATTTCCACTTTAAACTTTGTTTAACTACTTCCAACAAATTTCAGCTACATTTTCATGTATATATCACTTTCACTTTTATTACACTTTCACTTTTTTTTTCTTTTTTTTTTTGAGACGGAGTCTCACTCTGTCACTCAGGCTGGAGTGCAGTGGCGTGATCTCAGCTCACCACAACCTCCACCTCCTGGGTTCAAGCGATTCTCCTGCCTCAGCCTCCCGAGTAGCTGGGACTACAGGCGCACCACCATGCCCAGCTAATTTTTGTATTTTTAGTAGAGATGGGGTTTCACTATGTTGGCCAGGCTGGTCTCAAACTCCTGACCTCATGATCCATCCGCCTTGGCCTCCCAAAGTGCTGGGATTACAGGTGTGAGCCACCGTGCCCGGCCTACACTTTCATTTTTATTCAGTTCACTTTCATTTTTATTTTTATTCAGTTCAAAATGCTAATTTCTCTTTTATTTACTGACTCATAGATTACTTTAGAAATGTGCTATTTAGCTAGGTGCAGTGGTTCATGCCTGTAATCCGAGCTCTTTGCTGGGTTGAGGCAGGAGGATTGGTTGAGGCCAGGAGTCTGAGACCTGGCAACACAGCAAGACTCCATCTCTGCAAAAACTTAAAAATTAGCCAGGCATGGTGGCACATGTCTATAGTCCCAGCTACTCAGGAGGCTGAGGCAGAAAGATTACTTGAGCCCAGGAGTTCGAGCCTGCAGTAGACTATGATTGTGCCACTGCACTCCAGCCTGGGCCACAGAACAAGACCCTGTCCCTGAAAAAAGAAAAGGAAAAAAAAAGAAATGTGTCACTTAGTTTTACAAATGTGGGGGAAATTTTTCAGATATCTTTCTGTTACTGATTTCTAATTTGCATTCACTGTGCTCAAAGAACATGCTTTGGGCCGGGCATGGTGGCTCATCCCTGTAATCGAGCACTTTGGGAGGCTGAGGCAGGCGGACCACCTGAGGTCAGGAGTTGAGACCAGCCTGGCCAACATGGTGATACCCCATCTCTACTAAAAACACAAAAATTAGCCAGGCATGGTGGTGCACACTCGTAATTCCAGCTACTCGGGAGGCTGAGGCAGAAGAGACACCTGAACCCAGGAGGCGGAGGTTGCAATGAGCCAAGATTGCACCACTGTGCTCCAGCCTGGGTGACAGAGTGAGACTCCATCTCAAAAAATATATAAAAAAATAAATAAAATAAAATAAAAATTAGGTTAAATTGGTTGATAGCATTATTTGAGTCTTCTATATCCTTACTGATTTTCTGTATGCTTCCTGTATTGAGAGAGTTGTGTTAAAATCTCTAACTGTGGATTTTTCTATTTCTCCCCATTTCTCTAAGTTTTACTTCATATATTTCGATGTTCTATTATTAGGGACATACATATTTTAAATTCTTATATCCTATGATTAACTGACCTCTTTAGCACAAAATGACCCTTTTTATCAGTAAAATACTGATATCGAGATTTATTCTCAAAGACTGTTAGCAAGTGGCACTGAAGAAACTATTCAGTAAACATGATTTCTCTTTCCCATCTAACAGACCTTACCGTATCATCAAGGCCATCTATATGCAAAACCACTGTTTTGGCACGTTTGTTTGTAGTTCCCAGAAAAAATTGAGCTTTCCTTCGACGTGAATTCATCTCATTAAAACTATCACCATCTGCCATATTGGAGGACTGAAGAATGTCATAGATTTCAGAGGCCAGAAGTTTTGTTTCTCCTGGAGTTGTAGTTCTTGAAAAGAAACACATATATAATTAGTCTTGTCACTTCTACTGATTCTGTAATTTTATTTCTCCACTAAAAGGAGCCTTGTTTCTTTTACTCTAATGCCTTGTTCAATTTAAAAGCAATAGCAGTGAATCCTAGAATAATCAATAATGTAGAAAAAGCATCTTGTCTATAATAATCTTCTAATTTCATTTTAAACCCGTGGCTCATTGAGATTCAAAATCCAACACTATAGAGGTATAAAAACACATTTGGCCAGGCACAGTGGCTCATGCCTGTAAACCCAGCACTTTGGGAGGCCAAGGCAGGTGGATCACTTGAGGTCAGGAGTTCAAGCCTGACCAACATACTGAAACCCCATCTCTACTAAAATACAAAAATTAGCTGGGTGTGGTGGCGCATGCCTGTAATCCCAGCTACTCAGGAGTCTGAGAGAGGAGAATCACTTGAACCCGGGAGGCAGAAGTTGCAGCAAGCTCAGATCACACCACTGGGCTCCAGCCTGGGTGACAGAGGGAGACTCCATCTCAAAAAAAAAAAAAACCACACGTTTAATAAAAATAATCAAATACAAAATCAACTAACAAGATCAGGTTGTAACATGTTCCTGTATTATCACTAACATTCAACTCTCAATTTGAAAGTACCTTGACTTTTAAGAAAATACAACATATAAAAATCCAAAAGGAGAAACCAAATTTGAAAAGGATCATTCATACTATCAACTAATTTCAAGATTTCTTTGTATGTTAAAACCAATTTTTTAATTTACATTTTTTACATATTACAAATTATGTGTTTATCATAAAACCACAGCTCTAACAAAAGTTTTCATTCTTAAGCTTTTAAATCCTACTACAGATCCTCACATCAACATCTAGGGGACTGTGCTGTCCAATAATCTTTCTGCAATGATAGAAATGTTCTATAGCTGCACTCTCCACTCACATGAGGCTACTGAGCACTTGAAATGTGGCTAGTGCAACTAAAAAAAATTAATTTACCTTTAATTAATTTAAATTGCCAAACAGAGTGAGTGGCTAACCATACTGGACAGCACAGTCTAATGGCTCTTATTAGTGGAACTGAACAAAGAGTAAGTACATGTAACTGTAAGAAAAGAATCCTCATTTCACCTATCAATGGGCTCAACTAAGTCCAAACCCTTTAATGTACACTCAAGGCCTTAAAATCTGGCCCCATTTGGCTATCTCCATCAGCTCATTTTGTCCTTCTATTATTCTTTGGGTTGACTATGACACTTGGCCATCTCCTACAAAGACCATGCATTTTTATATGTTCTTTGTTCTAGAATGCTTTCTACCCTTAAGTTTTGTTCAGGTCTTTCCTTAGCTGGAAGAGCTTCACCCAGACTGCAGGCTTTCCAACTCTTATTTCAATGCTTGAAGGGTCAGCTTGACCAACACCTTCTATATAATGCCTCTACCTAATAACCCAATTCTCCCTTTGCATTCAGAGTACTATGCTTGTACTTATACTACTGATCTTAATTTTCTATTTCTTTTATAAGTATATGAACTCTTTAAGAGGAGGAAGGTATCCTTTTTGTACCTTCCATAGAACCTAACAAAAATGTTTGCAAGTTATTTAGTGAATGAGTAGGAATACTTCAATTTCTGATACTCAGATTGTATATGTTCTAGCTACTTAGAGCTTTAATTCCAGGGGTGATAATCTGACAGTATTCCAGACACTCAATTACTATATCAAGTGCTTTTCTGAGCCACTGTTGACCACAGAGATAAGTTACTTTGGGTGACTTTAGCCGTGTGTTACAGAAAGCTATCAAAAGGACTAATTTGTATTAGTTGCCTCAGCATTTTTATTGATAGCTATTTTAGAGTTTATTGAAAAGTCACTGCAGTTCTCAGATATTTTAAATATTAACCAAGAACAAGTTATAAAGAGCATGAAGAGACAATGATTAGAGAAACTTACGAACTTAAGTTAAAAAAAAAAAAAAAAAAACAGGGCCGGGTACAGTGGCTCATGCCTGTAATTCCAACACTTTGTGAGGCTGAGGTGGGTGGATCACCTGAGGTTAGGAGTTCGAGCCCAGCCTGGCCAACATGGCGAAACCCCGTCTCTACTAAAAAAGCACAAAAACTAGCTGGGCGTGGTGGCAGGTGTCTATAATCCCAGCTACTCAGGGGGCTGAGGCAGGAGAATCACTTGGACCTGGGAGATGGAGGTTGCAGCGAGCCAAGATCCTACGACTGCACGCCAGCCTGGGTGACAGAATGAGGCTCCCTCTTAAAAAGAAAAAATGAATAAATAAAATAAAATAAAATAAAGTAGCCAGGTGTGGTGGTGGGTGCCTGTAATCCCAGCTACTCAGGCGGTGGAGGCAGGAGAATCACTTGAACCCAGGAGGCGGAGGTTGCAGTGGGCCGAGATCATGCCATTGCACTCCAGCGTGGGCAACAAGAGCAAGACTCCGTCACAAAAAAAAAAGAAGAAAGAAAAACTGTATTATTGTTACTCCTTTCCATTGTCAATAGTTTTGCATCAACTAGAAAATGAATCATAACACATAATAAAACATCCAATAACTGTCATACATTTTTTGAAAACCTGGATTATTTCAAAACTGTTTAATATGCTTAATGAAGCAATAGTGACAAAAAATATTAAAATACTAAAACATAAATTATCTTTCTGTTTTGCATAAAAACTGTAACAGTAATTCCCTCTCCCCTCTCCCCTCTTCCCGGTCTCCCTCTGATGCCGAGCGGAAGCTGGACTGTACTGCTGCCATCTCGGCTCACTACAACCTCCCTGCCTGATTCTCCTGCCTCAGCCTGCCGAGTGCCTGCGATTGCAGGCACGCGCTGCCACGCCTGACTGGTTTTCGTATTTTTTTGGTGGAGAGGGGGTTTCGCTGTGTTGGCCGGGCTGGTCTCCAGCTCCTAACCACGAGTGATCTGCCAGCCTCGGCCTCCCGAGGTGCCGGGATGGCAGACGGAGTCTGGTTCACTCAGTGCTCAATGGTGCCCAGGCTGGAGTGCAGTGGCGTAATCTCGGCTGGCTACAACCTCCACCTCCCAGCCGCCTGCCTTGGCCTCCCAAAGTGCCGAGATTGCAGCCTCTGCCCGGCCGCCACCCCGTCTGGGAAGTGAGGAGCGTCTCTGCCTGGCCGCCCATCGTCTGGGATGTGAGGAGTGCCTCTGCCCGGCTGCCCAGTCTGGGAAGTGAGGAGCGCCTCTTCCCGGCCGCCATCACGTCTAGGAAGTGAGGAGCGTCTCTGCCCGGCCACCCATAGTCTGAGATGTGGGGAGCGCCTCTGCCCCGCCGCCCCGTCTGGGATGTGAGGAGCGCCTCTGCCCAGCCGCGACCCCGTCTGGGAGGTGAGGAGCGTCTCTGCCCGGCCGCCCTGTCTGAGAAGTGAGGAGCCCCTCCACCCGGCAGCCGCCCTGTCTGAGAAGTGAGGAGCCCCTCCGCCCGGCAGCCGCCCCGTCTGAGAAGTGAGGAGCCCCTCCGCCCGGCAGCTGCCCCGTCTGGGAAGTGAGGAGCGTCTCCGCCCGGCAGCCGCCCCATCCAGGAGGGAGGCGGGGGGCAGCCCCCGCCCGGCCAGCCACCCCGTCCGGGAGGTGGGGGGCGCTTCTGCCCAGCCGCCCCTTCTGGGAAGTGAGGAGCCCCTCTGCCCGGCGGCCACCCTGTCTGGGAGGTGTACCCAACAGCTCATTGAGAACGGGCCATGATGACGATGGCGGTTTTGTCGAATAGAAAAGGGGGAATGTGGGGAAAAGATAGAGAAATCAGATTGTTGCTGTGTCTGTGTAGAAAGAAGTAGACATAGGAGACTCCATTTTGTTCTATACTAAGAAAAATTCTTCTGCCTTGGGATGCTGTTGATCTATGACCTTACCCCCAACCTGGTGCTCTCTGAAACATGTGCTGTGTCCACTCAGGGTTAAATGGATTAAGGGCGGTGCAAGATGTGCTTTGTTAAACAGATGCTTGAAGGCAGCATGCTCCTTAAGAGTCATCACCACTCCCTAATCTCAAGTACCCATGGACACAAACACTGCGGAAGGCCGCAGGGTCCTCTGCCTAGGAAAACCAGAGACCTTTGTTCACTTGTTTATCTGCTGACCTTCCCTCCACTATTGTCCTCTGACCCTGCCAAATCCCCCTCTGCGAGAAACACCCAAGAATGATCAATTAAAAAAAAAAAAATTAATCACACCTAAAATATACCTTTAATTCATGGCAACAACACACACTGGGAACGACTAGACAGGGGCAAGGGTTGAAAAACCAACTGTTGGGTACTACGCTCACTCTCCGGGTGACAGGATAATTCATGGCCCAAACCTCAACATCAAGCAATGTACCCATGTAACAAACCTGCTCATGTACCCCTGAATCTAAAATAAAAGTTGAAATTATTAAAAAGAAAAAAAAAAAACTGTAACAGTAGTTCTTAGCCAATTAAGGCAGTATACTAATTAATCCTTTTTTCGGCGGGGGGGGAGGGAGCAGACAGAGTCTCACTCTGTCACCCAGGCTGGAGTGCAGTGGCGCAATCTTGGCTCACTGCCACCTCCACCTCCCGGGTTCAAGCGATTTTCCTGTCTCAGCCCCGTGAGTAGCTGGGATTACAGGTACGTACCACCATGCCTGGCTAATTTTTATATTTTTAGCAGAGATGGGGTTTCGCCATGTTGGTCAGGCTGGTCTCGAACTCCTGACCTCGTGATACACCCGCCTCGGCCTCCCAAAATGCTGAGATTACCGGCATGAGCCACGGCACCCAGCCATTAATCCCTTTAAGAACCTAATGTAAGGCCAGGCGCAGTGGCTCACGCCTGTAATCCCAGCACTTTGGGAGGCCGAGGCAGGTGGATCACAAGGTCAGGAGTCTGAGACCATCCTGGCTAACACGGTGAAACCCCATCTCTACTAAAAATACAAAAAATTAGCCGGGCGTGGTGGCGGGCGCCTGTAGTCCCAGCTACTCGGGAGGCCGAGGCAGGAGAATGGCCTGAACCCGGGAGGCAGAGCTTGCAGTGAGCCAAGATTGGGCCACTGCATTACAGCCTGGGTGACAGGGTGAGACTCAGTCTCAAAAAAAAAAAAAAAAAAGAACCTAATGTAAAGTGTCTCACCAGAAAACTCCAAGTGAAAAGTTTTCCACATCAATTTCAGTGGAATTATGTCCCCACCCAAACCATCCATTTTCTAACAGTCTCAACACAGACATTTAAATTGTTTTTAAAGTTGATTTCAAATTAAACAGGGAAGGAGAACTATGATGTCAAGAAACCATCCCAATGTTTGGAAAAATCTAATAAAAAGGTAACTGTCGGGCCGGGGCGGTGGTTTACACCTGTAATCCCAGCACTTTGGGAGGCCGAGGTGAGCGGATCATGAGGTCAGGAGACCGAGACCATCCTGACTAATGCAGTGAAACCCCATTTCTACTAAAAATACAAAAAATTAGCCGGGCGTGGTGGCACGTACCTGTGGTCCCAGATTCTTGGGAGACTGAGGCAGGAGAATCGCTTGAACCCGGGAGGCGGAGGTTGCAGTGAGCCGAGATCGCGCCACTGCACTACAGCCTGGGCTACAGAGCGAGACTCCATCTCACAAAAAACAAACAAACAAACAGAAAAAGGCAACTGCTGGTAAAAGCATCATAGGTATCATTTGAAAACAGGGATACAAAGACAAAGATATTTACATCTTTGACTTAGTAATTCGCCAGTAAAATCTGTTAGGAAAATAGTCCATGAAACAAAAATAATCCAAAAACAAAAAAAGCCCTAGAGGCAGTTAAGCAAAGAAATTTTAGAGCAGGCCAGGGGTGGTGATTCACCCCTGTAATCCCAGCACTTATAGAGAGGCCGAGTGCAGGTGGATCACCTGAGGCCACGAGTTCGAGACCAGCCTGGCCAATATGGTGAGACTCCATCTCTACTAAAAATGCAAAAATTAGATGGGTGCAGTGTCACACACATGTAGTCCCAGGTACTCAGAAGGCTGAGACAGGAGAATCGCTTGAAACCGAGAGGAAGAGATTGCAGTGAGCTGAGATCACAGACATTGCACTCAAGCCTGGGTGAGAGTGAGACTTTGTCTCAAAAAGAAAAAAAAAGAAATTTTCGAGCAGCTGGGCATGGTGGCTCACACCTGTAATCCCAGCATGTTGGGAGGCCGAGATAGGAGGATCACTTGAGTCCAGGAGTTCGAAACCAGTCTAGGCAACATGTCAAGACCCCATCTCTACAAAAAAATACAAAAATTAGGCCAGGCGCAGTGACTCACGCCTGTAATCCCAGTACTTTGGGAGGCTGAGACGGGCGGATCACCTGAGGTCAGGAGTTCAAAATCAGCCTGGCCAACATGGTCAAATCCTGTCTCTACTAAAAGCACAAAAATTAGCCGGGCATGGTGGTGCGTGCCTGTAATCCCAGGTACTTGGGAGGCTGAGGCAGGAGAACTGCTGGAGCCCAGGAGGCAGAGGTTGCAGTGAACCAAGATCGCGCCATTGCACTCCAGCCTGGGCAACAGGATGAGACTCAAAAAAAAAAAAAAAAAATTAGCAGGACATGATGGCCTAAGTCCCTGCTGCTCAGGAGGCTAAGGCAGGAGGATTACTTGAGCCCATGAGGCAGAGGTTGCACTGAGCTAACATCGTACCAGCCAAGGTGGCATATTGAGACCTGGTCTCAAAAAAAAAAAAGACAAGAAAAGAAAAATTTTAGAGCAGCACTCTACATCAGAACTTTCTGAGATGATGGAAATAGTGTCACTAGCCACATGACTAAACACTTGGAATAT
Organism: Homo sapiens; assembly: GCF_000001405.40. Lineage (NCBI taxonomy): Eukaryota > Metazoa > Chordata > Mammalia > Primates > Hominidae > Homo > Homo sapiens. Next base: position 65,620,238 of record NC_000008.11, read on the forward strand.
GGCAAATGTGACTGAGGAGCTGAGTTTTTAATTTTAATTAATTATTATTATTATTACTTTTTTTTTTTTTTTTTTTTTTTTTGAGAGGGAATCTCATTCTGTCGCCCAGGCTAGAGTGCAGTGGTGCGATCTTGGCTCACTGCAACCTCTGCCTCCCGAGTTCAAGCGATTCTCCTGCTTCAGCCTCCTGAGTAGCTGGGATTACAGGTGCCCGCCACCTCACCTGGCTAATTTTTATATTTTTGGTAGAGATGGGTTTTCACCATGTTGGCCAGGCTGGCCTCGAACTCCCTACCTCAGGTGATCACCTGCCTCCCAAAGTGCTGGGATTACAGGTGTGAGCCACCACTCCCTGCCATTAATTTTAATTAATTTAAATTGCCACATGTTGCTATTGATTACCATACTAGACCCGTTTCAGAAAAAAAAGGAAGATGCTTCTGTTGTCATCCTTAAGCCAGCGCTCCTCTTCCTGGTTAATCACTGCTTCTATCCCTCTGACTAATCACTTCTCTAGCATCCTTTCTGAACTGAGGTCCTGTAAAAGAATTTAGTTCCATTTAAAAAAAAACACAACTATCTGGGCAGGATGTGATGGCTCATGCCTGTAATTCCAGCACTTTGGGAGGCTGAGGCAGAAGGATTGCTTGATCCCAGGACAGCAGCCTAGGCAACATAGTGAGACCATGTCTCTACAAAATAATTTAAAAATTAGCCAGGTATAATGGCACATGTCTGTAGTCCCAGCTACTTGGGAGGATGAGGTGGGAGAATAGCTGGAGCTTGGGAGGTTGAGGCTGCAGTGAGCCATGATCATACCACTGCACTCTAGCCTCAGCAACAGAGCGAGACCCTGTCTCAAAAAACTAACCAAACAAACAAAAAAACCCAGAGTTATTATTTTCTCAATTACTCCAAGGATAGTATAGAGCTGAAACCATTCCAGATACATTGCACAGAAGATAATCCATTATATCCAATGGATTCCTTAGGGCTTTAGGGCTTAATTCTCTTATAAACCAGTTCTAGTGGCTTCCACATTAGCAGCAACAGGATGAGGGGAGAAATAGCCAAGTATTCATATTCATATTAACAATGTGCAAAGTGGGGGTATGCATGCTTATGATTGCCAGTATAGCTACTGAGGCTACTCACACTATTTTAATTATAAACTTAAGAATTTACTACAAAATTATATTACAAAGTCACACAAGCTTCTGTCTACTTAGATAAACAAAGCAGTTACAGATGAGAGATCAGCAACCATGGTTATATAAATTTTATTTTTTGAGACACAGTCTCGCTCTGTTGCCCAGGCTAGAGTGCAGTGGTGGGATCTCACCTCACTGCAATCTCCACCTCCCAGGTTCAAGTGATTCTCCTGCCTCAGCCTCCCGAGTAGCTGGGATTACAGGCACGTGCCACCACACCAGGCTAATTTTTGTATTTTTACTAGAAACGAGATTTCACCACGTTGGCCACGCTGGTCTTGAACTCCTGGCCACAAGTGATCCGTCTGCCTTGGCCTCCCAAATTGCTGGGATTTCAGGCATGAGCCACCATGCCCAGCATGTATGAAATATTAAATGCCTCTACCAGCACCATCTTAACTTTCTTATTTTATAGTTCCACAGTTTTACCATTTTCCTACAGTAATAAATTACTTCTTGACTAATTTGTAATTTTTCTCTACCTAAAATTGAAATTTTTTTTTTTTTGAGATGGAATCTTGTTCTGTCGCCCAGGCTAGAGCGCAATGGCACGATCTCGGCTCACTGCAACCTCCACCTCCGGGGTTCCAGCGGTTCTCCTCCCTCAGCCAGCTAAATGATTAAAAACAGTTAACTACAGGACATTAAAACATAGTAATCCAATAATAGTAGTAATCATGCCTATAATTCCAGCACTTTGGAAAGCCAAGGTGGAAGGATCGCTTGAACCCAGCATGGGCAACATAGTGAGGCCCTGTAAGTAAGTAATATAAGTAAGTATATAAATAAATGAGACACTGTCTATTGTACTTACTTCTGTATAACATTTTGTAAGCTCAACATCATACCCAGTTCTCCTTTCATCTTTTCTCTGTTTGCACGGCATTCTGCCAAGTATCGAAGAGCCTACAGCAGAAGAAGTAATAAGTTAATTCGTCTGTCCAGACTATTCAAAATTGAAACTACTACTAATTTACTGCAAGAAAACAAAAAAGGAGAAAATAGGTTTTTGTTTTTAGAATAAAATCCTTTAAATGAGATGATTCAGAATTATTCCCTAGGGAAGAAATGATCCTTTGAGCTGTAGTAGCTGATCTACTCTTCGAAATGAAGGTTCCTAACTTAGTCACAAGGTCAAAATTAGGTTGTTCTGGTTTTACTTTCACCACTTCACAGGGATGGAACTATATTCCATTTAGTGGGGAAGTGAGCTGTGATTGCGCCATTGCACTCCAACCTGAATGACAGAGTTACTGTGCCTCAAAAGAAAAAAAAAAGGTGGCGGGGGGAACGACGTGGGCACAGTGGCTCACACCTATAATCCCAGCACTTTGGGAGGCTGAGGTGGGCAGATCAAGACCATCCTGGCCAACATGGTGAAACCTCACCTCTACTAAAAATACAAAAATTAGCTGGATGTGGTAGCATGTGCCTGTAGTCCCAGCTACTTGGAAGGCTGAGGGAGCAGAATTGCTTGAACACGGGAGGCGGAGGTTGCAGTGAGCTGAGATCACGCCACTGCACTCCAGCATGGCAACAGCGAGACTCCATCTCAAAAAAAATTAAAAAAAAAAAAAAAGGCTGGGCGCAGTGGCTCACGCCTGTAATCTCAGCACTTTAGGAGGCCAAGGCGGGTGGGTCACGAGGTCAGGGGTTCGAGACCAGCCTGACCAACATGGTGAAACCCCATCTCTACTAAAAATACAAAAATTAGCTGGGCATGGTGGCAGGTGCCTGTAATCCCAGCTACTCAGGAGGCTGAGGCAGGAGAATTGCTTGAACCGGGGAGGCGGAGGTTGCAGTGAGCCGAGATCGTGCTGCCGCACTCCAGCCTGGGCGACAGAGCAAGACTCCGTCTCAAAAAAAAAAAAAAAAATGCTGGGCGCTGAGTGGCTCACGGCTGTAATCCCAGCACTTTGGGAGGCCAAGGCAGGCCGATCACTTAAGGTCAGGAGTTCGAGACCAGCCTGGCCAACATGGCAAAACCCCGTTTCTACTAAAAATACAAAAATTAGCCGGGCATGATGGCACGCACCTGTAATCCCAGCTACTCGGGAGACTGAGGCAGGAGAATCGCTTGAACCCAGGAGGCGGAGGTTGCAGTGAGCCGAGATCACACACTGCACTCCAGCCTGGGCGACAGAGCAAGACTGCATCTCAAAAACAAAACAACCAAAAAAAACCACCATCCATATCAAAGACATCATAATTATTTGCTGAAAATCACTAATAAAGTTCCAGAAGAAGCCAGAAAAAGGCATTATATAAGGTAAGAACAAGAATTACGGCAGTTTTCTTATTAGAAACCGTACATGCCAGAAGACAACAAAGTAAAATCTTTTTTTTTTTTTTTTTTTTTTTTTGGTGTGATGGAGTTTTTGTTCTTTCGCCCAGGCTGGAGTGAAGTGGCACAAACTCGGCCTACTGCAACCTCCACCCCCCGAGTTCAAGCGATTCTCTTGCCTCAGCCTCCTGAGTAGCTGGGATTATAGGTGCCAGCCACCACGCCTGGCTAATTTTTGTATTTTTAGTAATGATGGGTTTTTGCCATGTTGGCCAGGCTGGTCTTGAACTCCTGACCTCAGGTGATCCACCTGCCTCGGCCTCCCAAAGTGCTTGGATTACAGGCATGAGCCACCACGCCCAGCCAAGACCCTGTTTCAAAACAAAAACGAAAACAAAACCCAAAAAAACAAAAATGAATCTATATTGGGGAATAAAGAACACCAGAAATGTAAAAATGAAGGTAAATATAAAAGACCTTTTTTTGCTAGGCATGGTGGCTCACGCCTATAATCTCAGTACCTTGGGAAGCTGAGGGGGGCAGATCACCTGAACTCAGGAGTTCAAGACCAGCCTGGCCAACATGGCGAAACCCTGTCTCTACTAAAAATACAAAAATTAGCCAGGCATGCTGACATGCACCTGTAATCTCAGCTGCTAGGGAGGCTGAGGCAGAAGAATCATTTGAACCCGGGAGGCAGAGGTTGCAGTGAGCTGAGATTGCGCCACTGCACTCCAGCCTAGGTGACAGAGCAAGACTCCATCTCAAAAAAAAAAAAAGACATTTTTAAATTTTTAATCTCTTTAAAAGATAATTGACTGTTTAAGGCAAAAATATATACACTGTAGGTTTTTAAACATATGTAGAAGTAAAATGTATGACAAAAATAGCACAAAAGATGGGAGAAAGAAATGGAAATATACTCTTGTGTGATTCTTACACTACATGTTAAGGGTATGATTCATTTAAAGGTAGGCTGTAAGAAGTTAAAGATGCATATTGTAAAACCTACAGCAACCACTAAATAAATTAAAATAAAAACAAAAGTGTATACTAATAAGCTAACAGTGACGAAAAAAGGAAATCATAAAAACAACACACCCAATGGCCAGGCATGGTGGCTCACACCTGTAATTTCAGCACTTTGAGAGGCCAAGACAGGCAGATCACCTGAGGTCATGAGTTCGAGACTAGCCTGGCCAACATGGTGAAAAACCGTCTCTACTAAAAATACAAAAATTAGCCACATGTGATGGTGCGGGCCTGTAATTCTAGCTACTCAGAAGGCTGAGGCAGGAGAATCGCTTGAACCCAGGAGGCGGAGGTTGCAGTGAGCCAAGATTGTGCCATTGCTCTCCAGCCTGGGTGGCAAGAGCAAAAACTCTGTCTCAAAAACAACAACAAAAAAATCTTTTCTTCAGCCTCTTGGGAACTTTCACTCACTGATCCCTCTCCTTAGCTCTGTCCCTCCATGACTTTATACTTCCCTTCCTATTCAGCCTAGTATCTACTGTATATCATTTCAACCAATCCTGCCAAGATCCTAAACTCCCTTGCACAATCATTCTGCCCAACTTAACCTGGCCAAGTAACAACTCTAGACAAATCCAAGTACTTGGCTCTGTGAGCCTACAACAGGCCTGAATCATATCGATTCAGTATTACCAAACTAATCAGCCCTCAACACTGCTGAACAACTTTATCATTCTCCTCAGTTAGCAAATCTTTCCTATTTTCTGCAATTATGAGAGCCTTCCCCTCAAACCTCTCCCATTCTAGTAGCCCTTGCCCTCTGAACTTAGACATATTCTAGTCTATTTAAAAATAAAAAAGACTTACTTCCTTTAGCCCCAAGTCCCTATCTATAGATCAACCCCCTCTTTCTTCTCATCCTTCTTGCATTTCTTATTGAAATTGAACCCAGACTGGGGACTGTGCCATTTTTCCCATTTGTTACTACTGTTCTCTTACACCAATGTCTTTTTTGACTGCTAAACTTCATTCTGTAAAGGCAAAATAGAAATTTTTTTCCAAAAGGAAAAGTCTATATGCCTTCTGTACAAACTTGTGAAATTAGACTAAATGGGGAATCATCACGAGTCCTTAAGTAAAGGGCAATAGATAAAATTTCCAAAACATTAATTTTTTTAACAACTTTTTTTTTTTTTTTTTTGAGACGGAGTTTCACTCTTGTTGCCCAGGCTCGAGTGCAATGGCACAATCTTGGCTCACTGCAACCTCTGCCTCCTGGGTTCAAGGGATTCTCCTGCCTCAGCCTCCTGAGTAGCTGGGATTTCAGGCACCCACCACCACGCCCGGCTAATTGTTTTGTATTTTTAGTACAGACAGGGTTTCACTACGTTGGCCAAGCTGGTGTCAAACTCCTGACCTCAGGTGATCCACCCACCTCGGCCTCCCAAAGTGCTAGGATTACAGGAGTGAGCCACCACGTCTGGCCCTATTTATATGCAAAATATATAGGCATTTTTGCCAGAATAGGCAAATATAGACATACAAAAAGTAGATTAGTAGTTGCTTAGGGACAGGGAGTGTTGGGGTCTGGGAAGCAATAGATAAAAAGTTGTGGTGGGCCGGGCACAGTGGCTCACATCTGTAATCTAAGCACTTTGAGAGCTCGAGGTAGAAGAATCACTTGAGGCCAGGAGTTTGAGACCAGCCTAGTTAACATAGCTACATCCTATCTCTACTAAAAAAAAAAAAAAAAATTTATTTATAATAAATAAAAATAAAAAGTTGTGGTGATGGTGACACACAACTCTGTGAATATACTAAAATCACTTAATTGTATACTTTAAATGAGTGAATTATATGATGCTGTGTGCTTACATCTTAAAAAGCTGTTATAAAATAAAAACAAAATAAGTGCCTCTTTGAGTGTCTCTGTGTATGATATGATCCAATCCTCAAGATTGTTAAATGAAAAGGAAGTGGTAGGACATTCCATGCATGGAGTATGCAACAATTTGTATAAAAGAATAAAAACAAGGCTGGCCATGGTGACTCACAGCTGTAATTCCAACACTTTGGGAGGCCAAAGTGGAAGGATCACTTGAGCTCAGGAGTTTGAGCCTGGCCAACATGGCGAAACCCTATCTCTACAAAATATCAAAAATTTGGCTGGCATGGTGGTGTGTGCCTATCATCCCAGCTACTTGGGAGGCTGAGGTCGGGGGGATGGTTTAAGCCCAGGAGGTGGAGATTGCAGTGAACTAAGATCCTGCCACAGTGTACTCCAGGCCTAGATGACTCAAAAAAAAAAAAATAAAGAATAAAAACAATGTAGCATGTTACCACTGGTGTAAACAGACCACAGACCACACATACATATGTTTGTACCTACATAAATACAAACAACTAATTGCTCTCTTTCCGTTTTTTTACCTTGTCATCTAGCACTTTTTCCAAATTCTCACCTTAACTGCAAAAATAGAACAGAGATTGAAATTACTAAAGGCAACTTACAAGCAAAGCGGAGTGGACGACTGGAGGGTTGGGATGGTCCATAAATAAAATAAGGCCAGGCAGACATCCCTGATCCTGGACGATGGCTCTTCTGTTTAACGGATCTGCTGCTAGATCCCGTAACTGGTTAACTACCGATAGAGCGTCAGGCTCTTCACTCATGGTGGAAGTGGAAGAATTCATCTTCTATGCCATGCACATGAATAAAATCTTAAATTCTGTAGAAAAGGTTTGCAGAATTAGTTCTAGGCTGCTGAGGTATATTATAGCACTTGTGAAATAACCAGGATTACAACACCTTTAGAAAGAATCAGGTAACTAAAACTAAATCACATAAAAACTTAGAAATCGGCAACTCTACAGTTTGAGAAAAGTAAAATGAACGTAAGACGACTGAAAAAATTTGTGTGCACAATGTTTAAAGAACATATGTTGTCCTCAATATTCCAATAAATTATGTTTTAGCACACATATTTTAACAATAAAATCACAATAAAGATCTTTACAGTTCAAGCTAGTAAGCTTTGCTATACTTCTAAAACTGTTAATATTGCCAGTGCTTTTTATCCTCTAGACTATTTCTAGCCCTAAAACAAGTGCCCGAGGGAAAAGTGGCTAGTTTACAGCTTTCTTATTCATCAGTGAACAAAAACCTAGCATACTCTGTCTACAAAGAATAAAATGCCCTTGGAAAAAGGAGGCAGAAGTCTGTAAATCAAGAAGACAGGAAAGGTATTTAGCCTGTGGCTCAGGCCAGTAGAGTGTGAAAGATCATAGTGAATCTACACTGAATCTAAATACCTCTGTCCATCTGATTATGCCATATTCTACTGCCTAACAGAAAAGCAAAAATAGGAAGAATGAAGTAGAATTTGACATAATTCATTTGCCAGATGAGGAGCTAGTCATAGAGAGGTTCAATAATTTGCCCCACATCACAAAATCTAGTTAGCATAGAACTGGCCTAAAATATTATTTACTATTTCCTAAACTCATCAGCAGTCTTTCCACTTTGCATACTTTGTTTTCCTTGTTTGTTTTGTTTGTTTTCTCCAAGACAGAGTCGCATTCTGTCACCCAGGCTGGAATGCAGTGGCACAACCTCAGCTCACTACAACCTCCGCCTCCCGGTTCAAGCAATTCTCCTGCCTCAGCCTCCTAGCCACGCCCGGCTAATTTTTTTTTTTTTTTTTTTTTTTTTTTGTATTTTTAGTAGAGACTAGGTTTCACCATGTTGGTCAGGCTGGTCTCAAACTCCTAACCTTAAATGATCTGCCCGCCTTGGCCTCCCAAAATGCTGGGATTACAGGCATGAGCCACCGTGTCCAGCCTCATACTTTCGTTTTAAAATCAGTATTTTGGCCCGGCATGGTGGCTCATGCCTGTAATCCCAGCACTTTGGGAGGCCGAGGCAGGCAGATCTCCTGAGGTCAGGAGTTCGAGATCAGCCTGGCCAACATGGTGAAACCCCATCTCTACTAAAAATACAAAATTAGCCGGGCATGGTGGCACGCACCTGTAATCCTAGCTACTCGGGAGGCTGAGGCAGGAGAATTTATTAAAGCCAGGAGGCAGAGATTGCAGTGAGCTGAGATTGTGCCACTGCATGAGCAAAACTCTGTCTCAAAACAAGCAAACAAAAAAAATCAGCATATCGGCCGGGTGCAGTGGCTCACGCCTGTAATCCCAGCACTTTGGGAGGCCAAGGCGGGTGGATCACCTGATGTCAGGAGTTCAAGACCAGCCTGGTCAACATGGTGAAACCCTGTCTCTACTAAAAATACAAAAATTAGCTGGGCTTGGTGGTGGGTGCCTGTAATCTCAGCTACTCAGGAGGCTGAGGCAGGGAGAACTGACTGAACCTGGGAAGCGGAGGTTGCAGTGAGCCGAGATTGCGCCATTGCACTACAGCCTGGATGACAGGGCGAGACTCCATCTCAAAAAAAAAAAAAAAGAAAGAAAGAAAATGTGATATACATACACAATGACACAAATGGAATACTATTCACCCTTAAAAAAGAAGGAAATTCTGTCACTTGTGACAACATGGACAGAACTGGAGAACATTGTGCTAAATGAAGTAAACTAGGCACAGAAAGAGAAATGCTGCATATTGTTGCTTAACTGTTGAATCTAAAACAATAGAACTCAGCAGCAGAGAACAGAATGGTGGTAAAAGGCTGGCAGATAGGCAAAATGAGGAGATGAGGATCAAGGGATACAAAGTCGTAGTAGGAATAAGTGAGGGTTTTTTTGACATCTATTGCACAAGATGGTGAATATAGTTAATAATAGTGTATTCCAGATGGGCGCGGTGGCTCACACCTATAATCCCAGCACTTTGGGAGGCCAAGGCAGGCGGATCATGAGGTCAGGAGTTCAAGACCAGCCTGACCATCGTGGTGAAACCCCGTCTCTACTAAAAGTACAAAAATTAGCTGGGCGTGCTGGCGGGCGCCTGTAATCCCAGCTACTCGGGAGGCTGAGGCAGGAGAATCGCTTGAACTTGGGAGATGGAGGTTACAGTGAGCCGAGATTGTACCACTGCACTCCAGCCTGGGCAACAGAGCAAGACTCCGTCTCAAAAAAAAAAAAAAAAAAAATCAAAACAAAACAGTATATTCTCGGTCTTAAAATGGCTATGAGTTGCCAGGGGTGGTGACTTATGCCTGTAATCCCAGCACTTTGGGAGGACAAAGCGGGTGGATCACCTGAAGTCAGGAGTTTGAGACCAGTCTGACCAATATGGTGAAACGTCATCTCTACTAAAAATACAAAAATTAGCCGGGCATGGTGGCGCAAACCTGGAATCCCAGCTACTTGGGAGGCTGAGGCCAGAGAACTGCTTGAACTCGGGAGGTGGAGGTTGCAGTGAGCCGAGATTGTGCCACTGCACTCCAGCCTGGGTGACAGAGCTAGACTGTCTCAAAAGCAAAACAGAAAAAAATCGCTGTGAGTAAATTTCAAGTGGTCTCACCACAAAAAATAAGTATAAGGTGATAGATATGTTAACTAGCTTGATTTAATTGCTCCACTTTATATTCATGAATCATAACATCATTTTGTACCCCATAAATATATACAACTATAAATTACCAATTTACAATAAAATGTTTTAAAATAAATCAGGGAAAAAAGAACCAAACACTCTGGGTGTTGGCCTTTTGCATACAACGCTGGCCTTGAAACTGAAGAGTTCCATTCTCATTCAAGGAGCCATTAGATAACTATTCAGTAGGAACTATACTGAAAAAAAGTTACATAGCTTTCCTGTTCCTTTGGGATGAATAAAAATCAAAACAACTAAAACTTCCAATCTTCAGCCAGGCGCAGTGGCTCACGCCTGTAATCCCAACACTTTGGGAGGCCAATGCAGCCGGATCGCCTGAGGTCAGGAGTTTGCGACCAGCCTGGCCAGCATGGTGAAACTCCGTCTCTACTAAAAATACAAAAATTAGCTGGGCATGGTGGTAGGTGCCTGTAATCTCAGCTACTTGGGAAGCTGAGGCAGGAGAATCGCTTGAACCCGGGAGGCGGAGGTTGCAGTGAGCCGAGATAGTGCCATTGCACTCCAGCCTGGGCAACAGTGCCAGACTCCGTCTAAAAAAAAAAATACAAACAAAAAACCTTCCAGTCTTCAAAGAGCACTGATAAGGATTGGGCTCAAATCAGCATCTGCACAGGATCCATCAAAGACCTTAGCTAATGCAGTTGGTGCTCTGTATCCACAGGTTTCAAATCCTGAGACTATTGTACAGTATTTTCGATTCATGCTTGGTTGAATCAGACAATGTCATGGGTTTACTGTATAACAGAGGCAGAAACTGTGGTCACTGCATTTCCCATGGCATTTAAAGGAAGGCAAGAAAAGCTGACAGAAGCTGTGATTTGTCCCTCAAATTAGAAGGGTTTTATGTAAAACTTCAGGAGAGAACTCCTCACAGTTAAGACTCATTTTTCTTACCTTGATATTCTTGATGATAACAAGTTACTCTGACATCCATTTCTAACTACCACATTGCCTGAATTTTTGGGGGGGAACAGGGTCTCACTCTGTCACCCAGGCTGGAGTGGCGTGGTACGATTTCGGCTTATCACAACCTCTGCCTCTCAGGTTCAAGCAATTCTCCTGCCTCAACCTCCCAAGTAGCTGGGACTACAGGTGCCTGCCACCATGCCCGGCTAATTTTTTATTTTTAGTAGAGACGGGGTTTCGCCGTGTTGGCCAGGCTGGTCTTGAACTCCTGACCTCAGGTGACCCACCCTCCTCGGCCTCCCAAAGTGCTGGGATTACAGGCGTGAGCCACCACGCCTGGCCATTGCTTGAATTCTGTTAAATGATCAATATTTCTGTGGATTGCAGCGTTCACAAAGCAGATTTTATGAGATAGCAATAGAACAGTTAGGAAACTGAAAACAGATAAACGAAAGTTACAACTCTAACCCCAATCATGTATTAGATACATATTATGTTTCTGTGTTAATTTCATCAACTTCACACACTCAAGCTGTTTGATAAAAATGTCCGCCTTTGCTGGGTGCAGTAACTCAGGAGGCTGAGGCAGGAGACTGGTTGAGGCCAGAGTTCAAGTCTACAGTGTGCTATGATCTTGCCTGTGAACAGCCACTTTACTACAGCATGGACAACATAGCAAGACCCTGTCTCTTAAAAAAAAAAAAAAAAAGTCTATCTTCATAGGTTGGAAAAAATGATTTTAAATGAATATTTCAGGATTCAGTCTATCCTACCCACTATATGCCCAATTTGGCAAAGTGCAAAATAATTTTTATTTTATTTTTAAGATAGGGTCTCGCTCTGTTGCCCAGGCTGGATGGCAGTGGCAGAGCCACTAAAACTTTATGCTGCTGTATAAATGCATCTCTTTTAAACATGGCTATGAACATATGAATAAAATGCTAAGCTCTAAAACTCTGTAAGATGGCCAGGTACCATGGCTCAGGCCGGTAATCCAAGCACTTTGGGAGGCCCAGGGGGGTGGATCTCTTGAGCCTAGAAGTTCAAGACCAGCCTGGGCAACATGGCAAAACCCCATCTCTACTAAAAATACAAAAGCTGAGGTGGGAGGATCACCTGAGCCTGGGAGCTCGACAGAGTGACAGCTCATCTCAAAATAATAATAATAATAATAAAATTTGGGAGGCCGAGGCGAGCGGATTACGAGGTCAGGTGATTGAGACCATCCTGGCTCACACAGTAAAACCCCGTCTCTACTAAAAATACAAAATATTAGCCAGGCGTGGTGGGGGGCACCTGTAGTCCCAGCTACTCGGGAGGCTGGGTCAGGAGAATGGCGTGAAACCGGGAGGCGGAACTTGCAGTGAGCCGAGATTGTGCCACTGCACTCCAGCCTGGGCAACAGAGCGAGATACCGTCTCAAAATAATAATAATAGTAATAATAAAATAAAACTCTACAAGACGCCGGGCACAGTGGCTCACGCCTGTAATCCCAGCACTTCGGGAGGCCAAGGCCTCTGGTACTCCAGGGGTTGAGGCAGGAGAATCGCTTGAACCCGGGAGGCGGAGGTTGCAGTGAGCCGGGATCGCATCACTGAACTCCAGCCTGAGCGACAGAGCGATACTCCGTCTCAAAAAAAAAAATAAAAAATAAAGACCATAGCCTCACTAACAAATGATGAAAATGTGAAAAGACTTTTTATACCTTTACTTTCTCTTGTTTAGTTCAACTTGGACAAACAAATCATTCTATGACAAAGAATACTTCTCATCGTTTAATGAGCACTCTGGTCAGTTAAAGGTTCCTGTTAAAAAGCAAATGCTGATTCAGTAGGTGGGAGAGTCTGAGATTCCGCATTTCCAACAAGCTTCCAGGTGAGGCCTATGCTACTTGTCACACTCTGAGAAGCAAGCAGTTAGAAGATACATGTGAGACACCTGTAATTAGGCAGATGCCTGCAAGATTTTTCCTTCTCGTACAGTCAAGATTCACCATTCAATTCAAAGATTTAATTCTCACATGCCAAGAGATGCAGAGGGAATACGTTTAACCTAAATCCTTATTCAGTTAGGTGGGCTTTGATAAAAATAACATAAGCATTGATATTAAATCTGACTTTCCCCTTACTCGAAGAGTTAACTGTAACTTTGAGAAGTTAAGTTCTTAGAGCCTCAGTTATCTCACATAACAATCCTCAGCGGTTATCAGATTAAAGTAAGAACGCGAAATGGTAAAATCAAACACCAGCAATTACCAAACCAGAATACTACTTGCTCATGTGGGGACATCTGTCCTGCCAGGTGTTGGAGGTACCTTCTGCACTGCCCTGACACTTCAGTGCACTAAGTATCACGAAAGGAGTTGCTAACTGCACGAATACCTACCCCCGCCCTCCCAAAACACAGTCTTAAATATAAAAATGGGAACACTGGTCTCTCTTGAATTAAGCCTAACACAACTATGTCTTTCCGCTCTTAGGAGACACGCAGGTGCACAAAACTAACAGAAAGTTACCAAAGAATAACCTGGAGAGATGAAAAGATGAGATGACACCCATTAATAATACTGGGGTTAGTAAAAGTCAGATGTGAGGGGGGACAAAGAAGAAATGAGCAAAGCTAACAGATTCACGGGACACGTGGGGGTAGAGCGTGCTAAAGCGCCTCACTGGGACCCACTACTGGATCTGACAAGAGGCAGGCGGGGCGCCCCTCCCAGGCGGATTCGCTGCCTCGGTACAGGGGCCGCTTCCCGCGGCCTTCCCGGCTCCACTGCTTTGTCTGCCGCCCGTGGACCCCACATACCGCTCCAGAGCTTTAGGAGTCCAGAGCCTGCCACACCATCAGGGCCACACCTACGGATGAGGTAGAGACCCAGGCGGCGCGGAGCGAGCCCTTCGGTTCGCAGCCCCGGCCGCGGCGATCGCAAGCAACCGGACTAACTCAGGGAGCCAAAGAGCGAAGGCGCTGGCGGGCAAAGGCTCTGCAGACTCTTCCCAGGTGACCTGACGCCTCTGTCGCTTATGCCCTCCTATTGGCTGATAATGAGTCCAACGTGAGGATAAAGTATCCAATCAGTGAAGGTCTTTTTAGAGTGAAGCGCTCATAGGTGGTTTAGGGAAATACACTAAGAGTCAAGGGACTGATCCAATGAGGACCCAGGAACACTATATTGGCCCTAACTACTCGCCGTCCACCAAGCCCTAACCGAAGAAATTTGATTCCGGCTGGGAAACTGTCACACCTTCACAACCTCAATACCCAGCTTTGTGGGGCCAGCAGGACTTCTCCGGTCCTGCATTCGGTAATTCAAATTGAGTATTTCTTTAGCAACTCTTGCAATTCTAATAAAGGCAATACCTAATATTTTATTCGCTTCTGTGAGTCTTAATTCATAAATTTTTTTTGTTTTGTGTTTTACTGTGGACGTTAGCACTACATTAGGCGTTCCTTGGATTTTCGTTTATTTCTTCTTGGTGTCCACTGTCTCCCTAGCAGCTTGAAAGACGCAAAGTACAGTTTTCGTTTAAGTAGCAATTTATTTTGGGGAAGAGGTTTTTTTTTTTTTCTTGTAAGGAATTTATTATCACAATCTTCTCAAATTCATATTTTAAAATATCTTCTATGTAGTTTATCAAAGTAAGGATTTATATACTTGTTTTATGGATGGCAATCACTTGAAGTTTTTGTTTAGGCATAGATTTTATTTTTTTTTTAATTTCTTTAAATACAAACCTACTCTTAACCCGCAGGCAGATCTTTGAGAATAATGTATCCATTGCAGTCAATAACCCCAATAAACAGATTCTGGATTCTCTCCATAACAGTTTGATTCGGCCACGTAGCTCATGTATTAAAGTCAGAAGGAATATGAGAGGCCTCTAATAGGAAAAGAGTGTGGATAACAATAAATATCCCAGATTGTATTCAATGCTAATATCTCCTATACTTCTTGAATTTAAAAACCAAGCAGCTACTTCTTGAATTTCTTTCCGTTCCCTTGTTCTCGGTTATCCTCTTGCTTCCAATGAACTCAAAATAGGAGCAAAATAAGCTAAGTAGAAAACAAATAGGCCGGGTGCGGTGGCTCACGCGTGTAATCCCAGCACTTTGGGAGGCCGAGGTGGGCGGATCACTTGAGGTCAGGATTTCGACACCAGCTTGGCCAACATGGTGAAACTCTGTCTCTACTAAAAACCAACCAACAAACAAACAAAACTAACCAGGCGTCGTTGCGGGCGCCTGTAATCCCAGCTACTTGGGAGGCTGAGGCAGGAGAATCGATTGAACCTGGGAGGCTGAGATTGCAGTTAGCCGAGATCACGCCACTGCACTCCAGCGTGGGCAACAGAGCGAGACGGTCTAAAAAAAAAAAAAAAAAAAGTCCAAAGGGCACAGCCAGGTTAAACATAACCCATTTGGTTGAGTTACTTTCTTCAGTATAGTTATTAAAAACAACTAAAAAAAAATCCCAGGAAATTAAACTTGCTATTTTTGTTAACGTTAATATATTAGGAAGGCAGGTACGGGGGCTCACGCCTGTAATCCCAGCACTTTGGGAGGCCGAGGTGGGTGGATCACCTGAGTTCAGGAGTTCGAGACTAGCCTGGCCAACATGGTGAAACCCCGTCTCTACTTTTTTTTTTTTTTTTTTTTTGAGACAGAATTTCTATCTTCCTGCCCAGGCTGGAGTACAATGGCGCAATCTCGGCTCACCGCAACCTCCGCCTCCCTAATTACAGGCATGCGCCACCACGCCCGGCTAATTTTTGTATTTTTAGTAGAGACGGAGTTTCTCCATGTTGGTCAGGCTGGCCTCTATCTCCTGACCTCAGGTGATCCGCCCGCCTCGGCCTCCCAAAGTGCTGGGGTTACAGGCGTGAGCCACCGCGCCCGGTCAGCCGTCCCTACTAAAAATACAAAAAATTAGCCTGGCGTGGTGGCGGGCGCCTGTAGTCCCAGCTACTCCGGAGGCTGAGGCAGGGGAATTGCTTGAACCCATGAGGCGGAGGTTCTAAGCCGAGGTCGTGCCACTGCACTCCAGTCTGGGAGACAGAGCGAGTCTCCGTCTCAAAATAAATAAATAAATAAATACTAAATATAATCATGCTTCTGCCATTATTGAGAAAAGTAATTCTTCCTGCACACTGCCATTACAGAATAGATGACTGCTATTAAGAAGCAGGGGGTGTGTTCACAAAAAAATAATTACCAGTTTCCTAAGCACCTATGGATTATAAGCCTTAGGGAGGTATTTAAAGATTTTAATAATCTGTATTCCCATATTAAAATGTCTAAACTTGGCCGGGCGTGGTGGCTCAAGCCTGTAATCCCAACACTTTGGGAGGCCGAGGCGGGCGGATCACAAGATCAGGAGATGGAGACCATCCTGGCTAACACGGTGAAACCCCGTCTCTACTAAAAATACAAAAAAAAAAAAAAATTAGCCGGTCGTGGTAGCAGGCGCCTGTAGTCCCAGCTGGAGGCTGAGGCAGGAGAATGGCGTGAACCCGGGAGGCGGAGCTTGCAGTGAACCGAGATCGCACCACTGCACTCCAGCCTGGGCGACAGAGCGAGACTCCGTCTCAAAAAAATAAAAAATGTCTAAGCTTGACACCAGTGAAGTTATACTACCTCCCATTGTGAGTCATTGCTTGTTCTTAGCCTCAGGTATCTTCCCACGGGACACTGGAATGTCGTTTCTCAGTAGCTGTGTTGCTTAAGACATGATTCAGATACTGGCAGTTTCATTCATTTAATTATTTAACAACCGGTTTTTGAACGCATACAATGTGCCATAGACAATCTTGACTATGGATTCAAAGGTAAGGAAAATCACAATCCCTGCCCTCAAGCAGCTCATGGTCTAAAGAGCTCAAGAAACAGTGGATTTCAAAACTTTTTGATCAGGCAACACTTTCAGCTTTATATATATGTATTCGAGTACATAGCTCTGACATATTTATATGTATTTATTCCTAAATTCTATACATGTACTATCAAATTAATATGTAGTTTTGAAAATGTCAAAGTAGAAATTTTTAAAGAAAGAGAAATATTTATAAATTGAAGCTCTCACTACCCATCCAGATGAAAATAAAATTGGATCCATATATTACATCATTTACCAAAAAAATAAATTCCAGGTGTATTAAAAACTCAAACCTTGAAGACTACATATATGACCTAGAAGCAGAGGGAAACCTTGAACAAAACTGGAAACCCAAAAGTTAAACAAGAAAAAAAATGGATACATTGGACTTGTTTTAAAAAGCAGCTGGCCAGGCGTGGCGGCTCACACCTGTAATTCCAGCACTTTGGGAGGCCGAGGTGGGTGGATCACTTGAGGTCAGGAGTTCCAGACAAGCCTGGCCGACAATGGCCAAACCCCGTCTCTGCTAAAAATACAAAAATTAGCCAGGCATGGTGGCACACGCCTGCAGTCCCAGCTACTTGGGAGGCTGAGGCAGGAGAATCACTTGAACCCGGGAGGCAGAGGTTGCAGTGAGCAGAGATCACACCATCGCACTCCAGCCTGGGTAGCAGAGCGAGACTCTGTCTCAAAAAAAGAAAAACAGCTCTATAGGTCAGGGTCAATCCCAAGAGCTGGTTTATAGAAAAGAATACCACAATCTCTGGAAAGTGGTGATCCTTTAACCTATTTGGATATAGATTTTTTTTTTTCTGGTCACTATGCACTGATCTAAGAAGAATTAAACTGTTTCAAGACTCAGAACAACCAAATATGCCCCAAAGTCTATGACTGAAACAAAATAGCTCAACAATTTTTCATTGGGCACCATGGTAAAAACATTCATTCAAATTGAGATTTAGATAATAAATGCAGATTAAAATGTTATCTTTTCCCAACAATATGTGCTTTTTTTTTTTCTTCTTTGAGATGGAGTCTTGCTCTGTCGCCCAGGCTGGAGTGCACTGGAGTGCAGTGGTGTGATCACGGCTTACTGCAACCTCTGCATTCTGGATTCAAGTGATTCTACTGCCTCAGCCTCCCGAGTAGCTGGGATTACGGCATGCACCACCACACCTGGCTACTTTTTACATTTTCAATAGGAATGGGGTTTCACCATATTGGCCAAGCTGGTCTCAAACTCCTGACCTCAGGTGATCTGCCCGCCTCGGCCTCCCAAAGTGCTGGGATTTTACAGGCGTGAGCCACCTCGCCCAGCCCAATATGTGCTTTTATTAGTAATTAAAGGAGCTTTGAAGTCAATGGGCACTGCATGCATCACTGACTCTTGCCTCAGGTGAGATGAAGTTGGCCCACTAACTGGTCTTGACCAGCTCTCCTGTAGCCCAGCCTCTCCCAGACACATCTAGCCTCACTGTGTCTCAAAGCACCCTTCAGAAGGGCACTTCACCGTCCTACCCAATAATCTTTTACCATCCATTCCTATATTCTAATGCAGAACCTCCTGAAGCTTATTTCAGTGTGTTACATTTTCTCCAGGGGGCAATTAGAGCTGGGGAAAGAAAAAACAGAACTAGAGGAAAAGGGTCTCAACTTCCAGGAAAGATCCTTTGTAAGCTTTGCAGATTATTCAACCTGTCTCAACAAATGGGGCTGTCATTAAGCCTTATATGAGAAACAGGCTGACATAGACATTGGTCTGTTCCTACTTTACTAACCACTGGATCGCAACCACCCAAGCTGACTATATATCCTACATGGTTATTATTTATTGGGCCCTTGAGCTAAACCAGGCACTCCCTTGAGCATTTGACAAATGTTACATAATCGGTCCTCAAGGCTACTCTTTGAGCCGTCTACTACTGCCACTGTGAAAGCCAAGAAATTGAGACCCTGGAAGGCTGACTGTCTTGCTCAAGACCACACTACTAGTCATTAGCAGAGGCATATTTCCAACAAGGGTCTGTCTGCCTCTGAAGCCCATATTCTTTCTACTACAGTATACTGCTTCATTGTCTACCAATATTAATGGGAATCTGATATTTTGTTAAATCTCTATGATGAAGGAAGCTCACAATCAGCCTTGGTCACCTTTCTTTTGCCTAATACATCTAACAATGAATAAATCTATTTGCCTAAATAATGGCATTTATAATCCTTTAATTTCCTACTCAGAATTCGGAGGCCCAAAAAAGATAAGGGACTTTTTCAAGGCCATACAGTGAGTAAGAGAGCTCTGTTTCTTTCTCTTCTATTCAATAAAAACTGCAAATGGCAGACGAAGTTTCAGTTATTCCAGATTCTGCCAAGAAAACTGAGCCCTTAACTTGGGTCAAGAACTCTAGGATCAAATACACTAAAAAGAAAAGTATTCTATTTTCTTCTCACATCCCCAAATGGATTGCCCTCTAATCTTCCACATTTGTTTCCAAAGCTAGCTATGCAGAACAATCATAGTTCTGCCGAATAGACCTGCAGATGTAGAGGCCTGGGCATACATAGTTTTAAACAGCTCCATTGTGAAATTTGAGAGCCACTGATCTTGTGGAGGAAACATAAATTGTATTAATTATCTAATGTGTCATTTGTATTTAATTTTATTTATTTAATTTAACTTAATTTAATTTTTGAGACAGAGTCTCATTCTGTCACCCAGGATGGAGTGCAATGTTGAGATCAGGGCTCACGGCAGCCTCAACCTCCCCAGGCTCAGGTGATCCTCCTACCTCAGCCTCCTGAGTAGCTGTGACTACAGATGCACACCACCACACCTGGCTACCTTATGTATATTTTTTCTTTTTTCTTTTTTTTTTTTTAAGACAGTGTCTTGCAAGGCCCCCTGGGCTGGAGTGCAATGGCGCAATCTTGGCTCACTGCAACCTCCGCCTCCTGGGTTCAAGTGATTCTCCTGCCTCAGCCTCCAGAGTAGCTGGGATTACAGGCGCCTGCCACCACGCCTGGCTAATTTTTTTTATTTTTAGTAGAGACAGGGTTTCACTATGTTGACCAGGCTGGTCTCAAATTCTTGAACTCAAGTGATCTACCTGCCTCAGCCTCCCCAAGTGCTGGGATTACAGGTGTGAGCCACGACACCGAGCCCTTACGTATATTTTTTTCTAGAGATGAGGTTTCACTATGTTGCCCAGGATGGTCTTGTACTCCTGGGCTCAAGCAATCCTCCCGCCTTGGCCTCCCGAAGTTCTGGGATTACAGGTGTGAGCCACCGTGCCCGTCCTGTATATCGCTTCCTAATACATTTCTACAAAAGTTGTCAACTTAACACAATAATAATTTACTAGCTTATAGTTTCTGTGCATCAGGCATCCATGTGCAGCTTAGCTGGGTGCCTCCGGCTCAGATCTCTCAAAAGGCTGCTATCAAGAGGTCAGCCAGGGCTTCAGTCATCTCAAGGGTTGAGTGAGAGAGGCTATTTTTCCAAGCTCGCCTCACATGGCCGTTAGTAGGACTCAGTTTCTCATAGCTGATGGAAGGAGAGCCTTAGTTCCTTGCTGAGTGTTGGTCAGAGGCTTCCCTCAGTTTCTTGCCACAGGGGCTTCTCCTTAGGGCAGCTCACATATGACATTGTCTTTCCTCAGAGCACGTGAAGGAGAGCTAGAAGGAGCAAACAGAATGAAAGCCACAATCTTTTTGTAACCTAACCTAGAAATGACATCCTTTCATTCTCGCTGTATTCTATTCACTAGAAGCAAGTCGATGCTCAAGGAGAGGGGATTATACAAGGGGCATGAATACCAGGAGTCAAGGATCACTGGGGGTCACCTTAGAGGCTGACTATCACAGAGATGTAAACAAAGAATTAAAAAACAAGGTGGTAATATATTTCCTAGCTCTGTCTTATAAGAGAAGCTAAATTCAACAATATCCTGGGCCTGGCATGGTGGCTCATGCCTGTAATCCCAGCATTTTGGGAGGCCAAGGCAGAAGGATCAGTTAAGCCCAGGAGTTTGAGGCCAGCCTAAGCAACACAGCAAGATGCCATCTCCATAAAAAATAAAATAAAATAATAAATTAAGTGATATCCCAGTAGCAATGAGATCATCCAGTACCTAAATCTTGGTTTCTAAATACCATTCCAGGACTCCTTGAAGAAATGGCTGATTTTAGGGCTGGGTAAGGAAAAATACAAGATAAGCACAGAGCATCTTATAGTTCCAGAAAAAAGGAGATAATCAAAAAACAAAAGGACCACATGAACCTAGTTAAAATAACTCCCAATGGCCAAAGCTGAAACAATTTGAGTAACAGTAAAAATCATAGTATACTTATGAAACAAAGTATAAAATAAATATACAAGAGTCTATATGTCTATATAAATAAATGATCGAATATAAATCAATAAATGAGGAAAGACAAATCTTCCTCACAGAATTCCAAATAAGGCTTATAGATTGTCCACTCCAGAAGTTGAAGTTTAATCCCCTGTTCCACTTGAGTGTGAGCAGTATTTAGTGACTTGTTTTCAAAGAAACGAATATGGAAAGTGGGAAAATACATCTTTATAGTGGAGTAACTAGCAAATATTACCATGTGTGAGCCTCACCAGTAATAAGGTGGGGTGATAGCATGTATCCTCTGACATAATGTGATGAGAAGGTCATCTCATCATGTGATGTTTTCCCCAAACCCTATAACCACAGTCTAATCATGAGAAAAACATCAGACAAACACAAATCGAGGGACGTTCTACAAAATACCTGACCAAACTTCAAAACTGTCATGGTCATATCAGGGTCATGAAAAACAAGAAAAGACTGAAAAACGGTCACAGATCAGAGGAGACTAAGGAGGCTTGATGACTAAATGCAGTGTGGCATCTTAGATTAGATCCTGAAACAGAAAAATAACCTTACTGAAACCCAAATGAGGTCTGGAGTTTAGTAAATAGTAATGTACCAATATTGGCTCTTTAGTTTTTTTGTTTTTTCCTTTTATTTATTTATTTATTTAAAAAATAGAGATGGGGTCTCACTTTATTGCTCAGGCTGGTCTTGAACTCTTGGGCTCAAATGATCCTCCCAGCTTGGCCTCCCAAAGTGTTAGGATTACAGGTGTGAGCCACCACGCCTGGCTGGCTCTTTAGTTTTGTAAGTGTATCATGGTAATGTAAGATGTTAACATTAGGGAAACTGGGTGAGGAGTAGACAGGAACTTTACGTACTCTTAACTTTTCTGTAAATCTAAAATAATTCTAAAGTAGTTAATTAAAAACAAAAAGCAAAGCATCCTGCTTACAATTTTAGAAGCGTGATGACCAGAAGATCTCCCCTAGATTAGCTTCTGGCTTAGTGCATTTCAAACTCTCTTTCTCTCTCTTTTTTTTTTTTTTTTTTTTTTTGAGGCAGAGTCTTGCTGTGTCACCCAGGCTGGAGTGTAGAGTGCAGTGGCGTGATCTCGGCCCACTGCAACCTCCGCCTCCCGGGTTCAAGCGATTCTCCTGCCTCAGCCTCCCGAGTAGCTGGGAACAGGCACCCGCCATGAAGCCCGGGTAATTTTTTTTTTTTTTTTTGTATTTTTAGCAGAGACAGGGTTTCACCATATTCGTCAGGCTGGTCTCGAACTTCTGACTTCAAATAATCCGCTCATTTCGGCCTCCCAAAGTGCTGGAATTATAGGCGTGAGCCACTGCGTCCAGCCCTTTTTTTTTTTTGAGACAGAGTCTCGCTTGGTCGCCCAGGCTGGTGTGCGTGGTCTCCGCTGACTGCAGCCTCTGCCTCCCGGGTTCATGCAATCCTCCTGCCTCAGCCTCCTGAGTAGCTGGGATTACAAGCACGTGCCACCACATTCAGCTTTTTTGTATTTTTGGCGGAGACGGGGCTTCACCATGTTAGCTAGGCTAGTCTCAAACTCCTGACCTCAAGTGATCCACCTGCCTCAGCCTCCCAAATTGCTGGGATTACAGGCATGCACCACCGCGCCTGGCCTCAAACTTTCTTTCTCCTCCACTAGCCACATACTTCTAGGGCCAGGTGCCAAGGGACCCATCCCTGTATCATAGCACTGAGTGAGTTGGCAGAGCATGTCTTGCTCGAAGCCAATCCAGCACCAGGAAAGACAGCAGTAACTTATCACGAAGTGGCCCAAGTTCAATTCAACTCTCTTTTCCCCACCTAGATCCCCAAAATGTCCAAGGCCACTCCAGCGTATCTAGCATGAAAGGAAGTATGAAGGAAGGGAAGTTGGAAAGGAAAAAAAAAAACAAAAAAGACAGGTCTTAACCCATGCCTCTTTGAGGGGTGCTTTAAGACATTTTCCTTTTAATAAATAAGTAGGAAACAACATATAATCTCGTAAACTCGATGCTAAAGTTCCTCTATGGACTTTGGAAAGGCTGGCGAAAGCCAGCGTGCCTGAAACACAAGCTTCATTAGCTTAGCAGTAAATACCCTCCGGAAAGATCTCAGAGGAAGAAATTAGTGCCCTTTGACAGAATCGCCACCGTCCATTGCTCCCACCCTTTCGGCTCCAAAGCTCCTGCTCTTTCATTCAGCCTCAGACAAGCACTCACTTCTCAGGAAGTATTCCCTGAGACATTATGGAGGCGCCCAGGCTCCCACCTCGATTCCATTATAATATTTGATTAAGTTTGTGTTTTTGTTTAGTTTGTGTTATCTCCTCGTTATCTTGTAGGCTCACTTAGGGCGTGGCTCAAGGCTTTTAACAACCTTTCTGCTGTCATAGTTGTCCCCCAACAAGCCGTTGTTGAGTAAATGAGTTAATGCTCTGGGTGAAGGAGGAAAGCCCTCACTAGGAAGAGACTTGTGCCACCCGGGGCAAGAACATCAGAGATCCAGTGACAGCCCAGCGACCTCCGGGATCAATTGCAATGGGAGGGTAAGAGAGACAGCCAATCAGCAACAGCCTCTTCAAAAGCCATACAAAAATACGGACAGGTTTCCTACCCTACATAGGAATCTTTCATCACGCCTACGCACATTACTACACTGCATAAGTTAGCTAGAAATGTAATAATCATATTTTCACGACAATTATTTGAAATCCAGAGTGTCCTAGAGTATTCAAATCTTTAGAAAGCACGTGCCCCAAATGAATCGGACTGAACAGACGCTGGAACCGAACATGGTAAAGTAAAATACTTATCCATGAGGCACTTTGTAATCCCCGCACTCCTGCTCTGCCTAAAGAGAAACATCTCGGATGTGAGGTCCGCATAGGCATTAGATCTGCCGGGTGGACACAGGTCCCTACAGCGTGGGGTGAAATGGGCTCCACATGTTAGGTTAACAAAAGCTTACGACTCGCAGCCTTTTTCAAGGTAATACACATCTGCGGCTACATTCAGAATGTGGGTGTCCCTAAACCCCTAAAGCATGAAGCTGACAAAAGCACTTCCCAGGACAGGACGGTGAAGGCACAAAGCAAGGTCCGCACAAAAGCACACGCCCCTCTCAGAGCTCCGCGCGTGCGCACACCGACTGTGACTCTCAGCAGCCGGCTTGCGGAGCGGTTGCCGCGTCCTCTGCCGAGCTTCTTGTGCCCGCCTCCGAGCCTGAGGAAACAGCTGATTGATCAGCCTGGCTCAGGCTTGGGGCGGGGATTGGCTGATTGGCAGCAACGCCACGGGACAGCCAAGCTAGAAGCCTGAGGAGCCGGAGAGGGTGCTGGCTGCCGCGCGGCCGAGGTGAGTAGGGTGGGAACTCGGAAAAGCGGTTGGCTAGCGGGTGATGAAGTCGGCTGCAGGCCTGACGGCGATGGGATGCCCTGGAAACAGTCAGAACAGGAGCTGAAGGAGCTCGGTTCGGGAACGCAGGGAGGCCGGCGGGATCCTGGGCCGGTTGAGTGTTTGCCCCGCGGCCGGGAGGCAGAGACTGCCTCGGCTGAGGGCGCGTGGGTCGGGGGCTCCGGAGGAGCTGAGGGAAGTCGGCTGACTTGCCCTGAAGGCTGAGACTCGCCCACCCGCCAATCTACCCCTACACCTCCTGCCCCCTCCCCCGACCTTCGGTCCATCTTTCGGACCCCCGGTTCCCGCGCCGGCCGCCAGGCGGCGGTCCTGGGGAGACCGCCCTTCGCGGCGGCTCCCTTGGGTGCTGCGCCCTTAACGGGCTCAGGAGCCGGACTGCGCGGGTGCACCGCCAGCCGGCCTCCGGGAGGAGCAGTGCGCTGGCTGATCCGCCGGGAAGTTTAACCAGCTTCCTGTGGTTGCTGTGTCGCTTTTCGCCTCCTAGAACTTCCCAGTGTATCTTCTGACCATGACCAGGGTTTGCAGGAAACCCCAAAGCCGGCCTTTGGGCATTAACAACAGCAGCATTTTATTATGGAAATCTTCAAACTGTGGAGAAATTGAACGAAGGATATAAGGAATTCACTGTACTCATTACCCAGTTTCAGTAATTATCAATACGTGGGCAGTCTTGCTCCCCTAATCCGGGTTATTTTGCGTTTTTGAGACAGGGTCTCTGTCACCCAGGCTGGAGTGCAGTGGCGGGATCTCTACCCACTGCAGCCTCCACCTCCTGGGCCCCAGCGATCCTCACGCCTCAGCCTCCCCACTAGCTGGGACTACAGGCAGGCGCCATCACGCCCGGCTTTCCCCCCCCCCCCCCTTTGTAGAGATGGGGTCTCCTTATGTTGCTCAGGCTATCTTTGAACTCCTTGGCTTAAGCGATCCTCCCTCCTTGGCCTCCCAAAGTGTTGGGATTACAGGCGGGAGTCATCGCACCCGGCTATCCTGGGTTATTTTGAAGCAAATCCCAGACATTATATAATTTCAATTATTTTACATATTTCTATGCCTCTGTCATGATGAATAATCATACATATAATAATTTGCTTTCTAGAGGGGTCAAGTAAAATAAGGGACATATTAAAGTGTAGACAGTGCTCATTTAGTTTGTACTACCAGAATTTAGGTAACTGCTACAGTGCAGTTTCATTATCTTGTGCTCAGGTTTTCAAAATCAGAGTTACCAGATAATCTAGACAGTAGTGCTCTTGCTTTTGAATAGTAATAATTGTATTGATAATTTCTATTTGTCGAGTTCTTAGTATGTATGAAGGACTGTGAAGTTGTTTCCACCTACTCATTTAATTTTTGCAATAACCCTATGAAGTAGGTATTATTATCCCCATGTTAGAGTTAGGAGAAAGAAATTTGGAGAGGTCACAATTTACCTGAAGTCACACTGCTGAAAGGATGGGGGTGGGGGTAGAATTCAGAATGCTACTCTTGGCCTTTGTCATTGCAAAGTTCTTGCTCTTTTAACTGTAACAATGTCCTAGGAGTTGTGGAATAAATGGAACTGCTGTGGAAAATTATTTCTGTTAAGCCACAAATCAGTAATGGAAAAAAAAAAGCCTGAAAATTTACACAAATACAAACAATAGTGAGAGAGGTATGTTTGTTCTTTGAAAAGTTAAAGATTATTACAACTAAATTTGATGTCCTGAGAAAACATAGCTCAACAAATACAAGTGCTAAAAATTTTATTCTTGGCCAGATGCATGGCTCAGCCGAGCACTTTGCAAAGGCCGAGGCAAGAGGACCCCTTGAGACCAGCCTGGGCAATATAGTGTGACACTGTATTTAAAAAATAAAAGTAAAATAAACATTTTATTCTTTAATATGTAACCAGTTAGAGAGAAAAGGAAAATATACATCAATGAATAGCCTCTACCACTCCTTTAGCACATAGCATATATTGGATATTAATACTAAATATTTCATCTATATCCTTCATCCTCCCAATCTTAAACTACTAAGACAACATCTTCATCCAAATAGTGTTAGATGAATAAGGAATGAGATAGAAACAGCTGGGCCTCCTCTACTTATTCAAAGGACAGTAGAGAAGGACTATTAGCTTGGAGTTTAGGAATCCTACTGGATAGGAGTAATTCAGAAGTCCAGAAGTCAGGTCAGAATCCTTTGTGAAGGAACTTGAGTGCCACTTAAAGAGTTTAAACTTAATGAGCAAAGAAGTGACATGATCAAAGTTATCTTACAGGAAGATAGATACAGGAAGATAGCTGGTACTGTCAAAGGTGGCTTTACCAGTCATGTGAAAGGATTAGCAGTTGGTTGACCTGATAAATATAAAGGAAATAGACGTGGGGAACTGGCAAATTTATGGATATGAGGAAAGGACCAGACAGAGAATACAGCCTGAAACAGAGAAAAGAGAATGGTATATAGTAGGATTTTTTTTGTTTTTGTTTCTGTTTTTTTTGAGATGGAGTTTTACTCTTGTTGCCCAGGATGCAGTGCAGTGGTGTGATCTCTGCTCACTGCAACCTCTGCCTCCTGGGTTCAAGCGATTCTCCTGCCTCAGCCTCCCATGTAGCTGGATTACAGGCGTAGGCCACCACGCCCAGCTAATTTGTATTTTTAGTAGAGACAGAGTTTCACCATGTTGGCCAGGCTGGTCTTGAACTCCTGACCTCAGTTGATCCAACTGCCTCAGCCTCCTAAAGTGCTGGGATTATAGGTGTGAGCCACCATGTCTGGCCTATAGTACGTTTTGAAGTGATGATAGACTTCATTTTCCATGGGTTTGTTTTCTTGGGCCATCCTGGTGATGAGTTGGTGATGAGTTTTTACTGTATCACTGTTCTTTGAAGTGGTAATTACTGCCCAGCTACTGAACTATTCTTTTATATATTTATTAGATACTATTGATAGAAATTACACAATTTAGATAAGCAACAAAAAAAAAAATGACACTATAATCCTACCCTTTAAAGATAACCACTTGATGGGGAAAAGGTGATAACAGTTTTAGTTAACATTTATTTGATTACTGTTGGACATTTTTCACATTTTATTTTCTGTTTGTATTTCTACTTGTAAAATGCCTACTGACGTACTATGCCTATTTTTCCATTGGGCTTTTGATCATTTGTTTGTTTGTTTGTTTGTTTGTTTGTTTTGAGATGGAGTCTCGCTCTGTCACCCAGACTGGAGTGCAGTGGTGCGATCTTGGCTCACTGCAAGCTCTGCCTCCCGGGTTCACGCCATTCCATTCTCCTGCCTCAGCCTCCTGAGTAGCTGGGACTACAGGCGCCCGCCACTAAGCCCGGCTAATTTTTTCTATTTTTTAGTAGAGACGGGGTTTCACTGTGTTAGCCAGTATGGTCTCGATCTCCTGACCTCGTGATTCGCCCACCTCGGCCTCCCAAAGTGCTGGGATTACAGGCGTGAGTCACCATGCCTGGCCCATTTGTTTCTTTATTTGCAAGCACTTTATATTCATTAGGGATATAAACCATTTGTTACATTAAGTTGCAAATAGGTTTCTCAATTACATGGCTCTTCTCAAAATCTTCAGAGTGGCTAGTAAAATGAAAAATATGTCAGCTGGGAGAGCACTCAGGGCTGCTGTTTTAGGGACCAGAACATTCCACCTCTGAAACAATTCCTTCATTTATGATACTGAAGTTATTGTCAACCAGTCAATCTGCAAGTCATTTTTACCAAATAAATTGTTTTGTGTAAATAGTTGATATCATTAAAAAATTTTTTTTCTGCTCCGACTCCACCGGGAGATATCATTTAACGTATAATTTGTACAACTGGAGTTGACTGGTGTGAGTTGGTTGTGGTTAAAATGTAAACAGTCAGACAAGTTAAACAGGAAAGTTAAGTTTCCATGATTGAAAAAACATACATTGTAATGTACATATAAATATATATATAAAGCAGTATAACTAAGATCTTTTTAAACATTTAAGATTTTTTTTTAGGGACAGAGTCTTTCTTTGTTGCCAGGTTGGAGTGCAGTGATGCTATCATAGCTCTAAGATATTTTATTAATTTTTTTCACCTCCCTCCCTTGGTTACTTTTTGAAATGGCCGATTTGATATATAGTCGGCCTTCTGGATTCATAGGTTCTGTATCCGCAGATAGAAAATATTTGAAAAAACAATGATAAAATAACAATATGACAATAAGAAACAATACAAATAAAACAATACAGTAGACAACTGTTTCCATTATATTAGGTATTACAAGTAATCTACAGATGACTTCAAGTATATGGGAGGATGTGTATAGGTTATATGGAAATACTGTATCATTTTATATTTCTTTTTTTTTTTGAGATGGAGTTTTGCTCTTGTTTCCCAGGCTGGAGTGCAATGGCACACACGATCTCGGCTCACTGCAACCTCCACCTCCCAGGTTCAAGTGATTCTCCAGCTTCAGCCTCCCGAGTAGCTGGGATTACAGGACCCCGCCACCACGACCTGCTAATTTTTTGTATTTTTAGGAGAGACAGCGTTTCACCATGTTGGCCAGGCTGTCTTGAACTCCTGACCTCAGGTGATCCACCGCCTCAGCCTCCCAAAGTGCTGGGATTACAGGTGTGAGCCACCGCGCCTGGCCCATTTTATCTTTATTTTTATTTTTGTGGGTACATAATAGGTATATGTATTTATGGGGTACGTGAGATATTTTAATACAGGCATATAATGTGTAATAATCACATCAGGGTAAATGGTAAATGGGGTATCCACCTCAAGTATTTATCCTTTCTTTGTGTTACAAACAATCCAATTATACTTTTAGTTATTTTTTAATGTACAATAAATTATTGTTGGCTATAGTCATCCTGTGATGCTATCAAATTCTAGGTCTTATTCATTCTAACTGTATTTTTGTATGCATTAACCATCCCTACTCCATCTCCCCCCACCCCCCCACACTGTCCTTTGCAGCACCTGATAACCATCCTTTTGGGTTTTTTTGTTTTGTTTTTGAGATGGAGTCTCGCTCTGTCACCAAGGCTGCAGTGCAGTGGCGTGATCTCGGCTCACTGCCACCTCTGCCTCCTGGGTTCAAGCGATTCTCCTGCCTCAGCCTCCCAAGTAGCTGGGGTTACAGGCGCCCACCACCACGCCCGGCTGATTTTTGTATTTTTAGTAGAGATGGGGTTTCACTACGTTGGCCAGACTGGTCTCGAACTCCCGACCTCAGGTGATCTGCCTACCTCAGCCTCTCAAACTGCTGGGATTACAGCTGTGAGCCACCATGCCCAGCCTAATTTTTGTATTTTTAGTAGAGACAGGGCTATGCCATGTTGGCCAGACTGCTGGTAACCATCCTTATACTCTTTTTTTTTTTTTTTTTTTTTGAGACAGAGTTTTACTCTGCAACCTCCGCCTCCCAGGTTCAAGCAATTCTCTGCCTCAGCCTCCCGAGTAGCTGGGATTACAGGCGCCCACCATCATGCCCAGCTAATTTTTTGTATTTTTAGTAGAGACGGGGTTTCACCATTTTGGCCCAGGCTGATGTTGAACTCCTGACCTTGTGATCCACCTTCCTTGGCCTCCCAAAGTGCTGGGATTACAGGTGTGAGCCACCGCGCCTAGCCAACCATCCTTATACTCTTATCTGCATGAGTTAAGTTGTTTTAATTTTTAGGTCCCGTAATAAGTGAGAATATGTGAAGTTTGTCTTTTTCTGCCTGGCTTATTTCGCTTAACATAATATCCTCCAGTTCCATTCATGTTATTTTCAAATGACAGGATCCCATTCTTTTTAATGGCTGAATAGTACTCCGCTATGTATATGTATCACATTTTCTTTATCCATTTGTCTGTTGATAGACATTTATTTAGTTGCTTCCAAATCCTGGCTGTTGTGAATAGCTCTGCAACAAACATGGCACGGCAGATATTGCTTCAATATACTGATTTCCTTTCTTTTGGGTCTATACCTACCAGTGAGATTGACGAGTCATATGGTAGCTCTATTTCTAGTTTTTTGAGGAACCTCCAAACCGTTCTCTATAGTGGTTGAGCAAATTTACAGTCCCACCAACAGGATATGAGGATCCCTTTTCTCCACATCCTTGCCAGCATTCATTCTTGGCTGTCTTTTGAATATAAGCCATTTTAACTGGGTGAGATGGTATGTCATTGTAGTTTTGATTTGCATTTCTCTGATGATTGGAGCACTTTTTTAATATACCCGTTTGCCATTTGTAAGTCTTCTTTTGAGAAATGTCCATTCAGATCTTTTGCCCATTTTTGAATTAGATTATTCGATTTCTTTCCTATTGAATTGTTTGAGCTACTTATGTATTCTGGTTGTTAATCCCTTGTCAGGTGAATAGTTTGCAAATTTTTTTTCCGTTCTGTGGGTTGTCTCTTCAGTTTATTGATTATTTCATTTGCTATGCAGAAGCTTTTTGACTTGATGTGATCTCATTTGTCCTTTTTTTGCTTTGATTGCCTAATACCCCATGTGGGGTGCTATTCAAGAAATCATTGCCCAGACCAATGTCCTGGAGAGTTTCCCCCAGTGTTTTCTTGCAGTAGTTTCATAGTTTGAGGTCTTAGATTTAAGTCTTTAATCCATTTTGATTTGATTTTTGTATATGGCAAGAGATGGGTTGTAGTTTCATTCTTCGGTATGTGGATATCCAGTTTTCCCAGCACCATTTATTGAAGAGACTGTCTTTTCCCAATGTATGTTCTTGGCACCTTTGTTAAAAATGAGTTTACTGTAGACCTATGGATTGATTTCTGGGTTCTCTACTCTGTTCCATTGGTCTATGTGTCTGTTTTTATGCTACGACCATGTTGTCTCGGTTACTATAGCCCTGTAGTATAATTTGAAGTCCAGTTTTTTTCTTTTTGCTCAGGATAGCTTTGGCTATCCTGGGTCTTTTGTGGTTCCATATAAATTTTAGGATTATGTTTTCTATTTCTGTGAAGAATGTCATTGATATTTTGATAGACATTTTGATAGATATTTCATTGAATCTGTAGATTGCTTTGGGTGGTATGGACCTTTTAACAATATTGACTTTTCCAGTTCATGAACATGGAATATTTTTTCCTTGTGTGTGCCCCCTTTAATTTTTTTTTTTTTCAGACAAGGTTTTGCTCTATCATCCAGGCCGGAGTGCAGCGGCATGATCACAGCTCATGGGCTCAGGAGGCCCTCCTGCCTCAGCCTCCCATGTAGTTGGGACTACAGGCACATGCCACCATGCCTGGCTAATTTTTTTTTGAGACGAAGTCCCACTCTGTCGCCCGGGCTGGAGTCTGGGGTGCAGTGGTGCTATCTCAGCTCACTCCAACCTCTGCCTCCCAGGTTCAAGCAACTCTCGTACCTCAACCTCCCAAGTAGCTGGGATTACAGGTGTGCATTACCACACCCGGCAAATTTTGTATTTTTTAGTACAAAAATATAGGCTGGTCTCAAACTCCTGGCCTCAAGTGATCCTCCTGCCTCTGCCTCCACCTCCCAAAGTGCTGGGATTACAGCTGTGAGCCATCATATCTAGCCCTTAATTTTTTGTTTTTTTGTAGAGGTGGGTCTCCCTATGTTATCCAGGCTGGTCTCAAACTCCTGAGCTCAAGTGATCCTCCTGCTTTGGCCTCCCAAGGTGCTGGGATTACAGGCATGAGCCACCACCCTGACCCTCTTAAATTGCTTTTGAGTTTTCATTGTAGATATCTTTCACTTTGATTTCACTTTGGTTAATTCCTAGGTATTTAATTTTATTTGTGGCTATTGTAAATGGGATTAATTTATTGATTTGTTTTTCAGATTGTTCACTGTTGGCATATAGAAATGCTACTGAGTTTTGGATGTTGACTTTGCATCATGTAACTTTACTGAATTTATCAGTTCTAATAGTTTTTTGGTAGAGTCTTTAGGTTTTTCCAAATACAAGATTACATCATCTGTAAACAAGGATAATTTGACTTCTTCCTTTCCTATTTGGATGTCCTTTATTTCTTTCTCTTGCCTGATTGCTCTAGCTAGGACTTTTTACTATGCCATTTTATATAAGGCACTTGAGCATCTGTAGATTTTGGTGTCCATGGGATTCCTGGAACCAATCCCCTGTGGATACTGAAGGACAAGTGTATAATGTGTACAGGCAGGAGGGTAAACTGCTTTCCTAAAGAGATGATTTTAGGTGGAACAAGAATCAACTTTGTATTTATTTTAGTCAAGATATCCTTTTCTGTCTGTTTTGGCTCAGATAGGGAGTACAATGTATAGTTAAGTACTTTAAAGTATATCCTGGAACAAACTTTGATTGCATCAGTATTATTGCTTGGCATGAGGCTAAGTTTATTTAATTTTTAAAAAATGAGTTTATTTAAGATCGAGCACAGTGGCACACGCCTGTAATCCCAGCACTTTGGGAGGCCGAGGTGGGTGGATCACCTCGATCACCAGGCAGTTCGAGACCAGCCTGACCAGTGTGGTGAAACTCCGTCTCTACAAAAAATACAAAAATTAGCTGGGCGTGGTGGTCTGCACCTGTAATCCCAGCTTCTCGGGAGGCTGAGGCCCAAGAATCGCTTGACCCCGGGAGGTGGAGGTTGCAGTTAGCTGTTATCGTGCCACTGCACTCCAGCCTGGGCAACAGAGCAAGGCTCTGTCTCAAAAAATAAAAATAAGAAAGAAAGAAAAAAACAGTTAATTTAAATTAAAACATTAAGAGCATCCAGATATGACAAAACTCATAAACCAAGTATGAAGGTTTGAAGTTGAGAAATACTAGTATAGCCTGTAAGGGTTCCCAAAGTTTATATATTGCTAATGTTTATTATTTACTTAGATGGTCCAAATTAGAATAATTTTTATGTTTTTACTTTTTAGATTTCAGTTATTTAATTTAGAAAATGTTACTAGTCTTTAAAAATTACAAAAGTAGGCTGGGTATGGTGGCTCATGCCTGTAATCCCAGCAATTTGGGAGGCTAAGGTGGGAGAATCACTTGAAGCCAGGAGTTTGAGACCAGCCTGGGCAACATAGTGAGACCCCATCTCTACAAAAAAGTATAAAGTTAGCTGGATGTGATGATATGCCTATAGTCCTAGCTACTTGGGAGGCTGAAGCAGGAGGATCACTTGAGCCCGGGAGCTTAGGGCTGCAGTGAGCTCTGATGGTGCCATTGCACTCCAGCCTGGGTGACAGAGTGAGACTTTGTCTCTCAAAAAAAAAAAAAAAAAAGGAAAATCACAAAAGTAGTACATGTATCCTATTGGGGGGAAAGAAAACATACAAACAATACAGGAGTGCATAAGTGTATAATAAAAGTGGAGGGTCTCACCACCAAGCCCTCAGATATAGTAAGTGTTAAGTTTTGGTAAGTTTTCAGATCTTTCCTCTATTTCACCACTGTTTCTGTTACTTTATTGTTTTTTAGTTATTTTTAATGGAATTAATATGTATTTGTAACTTTTTTCATTCAGCATTTTATTATGAAAATTGTTTCATGTATGGCTCTATCTTTTTTGTTTTAATGGCTGTAAACTTAGAATGGGCATATTTAATTTATTGAATTAATTTTAACCATTTCCCTATTGATGGTCATTTAGATTACCTTTGGATTTTCTCTTTCACAGTAATGTTTCAGTGAATACCCTTGCCAGCTTTCAAAAACTAAACATCTTTCTCCTTGGAGAAAGGTATAATTTACTGAGTTCTTCCATTAAAGCAATTTTTTTGTGTGTTGTGTTGTGTTTGAGACAGTTTCACTCTGTTACCCAGAGTGGAGTACAGTGGCGCACTGATAGCTCATTGTAACCTCAAATTCCTGGGCTCAAGCGATCCTTCTGCCTCAGCCTCCTGAGTAGCTAGGACTACAGGTGCATACCACTGTGCCTAGCTAATTTTTAAATTTTTTGTAGAGATGGGGTCTTGTTATGTTGCCCAGGGTGGTCTTGAACTACTGGCTCAAATAGTTCTCCTGCCTCAGCCTCCCAAAATGCTGAGATTCCAGGTGTGAGCCACCGTGCCTGGCCTGGCAATTTTTTATACACATAATATGCAGGGGACAGTAACTATTACACAACTTATCAACATCAACTTTATAGTGATTTTTCATCACTTCCTTGGGCCTAAGGGCAACATTTTTAGTCATTGTTGACTGCCAAGTACTTTATTTGCTTCTACTGATGTCCAGCCCAGGATCACTTAAGATATTTGAATAGTGTTTTCAAAAGATTATTTTAAAATTTATGCCTCAGTACTTAATTCATCTGCATGTGGCTGCTTAAAATATTCTGTGTCAATCACTGTGGGGTTATATTTCAGAGATTCTCACATGAAAATGTCAGCCTTTAGTTCAAATATGAATATGATCTCTGTCTCTAACTTCTTTTAAATCATAAAGATAACATCTAAAAATGTCCTTCAGAAGTTTAATTTTATATCTAAATTGCATTAGCTTGAAAGAATTTGCGCCAAGTTTGATTAGCCTGTGTTCATGGACCTCTTATCTTACTAGTTTTTGTTTTTGTTGAGAGATGTGGTAGTATAGGTCATGAGATTTATTCCCTTGTGGACTGAAAAAATGACATATGTCCGATCCTGTGCTGGTACTGGGAGTAGCAGTGTACTTAATTTTGCATGAGCCATATGGAATATTAATTCAAAATTACTACCAGTAAATTGTACCCACAGATTGAATACTATATTTTGTTTTATAGTATGGTAAAGTGTTTTGACTTAAGTATCAACTGGACTGATGTGAAGGATAGCAGTGGTCCCTGGACTTGAATTTCAAAGTTTAATTTTCAAAAGGTAGTATAGGGTCAAGGTGCAGTGGCTAAAGGCTGTAATCCCAGCACTTTGGGAGGCTGAGGTAGGTAGATAACCTGAGGTCAGGAGTTTGAGACCAGCCTGGCCAACATTGTGAAACCCTGTCTTTACTAAAAATACAAAATTAGCTGGGCATGGTGGTGCGCACCTGTAATCCTGGCTACTTGGGAAGCTGAGGCATGAGAATCACTTAAACCCAGGAGGCAGAAGTTGCAGCGAGCTGAGATCACGCCATTGCACTGGGTGACAGAGCAAGACTCTGTCTTAAAAAAAAAAATATATATATATATATACCATATATATATATATGGTAGTGGGTTGATGTAGGGTTGACAACTAAACATTGTGACAAGGACATTTAAAAAAAAATTATAGCCAGGCATGGTGGTGCATGCCTGCAATCCCAGCTACTCAGGAGGCTGAGGCAGGAGAATCGCTTGAACCCAGGAGGCAGAGGTTGCAGTGAGCCGAGATCACATCATTTTTCTCCAGCCCGGGCAACAAGAGTGAAACTCTGTCTCAAAAAAACAAAACAAAACAAAAACAAACAACATTCATCTACTGTCCCTGTATCATAAAAGGAAAGTAGCGTTTACACCATAAGCATAGGAAGGACATAGTCTCAAAATAAAGGACATTAACTTTATTCTTTAATTTTTATTTTTTATTTTTGTTAGAGCCAGGGTCTTGCTCTGTTGTCCAGGCTTGTGTATAATGGTGCACTCATAGCTCACTGTAATCTCAAACTCCTGAGTTCAAGAGATCTTTATGCCTCAGCCTCCTGAGTCAGTAGGACTACAGGCATGTACCACCATGCCTGGCTAATTTTTTTTTTTTTTTTTTTGAGATGGAGTCTTTCTCTGTTGCCCAGGCTGGAGTGCAATGGCGCGATCTTGGCTCACTGCAACCCCCGCCTACCAGATTCAAGCGATTCTCACGCCTCAGCCTCCCAAGTAGCTGGAATTACAGGCACCCACCATCATGCCTGGCTAATTTTTGTATTTTTGTAGAGACGAGGTTTCACCATGTTGGCCAGGCTGGTCTCAAACTCCTGACCTCAGGTGATCCGCCTGCCTCAGCCTCCCAAAGTTCTGGGATTACAACTATAAGCCACCATGCCCGGCTGCCTGGCTAATTTTTAAAAAATTTCTGTGGAGAAGGGGTTTCAGTATGTTGCCCAGGCTGCTCTTGAACTGCAGGCCTCAAGTGATTCTCCTGCCTCAGCTTCCCACAGTGCTGAGATTATAGATGTGAGCCACCACACCTGCAGGACAGTAACTTTCAACTGAATACTTTTTTGTTCTTTTTTTTAGTTCATAATCCTCATTTATTTATTTACTTATTTTTTTTTTTTTCAGACGGAGTCTCACTCTTATTGCCCAGGCTGGAGTGCAGTGGAGCAATCTCTGTTCACTGTAACATCCGCCTCCTGAGTTCAAGTGATTCTCCTGCCTCAGCCTCCCAAGTAGCTAGGATTACAGGCATGCACCACCACACCCAGCTAATTTTGTATTTTCCGTAGAGATGGAGTTTCACCATGTTGGCCGGGCTGGTCTCGAATTCCTGACCCCATGTGATCCACCCACCTTGGCCTCCCAAAGTGCTGGGATTACAGGCATAAGCAACTGCGCCCAGTCTATTTATTTGTTTTAAACAAGATTTTATTTTTAGAGCAGTTTTTGTTTTTGTTGTTGTTTTGGTGAGGAAAAACCATATTCACACCATAGCAGGGTTCAAACTAAATCACTTATATGGTCTGGGCACAGTGGCTCATGCCAATGTTTTGGGAGGCTGAGGCAGGAGTATTGCCTGAGCTCAGGAGTTTGAGGCTAGCCTGGGCAATGTAGTGAGACCCCGTCTCTAAAAAAAATTTAAAAAAATAGCCAGGCATGGTAGTGCATGCCTGTAGTCCCAGCTACTCAGGTGGCTAAGGCAGGAGAATCACTCGAGCCCCAGGAGTTTGAGGCTGTGGTGAGCAATGATCATGCCACTGCACTCCAGCCTGGGTGACAGAAGAGTGAGACTGTCTCTAAAAAAAAAAAAAAAGCACTAATTGGGTAATGATTGTCTTCCTCTGAGTGGTAGAGAGAACAATAACTTCACGTTCCTTTTTTAATTTAACACATAATAATTGTACATATTTATGGATACATTATGATGTTGCAATACATATAATGTGTAGTACTCAGATCATAGTAGTTAGCATATCCATCATCTCAAACATTTATCATTTCTTTGTGTTGGCAACATTCAGTATCATAGTCCTTATTTTTATTTTCCATCATTTGGCCTTAAAATGTGGACTGTCATCTGTGTTGCCTTATCTGTTAGCATTCTGAGAATAGTAAACATTATTCCAGTGATTCATAAGGAACCTAGAAAACAAAATGCCAGCCACATAACTAAGAATATTCTATTAATCTTCTTATTTTCCCCAACTCTAAAATGAGTCATTCCCATCTTTCATAATGAAAATATAGTTAAATGGCCATTTCCTTGAATAGTTCTCAAAAACCTTCTAAAAATAAGCCCCACCATGCTGTTATAACTTTGTAAATTTTTGGCATCTTAAATGTAGTGACAACATTGTCATTGTTGCTAACAGAGTTATTATGAAACTACTGCTGATAACTTTTTATTATAACTATCTCAAAAACAGATATTACATTAGTTGAAGACAGTATTATTTTGTATTATTTTCAATTTGACTGCTATAAATTTTAGTCGAGCTACATACTATTATATATTTTCACAGTGTTGGTAGAAGAAAAAGAAAGTCTATTTCCAATATTTATCTGGGTTTCTCTTCTACCAGCTGCCAACCAAAATTAATTTGCTATTTCTTATACTCTATGCTAGAGTAGAGTAGATAGTCTAGAATATAAGCCTATACCATCTTCATAACACTTGTAGGAATTGAATACACACACATGTGTGCATGCACATATACACACACACACATTTTCATTGATTCATAAGGAACCTAGAAAACAAAATGCCACCTGATTCTTAGCAATTTTTTTAAAAACCTTATTTATTTTGAAGTGTAACACAGAAGAAAGTACAGACATAAATACAGCTCAATAAATTGCCACAAAGCAAATATCCATGTAATGACCACCCAGGTTAAGAAATAGAATGTT
This sequence comes from Homo sapiens, assembly GCF_000001405.40. Taxonomy (NCBI): domain Eukaryota; kingdom Metazoa; phylum Chordata; class Mammalia; order Primates; family Hominidae; genus Homo; species Homo sapiens. Next base: position 65,658,819 of record NC_000008.11, read on the forward strand.
GTCTGCACTCTGGGGTAGTTTTGCTTTTGAGCAAGAGCTTCTAAAAGAGCTTAGAAAAATAGGTGACAGGAAACAGCACTGATGTAAAGTGTAAGAGAATAAGCAAGCAGAAACCCTTTGAGAAGGCAGTAGCTGTAGGAGAAGCAGTATTCTAAAGGGAAGCCAAGTTTCATCACGGGGAGGGAAGTAAGCCAGGGGAGTTCAGTAGTGAGTGAATCTGTTGAAGATAAGATACAGAGTTGGGGGATGTTTATAGACAAACAAGTACCAGAGAGCACTGTGAAGAAGTTTGGAGGAAGGGGTAGCAGCAGGAGTCCACCGTCTATGTCACCTCCCTTCTGTGTTTAACAAGGACCATTACCTTTCTCAAAATTTTCCTTTTTGGTGATAATACCACTCTTATTTTTCTACTACTATTTTGATCTTTTTTTGGTTAGTGTCTGTTGGATATAAAAATGCTCTAGGAATAAATTCTCGGTGCTACAAAGTGAAACCAGCACTCAGGCAAAAGTTTTCTCAGCAAGGCAATTTACTGCTGCAGAAGGGTGCCACTTGCATCAATCAAGATCACAAAAGATCACAATCAAGATCACTGAACAAAGGAGAGGTTTTTTTTTTTTTTTTTCAATCCCTGACACGTAGTCTTTGCCTCTGTGTCACTCCCCCATAGGCTGGGGTCGGACCACGCAATCTGAGCTGACCTGATTGGCTACTTGCAAATATTTTTCTAAATATGGAAGAGAAGGGGGACGTGAGGTACAGTGGTGAGATGTGCAGTTTCGGGGTAACAATATTGCAGGTAACCAAGGGAACAGATGTGAGTTATTGATTAGATCTGACAGGAAGCGGGTAGGCTGTTTACAGTAACTAGGGGCAAGGAGACATGTAGAAAGAGAAAGTTGAGTTTGAGAACAAAGGACAAGGAAGTTAACAGGCTAAACCTTTGAAGATAAACTGATTCATTGTATCTTACAGTGTCTTTTATTTTTTTCTGTTTGTTCTAAAAGTATTAATATTTCCTGAGCTTTCTGTCCAGTCTTCCCTTCTTACTCTATATGATTTAACTCATTTCATCTGTTTTTTCTAGCCAGTGCTCTGTATTCTTTATCTCTAGCCGACACTTAAGAAACATCTTTTCCTGGCAAATAAGGATGATTTTTCAAATAATAATTTAAAAAAACCATCTGTGGGCCGGGCATCGTGGCTCACGCCTGTAATCCCAGCACTTCGGGAGGCTGAGGCTGGTGGATCACCTGAGGTCGGGAATTCAAGACCAGCCTGACCAACATGGCCAAACCCTGTCTCTACTAAAAATACAAAAAATTAGCCAGGCATGGTGGTACATGCCTGTAATCCCAGCTACTTGGGAGGCTGAGGCAGGAGCATCTCTTGAACCTGGGAGGTGGAGGTTGTGGTGAGCCAAGATCATGCCATTGTACTCCAGCCTGGGCAACAGGAGTGAAACTCTGTCTCAAAAAAAAAAAAAAAAAAGACAAAAAAAAAACCCATCTGTGGTGGTTAATTTTATATATCAACTGGACTGGTCTGAGGGATGCTCAGATAGCTGGTAAAACATCACTACTGCTGTGTATTTGTGAGGGTGTTTCTGGAAGAGATTAGCATTTGAGTATATAGACTGAATAAAGGCATCACAAATCCCTTGAGGGCCTGAATAAAATAAAAGACAAAGAGAGAGCAAATTTGTACTCAGCTTGAGCTTGGATATCCCTCAGGCCCTCCCTCAGGCCTTCTCATCAGACTGAGATTTAACACTATTAGCTCTGTCGGCCTCCAGCTTGCACACGGCAGACTGTGGGACTTTCTAGCCTCCATAATTGCATGAGCCAATCCCTCATAATAAATCTGTTTCTATGTATCTATATTTTGTTGGTTCTCTCTGGAGAACCCTGACTAAATACACTGTTTAAGAAAGGAGTAAAACTTGCACTGAGATGTTTAGAGCAGCTTTATTCATAGTTTATCAAAATGTGGAAGCAATCAAGGTGTTCTCCAGTAGGGGAAGGAATAAATAAACTGTGGTATCTCCGTAAAATGGAATGTTATTCCACACTAAAAAGAAATGAGCTATCAACCATGAGAATACATGGAGGAACCTTAAATGCATATTACTAGGCAAAGAAGCCATTCTGAAAAGGCTATATACTGTGTGATTCCAACTTCATGACATTCTGGAAAAGGCAAAACTATGGAGACAATAAAAGGATCAGAGATGCCAGGGGTTGGGAAGGAGGGTAAATTAATAGGTGGAACACAGGATTTTTAGAGCAGTGAAACTATTCTGTATGATATAACAATGGTGGATACATATCATTATTCATTTGCCTTAACCCACACAATGTACAGTAATGAAAGTGTACTGTTAGGTAAACTGTGGACTTTAGATGATGATGTGTCACTGTAGGTTCATCCATTGGAATAAATGCACCACTCTTGTGTGGGATATTGATAGTGGGAAGACTGCCCAATTAAGAAATCTGTACTTTCTACTCAATTTTGCTGTACATTTAAACTGCTCTAAAAAATAAACTCTGTTTTAGCCTGTAACCCCAGCACTTTGGGAGGCTGAGGGGGTGTATCACTTAAGGCCAGGAGTTCCTGACCAGACTGGCCAACATGGTGAAACCTTGTCTCTACTAAAAATACAAAAATTAGCCGGGTGCTGTGGTGCATGCCTGTAATACCAGCTATTTAAGAGGCATGAGAATCGCTTGAACCTGGGACGGGGGTTGCAGTGAGCCAAGATCCTGGCACTGCACTTCAGCCTGGGTGACAGAGCGAGACTCTGTCTCAAAAATAAATACATAAATACATAAATAAACTCTGTTTTTAAAAATGAGCAAAAGGCCAGGCACGGTGGCTCACACTTGTAATCCTAGCACTTTGGGAAGCCGAGGCGGGAGGATCACTTGAGGTCAGGAGTTCAAGACCAGCCTGGCCAACATGGCAAAACCCCATCTTTACTAAAAATATCAAAATTAGCCAGGCATGGTGGCATATGCCTGCAGTCCCAGCTACTTGGGAGGCTGAGGTGGGAGAATCGCTTGAACTCGAGAGGTGGAGAATGCAATGAGCTGAGATCACACCACTGTACTCCAGCCTGGGCAACAGAGCAAGAGTCCGTCTCAAAACAAACAAACAAACAAAAAGAGCAAAAGCCCTCTCCCTCTCCCTCTCTCTCTCCCTCTCTCTCTCCCTCTCTCTCCCTCTCTCTCTCCCTCTCTCTCTCCCTCTCTTTCCACAGTCTCCCTCTCCCTCTCTTTCCACAGTCTCCCTCTCCCTCTCTTTCCACGGTCTCCCTCTGATGCCGAGCGGAAGCTGGACTGTACTGCTGCCATCTCGGCTCACTGCAACCTCCCTGCCTGATTCTCCTGCCTCAGCCTGCCGAGTGCCTGCGATTGCAGGCGCGCGCCGCCACGCCTGATTGGTTTTCGTATTTTTTTGGTGGAGACGGGATTTCGCTGTGTTGGCCGGGCTGGTCTCCAGCTCCTAACCGCGAGTGATCCGCCAGCCTCGGCCTCCCGAGGTGCCGGGATGGCAGACGGAGTCGCGTTCACTCAGTGCTCAATGGTGCCCAGGCTGGAGTGCAGTGGCGTGATCTGGGCTCGATACAACCTCCACCTCCCAGCTGCCTGCCTTGGCCCCCCAAAGTGCGGAGATTGCAGCCTCTGCCCGGCCGCCACCCCGTCTGGGAAGTGAGGAGCGTCTCTGCCTGGCCGCCCATCGTCTGGGATGTGAGGAGCCTCTCTGCCTGGCTGCCCAGTCTGGGATGTGAGGAGCGTCTCTGCCCGGCCGCCCCATCTGAGAAGTGAGGAGACCCTCTGCCTGGCAACCGCCCCGTCTGAGAAGTGAGGAGCCCCTCCGCCCGGCAGCCACACCGTCTGAGAAGTGAGGAGCCCCTCCGCCCGGCAGCCACCCCGTCTGGGAAGTGAGGAGCGTCTCCGCCCAGCAGCCACCCCGTCCGGGAGGGAGGTGGGGGTCAGCCCCCCGCCCGGCCATCCACCTCGTCCGGAAGGGAGGTGGGGGGGTTAGGCCCCAGCCCGGCCAGCCGCCCCGTCCTGGAGGGAGGTGGGGGGGTCAGCCCCCCGCCTGGCCAGCCACCCCGTCCGGGAGATGAGGGGCGCCTCTGCCCGGCCGCCCCTACTGGGAAGGGAGGAGCCCCTCTGCCCGGCCACCACCCTGTCTGGGAGGTGTACTCAACAGCTCATTGAGAACGGGCCATGATGACAATGGCGGTTTTGTGGAATAGAAAGGGGGGAAAGGTGGGGAAAAGATTGAGATATCGGATGGTTGCCGTGTCTGTGTAGAAAGAGGTAGACATGGGAGACTTTTCATTTTGTTCTATACTAAGAAAAATTCTTCTGCCTTGGGATCCTGTTGATCTGTGACCTTACCCCCAACCCTGTGCTCTCTGAAACATATGCTGTGTCCACTCAGGGTTGAATGGATTAAGGGTGGTGCAAGATGTGCTTTGTTAAACAGATGCTTGAAGGCAGCATGCTCGTTAAGAGTCATCACCACTCTCTAATCTCAAGTACCCAGGGACACAAACACTGTGGAAGGCCGCAGGGTCCTCTGCCTAGGAAAACCAGAGACCTTTGTTCACTTGTTTATCTGCTGACCTTCCCTCCACTATTGTCCTGTGACCCTGCCAAATCCCCCTCTGCGAGAAACACCCAAGAATGATCAATTTAAAAAAAAAAAAAAAAAAGAGCAAAAGACTTAAACAGATACTTCACAAAATAAGATCTCAAAATACCCCCAAAATGTGAAGAAAACCCTAGAATTGCTAAAATAAAAAAGTACTAACAATACCAATTATTACTGACAAAGATGTAGAGTACCTGGAGCTCTCTTAATTACTTGTGGGAGTGTAATTGGTCCAATTACCTTGGGAAATGTTAGGCAGTTTCTTTCCCCCTCCCCTTCCCCTTCCCCTCCCCTCCCTTCCCTTCTCTTCTTCCTTCTTTTTTTTAATTTCTTTTCTTTTTTTTTTTTTTTTTTTTGAGACGGAGCCTCACTCTGTCACCCAGGCTGGAGTGCAGTGGCGCCACCTCGGCTCACTGCAACAACCTCCGCCTCCTGGGCTCAGACGATTCTCCTGGAATAGCTGGGATTGCAGACAGGCACCACCACACCTGGTTAATTTTTGTATTTTTAGTAGAGACGGGGTTTCGCCATGTTGGCCAGGCTGGTCTCGAACTCCTGACCTGAAGTGATCCTCCCACCTCAGCTTTCCAAAGTGTCAGGATTACAGGCGTGAGCCATTGCACCCGGCCATGTTAGGCAGTTTCTATTAAAACTATATATATCCTATGATCTAACAGTTTTATACCTGGGTACTCAAGCGAATGCTCAAGAGAAATGAGCATTTACGTGTACCTTGCTATCTTTGTGTAAGAATTATCTTAGCACTTTTATTTGTAATAGCTAAAAACAGACAGATGAGTACATGAATTGTGTTACAATAATATAATGAAATACTTTACAGCAATGAAAAAGAACTGTAATTTGTAAACAACATGAATGAATCTCACCGTGTTGAATTATAGAAGTCAGAAGGCACAACTAATATATGGTTGCAAATGTTAGAATAGTGGTGGTTAGACAGGCAAGGCATGGATATTGACTCAGTTCTTAAACTGTTTTCTGTCTAGATCTAGGTGGTGGTTACAAAGGTATATACATATATAAAAATTTGCTGGACACTTATGTGTATATTTTTCTGTGTAGGTTATACCTCAATTTAAATAAAAATGATAGGTTTTCCTTTGTTTTTTTTTTTTTTTTTTCTCCATCTCCCAGGCTGGAGTACAGTGGCACAACCTCAGCCCATTGCAACTTTTGCCTCCCGCGTTCAAGCTATTCTCCTGCCTCAGCCTCCCAGGTAGCTGGGATTACAGGCACACACTACCATACCCGGCTATTTTTTGTGGAGATGGGATTTTGCTATGTTGGCCAGGCTAGTCTTGAACTCCTAACCTTAGGTGATCTGCCCACCTTGGCTTCCAAAAGTGCTGGGATTACAGGCGTGAGCCACCGTGCCCCAGCCAAAGAAATATTTGACATTTTAGTTTTTCATGCTTTTAAAAAAAAATTTTTTTTTTTTTTTTTTTTTAGACAGAGTCTTGCTCTGTCACCAGGCCAGAGTACAGTGGCATGATCTCGGCTCACTGCAACCTCTGCCTCCCGGGTTCAAGCCATTCTCCTGCCTCAGCCTCCCAAGTAGCTGGGACTACAGACACGTGCCACCATGCCCAGCTAATTTTTGTATTTTTAGTAGAGACGGGGTTTCACCATGTTAGCCAGTTTGGTCTCGATCTCTTGACCTCATAATCCGCCCACCTCAGCCTCCCAAAGTGCTGGGATTACAGGTATGAGCCACCATGCCTGGGCTTTAATGATAGGTTTTCAAACTCCACATAAAACCATCCTTTCTCCTTGCCTGTTTTTTTGCCAGTTATTTCCAGCTTTGACATCATTTTTGGTTCTTTGCTCTTTTTATTCACCATTGGCTCTCAGAGGATTCATTTATAAAACTGATAATAGATCCTGGTAACATTAAGATATATCTGCCTGATTAAAGATATAGTCACAGACCTTTTTTAGTAATCAATAAATATATATTCCTGCCAGTGCTTAGCACTCTACCACATAGTTTCATCTAGATACACTTCTGTCATCTTAGACTCACCTTCATTAAAGAGTTTTACTCTCCAGCATTTCCTTATATGATAGTCATAATTTCTCTCATCTCCAATCAAAACCTTGGAGTAATTTGATTTTTCTCTTCTTCCTTATCGCGCTAGCCAGCCACTTTATGTTTGTTGTTGTTGTTTTAAAAAGAGATGGGGTCTCGCTTTGTTGACTCTTAACTCCTGAGCTCAAGGGACCCTCCTCCCTCAGCTTCCTGAGTAACTGGGACTTCAGGCATGCAACGTCACACCCAGCTTTACCAGCTACTTTACCAACTTTGGTTAATTCTTTTATTGGCATATTGAATCCATCTATTCTTTTCCATTCCTGTTAGCATTAACCTACTTTTTTAGGATTTTTTACTAAAATGGCTTTATGCATTAATCTCTATTAATTCTTACAACTCTGTGAGTACTGTTCCTATCTAGAGATAACTTGTTAATACTTACCATTTAGTAGGTAGCACAACAAGGGTACAAACTCAAGTCCAGAGCCTTCATACTTCAATATTTTATGTCATTAGCTTTAGAATATAAACGTGTTGAAAGTTGAGTGTAATCACAATATGAAAATATTAAAATAGAAAACACCCAGCTGGGCACAGTGCCTCAGGCCTGTAATCCCAGCACTTTGGGAGGCCAAGGTGGGTGGATCACCTGAGGTCAGGTGTTTGAGACCAGCCTGGCCAACATGGTGAAACCCCATCTCTACTAAAAATACAATAATTAGCTGGGTGTGGTGGCGCATGCCTGTAATCCCAGCTCTCAGGAGGCTGAGGCACGAGAATCACTTGAACCTGGGATGCAGAGGTTGCAGTGAGCTGAGATCGCGCCACTGCAGTCCAGCCTGGGCGATGGAGTGAGACTTTGTCTCAAAACAAAAACAAAAACAAAACGCTCAAAATTTCGAATAGGTTTTTCAAACTACTCCCTTTTTGTTTAGTTACATGGTGTAGTGGATAAAAGCACAGACTTACAGAAACATCTAGTTTGAGTCCTAACTTTGCCACTTATAAACATGTGACCCTTACTCAAGTTATACTAACTATGCTTTAGTTTGCCCCTCTACAAATAGAAGATAATTTGATATCTACCTTAATAAGATGGTTTGTGATAATTGAGACTTTATATGTAATGACTTAATAAGCATAAAAATGTTCCTGATAATCCCGGGTACATAACAAATGTTCTGTGAAGTTAGCTCGTTATTAATATAATTTAGTGGTGTTTGGACATTTTAGCTAAGGGCTCTTGTTTGGAACACCAATAAATAAAGGAGACTAAAAGCATTATTTCACTAATTCAAATATATATCAAAAGTTCTTTTACACTCCCTGGCACCATAATCCCTCCCATTCACTCTGTGCCCCACTTCCCATACCCAGATACACATACTGTATATCTGATAGAATTATACTTATAAAGGTAAGTGAAAAACATATTAGAAAATTAGAATTTTCCGGCCAGACGCGGTGGCTCACACCTTAATCCCAGCACTTTGGGAGGCTGAGGTGGTGGATCGCCTGAGGTGAGGTCAGGAGATTAAAACCAGCCTGACCAACATGGTGAAACCCTGTCTCTACTAAAATACAAAATTACCCGGACATGGTGGTGCATGCCTGTACTCCCAGCCACTTGGGAAGCTGAGGCAGGAGAAGTGCTTGAACCCGTGAGGCAAAGGTTGCAGTGAGCCAAGATTGCACCATTGTACTCCAGCCTGGGTGACAAGAGTGAAACTCCGTCTCAAAAAAAAAAAAGGAAAGTTAGAACTTTCCATCATGTTAAAATTTTCTATAGAGCCAAATGTGTATACTGTTTTTTTTTTTACAGCTTTTCAAAGGATTAAAAAATAATACTTAATTTAAACTTTGGTGAATTCAGCAAACTTTCTTCTTTTTTCTTTTCTTTTTTTTGAGATGTAGTTATGCTCTTGTCACCCAGGCTGGAGTTCAGTGGCGTGATCTCAGCTCACTGCAACCTCTGCATTCCGGGTTCAAGCGATTTTCCTGCCTCAGCCTCCCAAGTAGCTGGGATTACAGGTGTATGCTACCATGCCCAGCTAATTTTTGTATTTTTAGTAGAGATGGGGTTTCACCATGTTGGCCAGGCTGGTCTTGAACTCCTGACTTCAGGCAATCTTCCTGCCTTGGCCTCCAGAGTGTTGGAATTACAGGTGTGAGCCACCACACCTGGCCAAATTCAGCAAACTTTCTAAAACAACTATTCTACCATATTGAGTCAAACTCTTCTACCTAGGTTCAAGGTTTGTCTAATAGGATTTATGTTTCTTTTTCCCTTTTTCCCAATATAAGCTTTTAGCTCAGATTCTCATATGAACTCACACCCTGTTATACTTCATCCTGTTTTCCCCCACTGCTGTTCATTTTTACCCATGATGCTCATCCTCCTTTCATTAGCGCCCAGCTCTTTTCAGTTTATTTTCACCCAGCACTTGGCATATTTGTGGCACCTTTACTTTTTCTTCCTATTCTCTGTTGTTATCTATAAAGCTCTTCTCACAACGTAGACCACAAACTGTTTCTGGTCATGATGAGATAAAGGGCTTACATCACTATGTAAATCAACTATGGCATACAGCATACTGTTTGGTTTAGCTGACTTTTTGAGCAAGATTTTCTTTTTTTTTTTTTTCTTTTTTTTTTTGAGAGGGAGTCTTGCTCTGTCACCCAGGCTAGAGTGTAGTGGCGTGATCTCAGCTCACTGCAACCCCCACCTCCCGGGATCAAGTGATTTTCCTGCCTCAGCCTCCTGAGTAGCTGGGATTACAGGCGTGCTCCACCACACCCAGCTAATTTTTTTTTTTTTTTGTACTTTTAATAGAGATGGGATTTTACTATGTTGGCCAGGTTGGTCTCAAACTCCTGACCTCAAGTGATCCGCCCGCCTCAGCCCCCCAAAATGCTGGGATTACAGACATGAGCCACCGCACCCAGCCTTTAAGGAAGATTTTCTTTTTTTTGTTTTTCTTTTTTCTTTTTTTTTTTTTTTTTAAGACGGAGTCACTCTGTTGCCCAGGTTTGAGTGCAGTGGCGCTATTTGCATCCTCCGCCTACTGGCTTCAAGCGATTCTCCTGCCCCAGCCTCCCAAGTAGCTGGGATTACAGGTTCCTGCTACCACGCCCAGCTAACTTTTGTATTTTTATTAGAGTTGGAGTTTCATCATGTTGGCCAGGCTGGTCTCAAACTCCTGACCTCAAGCAATCCGCCTCCCTTGGCATCCCAAAGTGCTGGGATTACAGATGTGAACCACCACGCCCGGCCTTAAGCAAGTTTTTATTGATGAGAGAGCAGTGTATTGATTCATGTTCTGGTGCAAACTCCTTTATCTTGTTAGAGACCAACACTTCCAGTAAACTCGTCTATACCATACAAGTTAACATTGTAATTCTGTCAGATATACAGTAGATTGATGGGGAGTGGGGCAGAGAATGAATGGCAGGGGTTATGGTGCTAGTGAATATTAAAAGACTTTATTCATTGGTTTTGGCCTTTCAGCATCTGAATTTCTGTTCTGTATTTCTGGAATTCATTCCTTTATGATTTTTGGTGGGAAGCTTAACCTGCTTGTTACAATAGCCAGGTACTTGCTTTGTCAGCCTCCCTTTTGCTACGACACGTGAGCTGTGGACTTGGTCTAGCAAATGGACCAGTACAGACAGCATCTTTGGAGTTGGGGACATGGAAAAGGAGGAACTGCGTGGACCCTGTCTGTGGTGGTAGTAGCAAATGCAGTGGTGTTTTCCCAGGGCCAAGTCTGCTGCAGTTTTGAACGTCCTTGGTTGTGTAGCCTATAAATTAGTTTCTCTGAAGATTATTATCCACCAGATATCTTTTCATAAATGTATTTTTTACTTAAATTAGCCATACTAGGTTTTTGTTGCTTCCAGCTAAGAATACTGACTGAAAAAAATACAAAAGAAAACAAAACACCTTATACTGTTACAGTTACTTTAAGCAAGCTGATCACAAGCAAATCTTGTTTTCTCTTAAATTACACATGAAGGTTTTTTTTTTTTTGAGACAGAGTCTCGCTCTGTCACCCAGGCTGGAGTACAATGGCGCGATCTTGGCTCACCGCAACCTCCGCCTCCTGGGTTCAAGCGATTCTCCTGCCTCGGCCTCCTGAGTAGCTGGGATTACAGGCATGCACCGCCACGCCCGGCTAATTTTGTATTTTTAGTAGAGATGGGGTTTCTCCATGTTGGTCAGGCTGCACATGAAGTTTTAAAAATGTTTTAGGCTTGCTCTGTGAGACATGTAGACAGTACAAATTCTAAATAATAATGATTTCATTTTAGTATTTGCATTTTAAATTTTCAGTGTGTTTTATGGACCATGTGCTGCTATGTATGCCTGAAGAAGTACTTGAAATGCAAATTTGGGGAGACTTTGCCATATAAATGCTTGGCTGGATTAAGCGCCTAATTAGGATGGTTTTTCAACAAGTTGGAGTAAGCATGCAATCGGTGAGTGCTCAAAATTCATTTTTTAAATCCCGACATTTAGATATTTTAAGAATTTTTTCTGAGAAAATGAAATAAATCTATATATGACCAACATCTTGAATTCAATATGTTTATGTACTGTTTAATTTGCTTTCTATTTAAATCATAGAAGTGAATCTTTTCTCAGCATCTGAAGTAAGGAAGTAACTTTCTGGGTTACATTGAAAACTTACCAGTATTCATGTGACCATTAAGAGCAATATATTTGTTATTAGTGAGGAAAAGGCTTAAATAAGCAGAAAAATCATTGCATAAAATATGCTTGGCCAACACTTGACAGCGCTCTTAATGTTGTAGAATCATTAACATTGAATGCTGTTATAATGTGTTTAAACAACACAGTTGTTTAAAAGGTAAGTTATGTCTCTTAAAAATAACAACTATTGATAAGAAGAAAAAAAAGTTACTATAATGATTGTTCTATGCTAGAGATATTAGTTTTTACCTTGACATTTTTTATAAGTATTTTCTACTGATATATAAAGTTTGTTTAGACCTATAAATTATTAGAGCAAGTATTGTGCCAAGTACATTTTGTAGAATATTTTGTTTTACATTTTGAAATTCATTTTTTTTCATGGCTATGACATAGAATTAAATTTTATTTATTGAAGATACAGGCAGGTTACATAATTTGAATGTGGGTATACTTTTTTTTTTTTTTGAACAGGGAGTCTTGCTGTATTGCCCAGGCTGGAGTACAGTGGAGCAATCTCGGCTCACTGCAACCTCTGCCTCCCAGGTTCAAACAATTCTCCTGCCTCAGCTCCCCGAGTAGCTGGGATTACAGGCTCACACCACCACGGCCAGCTAATTTTTGTATTTTTTAGTAGAGATGGGGTTCCACTATGTTGGCCAGGCTGGTCTTGAACCCCTGACTGCCCACCCTGGCCTCCCAGAGTGCTGGGATTATAGACGTGGACCACTGTGCCTGGCAGAATATGGGTATACTTTTTAGTGCACTTTTACTTTTTTGTTTTTGTGCCTGAACTTTGAATCTCCCCAACTTCCAAGGTTACATCTGTTTTCTTCGGAGATTAAAAAGTAGAGAACCAAATAAAATTATCTTTGTTTATAGCTGCATAATTTTGAGATTATTAGCTTGAGGATAAGCAATAGGAAAATGACTTGTAAATTTATTGGTATTTTCATATCTTTCAGATATATGTTGCTATGTTTTAAATTTCACTTAGTGGCCAGTCGCAGTGCTCAGGCCTGTAATCCCAGCACTTTGGGAGACAGAGGCAGGAGGATGGCTGGAGCCTAGGAATTCGAGACCATCCTGGGCAATATAGTGAGACCCTATCTCTACAAAAAATTTAAAAAATTTAGCTGGGCATGGTGACACGTACCTCTAGTCCCAGCTATTCGGGAGGCTGAGGTGGGAGGATTGCTTGAGCCTGACAGGCAGAGGTTGCAGTAAGCTGAGATTGTGCCACTGTACTCCAGCCTGAGCAATAGAATAGAGCAAGACCCTATCTTTAAAAAAAAAAAAAAAAAAAAGAACTTCACTTAGCTCAGTTTTATCATAGTGTGGATTGACATTTTAGTAATGACAGCAAAAGTTTCTTTTTCTCTTGCTTGCACAAGGAAGGGAAGTTTTTGTTATTTATGATTTCCAAAAACCAAAGCTTTATAATTTCTATTTATTGTAATTTTAGTAAGAAGTATAGTTTAATGGTAAGATTGTGGGTCCTGGATTTAAACACACTTGAATCTGAAATTTGTCTCTGTCAGTTATTGCCTTCGTCTGCAAAGTAGCTGTAAGAATTGCTACTGCTATAAGAATTGTTACCTGTGGATTAAATGACAGAGTATGTAAAGCATCTAGCACAGTGGCTTGTACAGTGTAGATACATTCAATAATAGTTTCTTAGATTTTTGCTGTTACCAGCCTCCCACCCCAAGACAGGTCAATATGAGTAGTGCTAATTGAGGCCAAAGTGCAGAATTCTGTTTCAGGCACAGATAGCACGCTTTATTTAGCTTGTTCACTTTAAGCTGGAAAGTGGGTGCCGTTCATCAAAGAATGGACCAGCTAAAGGAGGATTAACTTGCTCAAAATATTGTAATTACAACTGAGAGTCCTTCCTACTAATGGTGGATTAGCAAGATCTATTTTTAACTTATTGAAGCTAGCATATAATCGTAAACTTTAATCAGTTAGCTGAAAATTCATATAAAACCAAATTTTCTTCTAACATAAAGCAATGTGATCTTTTGGGGTTAACTAATTTCCAGTATTTTTTAGCTTGTTGCCTAAGAATAAAAATACAAAGGAATCTTTCAAGATTTTATATTTGGGCACCAGAAAATAAAAGAAGCTTTCTTAGCTCTACCTTTCAGTGATTAACATGTATTTTCCCATTGATCTGATATATACAGGCATAGCTTGGAGATACTATGAATTTCATTTCAGATCACCACAATAAAGTGATAGTGAAATACAGTGAATCACTTTTTTTTTTTCTTTGAGACAGTCTCACTCTGTTGCCCAGGCTGGAGTACAGTGGCGCAGTCTTGGCTCATTGTAACCTCTGCCTTCTGGGTTCAGGTGATTCTCCTGCCTCAGCCTCCCAAGTAGCTGAGATTACAGGTGTGTGCCATCACACCAGGCTAATTTTTTAATATTTTTAGTAGAGATGGGGTTTCACCATGTTAGCACTTGATGCTTCTTCATCTTGCACTTTTATGTTATAGAGATGGCTTTTTTCCTTATGCCTCATTAACCAACTTCTGCTAGCTTCAACTTTTCTTTTGTAGCTTCCTTGCTTCTCTCAGCCTTCACAGAATTGAAGAGAATTAGAACCTTGCTCTGGATTAGGCTTTGGCTTAAGGGAATGTTGTGGCTGGTTTGATATTTATTTTCTCTATGTCAGAAATAAGGCCTTCTTGCTTTCTTATCATTCATGTGTTCACTGTAGTAGCACTTTAAATTTCCTTCAAGAACTTTTCCTTTGCATTCACAACTTGGCTAACTATTTGGGCCAGAGACCTAGTTTTCAGCCTGTCTGGACTTTGAACATGCCTTCTTCACTAAGCTTAATACTTTCTAACTTTTGATTTAAAGTGAGAGACATGCAGTGCTTCTTTTCACTTGAACACTTGGAGATCATTGTAGCGTTAAACTGGCCTAATTCCAGTGTTGTTTTGACTCAGAATAGGGAGGTCTGAGATTGCGGAATAGCTGGTGGGTGGAACAGTCAAAAAACACATAACATTTATCGATTAAGTTTGCCATCTTACATGTGCTTGGTTCATGGCACCCCAAAACAATTAAAGTAGTAACAAATAACGTCAAAGATCACCACTGATCATGATCACCATAATAGATATAATAAGAATGCATAAGTCAGGGCCTGGCCTGTAGAGGGGTGGGGGGCAAGGGAAGGGGGAGCATTAGGACAATGCATGCGTTGTCCTGATGCATGTGGGGCTTAAAACCTGGATGACGGGTTGATGGGTGCAGCAAACCACCATGGCACATGTATACCTATTTAACAAACCTGCACGTTCTGCACATGTATCCCAGAACTTAAAGTATAATTAAAAAAAAAAAAAATAGGCCAGGCATCGTGGCTCACACCTGTAATCCCAGCACTTTGGGAGGCCGAGGCGGGTGGATCACAAGGTCAGGAGTTCAAGACCAGCCTGGCCAATATGGTGAAACCCCATCTCTACTAAAAATACAAAAATCAACCAGGCATGATGGTGGGTGCCTGCCTGTAGTCCCAGCTACTCAGGAGGCTGAGGCAGGAGAATCGCTTGAACCCAGGAGGCGGAGTTTGCAGTGAGCCGAGATTGTGCCACTGCACTCCAGCCTGGGCAACAGAGCAAGACCCCGTCTCAAAAAAAAAATAGTAATGCATAAGTTTGAAATATTGTGTGAATCATCAAAACATGACACAGACATGAAGTGAGCACATGCTGTTGGAGAAATGGCGTCAGTAGACTTGGCTTGACACAAGGTTGCCACAAACCTTAAATTTGTAAAAAGAACAATATCTCTGAATTGCAGGAAAGTGAAATGCATTCCCAGCTAATTTTGTATCTTTAGTAGGGATGGGGTTTCACCATGTTGGCCAGGCTGGTCTTGAACGCCTGACCTCAGGTGATCCACCCACGTTGGCCTCCCAAAGTTCTGGGATTACAGGCGTGAGCCACTGCGTCCGTCCTTTTAAATGAATTTGATACTGTGCTTTAAAGCATTCCAAGAGTGAAAACTACCTTCATCCTTTATTTTATCTTTTTTTTTTTTTTTTAAAGAAAAAAAGGCTGGCACGGTGGTTCATGCCTGTAATCCCAGCACTTTGGGAGGCTAAGGTGGGAGGATCACTGGAGTTCAGGAGTTTGAAGCCAGCCTGGATAATACAGTGAGACACGATCTCTACAAAAATTACAAAAATTAGCCGGGCATGGTGGTGTATGCCTGTAGTCCCAGCTACTTGGTAGGCTGAGGTGGGAGGATCACTTGACCCTGGGAGGCAGAGATTGCAGTCAACTGAGATCATGCCACTGCACTCCAGCGTAGACTATAAGAGTGAGACCCTGCTTCCAAAAAATAAAAAATAAAAAGAAGAAATTGCAAGCTTTTAGATTAGATTTTGTTTTGTTTCATTTTTCCCATTAGAACAGCCAGTGGTGATTGGCTCATTGTCTTTGACTCTGCACACTAATATTACTGTAATAGCCATCCCTGCTTGGCTTACTATGCCAGTGCTTACTGTGGCCAGTGCTTTTACATAAATTGCCTATATTCAATAGAACAATGCACTTTACAGATGAGAAACCTGAGGTTCAGAGTGTTTAACTGCCTTGAACAAAGTTACCTAAGTAGTAGAACTATAATGTGAACCCAATTCTGATTCCAAAATCCTTTCTCTTTTCAGTGTACTTTGCTACCCTTAGAAGGGAAAGATGACTGTTAATGTTTATTAAAAGCATTATATATGGCCTGGTGCAGTAGCTCACACCTGTAATTCCAGCACTTTGGGAGGCTTAGGCAGGCAGATCACCTAAGGTTAGCAGTTCGAGACCAGCCTGACCAACATAGTGAAACCCTGTCTCTACTAAAAGTATAAAAATTAATTGGGCATGGTAGCGCATGCCCGTAGTCCCCGCTACTCGGGAGGCTGAGGCAGGAGAATCCGGTTTGAACTCGGGAGGCACAGGTTGCAGTGAGCCGAGATCACGCCACTGCACTCCAGCCTGGGCGACAGAGCAAGACTCCGTCTCAAAAACAAAACAAAACAAAAAGGCCGGGCGCGGTGGCTTACGCCTGTAATCCCAGCACTTTGGGAGGCCGAGGCGGGTGGATCACGAGGTCAGGAGATCGAGACCATCCTGGCTAACACGGTGAAACCCCATCTCTACTAAAAATAAATATAAAAAATTAGCTGGGCGAGGTGGTGGGCACCTGTAGTCCCAGCTATTCAGGAGGCTGAGGCAGGAGAATGGCGTGAACCTGGGAGGCAGAGCTTGCAGTGAGCCAAGATCACGCCACTGCACTCCAGCCTGGGCAACAGCAAGACTCCGTCTCAAAAAAACAAACAAACAACAACAAAACCATTATAAATACCTTAACTCATTTAATGCTCATAGGCTCATGAAGCAGATAATATCTCCATTTTATAGGTGAGAAAACAGAAGCATAGAGGGGTGAATAATTTGGCCAGCTTTATACAGGCAGTAAATTCGTAGAGGCTAATTTTAAAGCCAGGCCTATATGCTATAATGGCCTGTTTTCTCTTTACTGTCTTTTATTTTCCCTCAACATTTGTTTGAATTTAAAACTACATGCTCACATATCTCCAAACTTTTTATGTCCCTAAGCAAAAATGTTTTTTAAATTGCAGGAAGTGAGAATAGTGTGAAGCTAATGTGATTCTGATTAATTTCAGTATTTTATATTGGAAGAAAAGTTACTATAGCAAGTATCTATAATAATTTGTATTATTGTACTCTGGTTTTCTTTTGGTGCTTTGGAGGAGGAATGTGAGTAAGGAAGAAGAGAACTGAGGGAAGTGTTAATCTTTGGTTAAGGATTTAAAAATTGTTACAGAATTTCATCTTCCCATTTTCACTCCTTCCCCCTTCCCAACACACACTTTTAATTTTCCCTTAGCTCCCTGAGAATTAAGAATTTACATTTTGTTGGGTCCTAACTTTTTAAAGATCTGATTAACAGTATGGATGCTCTTCCCAGAAAAGTAACACATACACAATTTTGTGTGTAATTTTAGGGATACATGAACCTCTGCATTAATGCATTAATATCACATAGCTTGTCTTGAAAAATATATTTTATTTATTTTTGTTTGTTCTTTGAGACGAAATCTTGTTGTGTCCCAGGCTGGAGTGCAGTGGCGCATTCTTGGCTCACTGTAGCCTCTGCCTCCCGGATTCAAGTGATTCTCCTGCCTCAGCCTCCTGAGTAGCTGGGATTACAGGTGCCCGCCATCACCCCTGGCTAATTTTTGTATTTTTAGTAAAGACAGGGTTTCACCATGTTGGCCAGGCTGGTCTCGAACTCCTGACCTCAAGTGATCCACCCTCTTCAGCCTCCCAAAGTGCTGGGATTACAGGCGTGAGCCACCACACCCAGCCAGAAAAACATATTTTTCTTAGAGTTAAATTTATAGTTTTTCCTGCTAAAAGTTGCCCTCAAATAATAATGTATGTAAAACTAGTCTATAATAAATGAATTACCACATACAGCTTGAGTGCAGTCATCATGGATGAGACAGATGACAGCTTCAGATTCCAGCCTCACACGTCAACACTTTCTACAATAGCATTTCACAATGTTAAAAAAGAACAAACTACTTTCCTGTTGTCATCCTCCTCCTTGCTGTCATCACTTTCAAACACTGTTGCTAAATGTTATGGACTGTCATTACTAGACACAGACATGCATGTGCGCGCACACACACACACAGATTCACTGTTAGATTATTTAAAAAAGCAGTTTTCATAGATAAAGCATGGTTTTTCTGTTTAGCTATTTCTCTCTTTTTTTTTTTTTTTTTTTTTTTGAGACAGAGTCTCGCTCTGTCACCCAGGATGGAGTGCAGTGGCGCGATCTTGCTCACTGCAACCTCCACCTCCCGGTTCAAGCAATTCTGCCTCAAGCCTCCTGAGTAGCTGGGACTACAGGCGTGTGCCACCACGCCTGGCTAAGTTTTTATATTTTAGTAGAGACGGGGTTTCGCCACATTGGCCAGGCTGGTCTCGAACTCCTGACCTCAGATGATCCACCCGCCTCGGCCTTCCAAAGTGCTGGGATTACAGGCATGAACCACTGCGCCTGGCCCTGTTTAGCTGTTTCTTTTTTTTTTTTTTTTTTGAGACGGAGTCTTGCTCTGTCCCAGGCAGGAGTGCAGTGGCACGATGTCAGCTCACGGCAACCTCTGCCTCCCAGGTTTAAGCTATTCTCCTGCCTTAGCCTCCTGAGTAGCTGGGATTACAGGCGTGCACCACCACACCTGGCTAATTTTGTATTTTTAGTAGAGACAGGGTTTCACCGTGTTACCCAGGCTGGTCTTGAACTCCTGAGCTCGTGACCCGCCCACCTCGGTCTCCCAAAATGCTGGGATTACAGGCGTGAGCCACCACGCCCAGCCAGCTATTTCTTAATGGCATTGGATTGTCTTATTTTCTAAATGAAATTGGATTATCTTGCCAGGCTTGGTGGCTCACGCCTGTAATCCCAGCACTTTGGGAGGCTGAGGTGGGTGGATCATGAGGTCAAGAGATCGAGACCATCCTGGCCAACATGGTGAAACCCCGTCTCTACTAAAAATACAAAAATAAGCCAGGTGTGGTGGCACGTGCCTGTAGTCCCAACTACTGGAGAGGCTGAGGCAGGAGAATTGCTTGAACCTGGGAGGCAGAGGTTGCAGTGAGCTGAGATCATGCCACTGCACTCCAGCCTGGCAACAGAGGGAGACTCTGTCTCAAAAAAAAAAAAAAAAAGAAATTGGATTATTTTATGACCATTTTCTTCTCCCTGCCTTCTCTCTTTCATCTAAAGAAATATTAATGACAGTTTGTCTTTAGAGGAAGTCTTTCCTTCTCTAAACTAGCATACTGACAAGACATAGTTCAGCCACAAGTTACGGTAGGAGATGCACTTGGGTCATACAGCCTCCCAATGCACAGATGGTGACTTTTCAGTACCATCTGTTCACTGTTTCTGTACAGCCATTTACAATTTCTCCCCCTCTATGAGGGCTGAATAGAAAAAAATAGAAAAGTAGTCAGACCTAGTTTTAGAGTTCCTGGAAATTAGCTATTCTTTCCCCTCACTTTTTCCTACCATCCAATAAAGGTTATGGCTCTTCATTCTAAATATTTCAGTCATTAGTTTACACAGACCCTTATTTGATATTTATTGGTGCTAAGTACTATGTAATTCACAAGTAACAGAAGAACACATTATGTTAGTCTACTGTGTATGCTTGAAAAAATAATCACATAAAGCAATCTGTTCTTTTCCTTCCTTTAACTTTGTAGAAGATACCTAAATAATCTACTTATTCCTTATAATTAAAAGCTGAATCGGCTGGGCGTTGTGGCTCATGCCTGTAATCCCAGCACTTTGGGAGGCCGAGACGATTAGATCACCTGAGGTCAGGAGTTCGAAACCAGCCTGGCCAACATCGTGAAACCCCGTCTCTACTAAAAATACAAAAATTAGCTGGGCATGGTGGCACCTGCCTATAATTCTAGCTAGATAGAATTGCTGTAACCCAGGAGATGGAAGTTTCAGTGAGCCGAGATCGCACCACTGCACTCCAGCCTGGGTGACAGAGCGAGACTCCATCTAAAAAAATTTAAAAAAAAAAGCTGAATCATTGGCCACTTCTCTTGTTGAAGGCACCTAGTATTTTTCTGATATTAAACAGATGGAAACATAATAGTTGACATTTCACCCTGCAACATGCGTAGTGAAGAATGCTAAAAGCAGGCAGAAACATAGTTCCTGACCTTGGCAAATCCTTTCTAAATTTTTCTTTGTGAGCTTTTTGTCCTCTTCATCTCCAGACAAGACCTTTGCTTGCTGGAGGGGAGAAAGATTCACTTTAGACTGTCTAATTGTCACGTTGTAATGCACAAATAGCATTCCACTTGTACTACATCATAGGAGAATTTTGACTTGTGACTAAATAGAAGACTCAAGAAGAGAAATGACTGAATGGTATACTTACTTTTGCCCTATGGATTTATTTGTAAAAGAACAGGATCTATTAAAATGTATAAGGTAGGGCCATGTGCGGTGGTGCACGCCTGTAATCCTAGGAGTTTGGGAGGCTAAGACAGGTGGATCACTTGAGGTCAAGAGTTCGGGACCAGCCTGGCCAACATGGTGAAACCCCGTCTCTACTAAAAATACAAAAAAATTAGCCAGGCATGGTGGCATTCACTTGTAATCCCAGCTACAGTAATCTCAGCTACTCAAGAGGCTGAAGCAGGAGAATCACTTGAACCTGGAGGGGGCAGAGGTTGCAGGGAGCCGAGATTGCTCCACTTCACTCCAGCCTGGGCGAAAGAGTGAAACTCCATCTCAAAAATAAATACATAATAGTAATAAGGTAAAAAGTTTGCTTAAATACTGTCTTAGAATTATTTGCCCATGTTTGTTCTTTTTTTGGTGGGTAGTCTGATGTTGACATTGTAGAACTTGCGAGGCTTCCCATTTTTCTCTAGTCAGATGTTTTCCTTTCCCTTAGTCCTCACGTTATTAAGACTACTTGTGTCATAATCCTGTATGATTATTGATGTGAATGATGTTTTCTTCTAAGCTTCAGAGTAACTTTGCTTCTTAACATTCTTTGTATACTATTCATATTTTAATATTTTTATCTTCCTTTCTACTTACCAGTTTTCTAATCTTTGCCATCCTTTTTATTTACATTTCCGAAGCAAGAGCTATCATTTTTGTTGGTTATTGGAGTCAGTATAGGTTATAAGTACTTTTTGGAACTCTTCTAGGTAAGATTCAGTGAAACTTTGGAAAATGTGTGATAAAAATTATATGAAAGCTATGGCAGGTGCCAGGGGTATTATATATCCTTCTATGATTTCCACTTTGTTGGTTTTTTTCTCAGGGGTTGGGGGGCGGGGGGACATGGTCTCACTCTGTTGCTTAGGCTGGAGTGCAGTGGTGCAATCCTAACTCACTGCAGCCTGGAACTCCTGGGCTCAAGGGACCTTCCTGCTTTAGACTCTCCTGTAGCTAGGATGACAGCATGCATCACCACCCCTGGCTAAGTTTCCAATTTTTTGTAGAGATGGCGGTCTCACAAAAAGACCCCAGGCTGGTCTCAAACTTCTGGCCACAAATGATCCTCCTACCTCAGCCTCCCAAAGCACTGAGATTACAGATGTTAGCTACTGTGCCCAGCCCTGAACCCCACACTGACTCATACTGTTATCCTTGAATTGGACTTGATTGCTAAAATTTAAGAAATCAGATAGTTTCTGTGCTCATTTTATAAGTTGTATATGCTTTTATCTAAGGGTCTAGTTTGAGTTAGGTTTTGGAGCCTCCACTGTTTACAGTGAACCGTTGTTTGGTTATGCTGTTTGTTTATATTGGGGTAATTTCATTCTTTAAAGTAGAATGATCACGGATTGATCTTAAAAAAGTGGTAGTATCCATTTCTCCAGAATTCATACTCAGCTGATTTGGTTCTTTTTAGTCTTTAGAATATAATTGTTTTTTGAGTTTTTATTTTGTTTTATTTTTGAGACAAGGTCTCGCTTTGTCACCCAGGCTGGAGTGCAGTGGTGCCATCTTGGCTCACTGCAACCTCCGCTTCCTGGGTTCAAGCAGTTCTCTTTTTTTTTTTTTTTTTTTTTTTTGAGACGGAGTCTCGCTCTGTCGCCCAGGCCGGACTGCGGACTGCAGTGGCGCAATCTCGGCTCACTGCAAGCTCCGCCTCCCGGGTTCACGCCATTCTCCTGCCTCAGCCTCCCGAGTAGCTGGGACTACAGGCGCCCGCCACCGTGCCCGGCTAATTTTTTGTATTTTTAGTAGAGACGGGGTTTCACCTTGTTAGCCAGGATGGTCTCGATCTCCTGACCTCATGATCCACCCGCCTCGGCCTCCCAAAGTGCTGGGATTACAGGCGTGAGCCACCGCGCCCGGCCTGGGTTCAAGCAGTTCTCATGCCTCAGCCTCCCAAGTAGCTGGGATTACAGGTGTGCACCACCATGCCTGGCTAATTTTTGTATTTTTAGTAGAGATGGGGTTTTGCCATGTTGGCCAGGCTGGTCTTGAACTCCTGGCCTCAGGTGATCCGCCCATTTTGGTGTCCCAAAGTGCTGGGATTACAGGCAGGAGCCGCCGCACCTGGCCTTACATAACTGAATGTTAAAGTTTGATGAATTAAGTATAATAGTCATATAATTCTTACTCTTTTCTTTTAAAATTGCTTTTAATAGCATACTACCTTTCTTTACTTATTCTGTCCAGGCTTTCAAGTGTAGCACTCAAAACAGATGAATAGTTTTTCCTTTAAAGAGGGGTCATATACTTGGGGAGAAGTTTCAAGGTACAATTTATAATGATTTACCTAACATTCAACACATGTGCTTTTTGTTGTTTTTGTTTTTTTTTTTTTTTTGCTTTGAGGGTTTGTTTTTGTCTTTAAGCATAGCATAATGTCCTGTTTTATTATGATTTCATCTGAGAAATTCTGCTCAGATGAAATTTCTTACCTTTCCTTTGGGGAGCAGGCCTCCCAAGAGCAATATGCCTGGATTTCAGCCTTTGCTCACCCTTGGCCAAGCATTCTTGTGCAGCAAACAACATGGAGCACCCTGCATGGTACACATTCAGATTCTGAACTTTGTACTAATTTGGGATTGTTTTGAAAAGTGTGTAACAGCAAAAGTAACATACATTTAATAAAAACTATGTATATCAAAATTCTAAAACTAAAAATATAGCAGAAGAGATAAAATAGTGTTTCTGTTGCAGAATAGTATGAAAACCTGATGAAAATAAAATTTTTACTGTAAGTATAGTATTTAAAAATTACTGGCTAGTTTATATTTTTATATAATACTTTACATTAAACTTTATTGAATTAATAATATCTATCTCTCTATCTATCTATATATTCTTTATTTTTGGATTGAGAAACATTAGCTTATTTGCCATAACATTTAGAGCATTCTGATCCTGTAATTAATGTGTTAGTATGTCATACAAATAATTGTCTAATGCTTTGTCTTAACAGTTCTGTACATCTTGTAATTAAGCTTTCGGTTTTTCCTACTTCCTCAGGTACTTTGGTCTAGGAAGCCATATGGTTCGTCTCGAAGTATCGTAAGGAAAATTGGTACTAATTTGTCTCTGATTCAGTGTCCAAGAGTTCAGTTTCAGGTATTATATTTTATATATTTTAAGTATTTTATTAATATGTACATTAGAAATATAAATAGGCAAGATGGTTTTAAAAGCATTTTGTTTTTGAGACTTTTCACCAATTGATGCCACTATCAATACAATAGAAGAGGATTAAAAACCACAGTAAAGCCTTTCTAATTTTAGTTTCTCTGTGACGTGATTGAGATTTTTAAGATATTTATCCTTCTTAAGGATGCATATGTGAAGATTTAGGAGCATATAATAAGCTAAGCAGTTGTTAATTCCTAGGTGACCTCAAACATAGGCTTTATATTATTCCAGGTGCTTCATGTACCACCATTATTTTTCTTCTGTAATTATACCTTCCTCTTTGGATAGCCACTCTGTTCCCCTGCTTTATTTTTAGATCTCTGTGGATGCCATATAAGTTGCTTTCCGTCATTGGTTTCAAGATCAGCATTAATTATAGGATCCATTGCCTTGGCAATGACAGTGTCAAGACAAAAAGGTAATTGTGGTTTTCGCAGTGAGGTGATAGTCAAACCGTGAATCAGGAGAACTTTTGAAAGTCTTAGTCTTAGAACTTTTGAAGGTCTTAGTACAGTATTCTCTTTTAGCACCAAATCTGGAGCAACTCTACTCTTTGCTTGGAGATATTGCTATTTTCCTTGATTTGTACTTTTGTTTCTTTCTTTCTTTTTTTTTTTTTTTTTTTGAGATGGAATCTTGCCTGTTGCCAGGCTGGAGTGCAGTGGCAGGATCTCAGCTCACTGCAATCTCTGCCTCCTAGGTTCAAGCACTTCTCCTGCCTCAGCCTTCCAAGTAGCTGGGACTACAGGTGCACACCACCACGGCCAGCTAATTTTTGTGTTTTTAGTAGAGATGGGGTTTCACCATGTTGGCCAGGATGGTCTTGATCTCTTGACCTTGTGATCTGCCTGTTTCGGCCTTCCAAAGTGCTGGGATTACAGGTGTGAGCCACTGTGCCTGGCCTTGTTTTCTTATTGTTATTATAGTATTAGACATTTATCACATAACTTTGTTCTTTTTTTTAGCAATTCTTTACAACCATAATGTAAGAACATTTCAGTTCAACATTGAATAATATAAAATTCAACAGATATCTCTGCCACTTTTAAATAATAGATTAACATGTGGAGATGTGGAAGATGTATTTAACTCATCATTTAGAAATTCAGAAGTGCCCATGTGT
Source organism: Homo sapiens (assembly GCF_000001405.40). Classification (NCBI taxonomy): domain Eukaryota; kingdom Metazoa; phylum Chordata; class Mammalia; order Primates; family Hominidae; genus Homo; species Homo sapiens. Next base: position 65,683,650 of record NC_000008.11, read on the forward strand.
ACCCGTTTGATAACATGTCATGTTCTTAAATCACTCCTCCTGGTAAATGGAGGTGAAATCTGTTTCTTTTTCTTTTTTTTTTGGAGACAGAGTCTTGCCCTGTGATCTCAGGTGATCTGCGCATCTCTGCCTCCCTAAGTGCTGGGATTACAGGCGTGAGCCACTGCACCCGGCTGCCTTTTTTTCTTTTTAATAATCAAAATGAAGAAATCTGTGGTAGTAAGTCTCTCAAGTACTTTCCAAGAATTCAATTCATTTAGACATGAACTGCTCTTATTTGCCAGTTTCCTTCAAATAGCTATTATGTTAACTAAGTTTTATAAACTTTTTTCTGATTGTTCAATTCCATCAATGTCTTTCTGGTTAACTATCTTACCTCCCTCCTAGTTCCAGGAAAATGTGCTTCAGCGTTTGCATTCATATAGCTAGAGACGTAGAGATATCTAACGTTTTCTGATTGCAACCCCCAGGTCTGCCTTGACAGTCAATGGACTGAAGTACTAGAGTCAAGTACATTTACTTGGGAGAATTCTTTTTCTCGATGTTATCAGTCTTTTAAAAGGGTATGAGCAGAAAAAGAGTATTAGATTTAACTAATTTTAACTGCATTTGAAAAAAATGGATTAACATAAGGAGAAGAGTAAGGTACGAGAAACATTGATGACCTACTTGAGAATGTAGTGAGAGACGGAAGCCATTTGTTTATAGTTATAGATTTGTATTTCCAGTTATATTGAGTCTTTTTTTTTTTTTGAGACTGAGTTTCGCTCTTGTTGCCTAGGCTGGAGTGCAATGGCACAATCTCGGCTCACTGCAACCTCTGCCTCCCAGCTTCAAGCAGTTCTCCTGCCTCAGCCTCCCGAGTAGCTGGGATTACAGGCATGTGCCACCAAGCCTGGCTAATTTTGTATTTTTAATAGAGATGGGGTTTCTCCGTGTTGGCCAGGTTGGTCTCGAACTCCCAACCACAGGTGATCCATCCGCCTCAGGCTCCCAAAGTGCTGGGATTACAGGCGTGAGCCACCGCACCTGGCCCATACTGAGTCTTTTAAAATTCAACATCGGTGTTAAAGTGTTTTGTCTTGTGGCCAACACCTACAATCCCAGCACTTTGGGAGGCTGAGGTGGGTGGATCACCTGAGGTTGGGAGTTCGAGACCAGCCCGGCCAACATGGAGAAACCCCATGTCTACTAAAAATACAAAATTAGCTGGGCATGGTGGCAGGCGCCTGTAATCCCAGCTACTCAGGAGGCTGAGGCAGGAGAATGGCTTGAACCTGGGAGTTGGAGGTTGCTGTGAGCCGAGATCGTGCCAATGCACTCCAGCCTGGGCAATAAGAGTGAAACTCTGTCTCAAAAAAATAAAAAGCATTTTGTCTGCTACTTAAATGTTTTACATATGCTATCATCCTTCTGTATCTCCACTGCTTCTTTGTTTATCAGAAATATAAAAGATGTAGTCTTCAAAATGTATACAGGAGGCAGTTTTGAGTAAGAAAATTGAAAATGCATTTTTTTCCCCTATTTTTGTAGCTCATTTAGGGGCTAACTGATGTGGAATATATCCAGGCTATCTGGAGTCCAATGTGGGTAAATATTATTATTGAAAGTCTGAGACTGAGAGTCTAGTATGGGGCACAGGGCAAGTGGACATCATTATACTGAGACCATATCCAAGGTGAAGTGGATTAAACTGAGAACAGGACAGTCATACAGTCAATTCAGAATAACCTGGGTTGGGAACTTGGCTGTGTGGTTATAGTAGTTTGAATACCAACTCTATTGGGTAATTTCACATTTTTCTCTCTGGTAAACCTAACCCAAGCTATTTTCTTGGACTGCAAGGAGTGGTTTTTGGAATTGGTGGTGGAAAAGGACTGTTTAGTAACCAAAAAAGTAATGAATGAGATTCCAATTAAAGCTCACACATGGTGATTAAATCTGGAAGTAAAATGGCCATTTGTTATGGCACATCTTTATATAGCAAGTAAACCTGAAATTCATATTTTATGCTAGGTGTTGGTATTGAGTGGTGAATGAAACAGCATGTATGTCTGCCCTTATTGGTTATATGATTCAGTGGGAGAGATATTTAAAAAGTCAATATGCTAATAAAGGTATAATTATCATTTGTAATAAATGCCATATAGTATGAAGTAGTATAGCATGGGGGAGAAGATCAGGAGTTCTCAGGGAAGGTCTCTCTAAAGGAATGACAATTAAGGATTACAAAGAGCCTGCTCTACAGGGTTGAGGAGACAAGTAGAGGTTGAGGGAGTCATTGTGTGCAGACAGAATAGCATGTGTAGAGATCCTAAGGCCAGATAGAAATTGAGGAACCAAGAGAAGGTTCCAGTCAGTCAGGAACTATTAAAGTGGGAGACGTAGTAGTATGGTATAGTGATCTTTGAACATCTGAGCTGTCTGAAGATGCATACCTGGATTAATATGTAAAATAACTGTTAAATTTAACCGTGTGTTTCAATAACTACTAGATAATTTGGAATATGCTAGCATGTGATGTCATACTGTATATGATGTTCATTTTTTATTTTTAGCTATAATTTTATAGTCAGTTGGCCCTTAAAGATTACTGAATCCAGCAACAAATAGTATGTTTTATAAATTTTGACACTGTGGAGCCCAGCACAGTGGCTCGCACCTGTAATCCCAGCACTTTGGGAGGCCAATGCGGGTGGATCACCTGAGGTCAGGAGTTCAAGACCAGCCTGGCCAATGTGGTGAAACCCCGTCTCTACTAAAAATACAAAAATTAGCCAGGCATGATAGCAAGTGCCTGTAATCCCAGCTACTCAGGAAGCTGAGGCAGGAGAATCAGCTTGATTCTTGAACCTGGGAGGCGGAGGTTGCAGTGAGCCGAGTTCATGCTACTGCACTCCAGCCTGGGCGAAAGAGCGAGACTCCGTCTCAAAAAAAAAAAAAAAAAAAAAGGCACTGTGAAATAGTAGTTTTGAGACTAACTGAGTATGGCTGGGCACGGGGTGGCTCACACCTATAATCTCAGCACTTTGGGAGGCTGAGGCGGGCGGATCACCTGAGGTCAGGAATTTGCGACCAGCTCGGCCACTGTGGTGAAACCCCATCTCTACTAAAAATACAAAAATTAGCCGGGCGTGGTGGCAAGTTCTTGTCATCCCAGCTACTTAGGAGGCTGAGGCAGGAAGAATTGCCTGAACCCGGGAACTGGAGGTTGTAATGAGCCAAGATCACACCACTGCACTCCAGCCTGGACGACAGAGCAAGACTCCATCTCCAAAAAAAAAAAAAAGTAACCAACAAATGTTTGTGGCCATTTTATTCATCTCAGGCAGTTGATCTCTTAAAAGTCTTGTATTTCCACAAGGATACTGCTGCTTACCCTTAAAGATTATTTTCAGAAATAGACACATTTTCCTCCCTCTGGTGGCTTTGTTCTCTTGCCTTCTACTATTCTAAGTGTGTTACGTATAGAAACTTTTAATAAATGTTCACTTAAAATAGTGACCATGCAAGAGATACATTTACAACATGGTGACTATAGTTAACAGCAATGTATTGTATATTGAAAATCACTGAGAGAGTAGATTTTAAGTGTTTTCACCAGAAAAAATTGAATTGGAGGTAATCCAATTCAGTTGAACCACTGCACATATTTCAAACATAATAAATATATACAGCTTTGTAATCTTAAAGAATACTTTTTTTTTTTTTTTTTGAGATGGAGTCTCACTTGTCACCCAGGCTGGAGTGCAGTGGCACGATCTTGGCTCATTGCAAGCTCTGCCTCCCAGGTTCACGCCATTCTCCTGCCTCAGCCTTCCAAGTAGCTGGGGCTACAGGCACTCGCCACCACGCCCGGCTAATTTTTTGTATTTTTAGTAGAGACGGGGTTTCACCATGTTAGCCAGGATGGTTTCGATCTCCTGACCTCGTGATCCGCCCGCCTCGGCCTCCCAAAGTGCTGGGATTACAGGCATGAGCCACCGCACCCAGCCAGAATACATTTTTAAAAAGTAATCACATTCAGAAATAGTAGTGACTGAGTCTGGGCTAGAATATTGAATTTAGTGTTCTGTCTTTCAGACTGTTGTTCTTTACACAGGTATATCACCTGGGAAGTTGATGGTGTCACTGTATGTCACTATACTGTATTAAAATACAGCAATTCGGCTAGGCGCGGTGGCCCACACCTAAAATCCCAGCACTTTGGGAGGCCAAGGCAGGTGAATCACCTGAGGTTGGGAGTTCAAGACCAGCATGGCCAACATGGTGAAACTCTGTCTCTATTAAAAATACAAAAATTACCTGGGTGTGATGGCACGTGCCTGTAATCCCAGCTACTCGGGAGACTGAGGCAGGAGAATCGCTTGAACCTGGGAGACAGAGGTTGCAGTGAGCTGATACTGTGCCGTTGCACTCCAGCCTGGGCGACAGGGCAAGACTCCGTCTAAAAAAAAAAAAAAAAAACAGGCCGGGCATGGTGGCTCACACCTATAATCCCAGCACTTTGGAAGGCTGAGGCAGGTGGATTACTTGAAGTCAGGAGTTTGAGACCAGCTGCCCAACATGGTGAAACCTCAACTCTATTAAAAATACAAAAATTAGCTGGGTGTGATGGCAGGTACCTATAATCCCAGCTACTTGGGAGGCTGATGCAGGAGAACTGCTTGAACCCAGGAGGCTGAGGTTGCAGTGAGCCGAGATCACACCACTGCACTCCAGCCTGGGTGACAGAGTGAGATTTCATCTTAAACAAGCAAACAAAAAAAACCCCAGAAATTCTGCTTTCAGTTTTTCTTTTCTTTTTTTTTTTTTTTGAGACGGAGTCTTGCTCTGTCGCCCAGGCTGGAGTGCAGTGGCGCAATCTCGGCTCACTGCAAGCTCCGCCTCCCAGGTTCACGCCATTCTCCTGCCTCAGCCTCCTGAGTAGCTGGGACTACAGGCGCCCGCCACCACGCCCAGCTAATTGTATTTTTAGTAGAGACGGGGTTTCACCATGTTAGCCAGGATGGTCTCGATCTCCTGACCTCGTGATCCGCCCGCCTTCAGGCTCCCAAAGTACTGGGATTACAGGCGTAAGCCACCGCGCCCAGCCTGCTTTTAGTTTTTCTTAGCATGGAAGCAACTGGTAAAAGAGAAATAATTAAATCTATGTAGGTAAAAAGCTAGAGATTATCATTTTACTATGTTGCTATTAAGAATATGTATATGTGGGCTGGGTGTGGTGGCTCACACCTGTAATCCCAGCACTTTGGGAGGCTGAGGCGGGTGGATCACTTGAGGTCAGGAGTTCAAGACCACCCTGGTCAACATGGTGAAACCCCATCTCTACTAAAAACACAAAAATTAGCCAGGCATGGTGGTGGGTGCCTGTAATCTCAGCTACTCAGGAGGCTGAGGCAGGAGAATTGCTTGAACCTGGGAGGTGGAGGTTACAGTGAACTGAGATTGCGCCACTGCACTCCGGCCTGGGCAACAGAACAAGACTTGGTCTCAAAAACAAACAAACAAAGAATCCGTGTATGTTATGCATTTGGCTATAAACAAATGGTAGTAAACTAGAATGAGTGTATTTACTATTATGCCCTTTGCAGAGAATCCTAGTTCCCAGCACTGTTGTGTTTATTTTATGAAGTCACAAGAGGATGAAGTTAGTACTTCTAACATTTTTATTCTAAGCTTTTCTACTATTGTACAACATTTGTATTTTACTAATATGCACTTTATTAAATGAACTGATTTTTTTGGTATATTATCAGAATATTTTAAATTAAAGTTGCTTCAGTAAGATTTCTAAAATAAAATTGAATTTTGGGTAATTTAGTGTTATTATTGAATTTTTGCTCTGAATGAAATGTGATTTTGAAAAAAAATTTCTATCTCTTCACTTTTTTTTTCTTTTTCCACTAATAATAGCTGTAGTAGGACAGGACCTTGCTGGGAACCTTCAGTAAGTTGTCCTTTTCTTTCTCAAACTTCCCATGCATGTCGTGGTGTCTAAATCGTATTTCCAAGAATTTCTTAATGTCAGTCCTTGCCAGGGCTGACTTCACCTTGACTTGTACTTTACTAAGTGCATTGTCCTGGAAATTGTCCTTTGCATCCCATGCCTGTGTCACTCAATGAATGCTTCCCTCACCAACACCTGAAACGGCCTTTTATAAAGAAGATTTTCTTCTAGTTTTATTTTGTCTTTTGAATGAGTTTGACTTAAATGCCAAAACTATTTTGTTTTGTGGGACAGGATTTCAAGTACAAATGACATACATCTTATCAGTTTTGGAATTGGTTCTTGAGAGCATCATTAACATTTTCATCTTATTGAGCACATATTATGGACTTGGTATCATTTGCCTAATTAAGGCTTAAGTAAGATCCAAATTAAGTCCGTGGAATAGTTTGTTGTATCTTGTTGTTTTGTTTTTTTAAAGTTTGTGCAAAAGCTGGCATTTTATGTTTAACATATTAATTTTATGGAGGCATTATTTAATTTTATAGATGTAAAATTGAGAAATGTGTTTAATCCTTAATTACTATTTATGATATCCTGAAAATGAGTTAACTTATATTTCTTTGAATATGTATTCTTAGAAAAGTAGTACTGGCTGGGCGTGGTGGTGCATACCTATAATCCCAGCACTTTGGGAGGCTGAGGCAGGTGGAACCCCCGAGCCCAGGAATTTGAGACCAGCCTGGGCAACATGGCGATACCCCCCATCTCTACCAAAAATACAAAAAATGAGCCAGGTGTCGTGGTGTGTGCCAGTAATTCTGGAGGCTTACGCAGGTGAATTGCTTGAACTTGGGAGGCGGGAGGTTGCAGTGAGCCGAGATGGTACCACTGCACTCCAACCTGAGTGACAGAGTGAGACCTGGTCTCAACAACAACAAAAAAGAAAAGTAGTACTTTGTTTTTTTGTTTTTCTTTTTTTCTTCCCTCCTCCCCACACTTTGTTTCCTTTTATAGATGTTTTAGAAGAAAACAGCTATTTTTGTAACTTCTGTAGGAAAGTAAGAAGTCTTTGTCTTAAATATGCCTAACTTTCTACCAACTAGTCATTATATTGGAACAGAATTTTTATTTCTAAACAAAGGGTCATGATCAGATTGATCATCTCATGAAATAGCACCTTAGGAAGGCACCATTCAGATTTTAGTCTTAGGATTTGTCTAACACTTATACAAAACAGCCCATTAAATACCATCTCTGCTAGGAGCCTCACAGGGCTTGGGGAACATTCCTGCTGAAGGATAGCCACATAACCCATTTAGAATCTCCTTATTACAGTGTTATGGGAATATCAGGATACCATTCTGTTTTCAGTAATGGGTAGGAACAGAACATTACCTGATTTCTCAACTCTTGAGATCAAATATGATACCCAGTTGTGTTATTTAAGTTGTATGAGATACCCATTTGCTGAATATCTGTTTGGATAAGTTTCTGAACTACAAAGGGAAGTACAAAAATCTTCCCTTTGATCTTATACCTTGAGAATTTACTTACTGAAGTTCATGCTTTTTTCCTCATCTGACTACAAATTACTTCCACTACATGCAAATTGGTATTTTGAAAGCCTTTTTATCATAATTTCATTATTAGGTTTATTTGTTTTTGTTTTTGTGGAAGGCAAGATTTTAAAATTTCTATTTTTTGAGACAGAGTCTCACTCTGTTGCCCGGGCTGGAGTGTGGTGGTGCGATCATGCCTCACTGCAGCCTCTGCCTCCTGGGTTCAAATGATTCTCCCACCTCAGCCTCCCAAGTAGCTGTGACTACAGGTGCATGCCACCATGCCTAGCTAATTATTTTGTATTTTTAGTAGAGACAGGTGTTTTGCCATGTTGCCCAGGCTCGTCTCAAGCTCCTGGGGCCTCAAGCCATCCGCCATCTTGTCCTCCCAAAGTGCCAGGATTACAGGCGTGAGCCACCGCACCTGGCTGAATTTAAGGTGCTTTAGATACTCGATGTTCTTAGTACTTTATTGTTAACATGTTTTTGGATTTTGGTTTTTTTTTGTGACCGAGTCTTGCTCTGTCGCCCAGGCTGGATTGCAGTAGCGCAATCTCAGCTCACTGCAACCTCTACCTCCCATGTTGAAGTGATTCTCATGCCTCAGCCACCCTAGTGGCTCGGGTTACAGGCGCCTGCCACCACGCCCAGCCCTTAAAATGTTATTTTTAATGCTACTTTATTAAGTTGATTAGATAATTATACCAGGAGAGTACACATACCAACAACTGATATGTTTAAAGTTTTATTCATAATATTACATTAAAGATATTTTAAACTTTCAACAATGTTAGTATTATGTGTCACATGATATATTTTGTGTTTAAGGAAGAGGCATTATTTAAGTATATCTTCCAAAAGTTTGACTTGGCAATGATGGCATTGAGGAGGTTTGAACAATGCATGAGTCCCAAGGGTAACCTTTTTGATAAACATATTAATGACTGAATCTCTTTGGCCTTTTCATTTTTTCCTTAATTAAAAAGTGTGGATTGATTATTTTTCTTTTTTATTTAAACCTCACTCATACTTTTAGTAAGTATTAATCTGATAACTTTATTTAAAAATTATTATTCGTTGACTTTTTGACTCAGGCATTATTATATGTATAACAAAATCTAAATTTAACTCAGTTATCTTTTTTGTTTTTCAAGATAAATTTCAAGATATCCTGCTTGTCTTTTCTTTTTCTTTTTGAGACTGTCTCACCCTGTCACCCAGGCTGGAGTGCAGTGGTGCAATCTTGGCTCACTGCAACTGCCGCCTCCCGGGTTCAAGTAATCCTCCCACCTCAGCCTCCTGAGTAGCTAGGATTACAGGTGTGTGCTACCACGCCTGGCTAATTTTTTTGTATTTTCAGTAGAGATGGGGTTTCACCATGTTGGCCAAGCTGGTTTCGAACTCCTGACCTCAAGTGATCCGCCTGCCTTGGCCTCCCAAAGTACTGGGACTGTAGGCAGGAACCACTGCACCTGGCTGTCTTTTTTTTTTTGTATTTATTTCAAAATATTCTGTTTGCATCCATGTTAAGTTTAGGTAGAGAATTCTGTTCTGCTGTTTGTTCTTTTGTTCTTTAATGCTTTTACTTAAAATTTAGGGGATTTAAGGAGTTTTAAAAAACATTTTCAACATTATAATATATACATATATAAAAACATTGAACAAAACAGCTATATAATAGCCATTTAAAAATATTCCTGGATTTAGCTCAAGTTGGTCTTTTGCTTGTTCTTTTTTTTTTTTTTTACCCCCGAGACAGAGTCTTGCTCTGTCACCCAGGCTGGAGTATAGTGGCACGATCTCGGCTCACCGCAACCTCCACTTCCCGGTTTGCTTGTTCTTATACCCCCCGCCTACACATACCTTTTAAAATCTCTTTAGAAAAAAGTGGTTTCTCATGCTTAGATTCAAAAATTTTTCTTAATTTTCTAGGATAGTTTTTTAAAAAATCAACTTATAGGCTGGGCACAGTGGCTCACGTCTGTAATCCCAGCACTTTGGGAGGCTGAGGCAGGCCGATCACAAGGTCAGGCGTTCGAGACCCGCCTGGTCAACATGGTGAAACCTCATCTCTACTAAAAACACAAAAATTAGCTGGGCATGGTGGCGTGTGCCTGTAGTCCCAGCTACTCAGGAGGCTGAGGCAGAAGAATCGCTTGAACCCGGGAGGCGGAGGTTGCAGTGAGCCAAAGATAGAGCCACTGCACTCCAGCCTGGGCGACAGAGCTAGACTTTGTCTCAAAAAAAAAAAAATCAACTTATAAAATGAAAACTGAATAAAGTTATAGTTCTGAGATTGTCATATACTATTAGGCAACAATATGATTATGACTATTAATCATGGAGACCTTCAGTGGAAGAGTTAGAAACCACTCATGTGTTTTTAACACCAGAGCTGACGATTTTCCTTTAGGTGAGTAAAAAAAATTTAACATTTTGGTGCCATCTTTGGTGAAGAACTTTCCCTATTTATAACTTACAGATTAACAGCCATGCAACAGAATGGAGTCCCAGCCACCCAGGAGAGGATGCAGTGGCGTCTTTTGCTGATGTTGGATGGGTAGCCAAAGAAGAAGGAGAGTGTTCAGCAAGACTAAGGTTAGTTTGGAAGGCTATCAGAACTGAGATGCAATATCTATTTTTTTAAAGAATGATATTATTTGCAGTACTTATTTTTAATAGCCTAATTTTATCTCTAGTAATGCACCCTCTTCTTTTTCTTGAACAGTCTTCTTTTCTGTTTATTTTCCTTTTTTTCTGAGATTGGGTCTTGTTCTGTTTTTCAGGCTGGAGTGCAGTGGTGTGATCTTGCTTCACTGCAGCCTTGACCTCCCAGGCTCATGTGATTCTCCCACCTCAGCCTCCCAAGTAGCTGGGATCACAGGCATGCACCACCAACCCTGGCTAATTCTTTTTTTTTTTTTTTTTTTTTAGATAGAGTCTTGTTCTGTCACCCACGCTCCAGTGCAGTGGCGTGATCTCGGCTCATTGCAACCTCCACCTCACAGGTTCAAGCGATTCTCCTGCCTCAGCTTCCTGAGTAGCTGGGGCTACAGGCACGCACCACCACACCCAGCTAATTTTTGTATTTTTAGTAGAGATGGGGTTTCGCCATGTTAGCCAGGCTGGTCTTGATCTCCTGACCTCAGATGATCCACCCGCCTTGCCCTCCTAAAGTGCTGGGATTACAGACGTGAGCCACCACGCCCAGCCTATTTTTTACTTTTTTTGTAGAGATGAGTTTTCACCATGTTGCCTAGGCTAGTCTGTTCGTTTTCAAGACTTGACTAGTATTTATAAAGTTTTTAGAGACATATAATTATGTCCTAAGTCCTCATTGACAGAATTCTTTGTCCTTCAGCAGTTTACATTCTAATGTAAGAGACCAGAAACAATGATCATTAATTTTTAGATAAGTACAGTAATTATAATGGTCTCATTGGGGCAAAGGGATCAATCTGGATCATAGTAGAGAATTTGTGTAATTGGAGAATGTTTCCTAAAAATTTTGAGTCAAAAGGAGATTAAGAAGGAAATCAGTTGATACTGTAAAGTCTACAAAGTAATTACAGATGGTCACTGCAGGATGAGAGATGTTCAGCAAGACTTCTCAGGAGGAAATGCTAGAGCTCCATCATGAGGGCTGAGTGGGAGCCAAGTAAATGGAAGGCTGGTATTCCTGGAAGAGTAAAGAACTTGTTTAAAGGTAAAACCAGGAGACATTGTGGCATGTTTGGGAACTGCCAGATGGCTCAATGAGACTAGAGAGCAGAAAAGAAGGATAAGCTGTGGGAGATGAGGACGAGAAGTAGGTAGAGGTTTGAAGGTCTTACACGTGACTCTAAGAAACATAGAAAAGTTCACGTTTGTGGAAAGCAATATAGAACCTGAAAGCAGTGTGGAACCATGGAAGAAATTTGAGCACTAGTAAAATCAACATGTAAACAGTATGAAGAATAGAAAAGAGCCAGACCAAGAAATAGACCAACTAGGAGATGATCAGAATTTAACTGAATTAAGAAACTGGCAGAAGAGGTTCAAAGCCAAGTGAGATTCATAAGAATTAAAATGACATAGAAACTTATTAGATATGGAGATTAACGAAGGAAGAGCCTACGTAGTCAGAGTCTAGTTATCCTAAATTCTCAGGTTTCCATGTAGGATAATTATAAGGATGGTGAAACAATTTTTTTTTTTGTTTTGTTTTTGAGATGGAGCCTCACTTGGTTGCCCGAGTGAGGCTGGAGTGCAGTGGTGCGATCTGGGCTCACTGCAACCCCCACCTCCCGGGTTCTATCAATTCTCCTGCCTCAGCCTTCCGAGTAGCTGGGATTCCAGGTGGCTGCCATGATGCCCAGCTGATTTTTGTATTTTTAGTAGAGACGGGGTTTCACCACGTTGGCCAGGCTGGTCTTGAACTCCTGACCCCAGGTGATCCACCTGCCTTGACTTCTCAGAGTGCTGGGATTATAGGCGTGAGCCACCGCACCTAGCTATAATGTATAGGAATATAGGAAAACAGATTGTTTTGGCTGGGGGTAATAAGAGAGGGTAGTCTAGTCTGGAATATATTATGTTTGAGTTTTCTGTGAGATATTCACCTTGATCTAGAAACAGTTTATGTGAATGGATATTGGTAAGGAAGGCCTATACTCTATAACATTTAGATAGAACGGCTGAATATGAGAGTGCCCAAGAAGCATGTATAGAACGTGAAGAGCATTTGTACCCTGAGTGAAGCCAGCATTTTGAAGTTAAAGGAAAGAAAAAGCCTCCTCCCCCATCACCCTCCCCAACCCCAACCCATCACCCAAAGAGCTAAGCGGCAGGAGAAGACCTGGTAGAGGGTATTGTTATGGAAGCAGAGGAGGTAGAGTTTTTATTGAAGAGGAGTAGTGATCAGTGTCAAATACTTAGAGGCTGGGTAAATAGAAAAACTAGCAAGTTTCAATTTTGTTTTTCAGTTGGAAGATTATCATTGACTTCAGCAAGAGTAATTTCATTTGAGTAGTATTAGCTGGATAAAATAAGAATAAAATAAGAGCAAACAAGGAATTTGATTTGAATGACAAATAGAAATAAGGACATAGCAGTAGATAAACACAGGGATTGCAGGATTAGCAGGTAAAGAGCCTTTCTTTTTTAAGATGTTTATTTTATTTAAACTTTTTATTTTGAGATAATTGTAGATTCTTCACATGCATATTTATAAGAAACAATACAGAGAAATTCCCCATGCTTTTCACTCAGTCTCCTTCAATGGTAACATCCTGCAAAACTATAGTACAATATCACAGCAGGGTATTGATGTTGATAAGTCAAGATGCAGGACATTTCCATGCTACAGAGATCCTCCAGTTGCCCTGTTATAGCCACACATACTTCTCTTCCATCCCCAACCTCAACTCCTTCTTAATGGCTAGCAACTACTAATCTGTTCATTTTAACTATTTTATCATTTAAAGAATGTTACATACATTGAATCATGTAATATGTAACTTTTTTTTTTATTTTTTTGAGACAGAGTCTCACTCTGTCACCCAGGCTGGAGTGCGGGGATGCAGTCTTGGCTTACTGCAACCTCCGCCTCCTGGGTTTAAGCAATTCTCCTGCCTCAGCCTCCCAAGTAGCTGGGGTTACAGGTATGTGCCACCATACCTGCCTAATTTTTGTATTTTTAGTGGATACGGGATTTCACCATGTTGGCCAGGCTGGTCTTGAACTCCTGACCTCAAGTAATTCATCTGCCTCGGCTTCCCAAAGTGCTGGGATTACAAGTGTGAGCCACCGTGCCTGGCCAATATGTAACCTTTTGGGACTGGCTTTTTTTTTTTTTTTTTTGAGACAGAGACTCACTCTGTCACCCAGGCTGGAGTGCAGTAGTGCGATCTCAGCTCACTGCAACCTCTACCTCCTAGGTTCAAGTGATTCCCCTGCCTCAGCCTCCCAAGTAGCTGGGATTACAGGCGCCTGCCTCCATGCCTAGCTAATTTTTGTATTTTTAGTAGAGACGGAGTTTCACCATGTTGGCCAGGCTAGTCTCGAACTCCTGACCTCAGGTTATCTGCCTGCCTCAGCCTCCCTAAGTGTTGGGATTACAGGCGTGAGCCACCGCGCCTGGCCAAACAAAGGTGTCTCTCCAAGTCGGAATCAAACCAGCACCTAAGAATGGCCACGGGCGTGCACCTACAGTCCTCCGCTCTACCAGCTGAGCTATTGAAGAGGGCAGGACTGGCTTTTTAAACTCAGCATTATTCTCTGGCTATTCATCTAAATTGTTGTGTGCATCAAGAGCTTGATCCTTTTTAATTGCTCAGTAGTAGTCATTGGTATGGATGTATTACAGTTTGTTTAATCATGCAGTAGTTGATGGACATCTAGGTTGATTCCAGTTTTTGGCTGTTAAAGAAAGTTAGTATATAAACATTTGTGTATAGGTTTTTGAGTGACTGACTATAAGTTTTCATTTTTCTGGGATAAATGTCTATGAGTGCAGTTGCTGGGTCAAATAGTAGTTACTTAGTTTTTCAAGAAACTGACAAGCTGTTTTCTAGAGCCTATTTCATATCCCTCTGGCAGTATATGGCTAATTCAGTTTCTCTGCGTTATTTCCTTAATAGCTAATGATGTTAAACATCTTTTTATGCCATATGTGTATTCTTTCAGGTAAAACGTATCGTGTCTTTTGCTTATTTTCTAACTGGATATTTTTAAGATTTCTTTGTATATTCTAGATATGAATCCTTGTCACATATATGGTTTATAAATATTTTCTCCTACTCTGTGGCTTGTCTTTTCATACATTTAATGGGGTCTTTCATGGAGCAAAAGTTTTTCGTTTTGATGAAGTCTAATTTATGTATTTTTTTATTGATCGTGCTTTTGGTGTCAAATCTAAGAGCTCTTTGCCTAGCCCTAGATCCTGAGACTTCTTTTTCCCTAAGAGGTTTATAGTTTTATATTTTACATTTGAGTCCATGATTTTTTTTTTTCTTTTTTTTTTTTTCAGAAGGATCTGGCTCTGTCACCCGGGCTGGAGTGCAGTGGCATGATCATAGCTCACTGTAACCTCTGCCTCCTGGGCTCAAGCGATCCTCTCACCTTAACCTCCTAAGTAGCTGGGGTTACAGGTGTATGCCACCATGCCTGGCTGTTTTTTGTAAAGATGGGTTTTCGCCATGTTGCCCAGGCTGGTCTCAAACTCCTGAGCTTAAGCGATCCGCCCACCTTAGCCTCCCAAAGTGCTGGGATTACAGGTATGAGCCACTGTGCCCAGCCTTAAATTCGTGATTCTTTTCAAGTTAATTTTTTCATACAGGTTGAGCAACCCTAATTTGAAAATCCAAAATCAGAAGTGTTCCAAACTCCAAATTTTTTAAAAATGGAATTAAAAAAAAACTTTTAGGTTCGGGGGTACATGTGCTGGTTAGTTACATGGGTAAATTGCATGTTATGGATGTTTGGTGTACAGATTATTTCATCACTCAGGTAATAAGCATAGGACTCAATAGGTAGTTTTTTGATCCTCACCTTCTACTCTCAAGTAGGCCCTGGAGTGTGTTGTTCCCTTCTTTTTTTTTTTTTGAGACAGAGTTTCACTCTTGTTGCCCAGGCTGGAGTGCAATGGCACGATCTCGGCTCACTGCAACCTCCACCTCCTGGGTTCAAGCGATTTTCATGCCTCAGCCTCCCAAGCAGCTGGGATTACAGGCGTGCACGACCACGCCCACCTAATTTTTGAATTTTTAGTAGAGACAGGGTTTCACCATGTTGGTCAGGCTGGTCTCGAACTCCTGACATCAGGTGGTCACCTGCCTTGGCCTCCCAAAGTGCTGGGATTATAGGTGTGAGCTACTGCGCCCAGCCGTTCCCTTCTTTTTGTCCATGTGCACTCAGTGTTTAGCTCTCATTTACAAGTGAGAACATGTGGTATTTGGTTTTCTGTTCCTGTGTGAGTTTGCTTAGGATAATGGCTTCCAGCTCCATCCATGTTGCTGCAAAGGAATGATCTCCTTGTTTTCTGTGACTGTGTAGTATTCCATGGTGTCTATCTACCACATTTTCTTTATCCAGTCTACCACTGATGGACATTTAGGTTGGTTCCGTGTCTATGCTGTTGTGAACAGTGCTGTGATGAACACGTGTGCTTGTGTCCTTTTGGTTAGAATGATTTATTTTCCTTTAGGTATATACCCAATAGAGGGATTGCTGGGTCAAACAATAGTTCTCTTTTAAGTTCTTTGAGAAATCTTCATATTCCTTTCCACAGTGGCTGAGCTAATTTACATTCCCACCAGCAGGGTATAAGTATTCCCCTTCTTTGCAACCGCACCAGCATCTCAGGCAGTGGGCAGGGCCATAAAGCTCCCAAGCAATTATGTCCTTTGTCTCTGGAGTTCCTCAGCTTTCCCACAGAGCCTGTAGCTGCAATCCACCTCCTTCAAAGTGTCTGTGGATTCTCTGGCTTTCCTGGTATGTTCCTGCAGTAGTTCTTGGAGCAAAAGTTCACCATGTGGATCTCTACACGCTGCTCTGTTTGTCCAAGTGGGAGCCGCAAGTTAGTCCTGCCTGCTCTCTGCCATCTTCCCCGAATGGAATCTACCCTTCTGTGTTTATAACTTACAGTTTAAGTCCCTATAGAAACAAATTCTATTTAAGACTGTTCATATGTTGCAGTTTGTTTTTCTGCCTCTCATATTTATATTTGTATGAAAGCTGAAGCTCTTCAATATATTTCTTCCTTGAAATTTATGTTGATGACATTTCTATAACAATTATTTATAATGTCATACTATTATGTCTCCAGGAAAACAGGATACATATGAGTCTTTCATAATTGGTTATTATAGAAATGATTTTTTTCAAATGCACCGAACTTGAGATTTTTATTTATAAACTAGAAGTACAGGCCGAGTGTAGTGGCTCATGCTTATAATCCCAGCACTTTGGGAGGTCGAGGTGGGTGGGTTGCTTGACCCCAGGAGTTCAAGACGAGCCTGGGCAACATGGCAAAACCCCATCTCTACAAAAAATACCAAAATTCGCTGGGTGTGGTGGTACACACCTGTTGTCCTTGCTACCTGAGAGGCTGAGGTGGTAGGATTGCTTGAGCCTGGGAGGTCAAGGCTGCAGTGAACCATGAATGCACCACTGCATTCCAACCTCAGCAATGGATCGAGACCTATCTTAAAAAAAAAAAAAAAAAGAAAAAAGAAAACAAAAAAAAGGGCAGCATATTTCTGTGGAATAGAAGTATTCTACTTTGAGAAGAGAATTTTCAATAACATGAGAAAACTGTTAGTACAGTGGCATGCACAAAGTAAGGCCTCATTGTTTTTTCTCTTTTCTGTACACATTTTCATTTCCTTTTTAACTAACAGAAGCATTGACATCCTGATAACTGATAATCTCATCTAAGATAATGTGTTCTCTTTCATAGTAGTATTCTAAGGAGAACGTATAGTCTGTGAAAGGAAAATAAACCTTGGGACTCCCAAATCACTAAGCCAAAGGGAAAAGTCAAGCTGGGAACTGCATCAGGCAAACCTGCCTCCCAAAGCTTTGCATCAGAGCAAAGCTGCCTCTGTAGCTATGTAAGATAGCTACATTATAAAAAAGCTACATACCTCTCTTACAATTTGCCTGCTAGGAAATTCCTTGTGGGCCCCAAGATCCTTACCCTAAAACAGTTCTGCTAAATTTGACTCTGACAATGTGAACTGATAGCTTTTCTTCACAGGTATTGGAAAAGGACGGAACTCAAAAGTTACCCCTCTGCTCACCTGAGACAAATGCATATCTGATTGCTTCCTCTGCCCTATGTTTATTTTATGTAAAAATGCAGATTTACTGAACTAGAGGAATGCCTACGTGACTATTCCTCTACTGCCCCTCACATGTGAACAGCTGATCAGAGACTTAAAAGAATGTAAACTTTTGTCTCTTATCTACCCCCACCTTTTAAAAATTTCTTCCTCTTTCTCTAATATCTGCCCTTTCTCCTTTAAATATTGAAGCCCTCAAAATCATCTTTGGAGAAAGGCACTGATCTGTCTCCCAGGTGCACATCTTTAACCTTGGTAAAATAAACTTCTAAATTGTTTGAGACCTGTCTCAGATACTTTTTGGTTTATAAGTCTTTGGATAAATATACAGTATAACATTTGTACTGTATGATGAAATTAAAGACTGTAATCTCTGAAGCCTTTAGTTGACATCATAGACATTGTCATCAAGCGTTTGATTGGTTCCAAAGTAGAAGAGCAGCTAAGGAGTTTTGAAATATTTCAAGTTTAATTTGTTCATTCTATATTAATATATTAATTTCTAGTTGTATCCAGTTCTTCTGTAGAGTGTCACAATATCAAGCTCACTTACTAAATACAAATTTATAGGTTCATAGGGCTTAAAAATGTTTCGGATAGCTGTTTTCCTTATCCTAGGATGCTTGCAATCTAATGAGGAAGATGAACATACTTATAAAAGTCTGTAATATAAGGATAGTGAATAAAGTGAGACTGAGGTGATGATATCCAGCTTAATTTTTCAAGTGTCAGCATGAAGTATAAGATGGAATGTGCTGTTTTTTAAGGAGTGTCAGGGAAGATCCCCAACCTCTTAGAGGGTGACAGAGTAGCAAGAGTCCATAGGAAATACTTAACAAGCAAGCAGGCTGGCTCCACAGTGCCAGAGGTGCAAGAGTAGGCCAGGAGACTCGGTGGATCAGAGCAAGGTTTCCTACTCACAGCACATCAATCTGCAGATGTTACTGGTTTCTATTTTATTCTTCATTACTTGACAGTAGACATGAACTGATAAACATATGTTATTAAAATAGTATATTCAAGGGAGAAAGATTATTTTTGTTAAATACCACTTTTAGGAAGATTGAACTTCTGAAATATAAAACAACAGAAGGGTTGTGTTGAACAGAGCCTAAAACAGCTAATGAGGGAATCCCACTAGTTTTCTAGGTCTGTAGCCTACAACACTCCTGCCTGTTCCCACTGTAGATTTCTCATGGATTGCTTCCTCTGTCAAAATGATTTCCCATTCTGGTTGTCTTTATCCAGCCACTTGCCCACTTTGAAAAGACTGTTAGTTTTCTTTTCTTTGTTTCTTTTCTTTCTTTCTTTCTTTTTTTTTTTTTTTTTTTTGAGACAGAGTCTTGCTGTGTTGCCCAGGCTGGAATGCAGTGGCATGATCTTGGCTCACTGCAACCTCCACTTCCCGGGTTCAAGCGATTCTCTTGCCTCAGCCTCCCAAGTAGCTGGTATTACAGGCACCCGCCAACACACCCAGCTAATCTTTGTACTTTTAGTAGAGATGGGGTTTCACCATGTTGGCCAGGCTGGTCTTGAACTCCTGACCTCAAGTGATCCGCCTGCCTCAGATTATTCGTTTTCTACCAACTTTATATTTCAGGAAACTAAATTACCAGTTTTTTTTCCCTGGATTCTAGGACAATAGAGTATGTTTTTTTACCTTTCAAGGTTGTTCTGTAAACTAAAAAGATGAGGGAGGGTCAGTAGAAATCATTTTGGGAATAGGGCACATCTAATTTAAAACTGTGTCAGATTTTGAGTTTCCCTTACCTGTGAGATGAGGGGACAGGACCCCAGAGGTGTATTATATTTAACTTAGGGTTCTTTGATATGGGTGAGGAGCTAAAAAGGCCTTTGCATTTATGTAAATTGTGCTACAAAAGTGGCTTCCCTTGACAGTAACAAGGAAAAAAGAGAGCTAGATAATTCAGTGTAGTGTTATTCTAAGTAAGAACCTGTGTGCCTTAGGGAATTTTGGACCCAATATAAACAAAATATAACCAAAACAAATGAATGAAACCAGTAGAAATCTCACTAGCAGAAATTGGTATCCAGAAAATGGTTTTAAGAAACATCAGTTAACTGTTAAACGTTTAAGGTAATGGAAAAAAAAAAAAAGGAAAGGAAGAAATATCAGGCCTGCATAATATATAATCCCAACACTTTGGGAGGCTTGAGGCCAGGAGTTCATGACCAGCCTGGGCAACATTGTGAGACCCTGTCTCTTAAAAAAAAGAGAAAAGAAAAAAATTAGCCAGGCATGGGTGGCACGCACCTATAGTCCTAGCTACTCAGGAAGCTGAGGCAGGAGGATCACTTGAGCCTAGGAGTTGGCAGTGTGGGTAACAGAGCGAGATCCTGTCTCAAAAAGAGAAACATCACCCTTTGGCTGTTTATCTTCTGTTTTTGGTACATCCATGCTTGATGTCTCTGGTTTTTTTTTTTTTTTTTTTTTTTTTTTTTTTTGAGATGGAGTCTTGCATTGTCATCCAAGCTGGAGTGCAGTGGCGTGATCTCGGCTCACTGCAACTGCCGCCTCCCAGGTTCAAGTGATTCTTGTACCTCAGCCTCCCAAGTAGCTGGGATTACAGGTGCCTGCCACCATACTCAGCTAATTCTTGTATTTTTAGTAGAGACAGGGTTGCACCCTGTTGGCCCAGGCTGGTCTTTAACTCCTGACCTCAGGTGATCCACCCACCTTGGGCTCCCAAAGTGCTGGTATTACAGGTGTGAGCCACCCCACCTGGCCTCTTTGTTATTTTTGTTTTTGTATTTGTTTTTATTTCTTAAAATTTCTATGAATTACAAAAATTCTTGCAAGAGTCTATCCTTATTTTGGATTTATTCTGTCTTTGTAATCTAGTTCTTAATAGCCCTCTGTTCTTAAGGATAGCAAAACAGATTGG
This sequence comes from Homo sapiens, assembly GCF_000001405.40. Classification (NCBI taxonomy): domain Eukaryota; kingdom Metazoa; phylum Chordata; class Mammalia; order Primates; family Hominidae; genus Homo; species Homo sapiens. Next base: position 65,703,892 of record NC_000008.11, read on the forward strand.
TTTTAAGAATGAATGGTTTGTTGACTGTCTTAAAAAATAACGCAGGGCTCGGTGGCTCATGCTTGTAATTCGAGTACTTTGGGAGGCCAAAGCTAGAGGATCCTTTGAGCCACGGAGTTATACCAGCCTGGGCAACATAGGGAAACCCTATCTGGGCTCTTAAACCTTCATAGGTCCTATAATTACTATGTTTGAGCCCATAAATATTAAAGTATTTCACATAAGGAAATGCTGAATTATATAATTAAAGACAGAAAAGTAGTATAAAGTACAGTTCTTCACTGTTAATTAAATTGTTTTGTCAAAGGTCCTAAACTTTTTTGCTCTTACCCTGGCACAATAGTGTTCAAGATTAAAGAGTAATTTGTCCTTTATTTTCAGTAAAAAAAGCAAAAAGATAAAAATTCATCATGCAAGGTATGGGGAGATATAGAAAGTTAATCCTTTTCAGACATAACCACTTTGAAGGGCATAAAAAGCTTCTTCTTAGTTCAAATCAAAAGAAAACGTCAATTAGCAAAAACTTTGCTAAAATCTGTGATGCCTCTTGATGGAGTTGGTTTGTGCATATTATGTAGAGATTGACTAAGAAAAATGATGGCAGCAAGAACCCCAGCTGTGGTATGTAACTACATAAGGTTGACAAATGCTTTGCTGTTTTTGTCCTTACACGAAGGGACTTATGTAAGATCAGCCTGAAAAGAGGTTCTTGGGTGTTAATGCGGATACACTGTCAGGTGAGGATGGTGTTTCACGTTCTCTTACAAAGCCTGTGACAGCCCACCTTATGTCTTCCTTGCAGGACAGAGGTCAGATCAAGGCCACCCCTTCAGGATGACCTTCTTTTCTTTGAGAAGGCCCCAAGCAGACAGATTTCCTTACCAGACTTGTCTCAAGAAGAGCCTCAGCTGAAGACCCCAGCGCTGGCAAATGAGGAAGCACTGCAGAAGATTTGCGCTCTCGAAAATGAACTTGCTGCTCTCAGAGCTCAGATTGCCAAAATTGTGACCCAGCAGGAGCAGCAAAATCTCACTGCAGGTCTGTAAGTCCTACATTTGTTAGTTTTAACTTGCAAACTAGAAGTTAGGAGAATGCTACTTACTTTAAAATCAATTAGTAACAGCTATTGGGGTTCTTAGAAAACCAGGTGTCATCCAGGTACGGTGGCGCATGCCTGTAATCCCAGCACTTTGGGAGGCTGAGGCAGGCAGATCACGAGGTCAGGAGACCGAGACCATCCTGGCCAACATGGTGAAACCCCATCTCTACTAAAAATATAAAAATTAGCTGGGCGTGGTGGCATGTGCCTGTAGTCCCAGCTTCTTGGGAGCCTGAGGCAGGAGAATCTCTTGAACCTGGGGGGTGGAGAACCAAGTGAGCCAAGATCATGCCACTGCACTCCGGCCTGGCGACAGAGCAAGGCTTCTTCTCAAAACTAAACAAAAAACAAACAAAAAAACCAGGTGTCAGTCCTTTTTGCATAGTCCAACAACAACCAGGTCAGGTTTAGATGGTGTTCATTTTGAACAATCTTGGTGCTGTCAGAGAAGATGACTAGGAAGTATCTTTTGGAAAACACTGGAATTCATACAGTTGAATTGCTATATAGTGGATGCTTTCCTTTCTAATGGGAAACTTAGTTGTCTAGGATAATGGCACCAACCATATCAGACATGAGGTAATGCCATGGGTTGCTATCTACTTGGTGAAAGGAGCCTGGGTTTCTGTGTGGTACGTGTTGGACTGAGTGGTGTTTACTACCTGCATGTCTTGATGCAAGCACTTGACATCTCACCTGCCTTTACTGCTCTAAAATGGGGATAATAGTACCTATGTTACTGAGTTATTGTGAGAATAAATATGGAAAGTATATAAAATGCCTTTAACACAAAGCAGCTATTTAATAGTTATTCTTCTTCCTTTTGCACAGAGTAGAACCTGAATTCAAGTCTTCTGGTCTAACACCATTGGGTTTATTAGTGTGACATTCTCACATTGGGGAGGAAACTATAGCCTTGAAATTCTAGCCCACTAACCTATTGGCAAGTAGTGGTTATTTTCCTATTGTTGTTTCCAAGGCCTGGCAAGACTCAGTATTAACCAGCTCTGTTGGATAAGGACAATTAATTACCCTGCCTCTGAGCCACTTGGCTTATACTTCTGGAGTTTAACGTAATCCAGCATGGAAACCTCATTTGACCTGGGCATGGCAGAGGTGGGTGGGGGTGGAGGCACTCTGGGCGCTGATGCTGGACTGTGCTTATGCCTGTAACTTGCTAAAATTCTCCACTCCTACCTTTTTCTTGTCTTAAATTGATTTTTCCTTTTGCTTTACCTCCCTCTTCTGGCTGACTGGGAAAGTGCTACCATAAATAGATAATTTTGAAGCTCTATTTATAAGCTGAAACTTTTGAGTAAAAATCTTTTACATCAACACCTCCCCAATCAAACTAGTTCACCCAATAAACAACTTTCTAACCTCCAGTTATGCAGAAAGAGGATTTTTAGGTCCTTACTTCATTTCCATAACTCTTAGTTACTTCTTGTTTTAGAGACAGGGTTTCACTGTGTTGCTCAGGCTGGTCTTGAACTCCTGAGCTCAAACTACCTGCCTTGGCCTCCTAAAGTGCTGGGATTACAGGTGTGAGCCACTGAGCCCAGCCCAGTGCAGGCTTTTAATGCTTAGTAAGTCTTATATGAAAATATACTTAAAATGAGTCACAAATTTGTTAGTTTTCTCAAATCATTAAAATAATACTAAATTGTCAAATTGTATGTAATGTAGACTTGTTTTTGCAGTACTTTGTTTTATATTTCTGTTAAAAGTGATTACAAACTGTGCTGTAGTCAAACTTGAACATTTGATATCACAAAAACACCTCTGTTAAGTTAAATAGAAATTTTCCATCTGGATAGTTTTGGATTGAATGATACAGTGGCTGAGATTCAGGCATTTCTCATGAAGTAACTGAAACTGTCTTGCTTCTTACATAACTGAAACGTTAAGAATATTGTTTTTAGGGGTACAAAAATCTTTAACATCATTTTGCTTTTAAAAACTGATATTTTCTTTGCTTAATACCAGTGGGATTAAGTTTGTTTTCCTTTGTTTCTGTAGGTGACTTAGATTCTACCACATTTGGTACCATACCACCACACCCTCCACCTCCCCCACCGCCCCTGCCTCCCCCTGCACTGGGGCTCCACCAAAGTACATCTGCTGTTGATCTGATTAAAGAACGAAGAGAGAAAAGAGCCAATGCTGGAAAGACTTTGGTTAAGAACAATCCAAAGAAACCTGAAATGCCAAATATGCTAGAGATCCTTAAAGAGATGAACAGTGTAAAACTTCGGTCAGTGAAGAGGTGAGGATACATTCACCTTCTTTCTTCCCCATTTGTTTGTCTTATAAAACCAAAGTACCAGGCTTCTTGAGGAATTTTGTTTATAACATGACTGCCATGAATAGTTTTTAGTTTAAAAAAAAGATGAGCCCCAGTGGCTTCTATACACAGTAGCTAAGAGATTAGCAAAATAAGCTAACATTTCCCAGGTGATGTTTTTAGTTTTCCCATTTTATTTAAATATCAGCCTTTTCATGTAAAGTCTTCACTGCAGTTGCTCAGTGAGCATTCACTAATTCAATAAAGGCGTGCTGTGTACCACTAGCATAGTCACTAGACATGCATGGAACAGGGAACTCTATTTGCCCTGAAGGAGAGTAGAGTCCATGTTCTGCAGACATATTACATGGCCCTTTATTGGACTTCTGTGTGCTTTTGTTGAGCATTAGCTCTAGGCTTCCATCTCAATGCTAGCAGTATTTATCAGGTCTCTATGGAGTAGCTATGATGCTGGAGAGGTGCTGTCAGGCAAAAGGTTGACAAAGTACTTCCCTGAGGGTGGCCAGTGTATTGATCTGTCCCCTTGGTTTGTGTTCACTTCTCTAAGGTCAGAGCAAGATGTGAAGCCCAAGCCAGTGGATGCTACTGACCCTGCTGCCCTCATAGCAGAGGCTCTGAAAAAGAAATTTGCTTATCGGTATCGAAGTGATAGCCAAGATGAAGTTGAAAAAGGAATTCCAAAGTCTGAATCAGAGGCCACCTCAGAGAGAGTGTTGGTGAGTTATTTGCCCAGATTTCTTTCCTGTTATGTAGAAATCCATCCCATTGCCAAGCACTTGCATTTTGCAAGTGATTCACCTGTGTCATCTGTAAGTTCCAAAGGGAGGTGATACAGGATTTGGTCCCTGCCTTACAAGTAGATCACGGCTGGTTGGGAAAAGGATGACATCTTTGCTTAGCATTTACACTTTTACTTTTCTAACTATGAAAATAATAGTTGTTCATTTGGAAATTTGAAACTTGTAGAAGAGCAGAAAGAAGAAAGCCAAAGTTAACCCCTGAGCTCACTACTAAGTAATCTCCAATGTTACATTTTCTATGCAGGGTTATATTTTTATTTAAGCATAGTGAAGTGAAATTCAGTATAGTAACAATGTATATTTTGTGACATAGAAATTCAAAGTACAGTGAGATCATTTTCTCTCAGGGCACCCTGTGAAAGTCTTCTGAAGAGGGTGACATTTGATGTGGGCCTTGGAGGATGTGTACCATGTCAAAGGTGGAGACTGGGTACATTTCATGGAAGCTCCCACATAATAATTGATACATTCCCTTTATTAACATTACTGTCCTGGGGCGTGTGTGTGCTAATCTATTCCAGAGAGGCAGGCATCTCAGAAATTCCAGCACCTTTGAAACTTCTTAAGACATTGGAAAGGAAACTTTGTACTTTCTCTCTTTACTCAGAGAAGTAAAATTTAACAAAAGCAGGGTATTGCCAAGATGGTTGTAGTTTTCATTTAGAGGAAGCAGTTTGGCTACTTCTTTACCTTTCATTCTGTTGATATGTTCTGTGTTCATAACAACCCATCAATTTGTAAAGGTTTTAATATTCCCAGTAGTTGCTTGGTTTTTCATGCAGAACATACCCAGCCCTCTAATCCATGATTGGGAGGTGGGGGCGTATCGTTACTGTTACTTGAACCAATATCTTTATTTATACTTTTTGTTTGTTTCTAGTTTGGGCCACACATGTTGAAGCCAACAGGAAAAATGAAGGCTTTAATTGAAAATGTATCAGACTCCTAATAGACAATGAGCTGCGAAAAGACTCCTGGTTCCCCTGTTGATTTGTGAGGGCCAAGTTTGCTAGTAGAAATCGACACTGTTTAGTAAATACCTCTTTAGTATTCAGTGGTCTTCTTTTCAGGCTAATTAGTGGATTAAGCAATAATGAAAGCACTAAGTTTGGTTTTGCTTTTGTGAGATGGTCAGCTTTGGTGCTCTCCACAACATGTGTGTTCTGACATGTTTCTAATATGTGGCCAGGGCGTTCAGATTTCCAGTTTTGAAAACAATTGTATAGATTTCACAACACAAAAAGGACATTTGTGGATGTTACTGCACATTTTAAATTCTTAACACTAATTTATCTGTATAAGTGTTTTATATGCATATTTTTGGACATAAACAGTTTATGTAAAATTAGTAATGAATGATGGCAACGAGGGCACTGTTATCTTCGTTTGTTTTCAATGATCATTTAGCATTCAATGATGGAACAGCTGGTATAACATAAGTTGTTGGCATGAAATATTTGAGATTGGAAACTTCTTGCCTTGAACAGAACTTATATCTTAGATTCTCTCTCACATTTTCTTGGAGCTGGGGTTTGAATAGGAACCAGATGATGTTCACTGCTGAAATTCCATAATGCTTCCCATTGAAGGGAAGTTGAGAACCAGGAAAGCTGCTTTCACGTCATTGCCATCCAGTACTGACAGGGAAGAAAGATGTAGTTTTCCAGTAGTGATGAATCAAATTATTGAATTAAATTTCTTCTTAAGAAGTAAAAACTCAGAATGTACCATCTTGTTTCCTTTCAGTTTATTAAATGGCATCATAAAGATGACTTTGCTAAGTTAATAGAGTTAAAAATTTTTTTAATATAAGCCAAAATATTAACTTTAATGAAACATTGACTTGGCAAATGAATTTCCTATAAATTATCATTGGTCAGAATGCTGTTTTGTTTAATAATATTACGCAACATAAACCATAGGTGTTATTAGAAGTGGAGAACTGCCTTTTTCATCTGGGGCTTTTAAGGACTTGCTATAAATGATTATTTTTTAAATGCTTTATAAATCTTCATGGTTTTTCTATTTCTGATACACTCAGCTATAGTTAATACCAGAGTATCCTACCAGGAGTAATATTTGGAATATTTAAATCTAGTAAAAGAAGAAAGTTGTACTTCCTGGCTGGGAGTATTAGGAGATGGGAGTAGAGATTCACTTTTAAGTTCTTGAAAATATATGCATTCTCCTAAATATTAACAAAAATGATTTGGGGAAATGACATGGCTTGATTGTTCTGTTTAAATTTGTACTGTGGCTTATGTTACACATGTTCATGTTCACCTCTCATTCACCTGTTTTATATGGTTTAAAATTCTCTTTAACAAAATTCAGAAAATTCACCTGAAACGTATTTTGACCTAAAAGAAACATATTTTTGTATCAGTATTGAATTTTGGACAGTGCCCCCATATAAGGAAGTTACTGTTTTAAAATAAAGCAAACTAACTGTTTTATTTTCCTTGGACCATAGTGCTTCCATTTTTTCTTTTTTCACAATAGGTAAGATTCTTTTGCACACGTAGCTTCTTTAGAATAATTTTCTTTCTGCATTTTTCAAGTGGAATTATATTCCTTAAAATAAGCTCTTAAAATCACCTCTCATTCACTTTTTCTCATATAAAGAGATCTCAGCATTAAAACAGGACAGTCATGAGGTATCACAGTTGACTCAGGGTTCTCAAACCCATAATCTACTTCTGAGATTGGTGAAATTTGTCTTCCCAGCTTCTCCCACACCCACGTCATTCAGTTTCTAGTTCTTTCACCCAACACAACACCTGAAGTAAAAGACCTTAAGAATAGTTATACCTCAGCTAGGTATGAGAAAGAAAGGTAACTAACTTTCCTATGTTTTGTCTGAGTTCTGATTGAGGGACTCTCATATATATATATAGAGAGAGAGAGAGAGAGAGAGAGAATACAAGACAGAATGGGAAGATCTGAGTCAGAGAACACTGGACTTGGAGCTTTACATGATCCCCTGTTAAATAATTTATCTTTACTTTTGCATTATTTTACACAGGGTCTCTGTAGTTTCCAATAAAATGATTTCTCCAGTGGTCCCTGGCACCTGTAAAAGGCATCATCCTATGCACTTGCTTGTGCAGGCTTGGCATAGGAGGGGTAGGACTTGCAGTCTTTAGTTCTGGTTGTTTCCCCAGTCCCAGGCCCTTCTACATAAGACTTGTGTCTTCTTTCTGTATTAGGAATGCCTATGTGTCTGTCTCTCTGGTGAAGAGGAATACACGTGGTAATAACTAGCAGAAACAAATACTTTGAAAAAACCATAGTTCTGATAACTTCCCCAGAAATAAATAGAAGTTCTCTCTGTGGGATAGAATCTGGCAGACAGAAGTTTAAACTTTCAGGAGTTCGCCCAACAAAGTCAGCGCTGGGATTGCCAGATAGATAGAATGAGGCACTTGGTTTCAATTGCAGTAGGTTCCTGTTTCTGTGTCCTCTTTCCCTTTCTCATCCTAGAGATTTAGCATTCTTCTCTGCTACCCTATTGATCCTATTTGTTAGGATTCTTCTTAGACTTGCCTTGTAAACCTTATAAACAATCTAGCTCTTCCTTGGTCTTGGTAGCCATCCTTTGAGGATGGGATAATAAAAATAGCATAACCAAGTAAGGATCTATAACTTTTGCACACTTCTTCCTTCCAAGACTATTATTATCCTTAGTCTAGTTCATATGGTCTAGAAGCCTTAATGTTCCTAAAGCTGGAACTTCTCTGATACATTCTCCAGCCCCTTGTTAAGGTCACAGAGGGCTCCTTCGATAAGGGCAGAGTAGAACACAAGTGTCCTTTAGACATTTTCAGGAGGGTAAATGTTAAGACAGCTCAAACAGTGCCTCCTGATCATACCAAATGGTTATCCCAGGGCAGTCCTCCATAACCCAATTGGAAAAGCCTTAATTTGGGGAGAAAGGCCAGACTCTTCATAACAAGATTTTAACCAAAGGTATAAAAACATTCTGTTAATGTTGCCTAATGGTCACCCCTCTTCATTAGCCAGATACACTTTTTATCGAAAGGTGAAAGAAAGCGTATTCCCCAGGTACTATGTTGTGGAAACTAGGTATCATTTTAAGGGTGAAAAAGGATACAGCTAGAGCATGGTTGGAAATCATTCTGAAATACTAGCATTGAGTACAAGGGGAGGGAAGTGCATAAGGCACTGACCGCGGGGGCTGAGCTGTCCAGATCCCCCCAACCCCTGCCTTCCCTTCTGCAAGGGGCACGCCTGGTAATGTAGAGACTGCTCTGTAACCCAGGACACAGCCCTGATGAGCTTTTCCAATCAGGTTCTCCCTCATGAATTTGAGTAGGAAGCCTCTAGAGTGAATCAGTGCCAGGAGCTCAAATAAAGATGTTATGAGGTACAATTGTATCCATGTGTTTATATAAGTAGAAATTATCAAGAAATGAACTAAAAAGAATAGCCATAGTAACCTTTGATTTAGCACTTACCATATATCAATAGTTAATTTTACTTTAAGGAACAGACATGTTATAGGTTAGGGAGCCACTCAGAAGATTAGGTAACCTGCCTAAGGACCCAAACCTAGGTCTGACAAGCTGTAAAGACAGTGCTCACCAGAACTGACCATTCCAGCACCTGGATCTCAGATTTCTAGCCTCAAGAACTGTGAGAAATAACTGTTGTTTATAAGTCACCTAGTTTCTGGTTCTTTGTTCTAACAGCCTGAGTGGACTAAGGGAAGCACTATCCTTTCTAGTATTTCCTTCAAAAAATTCATCTTTAGATCTGTAACTTCTTTTACTGATTTCAACTAAGTTAAGGGAACTTGGGAAATCATTACAGTCTCCTGCTGCTTTACAGGACATGGCTCAACAATAAATACTTCAAATCTGTGTTCCGAAATGTCATGTAAATAAATGTACAGCTTAAAGATAGGTGTTGTAATACAAGATGGAATGTCTTGGCAAAGACTTATTGATGGGACCAGTGGAAAGCTTCAGTAAACCAATTACATCACTGTGCTTCAATTTTAAATTATAGCCAACAAGAAATCTAATATTAAAAACAGGAGTGGCCGAGTGCCGTGGCTCACGCCTATAATCCCAGCACTTTGGGAGGCTGAGGCGGGTGGATCACCTGAGGTCAGGAGTTCAAGACCAGCCTGGCCAACATGGTGAAACCCTGTCTCTACTAAAAATACAAAAATTAGCCAGGCGTGGTGGTGCACACCTGTAATCCCAACTACTCGGGAGGCTGAGACAGGAGAACTGCTTGAACCTGGAAGGTGGAGGTTGCAGTGAGCCAAGATCACACCGCTCCACTCTAGCCTGGGCAACGGAGACTCCCATCTCAAACACACACACACACACACACACACACACACACACACACACACACAAACAAAACAAAAACAAAAATGTGTTTCTCTCTTTCCCCCACCATCCTATCAGACTTTAAGGTGGGTTTCAGGACAAGTTAGGACATGTAGGTATAAGACTAAAATATGTAATTGATGAAAGTATTTTACCTAAAGTAGCATATTGAACATTTAAAACTATTTTAGAATCAAATTTGAAGGCTAAGTAACTTTATCGGTCATAGATGTTAACTATTTTTTGAAACAGTCTTACTCTGTTGCCCAGGCTGGAGTGCAGTGGCACAATGTCAGCTCATTGTAACCTCTGCCTCTTGGGTTCAAGTGATTCTCCTGCCTCTGCCTCTCCAGTAGCTGGGATTACAGGCGCACACCACTATGCCTGGCTAATTTTTGTATTTTTTTTTAGTAGAGATGGGGTTTCGCCATGTTGGCCAGGTTGGTCTCGAACTCCTGACGTGAGGTGATCTGTCCGCCTCAGCCTCCCAAAGAGCTGGGATTATGGATGTGAGCCACCACACCCAGCCAACAATTTTAAAAATACAAGAATTACTAGATATGGTGTCATTTTTATCATTACCCGAACAAAACCCTACATTCTCCTAAACAACCCAACACTACTGATACCATACAGAAACCCGCCATATTATATAACATGTTGCACTTATTATTCTGTCACCCAGACATGTTGAGAACAGAAACCAAGGTTTGTAATTTTTAATGCCCCCCTTTATTATATATCTAGTGCCATCTTCTGCACACAACAGAAACTTGGATACTGCTTACCACATGACTCCAGTATAGACGGAAGAGTTTCAATATAATCTCTTAGTAATAAATCGATAGCTAAAAAGGGAACACATTAATTCCAAATTAATTTGTTCAACAAACGTTTATTAATGGCCCAATGTACACCAGCCCTATGGTGAGCACAGGAACCAGGAAGATGGAGGAGACCTGCTGGGTGCTCTCCATCAGCTCACTCCCAAGTGGTGGTCATTCCACCTGTAGACCATGGGCTCTTGGGGGCCTTCCAGATGACACAAGTCATTATTAGCAAGGAACAAGCTGCTAATTCTTGCACAGACCTGTATTACTCCGTGTTTCAAATGTATGCAGATGCTACAGTGATTAATATGCACATTTCTTTGAAAGCAATACTGAATTCCTATTAGCTATTGGTCACTGTGTATTTTCTCAATCAGGAGATACCGATTGAGGGGATTTTAAACAACATTTATACATTAAAATATTTATACATGCTTGAAAACACTGGAAATACCTGATGTGAGAGTTTTAAGAAAATAGAAAGTTTAATAAAAACCAAGAAAGCATTTTGGAAAAAAAGATCATTTTCAGAATCTTCAAGGAATTACTAGCACCTCTAATCTGTACCTCAGGTACAAATATATTTGTTTGCAAAGGACATAAAATATGATTTTTACTTTTATACAGAGTATCATTACCAACCATCACATTTACAGTGAGTACAAATATTGACCAGGAACCAATTTTTCTTTTTTAAAGTTAGGACTTGTCAAAATTTTCTCTCCAAGGACCTTTTACTCCTAGAGCAGAGACTCCCTCAGCCCCTGAAATGTTGAGCCAAGAGGCCCAAAGGGTGGCCATGTGTGTGAAAATTTTTAGTCTCCCATGTAAAATAAATTTTGCATTCTGTTCTGTAATATTTACTTGCTTTTTAAAAAAGTAATCTTTTAAATATTTAACTGTTTCCTAAAATTTTTTAGAAAAAAATATTCCAGTAATATAGGTCGTATTTAAGTGGAGCTATAGGCCTGATGCAGTGTCTCACACCTGTAATCCCAGCACTTTGAGAGGCCACGGTGGCAGGACTGCTTGAGCCCAAGAGTTCAAGACCAGCCAAGCCAACAAAGAGAGACCCTGTCTCTATAAAAAAGTTTTTTTTTTTTTTTTGAGACAGAGTCTTGCTCTGTCACCTAGGCTGGAGTGCAGTAGCACAATCTCTGCTCCTTGCAACCTCCGCCACCTGGGTTCAAGCAATTCTTCCGCCTCAGCCTCCCGAGTAGCTGGGATTACAGGAATGCGCCACCACGCCCAGCTAATTTTTGCATTTTTAGTAGAGATGGGGTTTCACCATGTTGGCCAGACTGGTCTCGAACTCCCGACCTCAGGTGATCCACCCACCTCAGCCTCCCAAAGTGCTGGGATTACAGGTGTGAGCCACCATGCCCGGCCACAAAAATGTTCTTAAAAAATTAGCTGGCCGGGCACGGTGGCTCACGCCTGTAATCCCAGCACTATGGGAGGCCGAGGCGGGCGGATCACGAGGTCAGGAGATTGAGACCATCCTGGCTAACATGGTGAAACCCTAACTCTACTAATAAAGTACAAAAAAATTAGCAGGGCCTGGTGGCGGGCGCCTGTAGTCCCAGCGACCTGGGAGACTGAGGCAGGAGAATGAGGAGAATGGCGTGAACCCGGGAGGCGGAACTTGCAGTGAGCCAATATCGCGGCACTGCACTCCAGCCTGGGCGACAGAGCAAGGCTCTGTCTCAAAAAAAAAAAAAAAAAAAAAAAAAAAAATTAGCTGGGTGGTGTGGTGGCACTCAGGAGGCTGAGGTGGGAGGATTGCTTGAGCCTAGGAGGTGGAGGCTGCAGTGATCATGCCACTGCACTCCAGCCTAGTTAGCAGCGAGACCCTGTCTCAAAAAAAAAAAAAAACAAAAGGGCTATAGAAGGTGATTCCCACATATACATAATAAAACAACTTTTCAATGGGTTTATTATATGTGTAGGCAGGAAATGGGAGCCACACCCACAGTTCCCCTGAGAATGTGGAAATAGGATGATCTTTTCAGTTTCAAACTATAAGAGAAACAATGGATCAGAGCAGAAGCAATCATGTATACAGGCAGAATGGAGCCCAGGTAAGCTCAACTGAAACAAGGCTTGAGGTAATGACGTTATTTAATGCATGTGCCAATCAGAAGCTGATGTAGAGAAGCAACTACTGGCAGAGAATCTCTAGCACCTTCCAGGGGAAGAGGGTACCCTGGTCCACAAACATGAATATCACAGAAGACATGGGTCTTCTGTGCACCCAAAGGGACATGGGTGCACGAGGCAACTTGCTTCCCTTGCTCAGAATCCATGCTCACCAGCTGCTCATAATTTGGCTTCCCAGGAAGATTTGCCTAAAGGGAGAGAATAATTGATAGTTACATTTCTCACTGTAAATTAAAATATTGATAGTGTTTTAAAAAAATAGTTACTGTGAGCTTGGTTAATGTGGGTTTGCCATGATAGTTCCACTCTCTATGTACTGAAACAGTGGGCCTGAATTTTTAAGGATCTGAGTTATCAGACTTTCTGTACACATTAAATATAGGCCAAGGTATGGCCATCTCACGAGAGTGACCAGCTGACCATATTCCTCTACTACCCTCAGACCTCTATACCCACACTGTCCAATATGGTAGCCACTAGCCACATGTGGATATTGGGTGCCTGAGATATGACTAGTCCAAATTGAGATGTGCTGTAAGTACACAATATACACTGGATTTCAAAGACTTAGTACCCCCCAAAAGAATGTAAAAACATCTAATTGTTTTTATATTGACATTTTAAAGTGATACAATATTTTGGACGTATTGGAATAGATGTTACTAAAATTAATTCCATGTTTTCTAAATGTGGCTACTAGAAAACCGAAAATTATGTGGCTTGGATTCTGTTTCTATTGGACATCAACACTCTTCTGTACAAATAATATGTTAATGTGTTTGATTTAGAAGTTTGCACCATATCCCTTCTAATGAGTTGGACCTGGGAAGATATAGGGAATGGCACAGTGGTACCTTGTTTACAACTGATATCAATCAAGTAGAGTGGAGTGGCCTTTTCTTATCACTTTAAAAAGGCCAATGATTGATAGAAATAAATACAACTAGTATTTTAGTACTTGCAAGACTTGCTGATGTCTTATGCAGTTCACCACTGTAGGAACAAAAGGCCTGGCTCAAAGCTGACCTCTCCCCTGTGTTAGTCAGGACTCCAACAGCCCTAACTGGGCTTCTGCTTACTCACTTGCAAGGTGAGTCATTAGTAGATAAGCTCGGACTGAGTAAACATCTGAGGGATGAATTACAAGAGCCAAGAAGCTAACTTTGATTTCCTTGTAATTTAGCATTGTGTTTTCCAAAAGATTGAGTTATAAGGTAAATGTCAAAGATAAAAATATGAAAAGATAGGTTTTTATTCATCAAAAGTTAACAGCAACAGGCACATATTAAAATGAGTATGGCAAAGCCTTTTACAAATGGCTTTACACTCAAGCTTTCTCCCAAGAAAATGGCTGTTGCAACAAACTGTAAACAATTAATAAACAGTCTTTTACAGTAACAAGGGAAATACAAATGAACTAAAAGAAAGCACCGGTTTCTCTTAAAACTAGATTACAGTTGTGCTTACTATACATAAAACAATTTAAAACAAATTACAAAAGTGGAATGTTTGAAGTTTAAAATTAGTCCTTATAGTTTGTCCTAGAAAACATCTGTTCACATCAAAAGGCCCGTCAAAGGGTAACGTTTCATCAAAGGGAGGGACAAGAAAACAATGCACTTTTTTCAAATCAAAACAAGAAGTTTGGTCACTTAGCTATGTGCATAGTTTAAGGCAACTGGAGCAATCTGTTACAGCTTACCTACCAACCTTCCCCTCCCCCGAGTGTGGCTGCTCATTATGTCACATTCTAAAATAATAAATAAAAGCTTACATTTCAAATCTTTGCCCACATGGAGAAACATAACATGCACAGTCACACATGCACAAACATGCACGCAAACACACATCCGTACATTCACACACAACATACCTCTCACTCACTGCAGCGAAAGGGACTTTAGTACCCTTGATCTGAAGGACACACTCTCCCATCCCACTTTTATTTCAGATTGGCAAATACCCTGAGCTGATTATGGTGTTTTAAACATTCCACCTTTTTCTCGCATGTGCAGGTCAAGTGTACAGTAGTGAAAACAACATGCAATGTCTTCACTGCAGAATCATAATACAGCTAGGACATTGGTGTTCTTCCCCTCCCACCCCAAATTAAAAACTAATTGCTAAAAAAAATTGCATTGCCAAACGGCACTGGAGTGAAAGCTTGGCGGTACTCTACGATAAATGCTCAGTTTCCAGTGCATGAAATAAAACTATAGCAAATGGGAGGCTTTGGTGGCATCCAAAGAAGAAAAAGGCAAACCAGGGGGAAAGAGCTGCAGTCTAAAGTTTGATCTTTAAATTTGTTTGAGTGGTTCCTTCACAATCATGCTCCAAGGCAATTTAGAACCAATATTTTCAGAGTTGATTTGTAAACATTGTCTTGCCAGAGGCAGCAGAGGCTGGGCACTTCACATTTCCATTTTCTCAGAGAGAACTTAGTGGAAGGTACAAGATACACATTGTTGCATCAGACTGGTTAAATTCCAAGAGATTGTTGCTGAACAATTCAAGTTTCACGTTTTGAAGATTAGATGCTTTGAAAAAGTCGTGGCACATATCAAAACTTCCTTTGTTACTCCTTTCGGATTCTCTCCTGCTGGGCTTTGCATATTCAAGGTTTCACATGAAAGCCAAATTCATATTGCTGTATGTTCGGGTCTTGCAATTAACAAGTGGGTTCAAATGATCCAACAGAGGAAATCTTGGAAATAAATAATGCTGGCTGGCATCACTCACTTGGAAACCTTGGCAGTCAAGAGTTAAGTTCTCTCACCTCAAGACCCCATTTCACATTTCTAAAAACCTCCAGGAGGCAGTTTGTCCCACTGGTTCTGGGGGTTATGATAACCGATTTTCCTGAGGTAATAACTGTGAGTTCAACTCAAATGCAGCATCAGTGTCCTCACTGCTCGACTGTTCTCTCTGCAGTCCCTTCCAGCTGGCTTTATTCAGCCCCACGTGTCCAAGCATTGTCTGGGATAGCCTTGTATTGGAAAACCTGGCCCATTCTGTAAATAAAGGCTCCACTAGGTAAGTCATAAAACCTTGAGAAAATAGGAGAAAAAGTTATTAACATATATGCTGAAACTCTATCTTTAAAACATCATCTATACAACATTAACCTTCCTACATCCTACTCCAGTATTACCCAGATCTTATTCTTCAAAAGATTCCTGTGTATGTGTAGGTGACAGAGTCTGTAATGTACATATCCACTTTGAAGAACTGATTTCTTAAGTAACTCAATGGAAATTTGAGTAAAAGTGAACTGACAAATATATCTAACCTTTTCTGGTTATCCTTCTCAGTGGCACAACTACATTCTTCTACTTAAGCAAAAATACACTGCCCATCTAAACTCTGAGGATACTCGGGCATAGCCCAATTCGAGGCAGAGTTGCAGTGCAACAACTGGAGGCTAAGAAGGGGTCTCCTTCAGGACTGAGGGTGATGTGGCCTGAACTGAAGTGGAGCTGGCAGTAGTCTACTGCTTTACCCCTCAGGGATGGAATCTTCATGCCTGGTCATGACTACAATTGGTCATTTTATTTAACTCAGAATTTATAAAGGCAAAACTTATGATAAGAGTCAGTCTAAAAATAACAGGTGGGGTTAGTGAAAAAATCATTAAAGTGAACAACAAATGTGTACCAGAGACCTATTTTATAAACAATTCATATAATCTCCCTTAATTCAGTCAGAAAAGGAAAATGAGTGATTTCAGGATTGTTGCATCTTTAGGTTATATAGCACTCCACTGCACATTAGATCTGACTTAATACTAAGTAGTATCTTAAACAAGGTCAAAAGAAGCCCTCTAGAAAATAGCTATCAATCAAATCATATTATATATTGGGAACAAATAACATCTTTATCACATTTTGATCTGTTAAGAATGGGGAAAATATACATTCTGATTCTATCACGCTTTAAAATTTTCTTCATATCCAAGACTCTCGTTGCAGCAAAAGACCATGTGGACCACAGACAACATAGGTTCCATTTATCCAACATAAGAATCTCACCAGAATTAAAGCAACCAGCATCCACTACTTTTAATCAGGAAAGTTATATATGGTCTGATGGCTGAATTTTTTAAGTGTATATAATTATGGTATCTGAAATATTAATTATGTACAATATGTGCAATAAGGCTTTCTTTCTTTCATTGATCCATTCCCTCCACACGTATTTACTGAGAACCTACTATGTCCCCGGCACTATGCCACGGTGGCTGGGTATACAGCAGTGAATAAGACAGACAAGATCCCTGCCCTCAAGGAGCTTATGTTCTGGTGAGGAGAAAGAGATAACAAACATAGAAAAGTGTCATTATAGTCAAAGCACACAGCGGCTTTCTGGCAGCCATCTTCACACTACAGTGTTATGTTGAGCCAGCCACCCAAAGCCCTGTCTTTCCTACGTGCCATAAAGTCATAAGCCACTGGAGTTATCTACCCACATGGCCCTTATTATTATAGGTTTCATACCATTCATCTTATTTCATCCCTCTCACTGTTCCAACTGGTTGAGATCCTTGGGGATCTTACCTCCAACAGCCAACAAATTAGCTATCACTTCTGGCTCTACGTTAACCTAAAATTTCTTTTAGGTTTTAAATACCTGATAAAAATGAACAGACCAGAGCCATGGACCAGCCTCTCTCTTGGAGGGCAGGACTCTGTTAATTAGTACCTCGAACACAGCTGTTCAACCATTTGTGACTCCATTTAATTGTACTAGCCCCACAAGCCTCTACTTTATCTTCACAGATTTCACAGGACGCCTTGTCAAATGCCTTACTCTTATCCAGTACATATTTTCTTGTTCAACAAAATTAGTATTCCTATCAAAGAAAGAAACTGTATTAGTTCAACATGACTTGTACATACTGCCCCTATGTTGGGGAGTAGTAATCACTGCTTGGTGAGTTGTTAAGAGGCTGGGATTTGATGTCCGAAAGACCTGGATTTGAAGCCCAACACCAACAGCTGTTAACTGCATGAAGTGGGCAAACCATCTGAAAATAAGGATGCTCAAAGCACCGGTCCCCTAGGGTTGTTGTGTGGAGTCAGCAGATGTCAACAATCACCATCAGATCAGTGACCTTATCCCTGACAACCCATTCTAGATCTGTACAACACTGACAAGATCAATAGCTTGAGATGAACAGTGAAAGGGATCTAGCTTCTGTTACCTTATAAAAATTACAATGTTTTAAATCTCATTTGCAAGTTCTCCCATTAAGCAAGGGAGTAGTTTACTAGGATAAAAAGACATTTAATATTAAAAGTAACTGAGTTGACTACCGATTCACCTGTCTTCGATTCAATTCTCTTTTGTCCATTTTTTTTTTTTTTTTTTTTTGAGATGGAGTGATGGAGTTTCATTCTGTCACCCAGGCTGGAATGCAGTGGCACGATATTGGCTCACTGCAACCTCTGCCTCCCAGGTTCAAGCGATTCTCCTATCTCAGCCTCCCAAGTGGCCATCACACCCAGCTAATTTTTGTATTTTTAGTAGAAACGTGAGTTTCACTATTTTGGCCAGGCTGGTCTCGAACTCCTGACCTCAAGCGATCAGCCCGCCTCGGCTTCCCAAAGTGCTGGGTTACAAGTATGAGCTACCGCTCCTGGCCACTTTTGTCCATTTCTAATGTATTCTTTTGCATTTGAAGATTATTCTACTTGAGAATCAAGACAAAGCATATCTGGTTCTAAATTGTTTTACTATCCTCCCAAAAGAAAAGCATCTGCTACTCTCAGCATTCCTGGCCAGTGTGAGCTCTCTGGGAGATTCAGCATCCCTCACACTCCTAAAGTCTGGCCACAGTTCTACACGCTCTTCCCTTCTCTACCTGTCACTCTGAAGTCAAATCGGCCACTACCCACTTTCTTCCATGAGTATCCATTGCAATCACAATGTAAGAATTACGTTTCTGAATTTCTGGCCCCATGGCATGGTCTTCCTTTCTGAGTATGATGCCACATATTGTGCTACCTTCTTAGTTTCTGGAAACTTCATCTTTCTGAACTTTGGGCACATATTTCACTGTGTTCAGTCTGATTCTCAAAGGCCCTATTCAACACCAGCTACCAAAATTACACTCCTCCCTCTATTCCTTGTTGAGCTACTGCCCCCGTAGAATCCCCCTCCTTTATACCCAAAGCCCAACACACTCAATCCTAGTCAACTTTCCTGTGAACTCCTGCAACAAGCTACACATACTTCAGTCACAGGACATTTTCATTATGCTTTCTATAATACAGTTATTAGTTCACTCAACACACAGTTCTCAAGGGCCTCGTGCTTCTGGTGTGGTGCTAGGCTCCAGGAATCCACAACCAAGTGGATCAGGCACTTTGGAATCTAGAAGAAAAGTGACTGACTCTGCCTAAAGCAAGTGGAGAGCAGCTTCTGGAGAAGGTGACATTTGAGCTGCCTCTTCAAGAAAAATAACTCTACGAGGCACATGGAAAGCACTGGCGAGGCACAAAGAGCGAAAGAACAGCGTATACTTGGGAAACACAGAAGCGTCCCGAGATGCTGTAGGCAAATGAGAGGGAAGTTGAGGCAAGATGGCTGCACAGCATTTGAAGCAAGATTATAAGGGCCTGTCTAGGATGTTGAAGAGTTAGATTTAATCAACAGGCAGTGGTAAGAGTCTGGAAAGGCAGTGGCAGAAGCTGGTCTTCGTATTATGATCAGGCTCAGTGGGTCACCACCTATCCATTTTTATTTTATTTATTTTATTTTTGTCATTTCTTTGTTTACCTATCCTTTTTTAAATGGCAGTCCCAAATGATGCAAAAGAAGCTTCCACATGAGCGAATAATGGATTCTTATTTACATAAGAACAGAAACAAGTTATTGCTGCTGCCTGTTCTGCAAAAATATACTTTTTACATCCTAAAATTAAATGAGAATTAGAAGAGCCATAACAAGGGAAAACAAGGGTAAAATTTCTTAAATTATTTTTAAAAATAGAAATGAGCATAATTTTAATATTTTATATTTCAAATATATTTCCCTTCTTGATAAAAACAGTGGCATTTTTCTAACCAGCTATATCTAAATATGTATAGTTACCAATCTGGATGTTGGCAATAGATTCAGTGTGACGATCGCAAAGTGGACTCACACCCAAATGATATTTTTTTTCTATATCTCCTATAAATTAAAAAAAGAGAAGTATTAATATGAAGAATATCTATTGGTTAAATATATAATTAAAGGCTTGAACATACCTGTGCATTTCTTAGGAAAAACATACTTAATCCTCATGAGAGGACAGCTTCGCAATTAGTTCTTTTTAAAATTTTAAGTTATTTACACATAGAAGAGATTGCCAAGCTGATATTTTTATTTAAATGCAAGGTGTTACCCCAAGACTGTAATTTATAACACATTAATATACAACCTGAAAGGAAGGTTCATGAAATAAAGATTCCTGGATCCGGGTTTTAAATTACACACACAAAAGTTTTACATGTTCATATGGCCCTCCACACACGACAAGGATAAAGCAAGTTCAGGGAAATCTTTCTGTACAGCAAAATTCCAAACCTAATCTATCTATACTCATAAATGCATAAATACATCTGATCATTCCAAAAGAGGACTTCTAATTTTCAAAACAGATGCTCAATTTGTATTGATTAGATGTATATCTATTGTGAATTGTTACTAAAAATGTCAAGACTCTACTGCTAGACCCATATAAATTATTGAGTTATTTTATTCTTACGATGTTAAAAAAAAATGAACTGGATAGATTAATTATCACTCAATACTGTAACTTGCCTTGATGGAAGAATTCCTCCGTTACTTTTTCACTCCACTGCTTGCTTAATTCCCACGTCCGACATGGGTTACAAATATCAGCACATTTCAAAGCCATCTAGCAAACAAAACATTAATATTGTTTTAAGATATATACACACTTGACAATAATACCAAAGAACCAAGTGCAAGGACTGGATTAACCATAAATATAAATAAATAAGCCAGAAATATAATTCTCCTATTTTTAGATGTAAGAATTTATGAGAATAAAATGCTATTTCTTAATTGGTACCCTAATCTTGTAAAAATTGTTTTCATCAGAAATCTTGAGTATGAAAAACACGTAAGCAATGATGCCTTCCTAGGTAGCAGATTCACCAGTGATCTCCTTTTGGAAGGAGTGTGCGCTAATTGAAGGAAATTCTTTAGCTTGCCCTCAAGATTTAACCATTCTGAAAAACTACACTAGAATATTCATTTTTTAGTTTGACAGTCACATAATTTATCCTAGAAATAGAATGTTTCCAAGCCCCATTTTACCTGTAAAACCAAATGTCTGTGTCTGGTGTCTTCTAGGCATAAATCACCTCTATCCAAATGGGACCTAAACAAAGACAGATACTCATTC
The DNA here is from genome assembly GCF_000001405.40 of Homo sapiens. Classification (NCBI taxonomy): domain Eukaryota; kingdom Metazoa; phylum Chordata; class Mammalia; order Primates; family Hominidae; genus Homo; species Homo sapiens. The sequence continues at coordinate 65,724,865 of NC_000008.11, forward strand.
TGGCGACTGATGTCTGTGGCTAGTATCAGAGCACCTATCTGTGTCTCCATTTGTTGCCTGGAAATAGAGAAATATAAAGAGAAAATATAAGACTTTCAATTAACTATTTATTGATTTTTTTTCTTAACCATAATAATCGGAAGGCTTTATAGAACCCTAAAATATCCAACTATCATTCAATTTAAAATTTATCACACAAAAAATGAGTTTTATAGAATGCTTCAAAAAAAGCCATTAAAATAACCAAAACTAAAACCAAGAGTTTGTAGGAAAATACCAATATGCAAACATTCCAAAAGGAGAGCCTTTATTTTGCCAGCCAAGGTGGTATTATTTGCTTTAAAAAAAAAATCAATGTAACATTGGTTGTTTTTTGAGAAAGTTCCTTGCTGGGATTCTTTTGCTGGAAAATTCTCATGCTGAGGGTAAACAACTTTGGTTTGCTTTTTAGTGCCTGAGATCTGAAGGCAGAAGGAAGATTCAAATAGAAAGAATAATGGCCCATTCAACAGCTGACTCCTACAGACATTCTGACTAAGATGCCTGTTGCAATTCCCCTGAGCAACTTAATAACTGTGTTTTCAAGGTTAAACTCAAGAACCAATCAGTTATCTGTAAATGAATATCCAACTTTTCTGAAAGGAAAAAGGTAACATGTTAATATAAACAGCAAATACATACATCATTTATAAAACTGCCTCAGATCAATTAACAAGATAAACATACTTAAAAAAAATTCTTGCCTTTTGTTTTAATGGGCCATAGCAAATACTATCTCTGTATAATGATCAGTAAAGAGCTGTCAAATAGATAAAAAGACTCACAATATTGAATGTTAAAACAAACCCTAAATGAAGAAAACATTAAATAATGCTATTAGGTAGTATTCCTTATTTCCATTTTTATTAAATCTGAGAACTCAACAGGGTTAATCATCAAATGAAAAACATGATTTTTAAAAAGGGAATAATGAAGCAAACATTTTAATCTGTCTTAATTTTAAGAACCCATAATTTACATATACAGTGTGTTTAAGCAATTTTCGTATTTGTACTACAGCAAAAAATGATTTTACTTACCAGAAGTATTGTCATACTCCAAATGGTATCCGTGAATAAAGATTTAAAAAAATAAAAAATAAAGTCCAGCTTTTTTCTCATGGTCATTACACAAAACAGTTTTTTATACAGTTGTTTTAAATTATGAAAGGGAAACCAGAGAACAGCAAGTGGAACTTAAATTTTAATACTCAAACATATTTTTATACCTCACCACTTTTCTTGAAGTGGATGGTTTCAATCCACTTTCATGGTTTGCTGACGTGCATTTTCCCTCAGTGCAACATTACTAAAAAGCTTGTGTGTGGACCACACTATGGCAATGACGTGAGATTTTATAAACCATCACCATCGTGTTAGCCTTATTCACATTAATGTTTTTTATTAGGTTCTAAAATAGCCCATTTATTTTTTTTTCCTAAAATATTAGGGTTTTTTCCATTCATTATTATATCCTATAGCTCTAGAAGTGTGACTCCAGGATTATGCTATTGAGGACATAAGGCACTCTCTTTACTTTCTTGTCAGTTTTGAAAACTTCTGGGAACAGATTTTAATGAATCTATTTAATGTAATAGAATGTTTACATTCCATCCAATTTACCTTTATACCTAGACCTTAAGGTTTTATTCAGCTGAGTATGGAAATGTGTAATATCTATTTATGTAAATAAGTAGTAAACTATGGCTGAGCAATTGTGTATTTGAGTAAATTTTATAGTATTCAAACCCATGGAATAGTCTTTGATAAAAATAACTATCCATTAAAATGTTACCGACTATATAGTAGGATAGCTCTAAATTACTAAAATTGTATATAATTTATTAAATTTGACAAACACTGAAAACTGTGGAACACCTGAACATAACAATTTTTAAAACTTTATAAAATTACTTTGCCAACTTAACTTCTATAACCAGTAACAAATTAAATTTGTCTTAATCCAACCTACCTGCTTTCTAATGGCAGATGTGAGAATAAGCCTGATTCTCTCAATAAGCCCACTGCAGATCTCCAGTGGTGATTTTCCAGTACTGAGGTATTCTACAACAAAGGACGTTTCTGAGTTACTTAATGATACGTCTCTTTCTGGACATATCATTACTAACAATACTGTTAGCAATATTAATCTGGTTAAAATTCTAACATTCATTGAGAATTTATTTTCATTACTTTCATTTCTTCAAAATATGAAAGATTTTCTAGAATGCAAAAATAATAAATCTTGATGATAAAATTGCACTAACCTTGTATAAAGTTGCCAAGTAATGGTTAGTTTTAATAAGGAAAGGTTGATTAACACCTGGATGATCCAGATCATGAGTGGCAGCTGCAATTAAGCTCAGCAAGATATCCCAAGGAGTTACAGAATTGGCAAGCTGAAGTGTGACAAAAGAATAATGAATCACAGATATATCTAAAATAAGCTCTACGCCATCACAGTAGTTTTGAATTAGCAGCCAATGGTAGTGGTGGTAATCTCCTCCCCCTTCACGTCATTCCTCAGGTGGTTGTTCATTAGGTTCACCAAGCACATCTGCCAGGTCCTGATCTCATCACCACACTGGCAAAGCCATGATACAACAGTGGCCCTGCCCATGTGGAGTTTACAGAGTTCATCCTTAGGCCATTTCATTTTTAACAAGCTTAATTAAAATGGCAGCTAAAACATAAACCGTTCTTTTTGAGAAATAATGGCTTTAAAATGACAAACATAGTTTGGCACATTTTTATTACTGTAGCCATTACTGAACAAAAGATCTAAAATTTTAAGGGTGTTTATTTATCAACAAATTGGTTATTGGATTTCAATAATGTAATCTAAGATGTAAGGTTATTCCTTTAGTCCTGATGTTTAAGGAGGCTACTGAGTAATCATGTTAAGTGGAAGTCTATGTCAAGTCTGTGATAAAATCCTCCCCTAACGGATGGCTACATTCATAACAATGATACAATGTATTCATGTCAGGGAAAGCAATCTTGCACACCAGAAATTGTAACTTTACTCTCAATAATCATTACCAAACTTATTTAATAATCACAATAAATAAAAGTTTATGATTAGCTGACAAATGTTCAATGATAAAAAAGATCACCTTGACTATATCATCTGCTTTTCATGAAATGCCTCTCATTTTCTGGCAAACTTGGCCAGATTTGTGTTCCCACAGCACCTCATGACCTGCCACAATACCACTCATCAGAGCATGGTATTATTTAGGTTTACGTTAGGACAGTGCTGACTAAACTGTAATGATCCTGTGCTCTAACAGTGAAAATTTTTGAGCATACACCACTTATATTAAGTATATGTACTTATGGATTATTATACTGAACTAACATTTATATGTTATACAACAAAGATAAAAACTGAAAATTTTAAAAATGAGATAAAAATAATTTTAGATTCAAATTCTATTGTTTTCTTTCTCTGCTAGAACGAATCAATCATCTCTTTCTACTCCCTGTGTTAAGTTCATCTCAGTCAGAGAAATCACTGTCTGAGGGCTTGAATCTCCTGGAAAACTGTAAGCTACCTGGAAGCAGAGATGCATATTATTTATTTTTGTATCGCATATAATTAGTACACGGAGAAGGTCAATGAATAGGAGAAGATGAAGAAAATTATTTCCTCTTTAGGATATACAAAAGCATTGAAAAAATAAAGCATTCTAAAGCGCTGCTTACTAATCAAGATGAACAGAATGCATAGGATATAAAGCATACTGCATATAAAGCAATCTCCCCTCCTTGACATATACATGAATGGGCATGGGTGTCTATGTCTTATGAACATGTAATTTATTAGGCAGTATGCAAAGGGGTTACATTCTTATTGGCAGAAGAATAGACATCCTGGGAGAATACAATAATCCAAAATTAGACTGATTTAAAAAATTAATGTATGACTGCACATGACATCAAAACATTCTCAGGTATATTAAAGAGTTAACCATTAAAAATAGGAACATGACAATAAGCAACTGAATTCTCAAAAATTCTGTGAAGAGAAAGTAACTTTAAAAACAAATCACACATGCAAAAAAATATTTGATATAAAAATGTAACATTTCTGCTTGTAAAAAAAAACCTTTCATCAGAAACAAAATTTTCAATATTATAACAAAGACAAGGACTTCAATAACTTAACTTTTTAAGGTGGATTAAAAGACAGATGTTATTTCCATTCTGTGATTACATCTGTTAAGAGCTGACAACAAAGAAATGTCAAAAAAGAAACTACAGATTATTTAACATATGTGAAGGTCAGCTTTTACTTGTATCTGCAAAGCCATCATTAGGGTTCTTTTTCAATAAAATAGAAAACTATTAAGTGGTGAGTTTTGCTGTGTTCAGTGAAAAGCTTACTGTTTTCACTGCCTGCCAGCCCTTATCATTTCCCATTGTAATGGTTATCACAGTGAGTTTCGTTGGTGGTAGCTTTTTTTTTTTTTTTTTTTTTTTGGCTAAATTGGCAAATCAAAAATATAGTAGAAATAGCAGAAAGAAGGTACCTGAGATACTGGTGGCTTGCTGAGGGTAAAGAGGAGGTGGCACTATCATGGAGGAGAGCAGTTTAGTGACATAAAATGTCCTGAATCAGTATTGTATTTTTATTTTTCCTAATGATGCTACCTCTGAAAACAGATTCTATTTTTTTGTGACAGAGTCTTGCTGATGCCCAGCCTGGAGTGCAGTGGTGCGATCTCGGCTCACTGCAGCCTCTGCCTCCCAGGTTCAATCGATTCTCTTACTCAGGCTCCTGAGCAGCTGGGATTATAGGCGCCTACCACCATGCCTGACTTTTTTTTTTTTTTGGTACTTTTATAGAGATGGGGTTTCACCATGTTGGCCAGGCTGGTCTCGAATTCCTAATCTCAGGTGATCCGCCTGCCTTGGCCTCCCAAAGTGCTGGAATCACAGGCATAAGCCACCATGCCCTGCCTAGTGAAGACAGATTCTTGACACATTATGTCCATCCTGAGAAATTACTGAAAGAAATGAACCTCCCACACACAGAAGGCAAAAGGACAAGGCGGTCCTCGCAGGGCTCCTCAATCCCCAGGCCATGGACCGGTACTGGTCCATGGCCTGTTAGGAACCTGAGAGGAACCAGGTGCACAGCAGGAGGTGAGCTGCCAGCCAGTGAGCATTATTGCCTGAGCTCTGCCTTGGAAGCAGTAGCTTCTCATAGGAGCACAAACCCTATTGTAAACTGTGCATGTGAGGGATCCAGGTTGCGCACTTCTTTTTTTTTTTTTTTTTTTTTTTTTTGAGATGGAGTTTCGCTCTTGTTGCCCAGGCTGCAGAGTAATGGCGCAATCACGGCTCACCGAAACCTCCACCTCCCGGGTTTAAGTGATTCTTCTGCCTCAGCCTCCCAAGTAGCTGGTATTACAGGCATGCGCCACCACAACCAGCTAATTTTGTATTTTTAGTAGAGACAGGGTTTCTCCATGTTGGTCAGGCTGGTCTCGAACTCCCAACCTCAGGTGATCCACCTGCCTCAGCCTCCCAAAGTGCTGGGATTACAGGTGTGAGCCACCAAGCCCAGCCAGCACACTTCTTATAAGAATCTAATGCCTGATGATCTGAAGTGTAACAGTTTCATCCTGAAACCATCCCCCTCCCCATCCAAGGAAATATTGTCTTCCGTGAAACTGGTCCCTGATGCCAAAAAGGTTGGCGGCCACTGCTCTAGAGGTCTAAAAACAGAGAACTAGGCTGGGCATGGTGGCTCATGCCTGTAATTCCAGCACTTTGCAGGGCCAAGGCAGGCAGATCACTTGAAGTCAGGAGTTCGAGACTAGCCTGGCCATCATGGCAAAACCCCATCTCTACTAAAAACACAAAAATTAGTTGGGCATGGTGGCACATGCCTATCAGCTACTTGGGAGGCTGAGACAAGAGAATCGCTTGAACCCAGGAGGTGGAGGTTGCAGTGAGCTAAGATTGTGCCACTGCACTCCAGCCTGGGCGACAGAGTGAGACTCCATCTGAAAAACAAAACAGAACAAAATAAAAACATAAAAACAGAGAACAGTTAGAGTAAACCCAGCCAATGATAAAGCCCATATACAATATCATTCATTAACAGCTCATATTGACCAAGTACCTACCATGTGCTGGTGCTGTTTTAGGGGACAGGTAAATATTAGGGAATAGACAGACAAAAATTCCTGCCCTGGAGGCCTGACATTCCTGTGGTTTCCATGTCAGGTTCCCATATGTTTTACAAGTAAGATTCTGGGGGCCAAAATTCCTATCTTACTCATATTTTTGTCACTAGCAATTAGCATCTACTCAGAGCATGAATAAGTGTACATCTGCAAGAAAGGCAACTCAACCATCAGTCTTGCTGACATCAAAGGGAAGGATGCGGGGGCCAGGGAGGGACGTGCAGGGCCAGGCTCTTTTGTCAACTGCCAGGGACAAGTAGAGCAAGGTTTAAAGGTTCAGTGCTAGAGTGGGTTTATCTCTGGGACATGTAAGCGTAATTCTTATCCAGACTTAGTTTAAGTATAGTTATTAAGTAAAATAGCTAATTTAAACTCATTATAGAAACATGAAACTAAACATTAAAATAGGAAACAAAGGGAAAATCACAATCTCTTCAGCTGACAACTATGAATGTTACCAGTGTCAATCAATCAAGGAGACTTTGGGCTCAACTTGAACAAAATGCTTTATAATCCACATGAGTTCAGCCTTGAGGACATAAAAAATAAATACTCAAGTTAGTGACAATGCATATATAGAGAGATGAGTTTGTCTCCAAAATTTCCAGTAATTTCTTTGGCTTGAAATATTTTTTTTTCCACATAGACAAGAGTCCAAGAATTAGCTCTTCCATATAAATTATAAGGTATAAAAACTGAAAACAAATTTCTCACAAAATATATATACTTAAGTCTATTTACTATTCCCTCTGTACTTGGACTTTCTTATGGCTGACTCCTTAGTTATGTACTGTCCACTTAAGTGACTTGTGATCACCCTATCTAAAGTTGTAAAACTCTTGCCATCCACCTGGTCATTCTCTATATTATTATTATTATTATTATTGTTGTTGTTGTTGTTGTTGTTGTTATTTTAGACTGAGTTTCACTCTGTCGCCCAGGCTGGAACGCAGTGGCATGATCTCGGTTCACTGGAACCTCTGCCTCCCAGGTTCAAGGGATTCTCATGTCTCAGCCTCCCAGGTAGCTGGGATTACAGGCACCCGCCACCATGCCCAGCTAATTTTTGTATTTTTAGTAGAGACGGGGTTTCACCATGTTGGCCAGGCTGGTCACAAACTCCTGACCTCAGGTGATTCACCAGCCTCGGCCTCCCAAAATGCTGGGATTACAGGCGTGAGCCACCATGCCCAGCCACTAACATATTATTTTGATCAAAATTCTATTTATCTATTTGTTTAATGACTGCCTCCCCCACTAGGATGTACACTTCATGAAGACAGGGATCATTCCTGCCCTGCTCACCACCACATTCCTTGCACCAGGATAGAGCCTGGCATGTGGCAGATGCTCAAAGAGTATAAAACGTGATGCTGTGCAAAGGCTCAGGAGTAAAAGAGATACAATCTTCAGGCATCTATCTAATCTATCTATCTATCTAAAGATAGGTTGTCACCCAGGCTGCAGTGCAGTGGCACTATCACTACTCTCTGCTGGACCTCCCAGGCTCAAGTGATCCTTTTGAGTCAGCCTCCTAAGTAGCTGGGACCACAGGTACACACCACCATGCCCATCTAACTTTTTATTTTTTGTAGAGATGGGATCTTGCTATATTGCCCAGGTTGTTCTCAAACTCCTGGCTTCAAGTGATCCTCTTGCCCTGGCCTCCCAAAGTATTGAGATTACAGGCATGAGCCACCGCACTTGGACCTACTTCAAATTTTTCAGAAGTCATTTTTAAAACTTTGAGTGACTCTGTTTTTTTTTCTTTCTATCTTTTTTTGAATAAAAGAGATGAGGTCTTGCTATGTTGACCAGGCTGGTCTCAAACTCCTGGGCTCAAGCAAGCCATCCGCCTCAGCCTCCCAAAGTGCAGAACTACAGGCATGAGTCACCGTGCCCAGTCCTGGGTGACTCCATTTTAAAATGTTCACTATGATAAGGGAGAAGGGAAATGCCTGCATTGTAGGGCTTTGTGATTTTATCTATATCCTTAATTGAAGCCTTGGGTAAAGTGTTCACTGAGTATGTTAAGGATGAAAAGTGTTTAAGTATTATCAGAACTCCACAGGCAAAAAGTGTTCAAAATCATGTTTTTATTAATTTTTGTCCACATGCATCCCCACCCTGCTCACCTGGCATCACCCAGATTTCCCTGCCCCTGGCTTGGGTTGGGTGTGCCCAGAGGGAGATGGGAGTGCAGAAGCCTTCGCTGACCAGGTTAACCCTTTTGTGTGCTGCAGAGAACTTATTACCATCTTTCCACTTACCAGATTGTATGGTGATTACTCATCAATCTCTCCCACAACATTCTCAAACAGAGGATGCAGTCTTGGCCCAGAGATTTTTTTGAAGTTTAATTTAAAAATTGGGGTGGGCAATAGAGTGAGACCCTGTCTCTACAAAAAATTTAAAAAATTAGCTGGCCTCCAGCTTGAGCCCAGGATGTCGAGGCTGCAGTGAGCCATGATCACGCCACTGCACTCCAGCCTGGCAACACTGTGAAACCCTGTCTCTTAGAGAAAAAAAAACAGTTGGGTGGTTGGGAGTATACATTTGTCAAAACCGTACACATAAAATGTATGCACTGTATTACTGCATGTAAGTTCTACCACAATAAAGTTGATTTTTTAAAAGTCATGATATATATACTAAAAAACGGGCATTTTCACATATTCTATGATCTCTTAAATAATCAGAAGACTAGCTGTGTTCTTAAGTTGGCATCAATGGGCACAAGCCAGTTTGGTCATCCTGTTTCCCGCCTAACACCTTAGCCAGAACTAAGATCTAGGGAGAGAGCAGTTTTGAAGTAGAGATGGGATAGGCAGACATAATTGCAGAACTGCCAGGGATAGGAAATGTCCAGGGGCAAACATGGCTTTCATTAACACCTGCAGACAATGATTCCCAAATCCATACATTAAGTCTGATTTCTCTTCTATACTTCAGACTCTTTTATGTAACTCTATACTAGACCTCTATATTAGGATGTCAAATACATTTAATACCACGGATCCAAAATGGTGCTCACTGTCTCTACAAGCCTTACCCCCAAAACTTGTTCTGCTCTACATTCCTCCTCTCATGGAAGACTTCCACCTTCTACTCAACTGCCCAAACCAGTCTTCACTGACTTCTGTTTCTTTCCCCGAAATGCATTCACCACCACATCCTGTTCATTCTAATTCCCAAGAGAACTTGCAAACTATCCACATCCCTACTTCACCAAGGCCACTCTGCTCTCTTCCATGGAGCACTGAAGTAACTCCTGGCAGGTGTTCAGGCTTTTGGTCTTGATACGATTTATCTTCACATCACAGCCAGGATAATTTTCTAAAGTCTCCTGCCTCCTCTCTGTAGCTCCTCATTCATTCACTGAGTCAGACCAAGGCTGTCCCTGCCCACATGGAGCCCATGTGGAGCTCAGTGTAAATGCCAGCAGTCGAGGTTTCAAGTGACCTGGCCCTTGCTTGGGCTTCTCCAGCCTCTCTCTCAACAACCACCCAATTCTCTAGCTGTTGCACTCTGAAACACAGCCAGATTCAGAAACTTGATCCAGCTAGATCTCATTCTTGTGAAGGAAGTCTGTGATTTTCAGTCAAAGCAGTAACTTCAGGAGAAGTATGTGAAAGTAAATCAAAAGGAATTTTCTTATGATTTTCACCTGAAATCAATGTCAACCTCTTACCTTAGGTTCCTTTAAGTAACAGTGCATGGCCTGAGTAACATCCGCAGCGTGGACTGCGTTATGGTAAGGATTTTGACTGTGGTAATCTTCTTGAATCATAACTGCATCAAAGAAAGAGATCCCGATTTTATTGTATATGAGCAACATATACAAGGACAAAAATTGTGATAATTATGAGTTACCCACTCATACTTTTCATGTAGCTATCGGCTAAAATCGTGCCGATTCGGGCAGATGATAATCACCTCACAACTCACATGTATACCAAAAGAATCAATATCAATTTGACTCTCTATGCTATCATGGACGAACAGACTAGGCTTCGGGGTGGAGCTGTGCCCCCTGCCATCAACCTACTTGACAGCCCTAGCAGCATAACACACAAATCCAGTGGTCTCAAAGGAAAGCGAGCCTACCTGTGATGGGGAAACACAATCGCCGAGTGAGCGGGACAGACCATCAGAATTCTGCACTTGCTTCCGTCCCATCCTTTAAAATAGCCTTTCAGTACCCTTGGTTAATAGTGTTTTTTTGAGACAGGATCTCACTTCGTTGCCCAGGCTGGAGTGCAGTGACATGATCATGGCTCATTGCAGCCCTGACCTCCTGGGCTCAAGTAATCCTGCCACCTCAGCCTCCCAAGTAGTTGGAACCACAGGTGCATGCCACCATGTCTGGCTCATTTTTTTGTATTTTTTATAAAGACAGGATCTTGCCATGTTGCCCAGGCTGGTTTCAAACCCCTGGGCTCAAGGAGTCCACCTGCCTTGGCCTCCCAAAGTGCTAGCATTACAGGTGTGAGCCACTATGCCCCACCTAATAAGCTATTTTTGTATGTGGTTATTTTTGAGATGGAGTCTCGCTCTGTCACTCAGGCTGGAGTGCAACAGCATGATCTCAGCTAACTGTGCAACGCCCACCTCCTGAGTTCAAGTGATCCTCCCGCCTCAGCCACCCGAGTAGCTGGGATTACAGGCACCTGCCATCATGCTCGGCTAATTTTTGTATTTTTGTCACAATGGGGTTTCACCATGTTGGCCAGGCTGGTCTTTAACTCCTGACCTCAGGTGATCCACCCACCTCGGCCTCCCAAAATGCTGGGATTACAGGTATGAGCCACCATGCCCGGCCGTATGTGTTTTATAATTTATATTTTTAGTATAGTAGTCCCCTCATATTCTTGGGGGATATGTTCCAAGACCCCCAGTGGATGCCTGAAACCACAGATAGTACCAAACCCTATTTATACTATGTTTTTCCTATACAAACACACCTACGATAATGCGCAATTTATAAGTTAGTCACAGTAAGAAATTAACAATAATTAAAATAAAATAGAACGATTATAACAATAAGCCAGCATCACAACTCTTGTGCTTTGGGGCCATTATGAAGTAAAATAAGGGTGACGAACACAAGCACTGTGATACCAACATGGCTGATCTGATAACCAACACGGTTCAGGATGCAATGAGATTTCATCACGCTGCTCACAATGGTGTGCAATTCAAAACTTATGAATTGTTTACTTCTGGAATTTTCCATTTAATATTTTCAGACTACAGTTGACCATGGGTAACTGAAACCACAGAAAGCAAAACCAGAGATAAAGGCGGACTACTGTACAGTATTTCAGGCATACTACTTATAATTAATACACATTAAAAAGTTTCTCAAGGCCAGGTGCACTGCCTCACACCTGTAATTCCAGCACTTTGGGAGGCTGAGGCTGGAGGATTGCTTGAGGCCAGGAGTTTGAGACCAGCCTAGGCCATTAGCAAGACCTTGTCCCTACTAAAAATAAAAATGTAGTCTGGTGTGGTGGTGCACACCTATATTCCTAGCTACTCGGGAGGCTGAGGTGGGAGGATCGCATGAGCCGAGAGGTTGAGGGTGCAGTGAGCCATGATCACGCCACTGCACTCAAGCCTAGGTGACAGAGCAAGACTCTCCAAAAGAAAAAGCTTCTCAAAAGCCCTATGTAATAAATTTATCTGTTTTTTTTTTTTTTTTTGCCAGAGTTCTAAGTAGAAGTCTGAAGTCTGAGTTAATATTTCTAGCTCTTCATTTGGCTGTACATTCTTGGTATTGAGGCTTTTTTTTTTTTGAGATGGAGTCTCGCCCTGCTGCCCAGGCTGGAGTGCAGTAGCGTGATCTTGGCTCACTGCAACCTCCACCTCCCAGGTTCAAGTGATTCTCCTGCCTCAGCCTGGATGAGGTGGGAGGCTGGCTGGAGCTTGGGAAGTTGAGGTTGCAGTGAGCCATGATCATGCCACTGCATTCCAGCCTTAGCAATATAGTGAGACCCTGTCTCAAACAAACAAACTAACTAAAAACACCTGAGTTATTATTTTCTCAATTCTCCCAAGGACAGTATAGAGCCAAAGCCATTCCAGATATGCTGCACAAAAGATAATCCATTGAAGCCAATGGATTCCTTATGGCTTTAAGGCTTAATTCTCTCATAAACCTGTTCTAGTGGCTTCCACATTAGCGGCAACAGGATGAAGGGATAAACAGCCAAGTATTCATATGAACAATGTGCAAAGTGGGGATATGCATCTTTATAATTGCCAGTATAGCTACTGGGGCTACTCACACTATATTAATTATAAACTTGAGAATTTACTGCAAAATTGTATCTGTAGAGTCACACAGGCTTCTGTTTACCTAGATAAAGCAGTTGCAGATTAGCAAAAATGGTTATATTAATTATTATTATTATTTTTGAGACAGAGTCTCATTCTGTTGCCCAGGCTGGAGTACAGTGGCGCGATCTCGGCTCACTCTCTCTCTCTCAATCTCACCTCTGCCTCCTGGGTTCAAGTAATTCTCCTGCCTCAGCCTCCCGAGTAGGTAGGATTACAGGCACATGCCTCCACACCCGACTAATTTTTGTATTTTTAGTAGAGACGGGGTTTCACCATGTTGGCCAGGATGGTTTTGAACTCCTGGCCTCAAGTGATCCACCTGCCTCAGCCTCCCAAAGTGCTGGGATTACAGGCGTGAGCCACCATGCCCAGCATGTATGAAATATTAAATGTCCCCACCAGCAACATCTTAACTTATTTTATAGTTCCACAGTTTTACCATTTTCCTACAGTAATAAATTACTTCCTGAATAATTTGTAATTTCTCTCTACTTAAAATTGAAAGATTTTAAAAAGGATATCAAATCAATGTGATGGTCTCTCACTATTAAGTATAGACATACCAGTGAGATATTTAGTGTTAAGTTCCAGACTACTAAAATAAAGTGAATATTGCAATATAGCAAGTCAAAATTTTGGGTTTCCCAGTGCATACAAAAGCTATGTTTACACTATAGTCTATTAAGTGTACAATAGCATTATGTCTTTAAAAAAAAACGATGTATACACCTTAATTTAAAAGACTTTATTGCTATAAAATGCTAATCATTATGTGAACCTTCATTAAGTTGTAATCTTTTTGCTGTATATAAGCAAAATTGTATATAACCAAATAAATTACAAATTAAGCTATCTCTTGATCTGGGCACTATATGAAATATCACAATGAGGGTCAGAAAATGAGACCCCAAAATATGCTGCTTTGGACTTCAAACTCAGAGCAGCAAATGCAGGAGAGGACTTTCTCAGAAGTTCTCCTATCCACCTAAAGGACGGACAAAGACTTTACCAGGAATCATGAATTCCTTCCTCAGGTAGAACCAACTAGGAGAAACTGGTGCCTATTACAAGAAGGAAGACTAGAGTTGATATCTTGTGCCTCAGCCTCCCGAGCAGCTGGGATTACAGGCGTGCGCCACCATGCCTGGGTAATTTTTTTGTATTTTTAGTAGAGATGGGGTATTTGCCATGTTGGCCAAGCTGGTCTCCAACTCGTGGCCTCACGTGATCCACCCGCCTCAGCCTCCCAAAGTGCTGGGATTACAGGTGTGAGCCACCACACCTGGCCCCAAATAATCTTTAAAGCCTACCGTCAAAGAGATTCTAGGGGTCAGAAAAAGAAGAAACCTAACTGCAATATACCTGCTCTTTTAAAGTTTTAGCCTTCAAAAATTTAGAAAAGTACAGAAATTGTGTCATCTTTGTCAGCAATCTGTGGCCAATGTAAGGAACATTGCAAAATGAAATCAAGTATCCACAATTTCCTGTATCTGTGGCTCTGTGACTTTGCAGCCTTTGCACCAACAGGTGTAGTGCATCCCTGGTCTGACTTGCTGTGGCCACTTGCTGCATGCAGAAGTGAAGGTGGGCCGATTCTGAGCCCAGGGCTCCAGCGGCCTGGGGATATCAGCTCTCTCGGAAACCTGCCACTACTGTTTGAACCAGCTCGGCTAATTGTAAAATAAATAATTCTTTTTTGTTTTTAATGTAAATCTATTATGGTGCCAAACTCCTCTGCTTCTTTTAAATTTAACAGAAGACTATGTAGAGCCGAGATGGGTCAGGCCTGGTATCCTAGCTGAGGTCTCTACAAAACCAACATGCAGCCCACCTGTTGCTGTCTGCAGGTGCACAAATGAGCTCACCCAGACCAGACCAAAAGAAGCATTTAACAGCCCCACAGATGCAAGAGCTAAATAACTGTGTGTTGTTTTAAGCCACTAATTTTGGCTGGTTTGTTATAGAGCAATAGCTAACCGATATAACTGAGATAAAACTTAAACAGGTTCTTGTATAAATGTAAATCTTGTTACTGTTAATGGGTTAGAATCACTTACCTAAAAATCTACGAAGTTTCATCATATCTAAATGGAAGTACTCAATTAATCCATGAAGACTAAATAAATGAAAGGTTAAGCTTACTAGACTATTTCCTAAAAAGAAAGAAGAGACATTACATTAGTAGGAAATACAAGTCAACACAATTATATTATGCTTTGAAATACAGATTTTGAATATAAAACATGGAAAGAGTAATAATTCCCACTTTTTGTCTATCAAAAATATGCATCTTCTTACCAGTTATGAACTTTATATGTCACATCTTGTTTCATTATAAGAAAAATTTAATTTTTGTTGTTTTACTTTTCCACAACCAAAGAACTGAAAACTAGACATTTTCAAATAGATTAATTTTTTAAAGACACCAAAATAATGAGAATAGACAATAGAAAACTTTAAAAATTGTCCCACATAGTAACCTAACTCAGTGTGGCTGCACCTGACCTCCCTCCTGACATTGCCTCTGCCATCTTGCTTTCACTGAAACTGACTGCCCCAGAGCACACTTCCTTGGCTGCAGCCTTGTTAGGTGGAGAATGTGTCTATTCTCATCCATACAGGGTTAGGAGGAGGCATCAATGACCTCAAGATCATCAGGATTAAAAACTCTGAACTCAGCCACTTGCTTTTCCAGAGTAGCTGCAGAAAATCTGAGAGTTGCTTGGGGGGGTGGGGAGGGGGAATCACAAAACTAGGCAGAATATCGCTACAAACTCGTAGTCAACACTGCCCAGCAATCATATTGTCTTTCCAGTGAAATGGCTCTTTCACGTTTTAAAATGCCTATTTTCAAGCCTTTTATGCTCTTCTTAAACTTTCAACATACTTAGTTCCCATCCACCCCCTCATTCTCCACAGCCTCATATGTCACAGAAATAATACAAGCCCTCAAGTTTCCTTTTCTTTCTTTTTTGAGATGGAGTCCAGCACTGTCACCTGGGCTGGAGTACAATGGTGCGATCTTGGCTCACTGCAACCTCCACCTCCTGAGTTCAAGCGATTCTCCTGCCTCAGCCTCCCGAGTAGCAGGGAGTACAGGCACCCGCCACCAAGCCCGGCTAATTTTTTGTATTTTTAGTAGAGACAGGGTTTCACTTTGTTGGCCAGGCTGGTCTCGAACTCCTGACCTTGTGATCCGCCCGCCTCGGCCTCCCAAAGTGCTGGGATTTACAGGCGTGAGCTACCACGCCTGGCCAAGTTTCCCTTTCTTTCAAAAGCCAATCCATCCACACCTCCTCAGAGATATTCCTTGTTCTATCAGGTACAACTATCCCCACCCCACCCCACCAATCTCTCTCTCTTTTCTATATTGTCTCAACAAGCATCAGCATTCAGACATGTTCTAGATTCTCTCATCTCTGAAACAATAAAGAATCACAGCCTCTCCTGGCCCCCTCCAGTTTCACCTGCTCCATCCCCCTACAGAGCCGAGTTTTTGGAAAGAGCTGCTACACGCAATGGGGACTGTTTTCGTCCTCAACGTCCACTCCTTTGTCACTAACAAGTGGAGTCACACCAAGAATAGAAATTAAATTTGGAAAAACTACCATTTTTATGATGTTTCGTTTTCCCTTCCATGGTGTAACTCTCCATTTTTTATACCTCCTATTATACTTCTCAGTTTTGTAAACTTCCATAGGACACATATACTATATTATTTTAACAATTAAATAGACCACGTTTTAAATAGGCTACATATTAAAAAGTCTATTTTAAGTAGACTACATCCTTCACATAGACTCATAAATTACTGCCAACATTCAGATAATGCAATAAAATACACGATTCTAGTATTCTCTCGTCTATGATGACTCTTACAAAAATGTATAAAAGACATACTAGTCCCAAATTGAAAATTTATAATAATAATATTTATGAAGGATAATAAAGGACTGTTTGGTTAACCTTGTTATCTAAAACTGCCTAACCAACTGCCAACAAAAGACCACAGCTGATGAAAAAGTACATTAATTGGAGCATTATTTGCATAAGCAATGACAGAAAAGATGTGGCAGGCCAAAAGAGACTATTTTTAAAAACTACCTGACGTATCACCTTCATGTGGAAAGAAAAAAGCATTTCAAATCTTACATTTTAAATAAATTAAATGTTAAAATGTGTTCAGGTCCTGATATGCTCTATTGGTACAAACACGAGTCCATGTGGTGTGGAGCCATTTCTGAAGAAGTGAACAACGTGTCTGTTGCTATTGCTGTAACAACCATCTTCGAGTATATAAATATTTTAGAATGTTTATTCATTCTCTGTATATTTAGATTATCATAAGGTTCTCCAAATTGTTTTTCAAATGTAACAAAACAAATTACCCATTTCTAGGATGTAGAATAAGTTTTAAGAAAGCTACAATCTAATGGGAAAATACCCTCTTTTGGAATTCAGGCAAAGTGCAGTGAAGAAACACATGTAATGTCCCCACCAAAGGAATCTGACAAGAATCAGTCTCTTAAAGTGTACTACCCATATGTAATTGAAAAGCTGCATGCAAGATACCAACTGAGGATTATAATACCAGTGAGTAAGAACACAAGTCAACAAAATATTTCAAAACAAGAGATGCTCAGTTGTGTTAAACAAAAACCAGGCACAGAAGAACTTTTTAAAAAATGGAAATGGAAACACTTTCTTGAAAAAGAAAATTGTATTTTTAGAAAAGCTACCCACATAAAAATATATCAAAAGATAGAACTGCCTATGAAAGAGTGGTCCTCAATCATTTTTAGAAGGTGATCCCAGATGGGATCTGGTTGGAAGGAGTAGGCCACCCTGACAACGCAGGCCTGGCAGCTAGTGTCCTCATGAACCAGGTGGCTTTAGGAGTGACAAGCTTTTGCTATGTCGCATCACTTAACTCCCTCAATCCTACAAAAGGAACTCCAAATGCATCCTACCAGACAATAACTACTTCCCTCCTTGTAGCAGACAAGCTGGGAACGATTTGTCTTGGCACGAATCACTGCATTTTGCTTCCTCCTCTGCCTTGCTGTTCTTCCCCCAATATCAACTGGGAAATTACCAGCATAAGAAACACAAGAAAGCACTGGATCAATAAGCAAGAAGGGAAAACTATACACTTGGATACCATGAATGTATGTTATCCAGAATTCACTTCAGGTGAAGCAGTTTTAAAAGGAAAGCCATTCTCATTATATAATATAAGCTAAAGGAATTTTTTTCTGCCCATTTGTTCCCCAATAACATCTCTTTAAGTAGAAAATTCCTGAGCTTTTGAATAGCTGTAGTTAACTGAATGTATAAATCTCCACCTCTAAAATCAAAGGTGGGTAGCTAACCATGAGTGGTTTCTACTAAACCCTAATGATCTGGAATGAACCCTAAGGGGAAACTAGTTAGCCACCCTGTCCACAAATCCCATTCAAAGAGTGAGGTGATCAAAAGGAAAGCGAAGTGCTTAGTTAACTACTGTGGACTGCTGGCTATTTCTTCTGCCCATCCAGTGCACTGCTGAGCTCACGCCGCTTTCATCACCATGCCCCCAACTAGCAGAGTATGTACTTTTTAAAAATAAAATTTGGAGAAGAACAATCAACTATTTCAATGAGTGACAAGTGTCCCAGTAGACTAATAATAGGCTATGAGCTGTGAGAGTTTATGTAAGGCTAAACCTTGAAAATGTTAAGAGTGGCATTGTTTCATCTATATTTGCCTTGAGATAATACCTAAAATAATATTTGTGTTAAGTTAGGAAAGGGGAATTTCCCTGAGCAAGAAGAAGGTGGGCCACTTGATATTTCACTACCTGTATTTTCAAAAAGGAGAAGGGCCAAGGGAAGGCTAACTGTGTAAATGATATCAGAGCCTTTCCTGTGTGTACGGGCCAAGGTGGGGGCAGGGAGAAGAACAGAACACTTAATCACCAAGGGCAAAGGAAAAGTAGAAGAGAGATAGCGAAGGGGAGGAATAAAAAGGCAGGGAGGCAGGAGGGTGGCTCTGCTGATAAAGACAAACTTCACTGTCTTCACAATTTTGCCTAGGATCAGTCCAGTTTATTTTCTGTCAACACTGCATAAGCAAACAGAAGGTATAGACAAAGGTATTTCCACTAGGCATTGCCATACAGCTTACAGAGAATAATGGAGTGATACTAAAAGACCCACATTGATTCTCAAGAAAAATAAAGGTAATTTATTTGTTCATTTTACATATTTGGCATCCTTATCAAAGGAGCTTCATTCCAAAGCAATAAGAAAAAGCAGGTGATTTCAAAGTACAGCAGTGATTTCATTATTCTAAAGTCAGCACTGACTTCCTCTCAGTGTACTTTCAGCTCTGGGGCAAAACATTAGCTGAATTGCTTTTTTTTTTTTTGAGACAGTCTCGCTCTATTGCCCAGGCTGGAGTGCAATGGCGCGATCTCAGCTCACTGCAACCTTTGCTTCCCAGATTCAAGCAATTCTCCTGCCTCAGCCTCCCATGTAGCTAGGATTAGAGACATGAACCACCACACCCAGCCAATGTTTGTATTTTTAGTAGAGATGGGGTTTTGCCATGTTGGCCAGGCTGGTCTTAAACTCCTGACCTCATGTGATCCACCAGCCTTGGCCTGCCAAAGTGCGGGGATTACAGGCATGAGCCACCACGCCCAGCCTAGCTGAACTGCTTTTACCAGTGAATAAGAACACAAATCAACAAAATATTTCAAATAAGAGATGCTTAGTTGTGTTACAAAACAAAACAAAACAAAACAAAACAACAAAAAAAAACAGGCATGAAGGAACTTTTTTAAAAATGGAAATGGAAATGAACACTTTCTTGATAAAGGAAATTGTATTTCTAGAAAAGCTACCCAAATAAAAATATACTAAAAGGTAGAACTGCCTAAGGTTTAGTGGTCCTCAATTGTACCACCAATAATTATGCCCACAATTTTATCCTAAATAAGAGTGATTCCCTGTTCCTTTTCCTACAGAACATGTTTCTGTCCGCAAAGAGAATAAGAAAACATGACCCCTCCATCCAGAACCAAACTAAACTCAGGAGTGATTAGAATCACCTGTGGGCATTTTCCCCCAAACCACCCATACTCTGTAGATTCTGATAAGCGCTCTTAAAGAAGCTACAGCTCTTCCCCATTCCCTATCTGAAAGCAAGGAACCACTGCTTTGGTCAGGAAACAGGCATACAACATCAGATGTGATTATAAATGGCCACAATCTAAAAGAAACCAAAAAATAAAAATAAAAAACATGAGATAATAATGTTTACTTTGGGTTATTAATAATAGCAGCGGCAATTGCCAACCAATCTGCCAAGTCATGATGATGATGATACTAATGATGATTTGATTACTTTTAAGGACAATAATCAAAACATAAAATTATGAGATTGATTCTGTAGGCTTTTAGAAAAGTCACTTAAAAAGAGAAAAAAATGATGCTCCCTGATATGGTTTGGCTGTGTCCCCAGCCAAATCTCACCTTGAATTGTAGTTCCCATAATTCCCATGTGTTGTGGGAGGGACCCGGTGGGAGACAATTGAATCATGGAGGTGCTTTCCCCCACACTGTTCTTGTGGTAGTGGATAAGTCTAACGAGATCTGATGATTTCATAAGGGGTTTCCCCTTTTGCTTGGCTCTCATTTCTCTCTTGCCTGCCAACATGTAAGATGTGCCTTTCACCTTCCACCATGATTGTGAGGCCTCCCCAGCCACATGGAACTATGAGTCCATTAAACCTCTTTTTCTCAATTACCCAGTCTCGGGTATGTCTTTATCAGCAGTGTGAAAATGGACTAATACACTCTCTTCCAGCAGAGGGCTAACAACCTTAGTACAGTAAATGAAAGCAACGCACCAGCGGCTGCACCATCAATGCAGTAATCTAGACTACATTAACTTGAGCAAGTCAAATTCTTCACTTACCATTTGTTAGTCTATCAAATAGAAAGATATCAAAATTCCAATTTCCAACTTTTTCCAGCATACACTGAAATGAAAACCAAACATTTCTACTGTAATTTAATTTCAATAACATTGTCTTTTGGAGATATTCCATAGAGAAGTTAAAGAAAATGTAAAGTGATTGATTTACTTTAAAAAATACAAGTATCATTTTTCTTTTAATCATGACTTTTTCAACTGGCTCCAAAAAAATGCCAAAGGGATAAACTCCATTTGAAAAATGAAACATTATTTTGTTTTTCAATTAATGAATGCACAGGAAGGTTATGTTTCCCAGCTTATTGCTACAGTCTTGCAAACCTTTAAGAATTCTAGTATCACTTAACATCACAGAAGTGTGGTTCAAATGTTGTATGGTTTAGAAACTAAATTGCAAACAATCTAATAAAAATAAGTGACACTACTGAGTATTTACTGTATTCCAGGTACTGTTATAAGTTACTCACTCTTTTATTACTAAGAACAACACTATCAGATGTTGTTTTCTTTTTTCTTTGAGACAGGGTCTCACACTCACTGTCACCAAGGCTGGAATGCAGTGGCACAAACAAGACGGCTCACTGCAGCCATGACCTCCTGGGCTCGAGCAATCCTCCTGTCTCAGCCTCCCGAGAAGCTGGGACTACAAGCATGTGTTACCATACCTGGCTAATTTTTTTTTTTTTTTTGTAGAGACAAGGTCTCACCATGCTGCCCAGGGCTGGTTTCAAACTCCTGGACTCAAGTGATTCTCCCACCTTGGCCTCCGAACGTGCTAGGATTACAGGCATGAGCCACTGCACCCAGCCCAGGCATTGTTTTCAATTCTCATTTTAGGGACGTAGAAACAAGCAAAAAATAACTAACTTGCTCAGCTATAAAGTGATAGAGCTGGGATCTTAAATTAGGTAGTCTGTTTCTAGAACCTAGGCATCTGACACTGATACCACACCATGCTTAAATTATTTGTTATTCAGTTTTTAAAAAAACACTTCTAACTTATGGATATGTATTTATATTATCTAAATATGCTTATAAAATAACACAATTTACTACATTAACTTTTAGGATAATGTGTACTTCAGCCAAGCAAATAAATCCCACAAAGGCCCTAAAAACCAAATATTTTTATACCATACATTCTTAACCTGAACCTTTTGTGGACTTTTTCTAGAAAAAAACTTATATTTTATATCCAAAAGTTCACTGTTGTATACATTTATGAATACACTGACATGAGCAACACTAAGATACTACTAGTAGAAATCATTAATTATAACAGTACTAATAACAACAAATGACATAGAGATCAATATTCTCATTCTAAAAGGCAGAACTTGTAAACATTTTAACATTTAAAGCAGGCATGAACGCTTTCCACTGATTTCTTTTACTAAACAGGGAAGTAATTTTCTTCACTTTCATGTAATTGTAAAGAAGACACCCCAGCTTTACCTACACAACTTAAAAACTTATCTACACAAACTCAAGAATCTGGTCTGTAAATATTAAGTCAAATATAACTTAAAATACATTGGAAATTTAATATTATTTAAAATCCTCATTTGGTTAAAAACAAGCTCATTTAACCCTGATGTTCAGTAAGACATTTCTTTTAAATTATATAAAGAGGAAGTAAATAATGCTCACAATCAACAAGTTTAACTATGATACATCTAAACCCTCAAAAATCTCTCTCAATGCAAGAGACTATCAAGACTCATTTGACTGAAAGTCACGAGACCTTTGTGAAAAGATGTTATTAATACACACACACACACAAAAAAGAGAGAGAGACCTAACTTTCTGTGCTGGGTTTACCTCTAACCAGCTGGGTGGGCGCAAACAAGTCCCTCGTGCTCTCTTGGACTCAGTTTCTTTATTGATGGAATACGGACATGATTAGATCAGGTAATCTCTAAGTCTTCCCAGCATTACAATTCTGTGAGATCTTATAGTTTAATGTTTTATTGATCTCCTTGTTACGTAATGTTATAATAATAAATGAAAACATTGTCACTACTTTAGTTATTTCAGAAATTTCCCTTGCTCTGTAATGGCTAATTATAAAACAAACAGCTGCTCTAAAGAAAAAAACCTGGAAAATAGGCTCAACTGCTTTTCATAGACAGAGAAAAAGACTCTATAAATCATTACTGTATGGGGAATAAAGGCCTTCAGTAAACTTATCAAAAAATTAATGTTTTCTTAAAAAAACTATACACACCTTGGCTTGTCCATTATAATCATCATCTAAAATGTTTAGGGAATTTGAAACCGCAGTACCACGAAAAAA
The DNA here is from genome assembly GCF_000001405.40 of Homo sapiens. Taxonomy (NCBI): domain Eukaryota; kingdom Metazoa; phylum Chordata; class Mammalia; order Primates; family Hominidae; genus Homo; species Homo sapiens. The sequence continues at coordinate 65,747,721 of NC_000008.11, forward strand.
GCGTGAAGATCTAAGATATCGCTGGAAACTTAGTAGCCTTCTGATATTCCTTGCAGAGACAGACACTTCAATTTCAGATTGAGCTGAAATAAAAAGAATAAAAGGTAAGTATAGCAAGTTAAAATTATACACATGCTATCTTTGCAATACCACTTTTAGTTATGTACAAGTATTTTTAAAAATTCATTTAAATAATTATACCACATTTCCATGAAAGAAGTGATACTTTATTTCTATTTTATTTTATTTTTTTAAGTGAGTTCTCACTCTATTACATTTCTATTTTCAATGAAAGAACTAAGGATGAAGGTCAATGGCCAATTTTGACAGCATTTAGAAAGCTAACGAAGACTGGTGGGATTAATAATCACGGTTTGTTTTTTTTTTTAACTTTAAAATACTATAACCTCTTACTCTTTTGCTTCAATATACCACATAAACATGGAGCAGAAACATGGAAAAAACCTAGTTTCAAACTACTAGAAAAGCCAGGTCCTAAGTTACATATGAGATTTTAACAATTACACAAGTAAAACATTTCATATCCCAATGAGGTATCATTTCAAATATTTACTTAAGATAATTAAGAAGAAAAGGAGGTAGAAGGGGGAGCAAAGTGGTTTATATCCTGTAAGTGTTCTAAAGGATAGGGATAAAAATTATTAAGGTGATATGCTCTAGAAAAGATGCAGTTCTACAGTGGAGACTGGAATGTTCTCTTTCAGTGAGTCTAACATAGCCATTTTTTCCCTCTAGTGTTAGAATAAACCAGAGTTCCCTGGATTGGGCACCAGATGAAATGACAGATCTGGGGTAAAATCTGTCTTGCAGGGAACATACGTTATCTTTAGATTCTAAAATCAAACCAAATTCAGTAAAATGTTCACAATATAAAACAGGAAAATCAAGACTGAGGATCAATAAATCATCTCTTAATTTAGAATCACCAGGTGAAATGGAAGGTAATCAAACATATTCTCTCTTGCATATCCAGTCACTCACTCCTCTATTAACCTCTAGCCCTGTGTTTCCTTATGTGTATAATGGCAATAATATCTAATTTAAGGGGTGCTGGATTAAATGAGATAATATATATACAAGTCAGAGACACAGCAGGTGTTAAATAGTAGCCATGTCGAGGGTGGTAAAATTGATGCTGCTCCCACTGCTTGCAGGTATGCTACTAGTAATTATCAGAAATTCTGAATCTGCTCATCTTGCTCTAAATAAAAGCATTTCATGGCTCTTCATCATCTTAATATGAACTTCATTTCCTTAGCCTGGAAGAGAAGGCTTCACGCTCCAAGTCTGGCTCTTTGTAGACTTGACTCAGCTGTCACCTTCCCTGGGAAGCACATTCAGTACACTGCCCCTATCTTGAAGAGGCGGGAAGCACCCGCTCTGGCTTCCCAAAGCTCCCTGTGCATTCATCTATAATAGTACTTCTGATATTATAATTAGTTTTTTGTCTCCTTGAACAAATGATGACTTTCAGAACAGGCATGAACTATCTTTTTTACCTCTGTATTCCAAAGCCTAATAGTAATGCAAAGCATATAGTAAGTAATTGTAAAATATATTAAATAAATGCATACTATTTTTAAAATATCTGATGAACTCTGAGGTTCCCATACACACAAATAAACAGAAGTAAAATAATGCACACTGTTATGTGATTTACTTCTCCCATTTTTCATTCCAGTGAGTAAAATGCAAGTATCTAAAACAATTATGAATCTTAAATTTCTGATCTTTACCAATGTAACTTACTTTAAAAAAAGGACTAGAACCAAAATAGTAAAAACTATTAATATCAAGTGATGATTATGTTTAAACTAGAATTGGTCTGTTTGAAGAAATTTGGGTAGATTAAATTCTATGAAAGCAATGTTCCAAGTGCTTTGTAAAAAGAATCTCATTTAGCCATCAACAGCTTCAAAAGATAAATAGTATGCCCCACTTTACACATGAGAACACTGTGCCTACAAGAAATTAAATAACTTTCCTAAGGTCACATACCCAATATAGGGTGACACCTGGATTAAAAAACACAGATCTGTTTATAAAGCCTGTTTACTCACAAGGGTTTTTAAATTATATTTCTACAGTATTGTTTATTTACTGTCCATTACAAAATTCTGTGTACATCCTTATTCAAAATAGTCTTTATTTCAGATGAAGATATGGACAGAAAAAGAAACAGAAGGAAAATAGCTAATGCAAAGGAATGTTAAGTATATAACGGACTCTTCTAACTTTATTACTAGAAAAAAGTGGATCTGCAAGGGACATAATAGCATGGCATGAATATGTGGGGGAGGAGATAAGATCTAATTAATGTAACACTAGCACCACCATCTCTGTATTTGTAAAGCACTTTACAGTTTTACCAGAGTATGTTCACATCCACTATCCCATTTAGTAATCATTACCATCCTGTGAAGAAGGCAAAGATTATCATCTCCATTTTACAAATATATCCTTAGAAACCAAGGTAAAAATGCAATACAATGAATGCATTAGAGCCGACACACTTAGAAAACTTTTAGAAAATGTTGCAGAATACTTGTACTGTATTTATTATGAAAAAATAACCTAAAGCAGAGTTCAAGGTCATGAGTGCCACTTCATGAGCATTCCCTCTGATTTACCTTAAATTACACACAAAAGGTAACAATTTTATTACTGGCAATTAGGATTGCTGTGTGTGTGTATTAGGATCACACTGTATGTATATATGTAAATTAGAATCACTGTGTGTGTGTGTGTGTGTGTGTGTGTGTCTGTGTGTGTCTGTGTGTGTGTGAGACAGAGAGAGAATTTGAGAATCTCTTTGCAAGGACAACTGCATAAGGTCCAAAACATGAATTAGCCTCATTTGAGAGGGAAACTCCAACAATTCAATCCACTGTGCTCTGTCACCATGGTAGGATACATACTGTCAATGGTTAAGTCAATTGGTACTGTCTGGGAGCCAAGGCCCCAACCATGAAATCATGGTTGTATCCTCCCCTGCCTAACTCTTATTTTCTGGGCAACTTCTGACAAGTCATAACCTTCTGATATCTCATTTTCCTTAACTGTAAAAAAAAAATCATGTTTCCTGTTTCACAGAGCCCTGAAGTTAAGATTCATTATCAAGAGTTCTATTTTGACCAAGTTAAGCTGCAAATGAGTATTAGATATTGACTCACAAGGAAATGATCACTCATCATGGAAGCCCAATGCCTTCTAAGATTAATCTCATAAAGAAACCTACATAACAGGATAAGAAATGGACCTTCACTTAATGATATAGGACCACCCTTATCAATTACTGATTATGTCACAGACAAATTAAGAAAGGACATGGAGCCTGTCTAGATGAAATGGAAGATCATTCAAGGAAAAGTGTTTTCTTCACCTACAGGGTCTGAGGGCCTCATACAGGAAGCCTACACGTAACAAGATTATATTCTGGTAAAGAATGAAAATCCCACGAGACTTTGCAGAGATGCCAACTAAAACTACCTCAAAGTTTTGTCTAAGATTTAATAGAGGACCAGAACTTTCGGGGGATGTCTGGTTTGATTTTTTTCATTAATCTAATCTTTGAATATGTAATGCATTCACGTTTCAAAAACAAGAAGGGAGGGAAGAAAGAAAATAACAGTGAATGATTCAACCCTCTATGTGTCCCCTTATACAACCACTCTCAAGCCCTACCCCAAAATGGTAACTTTTATCTTAAAGTTTCTATTGTATCCTTCCTGAGGTTTTTTTTTTTCTTTTCTCGAGTTTCATCTCTTGTTGCCCATTCTTGTTGTTCATTCTTGTTGCTAGAGTGCAATGGTGCGATATCGGCTCACCGCAACCTCCGCCTCCGGGGTTCAAGCAATTCTCCTGCCTCAGCCTCTCAAGTAGCTAGGATTACAGGCATGGGCCACCACACCCAGCTAATTTTGTATTTTTAGTAGAGACGGGGTTTCTCCATGTTGGTCAGGCTGGTCTCGAACTCCCGACCTCAGGTGATCTGCCTGCCGCGGCCTCCCAAAATGCTGGGATTACAGGCGTGAGCCACTGCGCCCAGCCCTTCCTGAGTTTTAAAAAATTAAATATATAGAAACATATTATTTTTCTACTTATTTTACATAAATGGTAGCATATTTTACAACCTGTTCTGCATCTTGCTTTTTAATTTATTGTGGATCACTCTCCCTGTCAGTGCATAGACACCTTCCCTGTTCTTTTATAAGGCTGTAAAGTATTCTATCATACAGATGAATCATAATCTATTTAGCCAGTCCTCTACTGAAGGGCACTGCTACAGTTTTACAGTTTGCAAGAATACCTTTGTTTTGTTAAATATGCTTATATTTCTACTACTTGATTTGTCAGCTTGAGATATCATCCTCTAATTTTCAGTTATTGCACGAGGAAGTCACTCTATATGCCATCTTCTTTCCCCTTTCCTCTTCCAGTATTGTTAGTTACCAGAGCATATTTTTTTCCTTTCACTCTTATCTCTACTTTCATTTTAGGCTTAGCTGTAGAAACTGAATATACTCAATAACGCAAGACCTTTTATCTTAATTTCCCCAGTTATCTATTTGCTTGTGTTCATACTCTAGTAGTATCCTTAAGTGCTCATGAAAACAAAATTATCTCACAGCAATATATTTCACTCATAATATATTATTGAATGTTCAAATTTTTTTTCAGTAGTCTTTTGTCTTTCTTGGTTCTCCTTTTCCTTTCTTGAATTTCTTTGAAGGTACTGGTTCATTATCTCTGGCATTGAAACTTGCAAAATCTGAGGCAAACCTGTTATTTTTGCCCTTGTAAGTGACTAGGTATTTTTGTATGGCCGCCCACAGAATTCTTTCTTTCTCTTTAAAGGCCAATTACTTTACTAAGATATATCTCATTGTTAACCATTCTGGGTCATTTTTGCCTGGTATGTTCTTTCAATATACAAATTTAAATCTTCTGTTATTCCTGGAAAGTTTTCTTGAATTATATCTCTAAATATCTACTTTGCTCCACTATTTTAGCTTTTTAAAATCAGACACTCTAAACTGTCTATGTTGAAACACCTTTATGTGTTTTCTATCTCACTTTCTCTCCAATTCTTTTTAACTATTTGTTTGCTTTTCTCATTTCTATCCACTATAACCATTACTGTGTTCAGTATAAATTCTATCTTGTCGCCTTCCAAATCTGTCTTCCTTTCCATGATATATTTAAATTTTACTTCTACTATTTTCTGATTCTGAATGTACATGTCTAATGCAACTGAACTCCTTTTGTTGTCTTATCTCTTCACTGAGTTCTTAAATTTGTGCTTTATGGTAAAGCTATTGTTTAATTTAATTTTTTGAGTGGTAGGAAATTTAGTCACAATTTTCATCAGTTCTATGGCAGCACTATTCCATTAAGTGCTCTCCAGTCATTAAATTCTGCTGCTGTCTTCCACTGTTTTACTTAAATTATCTGCTGTGCCAGTTTCCTTTTTTAAAAGTCATTATTGAATGAGCTGAATTTTCCTGGACCAACTCTTTGTACCAAGTTCTTAATGGGGATAAAAGGGAGGTCTTGGGAGAGAGCAGAGGAAATCCCTCTGAGCTCTACTACCCAAATGGCTCTCTCCTTCTCTGCCAAAGAAATAAACTGCTTCTTAGGATCATGCCTCTGCTATTTCTCTAAACCATACTGGGCCCAGAGAGACTGCACTGGACCCTGCTTAACCCAGATCCTAGACCAGATGTGGAAAGTGAAATAATTAGCTTTGTACTTCAGGGTGAGCTCCCCACCCTCACCCACCCCTAAGCTTTAAAAAAGAAAAATTAAGACTTCTTTGTGTCCTAACATATGGTCTATTCAATGTGCACTCGAGAAGAATTTGTGTTCTGCTGTTGAGTACTCTGTGTCTGTTACCTCTAACTGGATTATAGTGTTGCTCAGGTGCTCGATTTCCTTATTACTCTTCTGATTGTCCTATCCATTATTGAAAGTGGGGTATTCAAGTCTTCATTATTGTAGAATTGTCTCTCTCTTAAATTCTGTCAAATTTTGCTTCATATATTGTGGAAATCCATTGTTAGATATACGTATGTGTTTATCATTATTATATCTTCCTGCTGGATTGAAACTTTTATCAACATACAATGCCTTTTATCTCATAACCTTTTTTTTCAAAACTTAAAGTGTATACTGTCTGCCAATAATAATATAGTCACCCCAGATCTCTTTTGGTTATTATCTGCATGGTATGTTATATTAGGGTTCTCTAGATTAGTTCTGTCCCTCTAAAGGGGAGTTAAGTATTAACTCACACGATCACAAGGTCCCACAATAGGGCATCTGCAAGCTGAGGAGCAAGGAAAGCAAGTCTGAGTCCCAGAACTGAAGAACTTGGGAGTCTGATGTTTGAGGGATCCAGCACAGGAGAAAGATGTGGGCTAGGAAGCTAGGCCAGTCTAGTCTTTCCATGTTTTTCTGCTTGCTTTATAGTCTAGCCACGCTGGCAGCTGATTAGATGGTGCCCCCCCGCCCCAAGATTGAGGGTGCGTCTGCCTTTCCCAGCCCACTCGCTCAAATGTTAATCTCTTTTGGTAACACCCTCACAGACACACCCAGGATCAATACTTTGCATCCTTCAATCCAATCAAGTTGACACTCACTATTAACCATCATATACCTCCTTTCCCATTCTTTTACTTTCAACCTCTTTGTTCAAACCATTCTCCTGCCTCAGGCTCCCGAGTAGCTGGGATTACAGGTGCCCACCACCATGCCCAACTAATTTTTGTATTTTTAGTAGAGATGGGGTTTCACCATGTTGGCCAGGCTGGTCTCGAACTCCTGACCTTGTGATCCGCCCGCCTCGGCCTCCCAAAGTGCTGGGATTACAGGCTGAGCCACCATGCCCAGCCGTTATTTGTCTTCTATATGCCTTGTTTTTTGTTCTTTAATTCTTCCATTAGGCTGGGCACAGTGGCTCACGCCTGTAATCCCAGCACTTTGGGAGGCTGAGGCGAGTGGATCACGAGGTCAAGAGATTGAGTCCATCCTGGCCAAGAAGATGAAGCCCCGTCTCTACTAAAAATACAAAAATAAGCTGGGCATGGTGGCATGCACCTGTAGTCCCATCTACTCGGGAGGCTGAGGCAGGAGAATCGCCTGAACCCGGGAGGCGGAGGTTGCAGTGAGCCGAGATCGCGCCACTGCACTCCAGCCTGGCGACAGAGCGAGACTCCCTCAAAAAAATAAAAATAAAAATAAAAATTCTTCCATCATTGCCTGTTTATTTTTTTTTTCACTTATTTTTTTTTTTTTTGAGACAGAGTCTCACTCTGTTGCCCAGGCTGGAGCGCAGTGGTGTGGTTTCGGCTCACTGTAACGTCTGCCTCCCAGGTTCAAGTGATTCTCCTGCCTCAGCCTCCCAAGTAGCTGGGACTATAGGTGCATGCCACCACGCCCGGCTAATTTTTATATCTTTAGTAGAGATGGGTTTTCCTCAAGTTGGCCCAGCTGGTCTTGAACTCCTGAACTCAGGGGATCCACCCGCCTCAGCCTCCCAAAGTGCTGGGATTACAGGCATGAGCCATCATGCCCGGCCCATTATTGCCTTTTTAAAATTTAGGTTTTTGTTTTGTTTTGTTTTGTTTGTGCATCATTTTGATTCCCTCCTTTCCTGTTTTGTGTATTTTTAAATTTACTTAGTGGTTACTTTGGGGTTTACAATTAACACCTTAAACTTATAAAGACCTAGTTTGAATAATACCAATTTAATTTCAATAGTATACAAACACTGCTCGTATGCATCTCCAATCCTCCTCCTTCCTATTGTTATTATCACAAGTTACATCTTTATATGTGTGTGCCCATTACCACAGACATAATTATTGTTACATGCATTTGCCTTTTAAATCATATAAGTAAAAGAGGTGTTATAAACCAAAAATATAACACTGGTTTATATATTTACTTGTGTAGTAACCTTTACCAGTGTTCTTTATTTCCTCTTATGGCTTTAGGTAACTGTTAATACCCTTTTATGTCATCATAAAGAACTCCCTTTAGCATTTCTTTCTTATTCTCTTTGAAATGGAGATCTCACTATGTCGCCTAGGCTGGCCTTGAACTCCTGAGCTCAAGAGATCTTCTTGCCCTAGCCTCCTGAGTAGCTAGGATTACAGGCATGTGCCACTGTGTTGAATCTACCATTTCTTGTAGGACAGGTCTACTGGTAATGAACTCCCTCAACTTTTGTTTGTCTGGAAATATGTTAAACTCCCCTTCATTCTTCAAGGATAGTTTTGCCAAATATGGAATTCGTGGTTGACAGTTTTTTGTTTTTGTTTTCAGGACTGACAATATGTTAGTTTATTCCCTTCTGGCCACCAAGGTTCTTAATGAGAAATCAGCTATTAATCTTATTGAGAATCCCTTGTACAAGACAAGTTGCTTCTCTCTTGCTGATTTCAAAATTCTTACTCTTTGGGTTTCAACAATTTGACTATAGTGTGTCTCAGTGTGGATTTCTGAGTTTGTCCTGATTGGAATTTACCGAGCTTCTTGGATGTGCATATTCATGTCTTCATCAGATTTGGGAAGTTTATTTTTTCAAATATTTTTTTCTGCCCCTTTTTCTTTCTGGGACTCCAGTGATTCATGTATTGGTACACTTGATGGTGCCACCAGTCTCTCAGGCTCTGTTCATTTCTCTTTTTTTTCTCTCTCTCTTTCTACTCCTCAGAATGGACAGTTTGAATTATCTTGCCTTCAAGTTTGCTGATCCTTACTTCCCCCTGCTCAAAGGTTTCAACAGCAGATTTTTCATTTCAGTTATTCTACTTTTCAATTCTAGAATTTCTGTTTGGTTCCTTTTTACAATTTCTTTCTCTTTACTGAGATTCTCATTTTGTTTGTACATTGTTTTCCTTATTTGTTTTTAGTTATTTGTCCATGTTTTCTTTTAGTTCAGTAAACATTTAAGATAGTTCATTTAACATCTTTGACTAGTAATTCCAATGTGTGGGCTTCCTCCGGGGTGGTTTATATCAAATTCTTTTTTTTTCCTGTGGGCTATATTTTCCTGTATGTTTTGTATTTTTTTGTTGGAAACTGAACATTCCAAGTTTTACACTGGGGAAGCTCTGGAAACTGAATTATTTTACTCCTCCAGGATTGTTTATTTTTAAAATTTTGCTGGCTTATGATAAAGGGTATTTCAAGGAAACAGATAAAGGGATGTATAGGGCAAGGTATGGGGGAAGGGGTGCAGAGCTTCCATGCCCTCCGTAGGTGCACCACTCTCCAGGAACCTGCAGGTGTTCAGCTATGTGGAGGCTCCCTGAATGCGGTCCTCTTGGGTTTTTATGGAAGCTTCATAATGTCAGCATTCCTTCCCCCAAGGTATAGGGCAAGACTCTCTCTGGGGAAGGTCTTAGGACCCACAATCAGAAAAGTGGGCAGACATTAGAGTCCTGCCTTGGGGCAGGTGAAAGGAGGGCAGGAGAAGGTCAGAGAAATTGTTTTTCTTGAGGCCTGCTCCTGAGGCCTGACACACTCAACATTACAACAAAAGACTGTAACAAGGGCTATGGAAGTTACAAGCCAGGAATTGTGGGCAAAAACATAATACCACAGGTCATCCCCTGGTTTTCATACATGGATCCTTTAAATCAAAAGAATATACATAATTATTAATAACTAGTCCAGTCCATCATAGTGCATGACTGTCTCCCAGGGTGAGGCTACTCAGGTTTGTAGGGTTTTTTTAGATCTTGTCAGGTTCCAAAAGTGGCAGTAGTTTGGCAAACATACAGTGTTATTCTTTCCGGCATCTGGAATAATTGAGCTAAGAGATAATGTTGTCTCTTGCTCCAAGACTTTGTTTTTGTTTTGTTTTGTTTTGTTTTGTTTGTTTTTTAAGACTGAGTCTCGCTCTGTCGCCCAGGCTGAAGTGCAGTGGCATGATCTGGGCTCACTGCAACCTCTGCTTCCCGGGTCCAAGTGATTCTTCTGCCTCAGCCTCCTGAGTAGCTGGGACTACAGACGTGTGCCACCACGCCCGGCTAACTTTTGCATTTTTAGTAGAGATGGGGTTTCACCATATTGGCCAGGCTGGTCTCGATCTCCTGACCTCGTGATCCGACCGCCTTGGCCTCCCAAAGTGCTGGGATTACAGGTGTGAGCCACCACACCCAGCCAACTCCAAGACTTTTAATGTAATATTTGATTTCCCTCAATTTATAACCCACTTACTCATTTATTTACCCTCAGTTATTAGTCCTCCTTTTCTCCACTTGTCATTTATTTTTACTCAAATGTTTCCACATTTGGAAGGAGCATTAAGTTTGGTCTCTGTGCTAGTCCAGATTGCTGGTTGTAATACTAGTCTAGCAAGTGCCTTTTCCTGTGTCCATTCCCATTCATAGAGGGTAGGGTTACAAAGGTTCTGAACTAGTGAACCATTTTTACCACTAGGCAATAACAGCCGTATTCACTCTCAGCCCCAATTTTGCCAGATGGGGTGAAGGCACAACCCACCCCCATCAGGCCCTCAGGAATTCTGGCATAAGGCTTAAAAATACAGTTATACTTTCTTGCTTAGAAATAATCCTTGTTTCCAGCACTTGTAGTCCTAGGACTACTGTATCAGGTAAGGGGGAAAAAATGTTTTTAGGTGATTTGGGGAAGAAAGAAAAAAACTACAGTTGTTATACTAGTGCACTTCTCCCTTGGCAAGAATTTATAGTCATATCAGCATCCTCCACAACCCCTATTCACCAGATCCACCAGAAAAAGACACAAATCTTGTGGGGACACTCCTTTAGTCCCACTCATGCTGAATGTGAGCACACACTTGTGACGGTGAGTAAGCCAGCCCTTTGTGCTTTCATCTCCCTCTGTTATGGACAGTGTTTCAATTGCCATTTCTACTTATCTTTCAAACTATACTCTGAAGAGGTTATCTCTCTGCCCAGTGCTGGACATTATGGGCTGTACAGTATGTTCCTTTGTCTGACAACTGTTGGCCACCGAAATCCATGCAGTACCTTCTGTTCTAGTTCTTTAATGGCACTCTAAGCATTTGCATCTTCCACAAGTAAGCAAAGCCCAATCCAGAATCAGGTCTATCCCATCTGTAGCCCCCCAGGGCTACCAGCATCAGTCTCACTTGCCAGCTATGTTCAGGGCGTTCCTACCATGGAATCTGTCCCATAACCATAGGCAGCCTCTGTCTCTCTTGCGGAGAAACAGGACTGTTCTTACCGTCATTATGTGTCTGAGAGGGGGCAAAAGGAACATGTCTTGACTCAGCCCATCTCTACACTGCTGCAGTACCCCCAGATCCACTCATTCCATGGACCTCAGGGAGGCACACGGGGATACTTGCTTGCATTTTACGTCTTTTCCAAACTATTTTTCCCTTTGCTTGTCTGTTTGCCTTTTTCTATTCCTTGTATGTAATCACTGAAGTTTCTGTTCCAGTATCTCTGCAGTCAGCCAGTGATGTGGCACAGATTTCCTTAAGTGTCTGGCTCCAAAATGGGGGTGAGGGGCTCAGGACAGTACTATCTCCTTAAATCTCCTGACAGATGCCACTGGGGGAAACCCCTGAGGCCAAGAGGGCCAAATCTTGTGAAAACATCTGCATCAGTCCCTCAGGGATCCGCCAGAATGACGAGAACACCAAGGTCCCCACTTCCCACCCTGGCTTCAGCCAGATACTGCAGGCATATGGGCCATATCCCCACAGGCCACAGGGCTGAGGAATGGGGGATGGCTACTGGTTCACCCAAGCTGTCCTGCCAAAAAACAGTGGCCTCTCCCTTCAACAAGTACTCTCTTGGTGACTCTAAGTGTCCAATCAGGGCCCAGAATGCTGAAATAGTTGATTCTGGTCATTTTTTCTACTTGGGTAGTTGTTTCAGTGGAGAGATCAACCCCTGGAGGTTCTTACTCTGTCATTTTGAATGGCATTCACCCCTTTCTTTTAAAGGGGGTTTTTCCTAAAGGTCCTTTCTGGAATGAGACATCCCAAACCCTCTCTTTTGCTCAGCCTAGGTTTGAGAATGGGGAAAGGTTGCATGTGAGAGCTTAACTGTCCAGAAACAACCATTGTTAACACCCCACCCTGGTACTCTAGATTTTTTTTTTAAGAATTATTTTCTATATGTATATATACGTATAATTTTTCTTTCATCTAAGAAAGTTAATACTATTTTTTTCACATCAGAATTTATCAGCTGAGCACGGTGGCTCACACCTATAATCCTAGCACTTTGGGAGCCCGAGGCAGGCAGATCACTTGAGGTCAGGAGTTCAAGACTAGCCTGGCTAATATGGTGAAACCCCATCTCTACTAAAAATGCAAAAATTATCTGGGTGTGGTGGTGGTCGCCTGTAATACCAGCTACTTGAGAGGCTGAAACAGGAGAATCATTTGAACCTGGGAAGTAGAGGTTGCAGTGAGCTAAGATCGTGCTACTGCACTCCAGCCTGGGCAAGAGTGAGACTCCTCAAAACAAAACAAAACAAAAATGTATCTATTATCTTTTCATGCCAATAAATATATGTAACATCACTTTTACTAGCCATGTATTAGTCTAATGTATGAAATTATCATCACTTAATATTTTTGCTATAAAACTGTTTCAAACTTTTATTTTGCTTACAAACAATTCTGCAGTAAAGATCCTTATAACTAAATTTTTGTACACAACCTAATAGATTCCCTTAGAATAAGTATTCAGAAGTAGAACAAGGAATAGGAGTGCACTTCAATAGTGTCTAAAACCCATGCCAAACTGGAGACTAAGTACTAAAAGAAAATTAGAGAGATTTCCAGAACTGTCCTAGAATTGCTTCCAAAATATGATCTAAGAAAAGGGATCAAGAACTATAAATCAAGGATAAAACATGATGAGATCACTTTAAGACTGTTGGAAATTTTTAGTTTCTTCATGTTTACTCCACACCCCCACTCCCCTCATCACACAGACACTGTTTTCCTGGAGTAATGACATGTAAAATTCTTACTTTGGAAAAGCCTAGACTCCTATTATGGGGAAAGGAAGGAGGGTAGTGCTGGGAAGGTTACACCCAGGTGTTCTGTCAGCAGGTTAGCGAAACCTGAGTGAAAAAAGCAAATAGAGGCCACTACAGAGAGGAAAGGATATCAAGCTGAATAATTAACATCATTTAGGAATACAGGAGAGAGGATACATGAGGAACTGGGAACAAGAGTGACTATGAGAATTTAACTAGTACTTTCATCCGAACAATTACTAAAAAGCTCACCCTCTGGCTGTATTACACAATATCTGACCTTCTTACCAATATTGTTTTTTCTTTTTTTTTTTTTTAGACGGAGTCTCGCCCTGTGGCGTAGGCTAGAGTGCAGTGGCGCAATCTCAGCTCACTGCAACCTCCGCCTCCCAGGTCCTGATTCAAGCAATTCTCCTGCCTCAGCCTCCCGAGTAGCTGGGATTACAGGCACGCACCACCATGCCCAGCTAATGTTTGTATTTTTAGTAGAGATGGGGTTTCACCATGTTGGCCAGGCTGGTCTTGAACTCCTGACCTCGTGATCCACCTGCCTTGGCCTCCCAAAGTGCTAGGATTACAGGCATGAGCCACCACGCCTGGCCCTCTTACCAATATTCTCATGAGCTCACTGTGACATGAGACAAATTATTTATTTCACAGCATAATGCACAACAGATTAAACTTGCCTTTATTAAAGCTCCACTTCCATCAAGCCTGGACTATTTATTTTAAGTCCCAGGCTTGTGCTAGTTTACATGGTTACCTACATTCCAATCCAGCTTAGAAAGCCAACAGGGCTCAGTGAATTAATCAAGTTACTATTAAAGAGCAGTTGGCTTTGCTGGCTCTTTTCTAAAATATCACATTACTTCACTATGTGACCAAGAACAAACTACCAGCCTCCACCAAACCTAAATGAACACTGTGACTTAGTGATCACGGGTATTACTTCCAGTTAATGATTCTTAGCTTCTCTAAGCCAAATCACAAAAAGTGGGATAGCAGACGAATGTAAAAGACATGTTTTTCTGTTGCTTTCCCCTCCTCATATTAGAAAGTAGACAGGAAATACAAGCCCCAGGTCAAGGAAACAAGCGCTGAAGAACCAACACAACTGGAGCAGTATTACTCTAACTCTTCCACAGATTCTTTTCTATCACCCAAATCGCATGTTTTCCCACAACCGATGTCACAAAAGAGGCCTTTAACAGAAAAGCCTCTGGCTCTTGAGACCCGACCACTACTTGCTTTAACAGTCCACGAGAGGGAGCCCTGCAGCCACTGTATCTGCCACCTTAACAATCATGAAGATACTAATCATGAATTACCCTTGGAGATTATTGTTTAAAATTTTTTTAATTCAGTCCTATAAGGTTTTAACTCTAATCTAGGGCAAGGTCATGTTGAATGGCGCTGGTATTAAAACAAACCTGAAGATGTTCTATATCCTAACCTTCCCTTTCTTTCTCTTGATTTCCCTCAAAAAGAACAGGAGTGGTATCTAAAAGCCTATTGTTAACATCGGGTAATTACACTTACCCTACATCTACGGGACACATTTTCTTAGAAAAAAATTTTACATTTAGCATGCATGAATGAATAGGGGAAAATCAGCTAGGTGTCTGCAGCAATGGTCATTAGTAGAGCAGCACGTGCTGACATGGAGAGGCAGAGCAGCAAAGTACATGAGAACACAGGGGCTTAGGAATTAGACACATCTGAGTTTGAATCCCAATTCTGCCACTTTTACTAGTTCTGTGACATTAAACAGGTTAGTTAAGGTCTCTAATCCTCAGTTCTTCATCTGTAAAATAGGCCCCACAAGACTGTTAAAGATTAAATGAGATAATATATGCAGTATGTCTTTGCACATTTTTGGCAAAGAAAAAGCACTTAAAATTAATAGACATGGTCATTATTATGAATATCAAATATTTTTAAATATGTCATACCATTTTTTTTAACAAAACCAGATTTATTTTTCATGACAGTATAACTTCATCCTGAAAACTAATGTGCTAGAGAAATAATTGGAAACATTTAAAATATTTCAGAATAAGCATACAATCTCATTACCATAAAACAAGTATATTGGCCAAGTATGGTGGCTCAAACCTATAATCCCAGCATTATGGGAAGCTGAGGTGGGAGGATTGCTTGAGCCCAGGAGTTCGAGACCAGCCTGGGCAACATAGTGAGCCTCCATCTCTTTATATTTATATAAAAACAATGTGTGTGTGTGTGTGTGTGTGTGTGTGTGTGTGTGTGTGTGTGTGTATAAAATGAATATACAGCTTAAACTTCAGTATGAACCAAAGAAATAAATTAGCCACTCGTAATCTAAAAATTAGATTAATGTTATGTGTACAACCAATATTCCCTCCCAAAAGAATTGCTTAAGGGAGGGAATATTTGTTATACATATAACATTGATCTAAGTTTTAGATTATGCAGAATTCAATGTTCACTTTGAAAAAATTTAATAAAATAGGGATATGGGAGACATAAAACCCTATAAAAAGGTTACATACGGTGGCTCACGCCTGTTAATCCCAGCACTTTGGGAGGCTGAGGCGGGTGGATCACCTGAGGTCAGAAGTTCGAGACCAGCCTGACCAACATGGTGAAACCCTGTCTCTACTAAAAATACAAAATTAGCTGGGCGTGGTGGCGCAGGTCTGTAATCCCAGCTACTTAGGAGGCTGAGGCAGGAGAATCACTTGAACCCAGGAGGCGAAGGTTGAGGTGAGCCGAGATCATGCCATTGCACTACAACCTGGGCAACAAGAGTGAAACTCCGTCTCAAAAAAAAAAAGATTGATTACTCTTATTGTTATGGGTTAGGCATATTTTTACTCTTCAGAGCTGGGATGTGGGATATGCTGGATCCCTCTTATGCTGAAACTCAGACGCTGAACATAGCATAGCTCCTCAGTCATTAAATTCTTAATTCCCTTATTAAAGTAAGCTGAGAAAGAAAGATGAAAAGCAAAGTACACAAAGTCTTAATGCAGTTCCTTCAAAACTTAACATACAAAATAAAGCTGAATTTCCAATGTCACCAACTTGCCAAAGCACAAGTAAAATTAAACTACCATTAAACTGTATTAAGATTAAGGTCCAATACGTATCGGTCAATTTCCTAATTTATGCTATCGAGTTAAGGAAGATATTTAGAAGACAGAACATTCTGTTCTTTCAACTTTAGGACAAACAAGAAACAAAGATTAGTGGTTCTTAAATGTAGGCACTTATGAATCACCTGGAAACTAGGTGAAAGTTTTTTTAAAAACTGCACATACATGGGGCAGAATGCTCTGTGTCCTAATGCAATTCAGTACAGCAGTGCTAATCTCTACAAGCACCACTTTGTAAGGAATTACAATAGAAAAGAGATAGGAGCATGGGTGATAGAAAAGACAGGAAAAAGGGACATGGGATTATTGTTTCCTGGGATATCGCCATAAACTATTAAAGAAATGTTTGCTCTGAAACAACCTGATATGACTTCAAGAGAAATGAACGACTGGGAAGAAATTAAAATTTAATAGACACTCCAGACAAATAAGATCTTAGTCTACAATACCATAACTACAAGCACAGGCTGGCAAACTCGAGTCTGAATGAGAGACTAAATTACAAATGATGGATAGCTGCTTTCGCAGACCAAACAGATAATGGTTGGAAAAAAGTATGCTTGTGAATAGGAAACTAATGACCATGCAGTACAGTATGAAAGTTAGATAAGAGAAAAATACTATAATGAAGAAAGCTGCATGGCTGAGGGAAATGCTGAGCAAACTATTTGTACACCTAAAGAAAAGGGGAAAAGCACTAAAAGCTTCCAAATATAACAGAATCTACCCTTGTATGGGAGTTACTAGATATTAAAGACTGAGATAAACTAAGACAATATAATCAGTACGATATGAGCTTTTAAGAAACATCTTCTTTCATGTCATAATACAACTAAGTATGAAACAAATAATCAAAGTCTAACACAGTCTTATCAGAAAAACAGGAAACAACTCCAAATCAAATACACATGAGGAACTAAGCGAAATTTAGGGAAAATTCTGTATGCTTTCATACAGTCATTGTAATAAAGACAATATGAGACACATGATTCAACAGAAAGGCAGCAACCAGCCTGAACTTGGTTAACAGTTAATACAGATTATATGGAGAGAACTACAAACAGGCCCCTGTAAAATCTAACTGTAGGAGATACACAGCCATAGTCAATTCAATGCAATAAAAATATACTCAGTCTCTACTATGAGCCAGAAGCTGCCAGAGACCAGAAATAAAAAGATGAATAAAACTAAAAGCCTAAAGTGAAGAGCTTATAGGCTACAATGTAAATATCCTGAAAGGTCCCCCTGCTGCCCTAGCATGGGATGAAGTTAACTGTTAAAATGAATACAGAGCTCAAGATAATGGGCGAGCCGGGCGCGGTGGCTCACGCCTGTAATCCCAGCACTTTGGGAGGCCGAGGCGGGCGGATCACGAGGTCAGGAGATCGAGACCATCCCGGCTAAAACGGTGAAACCCCGTCTCTACTAAAAATACAAAAAATTAGCCGGGCGTAGTGGCGGGCGCCTGTAGTCCCAGCTACTCGGGAGGCTGAGGCAGGAGAATGGCGTGAACCCGGGAGGCGGAGCTTGCAGTGAGCCGAGATCCCGCCACTGCACTCCAGCCTGGGCGACAGAGCGAGACTCCGTCTCAAAAAAAAAAAAAAAAAAAAAAAAAAAAAAAAGATAATGGGCGAAACATGCTTACATGGACTGGAACATGACTGTGTCCCAAGAGTAAAAAGAAAATGGAAAAAACTGCATTTGTGTTGACATGAGAAACACTGAAAGAAAACATATTCCTTGTATTACATCTTGCTGGATGTTGGCAGAGAGACCAGGCCCTCCAGTCTGGATGACGTCAATGAGCTTTGGCAAATTCCATGAAAAGAACTGTCAAGCTGACAACTTCCATTACTATTTAATAATCATGCCAGAATTGTTCAAAAGAACACATCAGACTAGAAATTCTAATGGGCATGCATAATGGGATTATAATAATTCTTTAATGTTTAAGACATTAGTATCTCTTATACGTTAAAAATAATGTGTAACTAAAGAATGATTTATTAAGTTTAGAGACAAATTTAGAGCAGAAAAGAGATGAAATTTTATTTATTTATTTTTTGAGATGGAGTGTCACTCTGTCACCCAGGCTGGAGTGCAGTGGCACTATCTCAACTCACTGCAACCTCCGCCTCTTGGGTTCATGCCATTCTCCTGCCTCAGCCTCCCGAGCAGCTGGGATTACAGGCGCCCGCCACCACGCCCAGCTAATTTTTGTATTTTTAGTAGAGATGGGGTTTCGCCATGTTGGCCAGGCTGGTCTTGAACTCCTGACCTCAGGTGATCCACCCGCCTTGGCCTCCCAAAGTGCTGGGATTACAGGCGTGAGCCACCATGCCCAGCCGAGATGAATTTTTGACAAAAAAATCAATATGGAATTTATTTCGTGTTCACTTAATTTAGGACTCAAAATATCTTATTTCAAGAGACCAAGTATATGGCTAATTGAACAGAGGAAAATCTCTGTAGGAATATTTGCGACTCTTACTTTAGCTGACTGAAGTTACTTACTCAAAAGAGTGAAACTAAACAAGGAGCCTCCTGGTTATCTTTATGGAGTTGAATGAAAGCAGGAACTTGAGAAGCCTAGTAAGGAGACGCTGCCATAGTAAAAAATGATGCTTAGGAGCAAGGGAGCCTGTTAGAACACGTAGAAAGCTCTGGGCACCTTTCAGTGTAAACCACTCTATGGTCAGCCCAGCATTGACGTCAGTCTCTTCCTCTCTCCCATGCATCACCCTCTCTCTATTTCTCCCTCTCTCCTCTTCCTCCATTATCTTTTCCTCCCAATTTGTTGGGGCTACCCATTGCTCATTGTTATTAAGTGCCTCAAACTTAAATTTTCCCAGCATCAGTCAGGAGACCAAACAGGTTAACGTTAGCTGAATGAAAGGGCATCAAGAATCAGTTAATTAAATGCAGGAGGACCACAAATCTGTACCTTAATGGGTGTAATACTTAGATATAGGGCAGGTCTGAGGATTAGGAATCTTTTTAAAATGGGATGAGAGTTGAGGAAGTTTCTCAATGGGTCTTGGAAAAGTATTAATGCCAACATTTTCAGTTTAAATATTTGTCAGAAATAAGTCTGCTCATTCAAAACAACAACAACAACAACAACAACAACAACAACAACGCCTGGACCACTACATCCAACTGAATCTTGTTTTTTAAAAAAGGTATATATTAAATACGTCATACACTTAGAAGAATTAGATCCTTTATTTGTGGCTAATCTTGTAGCCCTCAACACCAACACAGGATTGCATGCACAGCTTTGGGGGACAGACACAGGGCAAAGAGGTTAAACATGAAGCATGAACCTCAGATTTTTGTTACGTAAATAAATCATCAATGACCAGCATAGTATGAACGTTTATGGATTAGTTGTCATGATACATTTCCAACTGCATGACCAGAGACTGTGCTTTCTGTTGTATAAGCAACCACAGTCCTTCTATCAGGTTGAATAAAAGTTTTTAACTAATGGGAGTGTAGTATTATGATGTATATATTGGTTTTCATCCACAGTCCCAGGCTAACTCCTATATCCCTTGTTACAGTCTTTTATTAAAACGTTGGGTGTGTTAGGCCTAAGGAAACAATCTCTCCAATATTCTCCTATCCTCCTTTCACCTGTTTCAATCTTCCCTGGCCTTTCTGACTGTGAGTCTTAAGACTCTCCCCAGAGAGGGTCTTGCCCCATACCCTGGGGGAATCTGGGGGAAGGAATGCTGACCTCAAGAAGCTTTCATAAAAACCCAAGAGGACTGGGTTCTGGGTGCTTCCACATAGCTTAACATGTAGAGTTTCTTGGAGGGTGGCGTCCCAGGGAAGGCATGGAAGTTCTGCACCCCTTCCCCCATACCTCACCCTACACATCTCTTCATCTGGATCCTTTGCAATATCCTTGATAATAAACTGGTAAATATAAGTGTTTCCCTGAATTCTGTGAGCTGCTCCAGCAAATTAATCCAACCCAAAAAGAGGGTCCTGGGAACCGCAACCTGAAGCTGGTCGGTCAGAAGTTCCAGAGGCCAGGACTTGTGACTGGTGTCTGGGTTTTGGGGGCTGGGAGGCAGGTTTAGGAACTGAGCCCTTAACCTGTGGGGTCTGACACTCCCTCCAGGTAGACAGTGTTGGAACTGAATTAGAGGACACCCAGTTGGTGTCCACCGCTTGGTGTGTTGGGAGAAACCCCTCCACACATTTGGTCACAGAAGTCTTCTGTGTTGATGACTGCCATGGTGGTGTGAGAGCAGAGGGAAAACACAGTTTGAGGGTTTTTCCTACACAGTGAGCATCCACAAATTTAAACAGTATCTTTAATGAGCTAAAATATTCCAAATCTCTTAACACAAGCCACTAGTATAATTCTGATATGGTTTGGCTGTGCCCCCACCCAAATCTCATCTTGAATTGTAACTCCCACAATTCCCATGTGTTGTGGGAGGGACCTGGTAGGAGGTAGTTGAATCATGGGGGTGCTAATTCTCATGATAGTGAATAAGTCTCAGGAGATCTCATGGTTTTAAAAAGGGGAGTTTCCCTGCACAACCTCTCTTGCCTTGTCTGCTGCCATGTGAGATGTGCCTTTCACCTTCGGCCGTAATTGTGAGGCCTCCCCAGCCAGGTGGAGCTATAAGTCTAATAAACCTCTTTCTTTTGTAGATTGCCCAATCTTGGAATGTCTTTATCAGCAGCGTAAAAACAGACTAATACAAATTCTTACTGATACTTGTATTCTCTTTTAATCACAAAATAGAACATTTCCCAGAGAAGAAAATACTATTTCAAGAAAATACTCCAAGAATGTTTCTGGTCATCCTAAAGTGATGTTAACAATGACTTCTTTATGTAAAAAATCCCTTTCTCAAACTCATAAACTATGTAAATATGTATGATAAATATTACCTTCTGTGCTAGAATAATAGATAATAAAAGATATAATCAAAAATAATACAAAAAGGTCAAGAATGCATCAGAAAACTTCTTTAGTGACAGATGCTATCTGAGGAAATTTTTTTATTCTGGCATGAAGAGCCCACTAAAAGTAACAGACATGGCCAGGCGAGGTGGCTCACACCTGTAATCCCAGCACTTTGGAAGGCTGAGGTAGGCAGATCACTTGAGGTCAGGAGTTCAAGACCAGCCTGGCCAACATGGTGAAACCCCGTCTCTACTAAAAATACAAAAATTAGCCGGGCGTGATGGCAGGCGCCTGTAATCCCAGCTACTTGGGAGGCTGAGGCATGAGAATTGCTTGAACCAGGGAGTTGGTGGTTGCAGTGTGCTAAGATCACGCCACTGCACTCCAGCCTAGGTGACAGAGCAAGACTCAGTCTCAAAAAAAAAAAAAAAAAAAAAAGTAACAGATGCATGCACATATTTTTTTTAAAAAATTGTTATGAAAGTCTGCATGATACGGCCATCTGAGAAATGACTTAACTTAAAAATTACAGAATTTATTGATTAAATCAGAATCATTGCAACAAAGCTGCCAAACTAACCCTGAGAGCATATTTGTACCAGATCTTTGAGAAACTACTTCTTGGCTAGAAGAATTCGTAATCATCAAAATCCCTCTATCTTGTGTAACCACGAATACAAGTTAGTTTCAAAATGTCTTCCCAAAGCTTGAACTCTCTCGGCTCTTTATAAATAACTACAGAACTGGCCTAAATTTCAGTTAATTAACAAATATGTGATCTAGACTGGGTGCGGTAGCTCATACCTGTAATCCCAGCACTTTGGGAGGCTGACGCAGGCAGATGACTTGAGGTCAGGAGTTTGACACCAGCCTGGCCAACATAGTGAAACCCCGTCTCTACTGAAAATACAAATATTAGCCGGGCATGGTAGTGATTGCCCGTAATCCTTGCTACTCAGGAGGTTGAGGCAGGAGAATTGCTTGAACCCAGGAAGTGGAGATTGCAATGAGCCAAGATTGTGCCATTGCACTCCAGCCTGGGTGACAAGAGTGAAACTCTGTCTCAAAAAAACAAAAACAAAACAGAAAAACCCCACAAATATGTGATCTGAGTATAAACCCGTGATTTTTAATTAGGTGAATAATTTCATAATACCATACTCTTAAAAATTTTTGTCCAGAGATAATTTCAAAACACATACAAAAAGTTACAAAAATAAATAGTATAAAGAACACTCTATTCTCAGATATGCATTGTTAACATTTGTCTTATTACTTGCAGTATACTTCTGTGTGTGTGTGTGTGTGTGTGTGTGTGTGTGTGTGTGTGTGCCACACCTAATTCTTTTTTCTGAACATTTGAGGGTAGGTTATAAGCACTCTAGTCCTTCACCTCTGTATTAGTCTGTTTTCAACGCTGCTGATAAAGACATACCTGAGACTGGGTAATTTATAAAGAAAAAGAGGTTTGATGGACTCACAGTTCCATGTGGCTGGGGAGGCCTCATAATCAGGGCAGAAGGCAAAAGCCACGTCTTACCTGGCAGCAGGCAAGGGTGAATGAGAGCCAAGCAAAAGGGAAACCTCTTATAAAATCATCAGATTTCGTGAGACTTATTCACTACCACGAGAACAGTATGGGGGAGAACTGCCCTGATGATTCAATTACCTCCCACTGGGCCCCTCCCAGAACACATGGGAATTATGGAAGCTACAATTCAAGATGAGATTTGGGAGGGGACACAGCCAAACCATATCAACCTCTAAACACTTCAGTGAATAACACCATAACTTAATACATGTTCCTATTATAAACAAGGTGAAAGTGAATGTCTTTGCACATACATTAACATTTATATATGATGACTCCATTTGCATACATTTCTAGTGGTGAAATCAAAGAGAAAAAAAGTTTAAAGGTGATACATATTACCAAACTGCCCTCCAGAAAGCCTGTAACAATTTGAACTTCTTCCACCAGCTCCTTAGCTGATTGCCTAAGTTTCTAAATTTGATAGGAATTTGTTTAGATGTGAGGTTTAGCATTGTTTCTTGTGTTTAATGTGTTTCTGTGCTCAACTGATTTTCTTCTTTTGCCTCTTCATACCCTTTCAGAAAAGACTCGTTAAAGTCAGAACCTGCTGGACAAGAAGGCCTATGGCAAATCCTACTGAAGATAAATTTATAAGCCTTAAGAGAATAAGGACTATGACAAAAACAATCCAAACCACAATAATTCATGGTAGGAAATATTGTGGCATCTACATAATAAAATGGTTGAGGTCCTTCTTTTGTTAATTTTGAGGCCTATAATTGCTCCTTAACTGGTCAGGTATCTTAGATATCAGCTGGCTCACAGGAGAATGTATCTTCATAATATAAACCCAAACGTTGCTTATAATAAACTGTACATATAAAAAATCTTAAAAGAAAAGTTCAATATTGCAATATAGATGTCTAATTTCTAGGTAAATTTAGTAAACAGAATATGTTCAACATGGAGAAAATCACACTCCAGAAATAAGTTAAAAATATTTCAACATCTAAAAAAAAATTCAGCAGCACCCACAGATACAGCACATAGAAGAAATTAAAAAATTATGAATAGTTTTAATAAATAACACTAATATCATATGTCTTTAACCTGTTGATATCGATCTCCCTCTATATTTTAAGCTCTCTCTCTCTTTAAAAAGACCTGACCCTGGGTAAAGGGTAGAGGATGGATCAAAGAACAGATAATCCTGGCTGGGCGCACGCAGTGGCTCACGCGGTGGCTCACGCATGTAATCCCAGCACTTTGGGAGGCCAGGGCGGGCGGATCACCTGAGGTAAGAGTTCGAGACCAGCCTGGCCAACATGGTGAAACCCCATCTCTACTAAAAATACAAAGGTTAGCCAGGCGTGGTGGTGGGTGCCTGTAATCCCAGCTACTTGGGAGGCTGAGGCAGGAGAATCGCTTGAACCTGGAAGGTGGAGGCTGCAGTGAGCCACGATTGAGCCACTGCACTCCAGCCTGGGCAACAGATCGAGACTCCGAGACTCCATCTCTCAAAAAAAAAAAAAAAAAAAAAAAGAAGAAGAAGAAAGAAGGAAATATCCTGAAAGCAGGGATAACGGTTAGTTAGGAGAATACCAGAACAACCTCAGACAGTGGTGATAAATGACTGGTTCAAGGAGAATAAGAGATAACGAGGCAGAAAAGAGATGAATAGAATAGGCTATGTAAGCATACAAAAACCCAAAGGATTTAATGAGACTGGATTTAAGCAATGAAAGAACAGAAAGAGACAACAATTTTACAACAGGGAAATTAACAGTGAGTTTAGGATAAAAGTAAACAGGTGCAGAAAATAAGTGGGTTGAGGAGCTGTAAGCAGAGAACATTCTAGCTTTAATGAATTTAATACACATATCCAGAATTTTGCAATCAGAACACCTAGAAACTATTTTTATTTCAGCATGCATGTAAATTTTTGTATCATTAGGGAAAATAGTCTTATTTTTAATTCTATACAAGGTAGAGGGCACATTAT
The DNA here is from genome assembly GCF_000001405.40 of Homo sapiens. Lineage (NCBI taxonomy): Eukaryota > Metazoa > Chordata > Mammalia > Primates > Hominidae > Homo > Homo sapiens. The sequence goes on from NC_000008.11 coordinate 65,772,368, forward strand.
AGTCTTTCAAAGCTTCAGTACCTCTGAAGGTTTAAACACATCCTGCAAGGTTGCTTTAGTGTTTGTATCTTTGCCAAGTCTGAGATTATAGGAAGTGAATGGGTTTGTGGCATAAATCACAAATTCCTAATCCAAGGAACTTCACAGGGAAGAAGAGGGGTAAAAAAGGACAACTTTGCCTCCAGGTAAATAAACTACTGATATCTTCAACTAGTGCAAGGGAGAAAGGAAATACCCCACAAGGAAGAAACCTTAAGATTCATAACTGGAAATAAAAGAAGGATAATCCTCCTGGTCATTAAGTCCAAGGCAGCTCAACTTTACTGTGCATAAACTCAAGCCTAGGGTTAAACTGGCCAGGTGCGGTGGTTCATGCCTGTAATCCCAGCACTTTGGGAGGCCAAGGCAGGCAGATCACTTGAGGTCAGGAGTTCAAGACCAGTCTGACCAATATGGTGAAACCCTATCTTTAATAAAAATACAAAAAAAAATTAGCCAGGTGTGGTGGCACACACCTGTAATCCCAGCTACTTGGGAGGCTGAGGTGGGAGAATCACTTGAACCTGGGAGACGGAGGCTGCAGTGAGCTGAGATCGTGCCACTGCACTCCAGCCTGGGCGACAGATTGAGACTCTGTCTCAAAAAAAAAAATTAAGAAAAAGTTTTGTAAGCTAACTCCTGCAGAGAACAAGTTCAGGCTAATGTTTAGGACAATCAGAGGAGTCAGTGGAAGAAGGGAAGGCCTGAAGATGACTAACAGATTTTAGTCATAGCAGGAGCACGTGCTCATTTCTCTGATTAGATCACATTTCACAAAACACACTAGATTACAATTTCAAAAAGAATTCCAAGCTGTGTGATAAGCAGAACCTATTATAAGCAGCAAAGAATAATGCATTTTTCTCTATTAAAAAAAACTCCTCTAAATTATATTACCATGGTGGCTTAAAGAGACATATTCTTGTTTTGTAATAACTATAGGACCAAGTCTATAGCAAGAGTCCATTTTCAACTACAACTTACACATTTGTCACCTTTTATGAACAGCATGATGAGATCGAGAGGATAATCTGCTGCTCTTAACACTGAGCTGCCTCCAGTGTTCTAAATACCATACTACAAAGCTTCCACATCACTGGATCAGGATATAAGTATAGATACCAAAACCTCAAGCCCGGTTCTGCTTCATATTAATTTGAACCATTTTTTTGTCATTAAGTTTCATTTATTATCCAATTTGACCTTCTTTATCTCTTAAAAGGAATATTTAACCCATTTATCTTTATTACTAACATTGATATGTTTGGTCTTCCTTCTCTTGTCTTTTAGATTTATTTTATTTGCTCCTGGTTTCCTAGTGATTTAGATAGTACATATCCTATTTTAATTTCATTAGAGATACTTCTAACAATCTAATCATTTTTAATGTCCCTCTCCCACTAAAACGTCCCATTATGCCCCCTATTTAAAACTTCTAACAGTTATATTTTTCGAATTCTCTTATTTTACTAAATTCAGTGAATGTTAGGGGGTAGGCTGGAGACTCCAAATACAATTGTACATTTCTTTATACAAATATCAATATTTAGACTTAACTCTTTTACTGATTTCCTTACCCACAGCCAATCCTTATTTATTGCAATACCAAAACATACTTTTACTTAAACTTTCCAATGAGCAATACGTTCACATGAGTCAAAATTCAAAAGGTCTACAACTAAGTTTCTTTCCCCTCCCATCTCCTCAAGCCACCCAGTTTCTATCCTGGAAGCAACCAATGTTATCAGTTTCTGCTACGTTATTGCAGAAAAACTATGTATTGAATCATCCTTGCTTCCTTTTCTAAAACAACCCCACTATCGCTGAAGTATTACTCTTTCGTGCTGTTGGAAATCCTCATGCTAATAAATATTTTTAAAAGATTTTTTGTACTGACATTTATAGTGAGAATATTATAAAAAGTTATATTTGCTTTATAAAATTACTCTGAATGGTTCCCTCTTTATAATCAGAAAGTTTAAAGAGCTTTGAAACTAATCATCAATCTTTTAAAGATCTTAAATAATTTGCCTATAAAATTCTCTGGCCCTCAGGCTTTTAGAGAGATAACTCTTACACAACTTTCTCTAACATATTGGTTCTCAGGAGTCTTTCGCACTCTTAAAAATTATTGACAACCCAAATAACTTTAACTTTATATGGGTTATAGCTATCAATATTTACCACAGAAATTAAGTATTTACCATAGAAATTAAATTTTTAATATTTAAATATTTAGTTAATTTAAAAATATATAAAACAAAATTTATTTGAAAATATCTAATGGCTAAATATTGTTTAAATTTATTTAAAAAATTTATTACTATAAACCCATAACATGTAACATAAATAACATTTTTATTAAAAATAACTATATTTTCCAAAACAAAGAAAAATTTAATGAGAAACGTCCGGCTGTTTCTCATATCTGCTAATACACTGAATTTACTGAGACATCACACATCATGCAGCCTTGGAAAACTCCACTGTATCCTTGAGAGAGAATAAAAGCAAAAAAGGCAAATAACATCTTAGTATTACGATGAAAATAGTTTTAACCTCACAGACCGCACTTTAAGTACTGCTGGATTAATTTATGTTTTCTACATTCAGTTCTGATAAACTGTAATTTTTAAGAAAATTTTCTGGATCATACAAGTGTTCAAATATATTTTTGGGGTCAAGCAAAATAGTCCATTTCGATTCTTATATTTTCTCTTTATCTGTGGTGTTTTCCCCTCTTAGTTTTTGAGTATGCACGTTAGCTCCATTCAATCTTTAAGTTAGCTAGCAACTTATCTCTTTTATTGCAAACAACCAGCTCTTAGTTACAGAGTTCTACTTTTATTTTAGTTTACTAGTTCATTGATTGCTGTTTTTTATCTTTAACAACTACTTTATCTTTTCTTAGTGTATTTTGATATTATTTTTCTAATTTCTTGAGTTGGACTACTTAGTTGACTTATTTCATTCTTTCTCATTTATGAATATAAGTATTTTTTAAGGCTATGAATTTTCCTGCAAGCACTGCATTAGCTGAATTTCATAGATTTTCCCATCTAGTCTTTAATTATCACGTTTTTATGGTCTACCTCTTTGACCCAAGAAGTACTTATTTCAGAATTTGAAAAATTTCCAGGTGGCCAGGCCTTTTTGTTTTCTAGCTTTGCTATTAATTTCTAGTATCAGTGATCCTACGTCCTCTGTCAGTTGCCTCTCTTATTTCTTCCCTTTTCTTTGAGACGAAGTCTCGCTCTGTAGCCAAGGCTTGAGTGAAGTGGTGTGATCTTGGCTAACTGCAACCTCCGCCTCCCAGGTTCGAGTGATTCTCCTGCCTCAGCCTCCTGAGTGGCTGGGATTACAGGCACGCACCACTGCACCTGGCTAATTTTTACTATTTTTAGTAGAGATGGAGTTTCACCATGTTGGCCAGGCTGGTCTTAAACTCCTGACCTCAGGTGATCCACCTGCCTCGGCTTTCCAAAGTGCTAGATTACGGGCGTGAGCCACCATGCCCGGCCTCTTCCCTTTTCTTTGTAGCAAAAGTCTCTAAAAGAGTTGTTTATACTTGCTATATCTAATTCCCATCTTTCTGTTCTCTCTTAAATTCACTTTAATTTCAGGCTTCCCCTACACCATATCCACATTGCTAAATCAATGTTATTGATTTAGCATTCCTCATCTTACCTGAATTATCAGCATAATTTGGCAAAGTTAATCAACCAAAATTTGATTTTTTTTAATGCATGGTGTGAACAGGGTCCAAGATTCACTTGATTTAGTGAAATTGCTATTTCTACCCATTGCATTATTTATCTTCTACCTACTTCATTACCACACTTGTCACAAATCAAATATCCATATATGTGTGGGTTATTTCTGGATTCTATAGTATGCCTTTATTCTATTGTCAGTCCTTGAATTAACATCACCTTGACTTAATTATTATTGTTTATAATAAGTTTGATATCTATGAGATGTAAACTCCATAATTTCATTCTTCTTCCTAATTGTCTTGGCTATTCTTGGAGCTGGGATTTTTTCACTGTGATTTCACTAAACCTATACAGATCAATTTAGGAAAGAAGAAAAACTGGCATCTTTAAATACTGAATCCTCCAATCCATAAATAACAGTATATATATTTCTATTTAAGTTATCTTTAATTTTTCTATGTAATCACTTACAGTTTTCTATGTAGAGTTATACATATCTTTAGTTAGATTTATCCCTACATATTTGATGTTTCTTGATACAAATTCAAATTATATATTATGTTAATTTTGTCACTGTTACTTTACAGAACTCCCACTACGTACTGACTTTGTATCCAGGAAAACTGCTAACTTCACTTATTAATCCTAACAATTTTCTAAGTACATAACTATGTCATCCATAAAAATGATACTTTTTCTTTTCTAGTCCTTATACTTTTCATTTCTTTTTCTTGCATTACTATACTGGCCAGAACCTCTGAAACAATACTGAATAGGAAAGATGATGAAAGATATTCTTGATTTCTCATCGCAGAAAGAATGTTTTAATATTGCGCATTAAATATGATGTTTGCTATGGGTTTTGTAGCTAATGTTTCAGACTGTTTAAGTTTTTCTCTGTTCCTAGCTTGCTCAGAATTATAAGAAAGAACAAATACTCAATTTTATCAAATGCTTTTTTTTTTTTTTTTTTTTTTGAGACAGAGTTTTGTTCTTGTTGCCCAGACTGGAGTGCAATGCAATCCTGGCTAACCGCAACCTCTGCCTCCTGGGTTCAAGCGATTCTCCTGCCTCGGCCTCCCAAGTAGCTGGGATTACAGGCATGCACCACCACGCCTGGCTAATTTTGTATTTTTAGTAGAGACGGGGTTTCTCTATGTTGGTCAGGCTGGTCTCGAACTCCCGACCTCAGATGATCCGCCCGCCTCAGCCTCCCAAAGTGCTGGGATTACAAGCGTGAGCCACAACTTTTCTCCTTTATTTTATTAATATAGTGAATTACACTGATTGATTTTTCACTGTTAAACCAATCTTATATTCCTGGAAAAATACTAATTAGGTCAAAATATATTAATTCTCCCTTTGTGTTATAGATATAATTTGATAATATGTTATTTAGGATGTTTCCTCTATATTCATGAGCGATTTGGCTGTTATTTTTTGTTCTTTCCACAACCTTGTCATGTTGTAGTATCAAGATTACATGCTAGCCTTACGTAACAAATTGTGAAGTGTATCCTTTTCAGAGTTTGTGGATGATATTTTTAGTTTGACAGTTTATTTTTTTCTAGCACATCAGAGCTATTTTTCCTTTGTCTTCTACCTTTTTAGTTTCTGTGGAAAATGAAACCATCTGTTTCTGGCAATCTCATAATTGCTCCTTTGAAAGTAATACTCCACTACCCCTCATTACTTTTAATTCTTTGTCTTTGATTTTGGTTTTCATAGTTATACTCTGGTACACTTAGGTGTGATTTTCTTTTAATGTTACTCTGCTTGAGATTTATAATACTTCCTGAATCTGTCCCTTAATGTCTTTTACCAACTTCTAGAGATTTCTCAGCCATTGCTTCTTTAAAGACTGCTCCTGCTACATTTTTCCCTCTCCTCTCCTTCTAGGACCTTAATTACTTTTTCAAAACATTTTGTGCCAGATTACAGATGGGAGATTAAAAAGGTTTTGACCTTGCATCCCTTTGACAACCAGGGTTGGGAGAGGGCTGTGTCTTCCCTCCATGACCCTGAGCAAGCTGTGTGACACAGCTCATCAACAGAATATGGAAATGCGATGTTATGCCAGGGTCTGGGCCCAGATCTTCAGACACTATGAGTCCTCACACTTCCTCTTTCTTGAAATGCTTGCTCTGGGAGAAAGTAGCTGCCATGTAATTAGTCCAACTACCCTAAGACTTCCCTGAGACTGCCATTTATGGAGAGAGAAAAATGTTGGCACCACACCTAAGAGTGCAGAAGCCATCTTGGAGGTTCCAGCCCTGGAAGATGACATGAGATGGACCAAGGCCCTGGACATAAGGCTCCAGTGTCACCATCCCAGCCATTTTTAAGCTGTCTGAACCATTCCAATCAAAGACCAAGACACTGTAGAGCACAAGCAAGCCAAACTTGATATATACCCTGACTGAATTCCTGATTCTCGGAATCATGAGCATTAAAAATAGTGGTTATTTTATGCCAATAAGTTTTGGGGTCATTTGTTACTGGGAGAGGTAATCCTCCTCCGAGGCCCCGAGTGTCCCTACACATTCTTACTGATGTCTCAAGAATACAAAGCCCTGACTACTCTCTGCCTAGGACATGTCCCAGGGCTCTGTTTGCAGCTAGCAAACTTAAGGGATGAGTAACATCTCTGTCCTGCAGGTGGCAAGAAACATGAGTCACAGATCACATTAATGTATTCGGTGAGTGAGATATTTCAAAGTTGGGATTTATTTCTAAGACATAGCACTTTAGGATTCCAACCGAAGCCTGAATGGTTTACCAGCACCAACCTTCCAGCCTTGCTGGGCTCTAAACACCTGTTTTTGTTTCTCTATCCCTAAGTGTCCATAAAAAGCTCTGCCCATCTTCTAATCCACCTTTCCCAGAATCAGTACATGCTATTAAGAAGAAAAGTGGCCTGAAGTTCTGGACTTATCTCTCTGCCTCAATAGCATTCAGATACATTTGAATACATACATGTCTTTTACATTTTGAATAGTTTTCTCATTTTTTAGAGCATCAATCCAAATTACTTTAGCTAACATTACTGAAAGTGGAACTCCTCCAGAAACAGATTTAATATGTTTAATATTTAAGGTGTTTAGAAGTTCTGTTTTTTCCCCTTTCCCTCCACTATAGGCCAAATCCACAAAGAATGCTTGTTTTTGAAATAGGCATTCTACCAAGCATCTTTAAAGGTGATATACATTTTCAAATAAACCTAAAAGATAAGTTAAACTACTGAAATACCTTTATAAAATATCATTTGCACAAAAACATTTCAGTTGAAGTAGTGAAGACTAACCATTTGGAATAAAACAACTTAAAAAAATCTTTTTAAAGAAAAAAAAGTAATAAATTAGAGGAGAAGAGAAAAGCTATATCAACTTTCATATTTTAGTATCTTCCTCTTCTAATTGTCTCTAAGTATTTACTAAGATTACCTAGAAATAGTGTCATTTACATGACCTAGGTTTTAAAAACATTCCAAACATAATAGAGTTTTTTTTCTGGTATTCTTTTTCCCTTGGAAAACTGTGTAATTTTATTAAAATTTGTAGTGAAAATCCGAGAAACTTCATGTCTACCAACACTTACAGTGGAAAATACGAAAATCAATATATGGGTGAGAACCTCTTCTTTCTGATTCAAATCCTGCTCGGCTCCTTACACGTACATCTCCTGGACAGAATCAAGAATAAAACATAAGTTTAGAAGGTTGTCATTCGGGAAGAAGCTTCCATATGCAACAAAGGTCCGTGTGGTATCATATTCATAAGTAACAGCCCACTGATCATATATGTGGAACAGGTAGTTAAGAGCTGATTTATTCAAAAGGGTTCACAAAATCTCAGTAATTAATTGTAAGGCTGAATGAGGAGGATTTTTTTTAAATCTACCCCTATAATAATTATTATAATCTATATTTTAATAAGTTAGCCTTCTGAAAGAGGATTCAAGTGTATGATAAGATGACCTAATATATTATTCACATGGGCAACATTTTTTTTTTTTTAAAAAAAGGCCATTGGGAAGCAATATCTGTTTTACAGGAGGTTGAAAATCCTCAGCACAAAACTTTAGAAAGCTGCAGAAAGAAGCAACATATTTATTAAGAGCCGACTCTGTGCCTAGCACTATACTATGGGCTAAAAGGGATATGAAAAATGGAAAATACATTACTTATTTTTAAGCAGTTTACAATTTCATAGATGTGTAAAAACTTAAAATGTTAAAGACTTTGTTTTAAAGTCAATCTGATTAATCACTCTTTTCTCATTGACAGTGGGTACATCCAAGGCCTTTAGCTGAGTCTTAAACTTTGGTCTTTGGAAGCTCAGTGTCGTTCCTACATGTGCCCACATTACTTCCAGATTTATTTTTCTATACAGCAACATAACCATAGCAACCATGTTCTAGACACTCTTTTTCGTGTTTTACAGGCATTATTTTATTTTCTTCTCTCATCGACCCTCAGAGATAGGAATCTTAATCCTCATTTTACAGATTCAAAAACTTGACTTTGAGAAGTTAAATAGCATGCTCCATGCCACAAAGCTAGTACAAAGGGTAAGTCAGGATTTAAACCCAGCTCCATGGGTTCCAAAGACAGTACTGTTCTCACTACACTTTTACAGCCTCCAAGTTCATAACCTTTAAATCTTCAGCCTCTATCCCTTTGCTCTTGCAATTTGGCTTGCCTAGAGGGCACTCCTGCTTACTCTGTTTCTCTGAGTAGGACCATGACTTCCTCCAAGGCTCACTTCATCGACTATAATTCCATCCCACAATGACTAGTCACCTGTCCTGTGGCCATTCCTTCATGCTGCAACAAATGTTAACATGTCAAGCACTGGAAATAAAGCAGTGAGCAAAATACATAAAGTCCCTGTCACTGTCCTCATGAAGCTTATCTTTTTGTGTGATGACACAAATAATAAATACCAAATTTCAGTCTATGGAAGATGATGAGTTACATGGAGAAAACTAAAGGTAAGAGGAATGGCGAGAGAGGAGCAGGGGAGGGTGACTCATTAGTGCAGTCAGAGAAGGCCTCACTGAAAAGGAGGCATCTGGGCAGGGACCTACAGGAAGTGAGGCAGTGAGCCAGGGAGGAAGAGCCAGTGTAAAACTCCCCAAGACAGAAGCATGCTTGGCACAGTCAATGGCAAGGCAAGAGGCTGGCGTGGCAGGAGCAAGGTGAGTGAGGGGAACTGGTGGGGGTGGGGTGGAGAGGCAGTGGAGTCAGATCATGCTGGACCTTTGTGGCCATCAGAGACTTCTGAATAGAGGAGTCAGATGATTATGTCTGAAAAGGTTCACTCTAGGTGTGATGAGAACAGAGTCAGGGAACACAGGTAGACACAGGGCCTCCAGTTAAGGAGTAAGTAATAAATGTGGTGGTAACAGCATTGGTGTGGTGAGATTTGGGTGTATTTAAAGGTATCAACCAGTAGGATCTGCTGATGAATTCAATATGGAGTGTGTAAGAAATAGGAAGTAAAAAAATGACTCTGAGGTTTCTGACCTGATGACAGGAAGAGTGGAGTTATATTTACTGAGATGGCAAAAGACTGCAGAACACAGACATGGGGAACACAAATGTTTTGCTTTAGACATGTTAAGTTTGAGGTATCCATAACATTTACATGGAGATGTTCTACAGAGTTAAAGAAAATATGAATCCAAAGCTCTGTCTTAAGGACAGCGGAATCCTGAACATGTTTGTTAGAGAAAGATGGAGACAGCAAGGAGAAAAAGGCTGCACATTTGTGGGGGAAAAATATGTACTGGAGTAGAAAAGAACTGAGGCAGGTAAGACACACAAGATAAAATAAAGAGGACAAAAAGGAATAGGAGTTACAATAGAACTCTGGGGAACACTTCAGCTTAAAAGTATGAAAAGGAATTAGTGAAGGTGGCAAAGAAGAAAACAAAAGTAGGTGAAGAATAAGGATGGATCAGTATCATAAAGTTGAGGGAGGAATTCTGAGCTGAGGAGGAGTCGTGGGAGAGACTTCTAACAAAAAATGAATAAATTTGCCTGTTGGAATCTTAATATGCATGTTTAATAATATGAGTTAAAGTGCAAGGATGAAGGAGACATGGATGAAGACAGAAATCTGGCACAGAGAAAAAGAGAAAAAGAAAATTAGACATATATACGCACATATCTAAATTCATTTTACCTTGCGGAATTGACTAATATATAAAAAATTTAAGCACCAGAACTAGAAGAAGTCAAATGGTCTTCCTTACCAGCCAACTGAGAACAAAATACATCTAGTGACAGGACTATCTGAGCAGGTGTTTCACAGCCTCACCTTTGTCCATGCTGGCATTCATCTATTTGGTATTTAGCCACTCTACAAATCTAAGACTATTTTCTATGAAGAATGTTCAAGATGCAATTCGAAACTGTGTACTAATGACAGTGTCCCAGTTATTAGGCCAAAGATTTCTCAATTACCTATAACTCTAAAATGCCTCTCTTTATTCACATCACATTCAATATTGGTTTCCAGACTCTAAACTCCATGAATAGGTTATTTCTACTACAAACAGTGATGAAAAGCTATCTAATGAAAGATACCTCAAACTCAAATAACAACAGGTAATAACAAAATTAACTGATATTGGTATAAAATAAATAATGCTTACCTAGCATACGAATGTATAATGCAGTCTGATCAGAACTGTCATAGGAAATAGCTCCACGCCTCTAGAAAAAAAAATACACATTATAATACATGACAATTAAATATGATACAAAATTCAACTCAACAAACATGTATTCATCATTTATTATTTGTGAAGCACTGTGCAAGAGAAGTTGGATACACAAAATGAAATTAGCTATGGTACCTGTTCTTGAAATCTCTGGGGTACGGGGACGACAAATAATTGTAATACAGTATGGTTAAGAACTACCATAAAAATGGATACAAAGAGAGACACATGCAGCCTCTCTTTGGAAATTTAATCTGTTTGAGTAAGTCAGTAAAGGTTTTGGGGTGACATCTGTGTTGACTCAAAAGGGATCGATAGGAGTTGCCAAATATTAATAGAAAAGAAAGGAAAGGACAATCCACTGGCTTTCCTGCTGCATCTCTTTGGTCCCCATTCCATGCTTCACATAAAAGCAAAAGTAAGCACTTCAGCTCCTGCTCAAAATCCTCCAAAGGCTCTCCATCACACTTGGGGCTCCCCAAACGTTACTTTCGAGAGTCATCTGTGACCTGCCTGCCCTCTTGTACTGTGGCCTCCCCCACTGCTAGGAGACAGCCAAGCCGGTCTCCTGGCTTTTCCTCATCTACACCAAATATACAGCCTTTCCAAGTGCTGTTCCCTCATCCTGGATCACTGCTTCACTGTTCCCTTCTTACCATGCAGCTTCTAGACAAAGCATCATCTCTTCAGAAAGGGATTCCCTGACTACCAAATCTACAGCCACCTAGAAGCCATCCCCTTCCACAGCTCCCTACCTCAGTCCTCTGTGTAGCTACAGCTGAAGTTGTCTTGTCTGCGTGTTACTAAAAGCTCCACAAGAGCAGAAACTTTGTCTATCTTAGTCATCACTGCATCCCTGGTCTCTAAAACAGGACCTATTATTTAGTTAAGTTCTAAATAAAAATTTGGTAAATAAATGACTAAATGGACTTATTGCAAATTAATAATAACTGATAAATAAATTGATGAATAAATTAGTCACTAACAGAATGGATATAAATAAGGATAGATTTAAAAATGAGGAAGATAAAATTGATCAAACCAGAGCTTAGACATAAAATCTAAGCTCTGTGGAGGCAGGGTTTTCAGTCACTGCTATATTCCCAGATCTAGGATAGATCCCAACATTTAGAACAGTGCCTAGCATGTCAAAAGTGATCAGTAAAATCAGTTGAATTAACAAGCAAAAAAAAAAGTTTAAGTAGTAATAGGCCAGGCATGGTGGCACACACCTGTAATCCCAGATACTTGGGAGGCTGAGGCAGGAGGATCCCTTGAGCCTAGGAGTTGGAGGCTGCAGTGAGCTAGGATGGCACCACTGCACTTCAGCTTGAGAGACAAAGTGAGACTGTCTCAAAAAAAGGGGCGAGGGGAATGGACTAGCACCATGGGATATTAACAAAGTAGTGTGACATTGCAAAGAAATAGAGAAAATAATCAATAGAGACTCTAGAAGCAAATCCAAGAGTGATTCTGTATATGATAAATACAGGACTTAGAATCTGTGGAGGAAATACTGATTTTTAATAAATAATGTTAGATTAAGTGGTGCTATCTAGAAAAACATAAAGCTATATTATTACCTTCCTGCTCCAAAATATATTACACATGGAACAATGATTCATATGTTAAAAATTAAAGCATGAAAATATTAAAAGAAAACAGGACTGTATTTTAAAAAGTCTTAGATAGGAAGGCCTTTCTAACTGTCCTATAAAAATCCCTAAGTCATGAAACACTGACAAATTTGGCCACTTAAAAGTTAAATTATGATGGTAAAAGTTATCACAAACAAAGTAAAGGATAAACTTCAAACCCAGAAAAGTGAGTTCAACTGATATGACAAAGGGCTAATTTTCCTCTACTATCCTCCCACCAAAAAAAAAAATTTTAACTGTCTTACAAATCAATTAGAAAAAGACTAAAAAGCTGTAGAAAAACAGGTAGGACATAAATATACTATTCACAAGGTTAAAAAAAATATAAAAAAATGCTTGACTTCATTAACTAAAGAAATACATATTAAAGCAATGAGATTGTATTTTTACATATCAGATTAATGATCATCTTCCCTCACAAAACTCTGGCATGGGATTTACAACTCCTCAACATATACCTACAAATCTCCAAAAAAAAAATCACATTTTTTACAATTATTATATTGAAAATTTACTGAAAGCCCTCACTTGGATTTAGTGTGCAAAAGAACTACCCAAAACATTAAGTTATTATATCCTTAATGCTTATCTTTTAAGAGAAAAATATCAACTAAAATCTTACATGATTTCACAAGTTCTTAAAAAAACACAGTTCATGAAATATAAGAGGAACAAAAATTTCAAACAAAGATAAAATTCTAACTATCACCACTGGGTGTCTCCAAGGAGGCTGAGGGATACAGAGGTAGGAGAGGGGCTTTTCAATGTTTATCTTTGCACTTTTTGAGTCTTGCAGTGTGTGTAATTATCATATATTCACAAAATAAATAAAATTAAAATTGAAAAGTAAAATAAAAATCTACTACAAAGAAAAGCATGATCTTAAATCCCAAGGGACCAAATCATATAGACTACACTTCTGGCATCATGCTTAAAGTGTCTTCCACTAATAGAATATCCTAAGGAAGCCTCCTGCAGTGTTTCATGGTATTTACTCTGGAGCAAACAGCCACTGTAAAAAGGCACCACTCACAGCTACTGTGCAAATCCCCTCCCCAACATATTTAGCTTACTAGATTACAGGTCTCTCCTCAATACCACCAATCTAGGGGTAAACCTAGTAGCCTAGGAAGGGCATATGTGGCAATAAATATTCCTATCAGCTAAAGCAAATTAATGAAACTGCAGATACTATGTAATAACTTGTCATGACCTATCAATTTGATGGTGTCCAGTAACAACTCAGATAAATAACTTGTTAAAATAAATTTTAAGGTGTTATCTCTAACAGTTCTCTTTAGGAGGGGAGTTGACATTATTATTATGATTTTTTTTTAATGTAGGAAGGGCATTTACTATAACAGTTGCTATTTAGAAAGGTAAAATATTTATCACTTCACACATTAAGGATTGTGAAAGACTGACCAATATTAGCTCTCTGTTAAATATCACAAAATAATATTAAGTCAAAAACTGGGTAATGCGCATAGTCTAGATAACACCATGGCATACTAAACTTAACTAAGGTAATCATTTTAGCCTCATTTATAGAAGCACTAATTTAGATATTAAAATGGTAGGGTCTGTATTAATCTTAATTTCTTAAGCAAAAAAGGCAGAGTTTAATTTTAAAATAGATACAAATTACATAGGTCTGTGCAAAATATCCAAGTTATTCTATTCATTATAAGGTACTAATTTAAGTAAGGCTAGTCTACAAATACTTAGCTTAAATGCTATACTGAACCACAAGACATAGCTTTTATGAAATAAATCCAAATGAGACCAAAACTGTTTTTAAAGAATGGACTTTAAAATAAATATCTGAACCCATCAACAAATACATCCTGAGTGATAATTCATTCACCTACCCACTTAAGAATTAAAATTAAAATGAATATTAAGTTCTCTCACTAGGTAGAATAATCTAAAGTAGGAAGGTAGAATAATCTACAGTAACTCATTTTGGAAAAAACACTATAAATTATGAGTTCTAACAATAAAAATTTGACCTCCGTGTTAGAATCATGTTGTTTTAAAAATAATTATATCTACTTTTATATAAGACTGCTGCAAATGTAAAAAAGATTTCTTTAAAGATTATCATTTTAAAAACCATATACTACTAGAATTTTCTTTTTAATAACAGTAAAACAAATTTCATCAAAATCCTGTGTCACACTGTCAGTCATAAAACTCTCAGAGCTATCACCCACATTCCCACCTCACTTCACCAGTGAATGGAAATAACTGAGAGGCTTCTACTCGTGACTTTTCTAATTTAGCCATCCTGGGAACAGCTTGTAAAGCGAACTAGTATAGGTCAAAACATGGGCGAGGCTGAGCTAATCAGAAACTGTCAGCAGTAGCACAAACAAGTTAAACTGTAAAGCACCAAAGGACCCACTGCCTCACTAACAGGAGTTCTGAGTGCCCTGGTAAGACTCACCTTGAATTAGGGTGAATCATTCTTCCACAAAAGATTTGACTTGAAGGTAAATGATAAAAGGTGTAAAAGTTGTTCCCAATATTAGTTAATACATAACTTTTAAAGACAGACATGTTTTAAAACCCAGCAAAGATATTTTAAGTGTCATTGTTTTTATTTTGTTCCAAGTTTTCCACTAAATGATTTATTAGCAAAAGCAAGTGCCATTTCCATTACACGGTAAGAGTGATAATATATTAACTAACACTTGCTGTGCTCCTTGTGCCAAAAAAATGTTCCAAGTGTTTTCGCACAAAATCTCATTCAACCCACACAAGATCTCTATAAGGTAGGCTTTATTAGTTCCATTTTGCAGATTCATAAACTGATGGTTAAAGGGCTTAAACACGGGAGCACTGAACAAAATTTTTGGCAACATTACCGAAAAAATAATAATATAGCAAAAGATGAAGCCCAGCCAAAGTTGTGAAGTCAATTTCCTCTGACATAGCAAAATGAGCTTTTTCAGAGTAGTCATCTTACATATGCTAGAAAAACATGCTTGTACTTGAGTGCCTAAAGTATTCAAATATTGCACTGATCTACCAAACAGTATCCTTCCCATTCTTCTTCCTTTTTTCAACAGTTTTTTTAAAAATAAAATATTAGCATTGTTTTTGTTTAAAAACAATTTAATTTTTTGGTGGCAATTAAAAGAGTAAAGTCTAGAGGCCAGGTGCATTGTCTCACATCTCAGTTCTTTGGAAAGTTGAGGTAGGAGGATTGCTTGAGCCCAGGAGTTTGAGACCAGCCTGGGCAACATAGTAAGACCTCATCTCTACAGGGGGGGGAAAAAAAAAAAGTAAAGTCTCTGAAAACACCCACAAGACAACTAATGCATTATTAACATTAACTTGACCTTCATTCAATAACTTGGCAAGCCAATCCTTTAAAAACAAGAAAATAGCTGTCACTGCAACAAAATTAATTCTTAACTTTTAAAACACAAAGATTTTAAAATTTAAATACATTATTTTTCTTTAAGAGATTTCTTCAATCATATTCACTAAGAAAAGAAGACCAAGAGATAATTATGCTTAAAACATTATGTTTAAACGTGGAAAATTACATAGCAGGTATTAAAATCTTGCTTGAGAAAGAAAATTAACTTTATAGAAGCTTTGTTTCTAAGTGATAGCCTTAAAAATTCAGTTTCTCAATCTAGAAAGAAAAAAAGCTGTGTGGTGGATGAAAGATATAATCATTTTTATAGAAGAATAGAAAAAAATAATTTCAAAGAGTATAATTTTAAATATGTTTTACTTTAGTTTTAGACCCTTCTCCAGATGGCAAATGGCTAGCTAGCATTCTATCAAGAATTTCTCAAGCCTGACATTTAGAATTCAACTTCAAAAACAACATATATGTAATCCTACATTTATGTCATTATATTATAGCTAAGGCACGTATTTTAGCAGTAGCAAGACCTTAGGAGAAAACATGATAGACGGTGGTTTTTCGTTTTTAAAAAGTTTATAATTGTTTAGAAATCCTCAACATTATACTTTAAATACACAAGTGTTATTACATTTTCTCCGAGAGAATGTTTAAAATATATACACCAAAAGTATAACTTAATTTTATAATCTTAAAAGTTAAACTTCTTTAGTCATAAAAACTTCTTTAAGGCAGTGATACTGAGGAATGCTGCTTTGATACTGAGGAAAGATATTATAAAAAGCCCTTAAGAAGAAATAATGTGGGATAAGAACAAAAACTACAAATAGTAAATTTAAGCCCTTTGGTCGACAGATGAAACTCACAGCTCTTTTAATCAGAGAATAAAAACTGAGGCAAAAGGAGGAGAAAATCGAGCTATTTAATTCCTATCAAATATGTAAACTAATGATGAATGTCACCATCCTAAAAATAAAGATGGCCTACCTTAGAGGTGATCCACTTGATAAGAACCAAGGCCAGACACCAGATCAATGTAATTCCCATTGGATCAATCAAAAGCCCGCTGCATAATCTCTCTCTTCTACTAGGGAGCAAGGAAAACTTCTTAGGAGTCTGATAAATACCAGCTGTCCCGAGGCAAAAGAGAGGGGACACTGACTGCCTTGGACCTCAAGCAGCTGCCTTCCAACAGTGATCACCTGACTCCTCTGGGAATGCACTACCCAGCCAGCCTTCTTACCCAGCGCATGCTTCATGCCACAACCGCAGGGTTGGGGTAGAACTGCCTAAGTAATGTTGGAAGAGGGGAGGGAAAAGACTTTAGTGAGCGCTGACCTAACAGTCTAACAAAATGTAGGCAAAGGAGGCCTCAGGCCAGCCCCAAACACTTCTACAATCTTAGTACTAACAGAGTGCCTTAAAACAACTTTCAAAAAATGTGTGGCAGTACTAAAAATTTCTTCATTCTTTTCACATAGAACTGTTTCACAAGCACAGTGTCCTGTGACATTTTAAAATATTAATGCATTTTATTCCATCTTTTCAATTTTTAATTGAAATTTGTTCAACTTTTTATTTCTTTTAGGGATAGAACTACTTTATGAATATTAGAGGCTGTCATATTATCTATGCTTCTTAACATTATAATTCACTCATTTTGGACTTACTGAAAAAAAGCCAGTCTAATAGTGCATTTTCAAATAATTAAGGACATATTATTTTCAAGCACTAACTGCAATCTAACTTATATTTTTGGTACAGATCTTGTTCTCGCGGCTGTAAGTGAGCTTTCTAATAACAAAGTATGCTTCTATTCATCCATCTTCATAACCGAGAGGCTGCAGATAATACTGCTGAGAAAATGCCTTTTGTGAAACTTTCATTCAAGTATTCAGCAAATATTTATTAAGCTGCTAATATGTACCAGGCTCTGCACCAGATGGCAGGGATATAAGCATCAAGTAAAAGCAGACAAGGTTCCTGCCCTTGTGGTGCTTGCAATTTAGTTGGAGTGTACATTAATCAAATTATGTAAATAAACACAAAATTGCAACTGTAACAAATGCGATGAAGCAGACGTAGGAAACGCCAACAAACCTGAATCTGACCTAGTTAAGAGGTGAAGGACTTCTTCCAGAATCTCTGAAATGACCCTGAGATAAAGTGTGATGGTGCAAGAATTGTGAAGACAGAAGACAGATTGTGCAGACGAAGAACAGGCGTGAGGGCCAAAGGGTGAGACAAAACCAAGCCAAGCAAGTCTGAGAGACAGAAAGACCAGGGCGGCTCAAGGGCAGGGAGGAGGAGCCAGATGACGCTGCAGCCCTGGGGAGCAGAGGCCAGGCCCTACGAGGGCCATGTGGGGGTGTCTTGTCTGAATTTCAATCTACTGAAGTACTGTAGTAGATTTTGCTTTTTAAAAAGACCACTTTGGTCAAGTATAGGGAGGTGGGGTAGGGGCTGGATGGGCAGTCAGGCCACCACTGCAGAGGTCCCAGAGAAAGGTGAAGATGGCATGGGCTGACTGAAGAACACTCAGGAGGTGACTGCAGTCCATGACAAGACAACGTCATCTGATTATCAATGTACACAAATGATGATCCTAAAATATTTGAAAAGAACCAAAATAGTTCAAATAATAATATTATTTTCATTATCTAATCCTCAGTACAAAGAGCTTATTTAAAAGAGAAGTCAGTTCTAGGCTTGTCAAAATGAAGTGCAAATTAAATTTATAGGTGTAAATCCAAATTTTCCTAACCTGAAACCATTCTTAACACATGGCCATAAAATTTTCACTTCTTGCTACAGAACTAACAAGTTATAATACTCATCTTTGCATAAATCCAGATAACATTTTAATTTTTGCCATGAGACTAGCTTTAATATGAGACCGTCAAGGTCTCTGATTACTCTGTCTTCCAGTAAGGTTCTAGCAACTAAACTTGAAGGATGCCTAGGCATGAGACAGAGCAGCAGAGTGTATCTTAGGCCAATGCTCCAGGGAAACACTGGCGGTCATCTGTAAGAGGCTGTGCAGCCTGGGCCCCTGGCTTCGAGGTCATTCTCTGCCACTCTGGCCTGGGCTATACACTCCAAACCAGCCTATAACCTCGATGCTTGGCCCAGGGATGCTACCCTTCCCACCTTCACATTTCTCTTCCAATCAACTGCTCAAAAAGAGTCAAGTTTTGGAAAGCGAATACAAGATGGCTATTTTTGGTACAATACTTGAAAAATCATAATTGAGATGAAGATTTAAAAAGAGGAAGTAAGAAAGGCAGTTCTAAAAGTTGTCTCACTGAAATGAATTTCTATCTAGATTATTTCTACCATCTCAAAACTCTACTGTGCTTGAAGTTCAGAGCCTAGATTTATTTCCCAGCTTTACTGCCATGGGCAAATCACCACTTCTCTGTGCCTTAATTTTTCTCCCCTTCATGGGAGGTAAGTGGTATCTATAAACGAACAGCTAGCTCGTAGTGGACTCTCAACAAATTTTTGCTAAATCAGAATTAAATTCTACTGTATTTAAAACCTAGAAATGAGAATGCCCTAAACACTCCAGCTTCACCTTAACTCTAGACCTAACTGCAATCACAATGGTCCATGAAGGGAACTTGCACTGTGTTTGCAAGTGCCCTGAGAAACCTCCGATTCTCAGCAGGATTAGGCTCTTGGCTTTCATTTCTCACGCTAGTTAATAGGTTGGCTCCCTAAAATGCTTCCCCCAGCATCCACTTCCTAATTTCCACTAATGTCTGACACGGTAATACAGAGATAATCAAGACACAATTCTCCCCCAGATCAGAAAATTTCCTATTAGAACAGAAACAGCTACTGAGTTTATGCCTGAAGTCGTAAAGCTTTCATTGCTAATGACACATTTACATCACTCAAATCTTACAAAAATCTCAGGCAACACAGTTTTTCTTAAAGTAGTAATCTCAACTTTCTCAATGTCATAAACCTAATGGCTGTAAGACTTTTTCTTATTTTGAGATACACTTAGTACTACTTATCTTGGTGATTTATAATTAAATTTTAATAATAATAAAATTTCAATAAGATGAAATAAAAACAAATGCTGTTTCAAATTACTATAAAATCTCTTTTACCATAAATATTATGCTTATAACTTAGATAATTCTCCTAAAAGTTTATTTTTCCAGAGTTGGATCATGTAGTTTATTATTCTATAAAGTTACCTCTTTTACACTAACAACAAATGTATTCTTTTACATTAACTGTTTTCGTAGTTGTCTCATATCCTTAGTGAAACATGGCAAAGTAATAAATCAGGTGACTATTCTAGAAAAATTAATGCATAGGATACACTTAAAATTTTCAAAAACAGAATTTGATACTATAAGAAGAAAGTATAAAACTTTTTACCTTTCTGGGGTTTATAAGGCTAATATCAGAAAAGCTGAGTTAAAAGCAGACCTCACTATTTTATGAGTGTGATCAATAGGAAAAAAATATGACTTTGTTCATTGTTTCTTAGAGAAGTAATCCAAGAGAAAATTTTATCCCTGGGGCTCTCTGCCACTCACAGGACACCTGTCAATCTTGGCAATAGCCTTTAGCTATCCATACAGAGACTCGGCATGTCCCTCTCTTGCCCAAATTAGGCTAACCTCATCTGCATTGACATCAGTGTCTATAATTTTGGAATCCCATGGACAGAAATAGTCTATCACAGAGTTCTTTATACAAATGTAGTGTCTGTAGAAAACTATAACCAAATTTGCGACAGAAAAAATGTGAACACTATAGTAAAAACCCTCCAACTGTGCTCTCATTGTTTTGAATTCCAGCCCACTTTAATAACAAGTAATAAATCAGAGTAAGGTTTTGGTTTATTTCTTTTACTAAAAACCAAGGCTTATTATTCTTCAAATGGTATGAATTTTAAGTGACATGAAACTAAGAAAAAAGCTTCCATAACAAAAAATTATTTAAAAGCTATGGTACTATGAGAGTTTTGCCATTCAATTAAGACCTTTCTGTAATACTGACTTAGAGCTCTGAATTTTTTGTCATGTAGTATCCGAATATTTGATGAAAATGTCATGTGATTTCTCCTAGTATAAAGAAGTAAAAAAAAAAATCTTGACACTTTACCAACAATTCAAGTCTTCAGGTCCAGAAAACATCACCTTATGATACTAAAAGCACTTAGAAAGTCTCTGGTGACATTCTTAAGAACCAAACAGAGCCCCATGCTACAATTAGGCACACTCCTAGTTGAACAAACACACCCAGAGATAAAGTATTTGGGCGGAAATACTTTCCCACCCAATTCTTCAAACTAGTGGAAGAATTCTAGAAGTAGCCAACAAGACTCTTCATTAGATCTTGTCTTGTTCCACAGTTTATTTACTGGCATGTAGATCAGAAAAACATATAGCAAATCTGCATATAAAACACAATAGGTATATCAGCATGCTGAATTACAAAATTAAAAAAATTAAAGGTATGTCAGTATGCTGAATTTCAAAAATTTAAAAAAAATTGTCTGCATTTTGATATACAATAAATTGCATACCTATAAAACAATGAAAATAAGTTTTTAAAGTTTCCTAAAAAAAAAAAAAAAGGCAAATATGGTTAAATTCTAAATGAGAGATAATAAGTGAAGACAATCTTAGGAGGCAATGAGATCAGGTACGTTTCCAAATCAAGGATGCTCCACTATCTTCAATACGGGCCACATAAGAATGAATTCAGTTCTGAATACCACTGCAGATGATGCATGATTACATGCATATTTTAATGTCGACAGGGATACAATATAAGGAATAGTTTTAAAACTGAAGCTTTAGGCAAAGAAACAAAAAGAAAGACAGAATAGGTGTTAAACTGCTGTAACATAAAATAACCTAAGAAGAAGTCTACCTTTATTTTGGGAAATTACATAAGGCAGAAGTAGGACCAGGAGCACAAGTTTGTTAAAAACAGAATTTGACTCTTATTTCCTAAGAACTTTCTACAGCTTCTTACAACTTTCTACAATTAAAATCATGTAAGGATCTGCCTCAAACTAGCCTCTGTTCAGGGGCTTTTCGGGTAGGCTAGAACAAATGACTTTCAAGGTCTCTGCCAATTCTAAGGCTCTACAGTAATGTAACTGACAGCTCATAAGTGCTTATAGGCTAACAATTTTAATTTTAAACTTTAAACTGATGGCAAACTTGAACCAAATCATGACAAATTTTTGTACTAGTAATCTGAAAATGCTATCACTCACAACTCTGTGAAATGAAAAATGGAAACATTCTTTTTCCATACACAAAAGATAAATAAGATTAGCATGGCATGAATGCACCTTCTTCAATTTAATAATGAAAGAAGTCTTTCTAAGAAAGCTACTGTTATCAAAGGCTCCTCAATGGGACAGTGCACCCACCACCACACCCCACAAGACCAAGCCACATGAACTTCCTCAAAACTACTATGGCAACTAAGTGGTTACAGTGTTTATCTTGAAAGATACTTTTTTTAATGAGACCGATTTGTAGGTGAGGGAAAAAAAAAAAACTTCACCTATAAGTAGTATTATAAACAGACCAATACTTGTAGGCAAATATAAATTATAACATAGACATTAAGGAGAAAAACACCAATCTTGGCAGAAATAGGATAAATTTTAAAAGAAGACTTCTGAATAAGAATGGTAACTGTCCATAATTGCCTGTCTCTCCAAACCAGTGTAGAAGTCCAAAAATTTTCTGAAGTATACTTGAGGCACTTTGAATTGAATAGTACTATTTCATCTCCACATATAACATTGCAAAAGAGAGAGACACACACACAGAGATTGAGATCTTCACTGTGTTAGGCACAAGGGAAATAATGTGAATGAGACACAGTCCTTGCCTTTACACAGCTTAAGTTTTTGTGGGGGCTACAAACAATCAGCATAACAACAAGTAATTACAATTACATGTAAATCCAGAGTGCTATAAGTACCAAGTATGACAATTAACCCAGGATTTGTTAACATCAAAGAAGACTACCAGGAAAAATGCGACAATGTAATCTCATCCTTAAAAATGATGAATAAGAGCTTGTCAGGTACAGGCAGTGGGGAAAAGAGCCCCAGGCAGAAAGAGCAATATGTACAAATTATCAGAGGTGAGCTAAATCTTCGCCAGCAAAAAACATAAACAAGATTCAATAAATTATAAGGTAACTGGTACTGGACTAGCTCTCCCATTATATAAACAACTAAAAAGTTAAGCTTTCAATATGAGATACATGAAACATTGTTTTCAGATGTTAGACAGCAAGTACTGCAGGACTTTGATCCTTGAGAGAATGGAAAAAACCAAGGTAAGCCCTAACATTGCCCAGGCTCCTTCCTATAGGCAGTCGCCAAACCTGAAAGCAAGGCACAATCCTGCAGAGCACAGCGGTCTCACAAAGCTAAGGACACAGAGACTGCAGCTCAGGGAGGCTGAGGTACCTGGAATTTGCAGGGCTGAATGCCAGAGAGGAGGGAGCTGTGAGGACAAGGAGCTCCAGAAGTCTGATGGTGGATCCCCTTGAATCTTTGGCTGAATACTAAGCTGAGTATGTGTAGGATTAGACTCCATGAGGCCAGAAAAATAATAACTACCAGGGAAAGAACAACTACAGGAGAGTTCAGAGTTCCAACCAACCACAGAGAAGAGACCTCAGGGAATACCTGGGACATTCCATAGAGATTCCAGAAATGCCATACCGTTAGGAGGTACTAGTCCATCAGCGTAGAAAGCCCTATCAGAAACACTAACAAAACTTACAATAAGCGTAAAGGGATCAGGTGGATCTGCAAGTCACTAAACTGCCTACCAGAACAGAATTTAACATTCTTTAAAAGATGACAAATCAAAAATTACAAATTAGTAGGGAAAATAAAAAAGTCACCTCAAAACTGGGGTGGAGGGGAGTGTTCAATAAAAACAAACCCAAAAATGATTAAGATAATAGAATTGGTAGACAAAGACTTCTTAAATGTTATTGTAAATATGTACAAAGATTTAAAGGAAAACATGTACACAATGAAAAAAAAGAAACTAAAAAAATGGATCATCTATAGCTGAAAAATACAGTATCTATGCTAAGAAATTCACAGTTGGGCTTAATAGCAAACAAAACACAATATAAGAAAAGATCAATAGAAATTACCTAACCTGATGCACACAGAGAAACAAAAGCCAAAAAATAAATAAATAAATAAATAAAAACTAAAAAAAAAAACATGAATCTGAACCTGTGAGCCTGCGGGACAACATCAAGCAGTGGAGTAATTAGACTCCAAAAAGGAATGTAAAAGATAGCAAACATACTTGAAGCAATAATGATGAAATATTTTTCTCATCTGATAACAACTATCAATCCATATGTCAAAGCAGGTTAAACGAACTCCAAACATAAAAAAACACAAAGAAAACTATACCTAGATACATAGCAATCAAATGCTGAAAATCCAAAAGCAGACAATGACATTACAAGAAAATAAAACCATAGACTAATATCCCCTATAAACACAGATAAAACAATCATTTAGAAAACATTAGTAAATCAAATCCATTAGCATATAAAAAGGAAATACATTATGAGAAGTGGCAATTATCCTAGGAATCTAAAGCTGATTTAGCATTCAAAAAACAATAAATGTAATTCAACATTAACAGAATTAAGAAAAATCATACAATCAGTTCAATTGGTAAGAAAAATGCATTTGACAAAATTCAATAGTCATTATGATAAACAATCTTAATAAACTAAGAATAAAAGAAAACTTCTTCACCATATAAAGGACATCTATTAAAAAAATCCATAGCCATCATTGTACTTAACAATAAGACTAAATATTTTTGCCCTAAGATCACAAGCAAAGTTGCTCTACCACTTCAACATGGTACTGAAAGTCAAAGCCAATAAATACATTAAGGCCACAAAAAGAAAAAGCATAAGGCATATAAATTAGAAACAAAGAAAAAACTGTCTTTTGTGCAGACAACATGACTGTCCATGTAGAAAATCCTAAAGACCCTACAAAAGAGCTACTGGAACTAATAAAAATTAGTACGGTCAATAGACACAAGTTTGATATTAAAAAAATCAACTGTATTTCTATATATTAGTAAAAAATGATTGGAAAATGAAATTTTAAAAATACCATTTGCAATCATAACCATAAACATAAAATACTTATGGATAAAATCAATAGGATATATGCATGATCCATACAATGAAAACTACAAAACATAGTATGGGGTTGAATTGTGTCCCCCCAAAAGATATGTCAAAGTCCTAACCCCCAGGTGCCTGTAAATGTGACCTCATTTGGAAACAGGTTTTTGCAAATGTAATCAAGTTAAGATGAGGGCATACTGGGTTAGTGTGGGCTCTAAATCCAATGACTAGTGTCCCTCTAAGAACAGGGAAATTTGGACAGACCACACAAATGCACAGGGGAGAAGCCCATGTGAAGATAGAGGCAGAGATTGTAGTGATTTATTTATAAGCCAAAGAACACCAAGGATTGCTATCAACCACTAAAAAGAAGCTAGAAGAGGCAACTGCCTCCGGGGGGCAAGGCCTTGGCTGACAACTTGATTTCAGACTTCCAGCCTCCAGAAGTGTGAGACAGATAATTTCTGTTGTTTTAAGCCACCGAGGTTTTGATACTTTGTTTTAACAGCCCTAGTTACTAATACATATGTTTACGGACTGGAAGACTCAATACTGTCAATTTTCCCTTAATTGTTCCATAAATTCAATGCAGTCTCAAAATCCCAGCAGACTTTTTTTTAGAAATTTGATGCCCAACAAAGGTACCAAAGTAATTCAGGGGAAAGTATAGTCTTTTCAATACATGACACTGGAAAAACTATATAAATATTTTTTAAATGAATAAAATAAATTTTAAAATGAGTCTAACAATCTCATGCCATACAAAAAAATTAAAAATGAATTATATATTTAAACATAAAGACTAAAATAATAAAATTTCTAAGAAAATGTATGAGAATATATCCATAATCTAGGGTTAAGTAAAGATTTCTAGACACAAGAACACCAATCACAAAAGGAAAAAAAAAATGTGTTAATTGGACTTCACTAAAACTAAAAACCTCTGTTCTTCAAAACACAGTGTTAAGATATAAAAAGGCACAGACTCAGAGAAAATTATCTGTAGTATGTAAGTCTGATAAAGAACTTGTACCAAAAAAAGGCAGAATAAAAGAATTAGTATCCAGAAATATATACATGTGTGTGTGTGTGCATATATATATATATATATATATATATATTTTTTTTTTTTTGAGATGGAGTCTCGCTCTGTCACCCAGGCTGCTGGAGTGCAGTGCAGTGGCGTAATCTTGGCTCACTGCAACCTCTACCTCTCGGGTTCAAGCAATTCTCCTGCCTCAGCCTCCCAAGTAGCTAGGACTAAAGACATGCACCACCATCCCCAGCTAATTTTTGTATTTTTACTAGAGATGGGGTTTCACCATGTTGGCCAGGCTGGTCTCGAACTCCTGAGTTCAGGTGATCCACCCGCCTCGGCCTTCCAAAGTGCTGGGATTACAGGTGTGAGCCACCTTGTTGCCTGGCCATATTTAAAAACTCATAACTTAATAAGACAACCCAATTTAAAAATACAAGCTAAAGATTTAAACAGACGAGTCACAATAGAAGATATACGAATAGCCAATATGCATATGGATGCTCAACATGTTTAATCATCAGATAAATGCAAACCAATGTAACTACAAGATACTATTAACCACAAGAATGGCTAAAATTGAAAACTGACAATATCTCGTGTTATCAAGGATGTGGAGCAATTAGAACGCTCATGCTAATTAAAATGTATATATGAAAAATAACTTGAACACAAATATTCATACCAGTTTTATTCCTAAAAGTCAAAGCTGGTAACAACATAAGCATTCATCAACTGATGAATGGATAAATTGTGGCATATCCATACAACAGAATACTACTCAGCAATAAGATAGGGCAAACTACTAATACATGCAATGAAATAAATAAATATCAGAAACACTGAGCTAAGTGAAAGAAGCCAGGGAAAGAGAAAGTATACTCTATGATTCCATTTATATGAAGTTCTAACAGGCAAAACTAATCAATAGTGATAGAAGTCAGATCAGTGGTTGTCTGGGGCAGGGGCTGGGGGGAACCTATGGCAAAGGGCCCCAAAAGAACTTTTTGGAGTGACTAAAGAGTACAATATCTTGATTGGAGTACTAGTTGCATGAGTGTACCTGCTTGTTAAAATTAATCAAACTGTATGTCAATTATCCCTCAAAAAACTGAATTTCAGAAAGAGGAGCAAAATCCACCCCACCCCCAACCCCCAGAGGAAATTTAGCATAATTACTAATAGAATTTAAAGTTAAATTGGGAGCAACAAGAGGGTTGAGACCACAGGAGTAATCAAAACTGTCAACCATAATAGGGAGTCTGAATTGCATGCAAAGACAAAAGGAAGTCACTGAGAGGTTTCATCCAGGAGACTAATACACATTTTGGAAAAAATACTCTAGGTCCCAGAGTGGAATGGATTAACACAGCGGAAGACTTCACTCTTCAGGGAGATCTGTAAGAAAGCTATTGCCTTAATCCAGAAGAGAAGATGGTCTAGACTAGGGTAGTAAACAGGAGAATAGAGAAATGTGACGGGATTTAAGAGGTTGATTTGCTTTAATGTTAGGAGAGGTTAAGTGTCTGGATACTAAGGACAACTGAGTGGAAATATTCACTCATGGCTGGGCATGGGTCTCACGGCCTGGAAAGAGAGCTGGGCTGGAGAGAGGGACCTGGAGTAATCCTCTGCCAATCAAGACTGCTAAGTAGGATTACCCAAGGAGAGAAGTGAAGACAGCTAAAATCAAAACCTTTAGGCTCACAGACAGAAAAGGACTGGGAGGGCCAAAGGCCAAAACTCACAATTGGTAACTATTCAAACTAAATAGCAGCCCCTGAAGATAGCTGTTTTTTGAGACAGAGCAGGGACTCCCTTTTTTAGGGACTCACAAAGGAAAATCCTTAAGTTCCTTCAAGGGAAATTCCAGGCATCTAGCTAGCCCCAGAGGTAACTACTAACTAGAACAAGAAGGTAATAGTAGCCTAAAACAACAGCCAAAGAAGTTAAAGCTCCAGAGATGTTTGCTTTCCTTATAGAAACTAAAAATAACATCTGAACATATGTCCCTGAATTGTCTTTCAGAGGCTCGGACCCCCCACCTAACAGATCCACTGGCACCTGGAGTCCAGATAAGGAGACAGTGAAAACTAAACTTTATAACTGCTTTTTGTTCTAAGTTTCTTCCTGCAGTGCTTGGAGAAAGTCACACCCCCTAGCCAGTTAACATTTTTCTACTGACCCTAAATTTTTAAACAAAGCTGCTCTTCCTTAACTAATGGCAAATCTGAAGATCTTTGAATCTACCTGCAACATGTAAGCCCCTGCTTCAAGATATCTCAACCTTTTAAACTTAAACCAATGTGTAATCTCCCTGTATTGAAGTATGATTTTGCCTGTAGCTTCTGCTTTCCTGAAACTCACCCCTGTGTTTAAAAATCCTTGCCTGCAAGTCACTGGGGAGGCCAGGATTTGAGCATTTAGCTGCCTGTCCTCCCTGCTTAGCACTCTGCAGTAAACACCTATTGCTGTGTTCCTCTGTGTGGGTATTTGGTTTTACTGTGCCAGGTGAGTAGGCCCTAGTTTGGTTCTATAACATTCTCTCTCACACACATACATACCAGTAACATTCCTCTCCCTCTCACACCTCAGTAAGGTTAAAACCAGAAAGACGCCACTTTGAATACAATATAAAAATAAAGTGACAAGAAGGCCCTTGCTCAACGAACATCAAACAGAAACTCCTTTTAGGGCTTAAAGTTTCGTCCAGTGCTAGGCTAGAAAAAGAACATTAGGTTCAAACCCTCTCCATCCCCTCATCTGCTCCTTTAGTGCCTTCAGAAGATGAAAGCAAGCTATTGCAGCTAACATCAAAAATTCTTTCATTCGAGTCTAAAACAGACACGAACAGACACTGACTTAGTAGTCAAAAATACACAGTGGCAGAATCAGATAGAGTCGTGCACCCCTTTTGTCCCATCAACTCAGGAGGTTGAGGCAGAAATTCAGGCCTATGATCACAACTTTGACTAGTGACTCCAATCCAGCCTGGGCAACACAGTGAGACCCCCAAAGGCGACAAAAAATAAAAACAAAAAACACACCAAAACAAAATCTGTGTTCCTATTATTACTGTTAACTGGGTGGAGTGAATGAAACTATTTAGCAAAGTCTCTAAGAATACTTCCATTTCCAACAATGGACTAGTTTAGAAACACAACTCTACCACTGAAAACAACTAAAAATGCTGGAAGATATTGAAAATATATTCTGAAATGAATCCATGAGCAGTTAAGAAAATAATTATTCTGACAAAAACAGTAAAAGAAGGAATGCAACAAGTAAAGTAATGAAGCTGGCTTTCAACTCAAGGTCAAATTAAAGTGGGTGAACCTGAGTTTTAGGATTTTCACAACCTCATGGGTCAATGGAACAAAAACTGACAAAGCCAAGGACCTGACCAAAGTATAGAGCACCCCCCAGTAACTCTTACTAACGGAATACAATGAGCAATAATCATTATATTCTACACTCATTTAAAAAAAAAACAGCTTGAATCAAAAATAAGTAAATAAATAAATAGAAGTAATAGCTTGAGTCAAATTATGTGCAATTTGATAACCATCAGCTAGGAGAACATGATACAAATTTATGCAGGCTGGCAAAAAGATCTCTTGGATTTGTTACCCATTTTGATGAGCTTAATTGCAAAGGCAATTAAGACTAACAGCAATGTAACTTAAGGAACTCTAACTAGAACAGTGTATAAAAAGCAGTTTAGTAAGGTTCAGGAAAAAACTATTTTCTCTTAACACCATTTGTTTACATTTAATAAAGTAAGAGGACATGAAGCCTTCTGTATTTAGCATATGTAATTATAACACTTTGTTTAAAATAGAAGAGACAAAAAATTAAGAAGTCAAAAATAACTTAATTTGCATTGAAGTACATGGTACTTCTTGTTCGAAAGAAATTCATTTATGATCAACACTCTACAAAGAAATTTAAAAGTTAAGCCACATGATCTAACATCAACAAAACTTTCTCATTAAGAAAATACTTTGTTCACAAACACAGAAAGTAGAATAGAGGTTGCCAGAGGCTGGGGAGAGCAGGGAATAGCAAGTTATTGTTTAAGGGGTACAGAATTTCTGTTTGGGATGATGAAAAAGTTCAGAAAACAGATAATGGTGATCACTGCACAACACTGTGAATGTACTTAATGCTACCAAAGTTCTGCACTTCAAAATCATTAAAATGGCAAGTTTTATGTTAGGCATATTTTACCACAATAAAAAAATGCAAAAGAAAAAAGTATTTTCATGTTAATTCATTAAAGTTAGGAATTCTCTCTAGTCTGAAATTCATGCAAACAAATATGCTCTTAAAATTGGACCAGGGGAGCACTGGCTTTGGGTCATCTGATCACTGATTCAAATCCAGTGTTTACTCTTCCTAACTACGGAGTCTTCATACAAGTTATATTCTAAACCTCAGTTTTCTCCACCAGGATAATGGGAAGGTACTTGGACAGTTGTTACAAGGATTAAAATAGATACTGATGGTATTCATAAAAATAATCCAGGAAGATAACCAAGTTGTTTTTATCCAATTCTCTCGCAAGTCCAAATAAAGTCATCAATTAAAACTTGCAAACCTGAAAAATCATCTCTCTTTAACTAGTATGATATAGTTCGGATATTTGTCCCTGCCCAATCTCATGTTGAAATGGAATCCCCAATGTTGGAAGTGCAGCCTGGTGGGAGGTGTTTGGATCATGGGGGTGGATCCCTGATGAAAGGGTCCGGGCCATCCCCTTGTTGATAAGTGAGCATTCTGGGTTCACTCATCTGGTCGTTTTAAAAGTGTGTGGCACCTCCCCCTCCCCACACTCTCACTTGCTCCTGCTTTTGCCACATAATGTGCCTGTTCCTGCTTTGCCTTCTGCCATGATTGAAAGCTCCCTGAGGCTTCACCAGAAGCCAAACAGATGCCAGCACCATGCTTCCTATAAAGCTTGCTGAACCGTGAGCCAAGTACACCTCTTTTCTTTATAAATTACTCAGACTCAGGTATTTCTTTGTAGCAAAGCAAGAACAGCCTAATACACAGTGCTCTGATAATATATTCAGGCATATCGATGACTTGATTCAATTCTTTAAAATGATTTCTGCCTCTCTACAGAGCAGACATTACTCAACCTTGTTCCCATTGCTCCCATTTAAATGGCCAGCTTCTCTAAGTTACAGCAACAGACAGACATGGTACTTTAAAAAGAAATAAACTGAAGATTCATTATCAAGTAAAAGTTTGACCATAGTGCTCCCCTTTTCAAGTTCTGGCTAGCCAGCACTCTTGGTACTCAACGTAATAGTCAATTTTCAGTCAGCTGCATCAGTAATCAGGTGTGCATTTAACAATGTTAAACCAGTCAGAAATTTTCCCAAGTGTTTGACAGTCTAAATCACAAATTTACTTTCAGGAGACAAGACATGGCTGGAATAGGTGGTGTTTAATCTTTTGAAGAATGACAAACCCCTTTTAATGGCAAAATAGTTTGCACACACCCACAAGATAGGCCTTTTTCTTCTGGTATCCACTGAGAAAAGTACAAAATAGCATAACATTATTGTGAATTTATGTTTAAATGGATTTAATTCATCACAACAGTATTTATATTTGAAATATGCTTATATATATGTATGAGAGTTTTTAAGTTTACTTTCTGAAATATACATGAATTCATGAAGCTCCTGTCAATTCCCAAATTCTCTTGGGATTTGCCACCAGCAGTTGGGAACCATAGGACAGAGGATACGATTGGGAGAACAAACCAGCAGAGGCAAGGTGTGTGTATATGCATCTCTCCTTGCACCTCTCCTACACACAGACACACATACACATTCTAGAAAAAATATGCATCATTCAGTATACCAACATATCTCTTTTAATATGCTGATATAATTCAAACTAATATGGTAAGAAAAATCTATATGACAAAGGTTTAAAAGGGGACACAGCAAAGAACATACAATATGTAACCCTCTTATCAAACTGCATACACCAGCACTTTATCACACATCCTTCTCTAGCCAACAGCATGATATTTTGTATTACAAAGACAGAATATCATTTTTAAAGTCTCTCTCATGGCACAAATTTAATTCTAATATTTCATTTTTTAACCCTATACCTACCCTAATTCAAGCCAAATAGTTACTCATGATTTCCTGAACATGGCTGGGGCATTACCACTGTCATACTTTTACCCAATTTATTTCCTCATTTTAGAATGAATTCCCTCCATCCCAAGAAAGTCGTGTCAACTTTAACATCTCTAAAACATAGGTATAAAGAGAAAAATGAAATTCAGTCATATTTGGACACCAGAATTGCTTATTTCAAGATTTACTGGAGAAGCTTTAAAAACCCCAAAATAAGTAATTTGAGAAAGCTGAAAGTTTCATTTTGTTGCTTTTTTTTTTTTTTTTTTTGAAGACAGTGTTTCCATTGCCCAGCTGGAGTGCAGTGGCGCAACATCAGCTCACTGCAACCTCTGCCTCCCGGATTCAAGCTATTATCCTGCCTCAGCCTCCCAAGTAGCCAGGATTACAGGCATGTGCCACCACACCAAGCTAGCTTTTTCTATTTTTAGTAGAGACAGGGTTTCACCATGTTGGCCAGGCTGGTTTCAAACTCCTGACCTCAAGTGATCTACCCGCCTCGGCCTCCCACAGTGCTGGGATTATAGGCATAAGCCACCGTGCCCAGCCAAGTTTTCTTTTATTTTGAGATGGGATCTTGCTCTGTCACCCAAGCTGGAGTACAGTAGTGTGATCAAGGCTCACTGCAGCCATGACCTCCTAGGCTCAAGTGATCCTCCTGTCTCTCATCCTCTCAAGTAGCTGAGGTCACACCTGTGTACCACCATGCCCAGCTAATTTTTGAAAAAATTTTTGGTAGAGATGGACTCTCCCTATATTGCCCAGGCTGATTTGGAACTCCTGGACTCAAGCAATCCTCCTGCCTCAGCCTCCCAAAGTGTTGGGATTACAGGTATAACACTGTGCCCAGCCAAAGCTGAAAGTTTTAATTCATTGTATGAACAGTTAAGAATCAGTTGGATATAGTACAAGCAGTTTATGGGTGATGACTAATATATATTTAAAGAGCCCCTTATTTAGAACCTGGGATACAAACTGGTACCACAGTAGCTTTGCTTATTTGAGGTAATGCTTCAAGTACATTTGATTTTAAAATTATGACTCATGTTCACTGAAAAGTTTCTAAAGTGTTGAGCAGAAAACAATTTTCAAAAGTAGTCAAGTAAACATTTAATTGAGCAGCAGAGATTACCCTATATAAAGAAAATAAAATATGGTGCTGTAGAGGCTAAGGCAACTCCATCTTGGTTGCTAATCTACCATGTTGACTTCTAATTAACCTGTTCTGGGAAGGCCTCTAAGATTTCCAGTTTATCTATTTCCTGTGTAACAGCATGGACTTACCATCAATCTTGCTCTTGGGTCAAAACAACCTTCATGTTATCGTTTTTCAGTTGTCCCACACATTCCTTCTGAATCACGTACACCCCTTCCCTATGGTGTATAAGCCCTGGTTTGAGGGATAATGGTACTGTGGATTCACCCTCGTGTCTTGCTGCTGCCTAAGACACAGGCATGGCTTCTGTTCGTAAGTCCCTATTAAATGCTTCTTTCTGAGAAACTGGATATGTTAGCCGCCTTCTCAGCTCTCTCAAACTTTGGGGGTAGGTTTGCACAGACCTGCCCACCACAGAACAGTCACTTACTGTATTATTATACTTTAAAACTTATATGAGTCTTTCTTACATCACTGTTTGAGCAAAAATTGGTGCAAACTTCTGGAAGGTAATTTGGCCATGTTTATCAAAGACTTAAAGCTGCACCTAGCACTGTAACTAGTTACACTACTTCTAGGAATCTTAAGAAAACAATCATGGATAAGCATGAAGATTTAGCAACAAAGATTTTCATTACAGCATTGTTTATAATAGTGAAAAACTGTAAACACTCTAAATATCCAACAATAAGGAATGACTGGTTGACTAACTGTAAAAGTAGAAGTACGAAATATTTACAATCATTTGAAGTAAATGCTGCAAAACATAAATTTTCAAACTATCTCCCAAATGATAATAACTTAATTCTTGGACACTTTTAACTATTTTAAATTTGTAGTAAAAAAAAAAGTACATATTCACTTTGTAAATTCATAGAGACAGAAAGTAGATTATTAATTGCCACAGGTTGAGGGAGGAGGGAGTGGGGAGTGCTATTGAGTATAGAGTTTATTTTTGAGGTGATAAAAAAGTGCTGGAATTAGAGTAGTAAAGGTTGCACAACTTTGTGAATAAACTAAAAACCACTGAATCATACACTTAAAAGCGTGAATTTATGGTATGCAAATTCTTTCTTTAAAAATGCACATATTCAAACACTTTAGAATTTTAACTTGGTGGGACTCCTACCACAATATTAACTTATGTTGCCAGATAAATGTGTTTATATGAATCTTAAATTAGGCTGTCCCTTGGCACCTCTGTGCATGTAAGTGAATGTTCCATACACGTGTTACTGATTCACAAAGTTTGGGCTCTGCGCTGGCCTTCATCCAAGTTGGAGCACATGTCAGAAATGCATTCCTTTTCCATGTGGCTGTCCAGTTGTTTAGCACAATTTGTTGAAAAGACTATTCTTTCCCCATTGGATGGCCTTGGTACCCTTGTCAAAAATCAGCTGACCACAGACACATTAGTTTATTCTTCTACTCTCAATTCTATTCCATTGATCTATGTGTCTAAGCTTATGCCAGCACCCCACTGTCTTGATTACCATTGCTCTGTACTAAGTTCTGAAATCAGGAAGTGTGAGTCCTACTTTGTTCTTTGTTTCAAGATTGTTTGTGTTATTTTGGGTCCCTTGCAATTCCATATATTTTTTCAAATCACTTTGTCAATTTCTACAGCAATCAGCTGGGATTCTGAAAGGGACTATACTGAATCTGTAGATCAATTTGGGGAGTACTGCCATTTTAACAATATTAAGTTTTCCAATCCATGAACATGGGACATTCTTCCATTTATTTAGATCTTCAATTTCTTTCAACATTGTTTTGTAGTTTTCAGACAATACACTTTGCACTCCCTTTGTTAAATTTATTCCTAAGTATTTTATGCTTTTTCATGCTATTAAAAATTGAGTTGTTTCCATTTCATTTTCAGGTTATTCACTTTAAGGGTACAGAAATACAAGTGATTTCTGTATGTTGATCTTGCATCCTGCAACTTTGCTAAACTCATTTATTAGTGCTAAAATTTCTTTAGTAGATTCCTTAGTATCTTCTATGTAGATAATCATATCATCTATGACTAGAGATAGTTTTACTTTTTCCTTTCCAATCTGGATGTTTTTTTTATTTTTCTTGCCTAACTGACTTGGCTAGAACCTTTAGTTCAATGCTGAATACAAGTAACACAAGCAGACATGCTTACCTTGTTCCTGGTCCTACAGGGAAAACACCCAGTCTTTACCAGTAAGCACAATATTAGCTGTGGGTTTCTTGTAGATGCCCTTTATCAGGTTGAGGAAGTTCCCTTCTATTCCTAGTTTTCTGGATGGTTTTATCATAAAATGGTGTTAGATTCTGTTAAATGCTTTTCCTGCATCTACTGGGATGAGCACATGGCTTTTTTTATTCTACTGACATGTTGTATTACATCAGTAGCAAAAGAGACAGAACATGGGTCAGTGATGATGATTCTGAGCTGCTGAATTAACCATATCTGGAGCCACTAAACCCTGGGTCTTCTAGGTAAATCTTATTGTATACAAGAATTTGGAACAAGTTTTTTGTTACTTGCCACTAAAGAAATTCTGGCTGATACAACGAGTGTCATACTGGAGCCTGCTCACACTGTTTCAGGAAAGCCAGTTCTGTACATGTCTTCCCCACCCCCATTCAGTGATACTGCACTGACAGCTTCAAATCAGCCATGGTAACAGGATGTACACTATTTAATCTCTATTGAAGTATAGAGAAGACTGGAATAGGAACATTCAGTGCTAGTAGTTAAAATGAGCAGAAATTGGCAAGCACCATTTTTCTTTCAGAGATCCAGTTGCTACACATTTAGCAGCATACCACTGGATACAACTCTGTTTCAAAGTTTTCTTTTCATCAAATCTACCTTCTTATTCCCATAATAAAGTTAATAATAATGAATAAGTTACTACAATAAGAATTTTACCAACAAAATACTGTATATATCTGGGTTTCTAATAAGACTTTACTAGAAAAAAGTCTCCAGTATTTATTTCTATAAAAGAATATTTCAGAATATGGAAAATCACCGACATTATAAGTTTTTTTTTAAAAACAAACTGATTATAAAACATTACACACAGTAGGAGAAAGAATCTATTTCAATGAACAGATACTAGGACTGTCGAGCTAAACACCAATGTGTTCACAATGTTATTATCTCTGGGTAGTAACATTACAGATGATTCTTATTATTTTTGCATGTTCTTTCCCTTGATTTTTAATGATGAACATGTATTAACTTACTAAGAGTAATAAAGAAAAATACAATTTATATTTTCAAGAGGAAGAAACGTAAAGTATAGTAATTTTTGTCCGTGAGCACAAGAAGACACTTTTTTTCCTTCCATTTTATCTAGGAAGAACCTATACAATTCCTTGCAGGTAGGAAGGTAGCACTAGTTCTTAAACTGGGTGATTCTTTGTTGCTATTTATAATACAAAGTTATAAACTTGTTCTCTACCTCAAGACAATGTAGTCATAACTTACAATATGCATTATAAGAAAAGTGCTGTATTCTTCACACATAATCGCTTTGAAAAAAATGTGATCTGATTCATGAAATTGCATAACCTCTACTCCTAAAGAGGATATAGTAAAGTGAAGTAGCACTGGACCAAGAGTTAGAAGATTTGGTTTCTGGTTCTAGAGTTAAACCTTATTAGCCATGTGACCTCTGGCAAGGAGCAATCTCTCTGAACCTAAATCTTCTCATTTGTTAAATGGAGCTAATAACACCCATTCCTCTTCACAGGATGAGATAAAGTATATGAAGACTATCAAATGAAAGATGGTATCATATGCCACTGCTTCATTACATAAACATTAAAAGTCTTATAACAACCGTATTTTGTTCCACTTTGATACAGAAAAACAGCTTTATAATCAGGAAGTTATGATGCCAGTTTTTCTGGTAACAGGTTAATTTGCTCAGTGCTTTGAAGATCTTTGTATCAAAAAAAAGTTTTAAAAATATTTTCTTTACTGCATTACTCTTTTTAAGTTACCTCAAAAAATCCAAGGATGTCAACAGATTAGCATTACCACAACATGACACTAGAAAAGCCAAGAAAGCTATAGATTGATTTCCGTAAGAAATATTGCTGTAAAAGAAACTACCATCAGAGTGAACAGGCAATCTACAGAATGGGAGAAAATTTTTGCAATCTACCCATCTGACAAAAGGCTAATATCCAGAATCTACAAAGAACTTAAACAAATTTACAAGAAAAAATCAAACCCCATCACAAAGTGGGCAAAGGATATGAACAGACACTTTTCAAAAGAAGACATTTATGCAGCCAACAGACACATGAAAAAATGCTCATCATCACTGGT
The DNA here is from genome assembly GCF_000001405.40 of Homo sapiens. Classification (NCBI taxonomy): domain Eukaryota; kingdom Metazoa; phylum Chordata; class Mammalia; order Primates; family Hominidae; genus Homo; species Homo sapiens. The sequence goes on from NC_000008.11 coordinate 65,809,767, forward strand.
CAGAGAAATACTAATCAAAACCACAATGAGATACCATCTCACACTAGTTAGAATGGTGATCATTAAAAAGTCAGGAAACAACAGGTGCTGGAGAGGATGTGGAGAAATAGGAACACTTTTACACTGTTGGTGGGAGTGTAAATTAGTTCAACCATTGTGGAAGACAGTGTGGCGATTCCTCAAGGATCTAGAACTAGAATTACCATTTGACCCAGCGATATCATTACTGGGTATATACCCCAAGGATTATAAGTCACGCTACTATAAAGACACATGCACACATATGTTTACTGCAGCACTATTGACAATAGCAAAGACTTGGAACCAACCCAAATGTCCATCAATGATAGACTAGATTAAGAAAATGTGGCACATATACACCATGGAATACTATGCAGCCACAAAAAAGGATGAGTTCCTGTCCTTTGTAGCGACATGGATGAAGCTGGAAACCATCATTCTGAGTAAACTATCGCAAGGACAGAAAACCAAACACCGCATGTTCTCACTCATAGGTGGGAATTGAACAATGAGAACACTTGGACACAGGGTGGGGAACGTGACACACCAGGGCCTGTCATGGGGTGGGGGGATGGGGGAGGGATAGCATTAGAAGAAATACCTAATGTAAATGATGAGTTAATGGGTGCAGCAAACCAACACAGCACATGTATACATATGTAACAAACCTGCATGTTGTGCACATATACCCTAGAACTTAAAGTGTAATAAAAAAAGTATTGCTGTAAAAGCCCTAAATAAAATATTAGCAAGTAGTCATCAATAGAATAATACATTTTTTTTTGTTTTAAAAGAACAATATATTTTAACCAAGTAAAAATCATCCTATTTTTTAAGGATAAATTAATATTAGAATATCCACTAAGGTAATTTACTATATTAGAGCAAAGGTGAAAAACTTAAAGTATCTCAATAAATGACCCAAAATCATGTGAATAAACAATCACTCCCATATAAATACTCCTAATATTCAAACATATTTTAAGAAACAATCATTCCCAATAAATATTTCCTAATAAAGTAAGAAAAAGGTAAAACTGTTATTTGCAGGTGATTATGAAACAGACAAGAAAAGGGACTGAAAAACTATTAGAAACAATAAACTTAATATACAACTGATTTACAAAATTAATTCAAAAATTATTATAGTTTGCCCACATACAACCAATTAGGTAGAAAACATAATGAGGGAAAAAATTTATATCTGCAACCAAATAAAAGTAAATCTGGGTGTAAACAACAAAAATTGTAAAGGCCTCTATGAAGAAAATTTAAATCTCTATTGAAGGATAGAGAAGACTGGAATAGGAACATTCAGTGCTAGCGGTTAAAATGAACAGGAGGAGGAAGTGGAGAAAAAAAGGAGGAAGATGAGAGCAACTTTACCAGTCAGGTTCCCAGCAGAAAACTGATGACAAACTCAAGGAGGTAACTAAAGAGAACTTCATGAAGGGACTGTTTACTGAGGTCTGGCCAGGGTGCAGCACCCAGGGGCTAGCAATAGTGGGAAGATGTTACTACTGAACCCTAGTGAAGACTCTCACTGTGGGAGAGAAGACAAGAAATGTGGCCTTAGGTGAACAAACACAGCCCTCCAGGGGGAAAAGCTGGGAAATGTACCCTAAACTCTCTCTCCTCCCACCCGCCCATCTCCTGCTAGGCCTCCCATTGGCCAACCCAACGAGAAGCCAGACGGCATGAGAGGCTGGATGATTCCACAGAGGTTAGCCTCTTTCAGCAGAGAGCAAGATGAAGAGTAGAGAATATATTTGAAGGATAAAAGGAATATCCAGCACAGCAGCTATTCTCCTTTGACTGTTTATGCCAGGCACTGCTCTAGGCACTTTATTTGGATTAATCCTTTTAACTCTCACATGGTCTAATAATGCCAATTAACCCTAAACTACAAATTCAAACAATTCCAGTAAAAATACTTGGTGTGTAGTTAGAGGGAAGAAGGGAGTTTTCGACAAATGATAGATTCTTCTAGAATGATAAACATACACGCAAGGTCAGGGAGGGGGAAAAGAGAAAAATAATCCTATCAAATACAAAAATTAATTATTAAACTATTAGTTTAAATGGTTTGATACTGGAACATGAATAGACAGATCAATGGAAAAGAATAGAAAGTCCAGGCCAGGCGAGGTGGCTCACACCTGTAATCCCAGCACTTTGGGAGGCCAAGGCAAGTGGATCAGTTGAGCCCAGGAGTTGGAGACCAGCCTGGGCAACATGGCAAAACCCCATCTCTACAAAAAATACAAAAAATTAGCCAGGAGAGTGGCATGTGTCTGTGGTCCCGGCTACTCAGGAGTCTGAGGTGGGAGGATCATTTGAACTCAGGAGGTGGAGGCTGCAGTGAGCCAAGAATGCACCACTGCACTCCAGCCTGGGTGACAGCGCGAGACCGTTTCAAAAACAGAAAAAAAAAAAAAAAAGTCCAGGAATAGAACAAAATACATGCACAAGAATTTCACATGTGATAGAGGTGGTGTTTCAAATAAATGGAGAAAAGATGCAGTATTTAATAAATGATTTCGGAGAAACTGGCTAGTAAATAGAGGAGGAAAGGCTAAATTCCTGCCTTATTCCTTATACCACAATAAATTCCAGATGGAGCAAAGATCAAAACATGAAAAACAAACTGTGGAAGCAGAACCATAAAGAATAATGTAAAAGAACTGTATAAGAACACAACAATGGAAGTATTATCTTGAAGTAGTAAGGAGAATATTCTAAGCATGATATAGCACCAGAAGCCTTAAAAGTGGAAAAAAAATGACACATTTAATTAAATAAAACCACCACACACAAAAAAACTACCATAAAAAGTCAAAAGACAAGACATTAGATAAAATATTGGTAATATTGTAATAAAACCTTATTTTTCTTATATTACTCTTACAATGCAACAAGATAATGGCCAGATACGTATTTTTGAAAAATACAAATGCTATTAACATAAAAACATGCATAGCACCACTTTTAATAGAAGCAAAACAAACCTAATGAGATACCTTTTTATTTTAACCTATCACACTGGCAAGGATTCGAAAGACTGATAACACCTCACTGCCAGTAAGGGTATGGAGATAACGAGAAAGAAACAACAGATACCCGCACTGTTCAAAAAGGCTCACTAGCCAACTCAGGAACCAAACACATTAGAATAAATTTTCAAATGAACCCTCATTATCTGGACTGTCCCTACACTTGCTCAGGAACTAAACAGATTTGGATAACACCATATCCCTCACCATTTGAACTCACTGTGCTAATTCAAGAAAAGGAAAAGATTTGGACACAGTAGGCACTGTGAAAAACACAAATAAAAATACAAAACATACAGTTTTGTAGTGAGAATGTAAGTTAGCATAACCCTTTCAGAGATATCAAAGTTGTAAATGCACATAGCTTCTGACCCAAGTTCTACCACTTCTAGAAATGAATGTCACAGATATATTAGCATAGGAATGTAAATATATATGCACAGAATATTTACTGCAGCACTGTTTGAAAGTACTATTAAAAAAAAATACAAGAAACCCAACAACCAAAAAACTGTTAACAGCCTAAGCATCTTGATTAGTAGGGACCTGATTAAATTACAGTCCATTCATAGAAAGTTATGAAATCCTAGTTTTTCAAAGATGATTGGTATGAACTGGGAAAAGACCATTTAGTGAATCTTCTTAGACCAGGAACCAAAATGTAATTGTAAATATTGAAAATGATAGCTGATTTTCAAATTTTGACTTGAAAAATAAGACAAAAATATAAAAACAAGTTTATTTTATATTTGACAAAATTAAGTTATAATTTCAACTGCAAAATTCTTAGACTAAAAGAATGAATCAAGCATTGACTTTATTTTTTAATGTAATCTTTTTGACAAAACTGTATAATAGCACGATTGGATATCCTTCATGTTTTTCTCTTATGGGACAATTACAAAGAAGATATTCTTGCAAAAATTCTGAAGGGTTCCATCCATTTTCCTAAGGTCCTCTCTTTAATCGTCTGGTAGTCAAATCAGGCTCCCTTACAGCATCTATTATATCATCAACCTTGATAATTTTCTCTTCTTCAACTGTCAATAGCTTTGAGTTCTTTAATATCACACCCATGAACTTCATAAACACCTGCATATTTTGCAAGTTGAGCAATTTCAGTTTGCAAATGATTTTATTCTCTTTTATTAAAATTGCTAATAAATGGTCAGGAGCAACATTTGAGTGCAAACTAATTTTAAAAGTGGTATTTTCATTACTGAATTTTTTTTTTCTGAAGACCTTGGCTTACATAACCAATGCAGTAACACAGATGCTAAGCAGATGATTAAATGAAAATGACCTATTATACTGATATAAAGATGTGCAAGATACATTTATTTATAGAACAATATGTAGTATGATTCCATTTGCTTAAAAAGGACTTTCGGCCGGGCGCGGTGGCTCACGCCTGTAATCCCAGCACTTTGGGAGGCCGAGGCGGGCGGATCACGAGGTCAGGAGATCGAGACCATCCCGGCTAAAACGGTGAAACCCCGTCTCTACTAAAAATACAAAAAATTAGCCGGGCGTAGTGGCGGGCGCCTGTAGTCCCAGCTACTTGGGAGGCTGAGGCAGGAGAATGGCGTGAACCCGGGAGGCGGAGCTTGCAGTGAGCCGAGATCCCGCCACTGCACTCCAGCCTGGGCGACAGAGCGAGACTCCGTCTCAAAAAAAAAAAAAAAAAAAAAAAAAGGACTTTCATATGTGTATATATATAATACGTACACATATAATACATACGAAGATGTCTATCTTTATATGTGAACAAATTTTCAGAAAAAGCATTCAGGAAACTATAAACATTGCTTAACTCTGGGGAATTGCTAAGAAGAAGTTACCTTTAAGTGTATTTTATATCCTTCTAAATTATTTAATTTTGGCCAGGTGTGGTGGCTCATGCCTATAATCCCAGCACTTTTGGGAGGCCAAGGAGGACAGATCACCTGAGGTCAGGAGATCGAGACCAGCCTGACCAACATGTAATCCCAGCACTTTTGGGAGGCTGAGGAGGATGGATCACCTGAGGTCAGGAGTTCAAGACCAGCCTGGCCAACATGGTGAAACCCCGTTTCTACTAAAATACAAAAATTAGCTGGGCATGGTGGTGGGCACCTGTAATCCCAGCTACTCGGGAGGCTGAGGCAGGAGAATTGCTTGAAACCAGGAGGCAGAGGTTGCAGTGAGCTGAGATTGCGCCACTGTACTTCAGGCTGTGTGACAGAGTGAGACTCCATCTCAAAAAAAAAAAAAATTAATTTTGCCACAAAGAATAATACACATTTACAATAATGTTGACAATATTTATAATGTATTCACAGTAATGGTGATGTTGATATAACTAGGTTTTAAATTAAATACATAGTAATGATAGATAATCTATGATCCCAGCTTTCGAGAGTTTAAACTAAGCCCTAACTTATAAGAGCCATTAAATTTAGAAATCTCAAATACTAATTAAACCATTTAAATAACATTCTAATGCAAGGCTCAATTACCCTAGCAGTTTTTTTCAAATCTAATTACTTCAGACAGAAAACCTTTGTTTACCTTTTTACACTTTAGAGACAGGATCTGGTCTCTGATTACCAAGTTGTGAAACAAAATTTGAGATTTAAGAACTAGGCAAAAGATAAGCAAAACTAACTCCCAGTCATGACACAAAAAATATCTGTGCTCACTGAAGCAACTTTAACTGTTTTAAAACTTTTCCTAAGAAAAAAGAGAGATGTGTTCATTTTATACTAAAATTCCAATAAATGTTAAAAATGAAAGAATAGTCAGATGATTCTCAAAGTGTGCTACATACAGGGAGACCCAATACCTTTTCAAAGGGTCTTAGAGATAGAATTATACATTGCTAAGATCCATTGATAGAATAATGGATTTTAATGTAACAGTACAAAAAAATTCGTTGATATGGTTTCAGATCCTATGTTGTAACTAACTTTTACAAAACTATCACTTCTTGAGTTTTACTGTCATATCACAGAATTTTCACCATTATATGAAAGGGCTTTTAAAATATACCTCCGACTACATCTTAGTGGGGCCAGATTTTCTTCACTTACTTCAGCCAAAGCAACACACTATAACAAATTCAGTGCAAAGCCTAAAGTGAAATCCAGTTGTCTTCTATTAAGGTAGACGTTAATGAGATTTGAGAATGTAAAGCAATGCCACTCTCCTACTTCATTTTGGAAAATATCTATTTTCATTTAACACATGTTATTTATGTTAACATGTAATTGGTATTTCTTGTAAATGAATAATATTTAGCTCTTTTCTCAGTTTTAATTTCTAATACAATAAATATCAGTACATAAAACCCACATAAACAAAAGCTCTTTAGAGTTCTCAGAATAATAAAAGTGGAAAAGAATCCTGAAACAAAAAATTTTGAGTATCATTATCACAGTCTATTCTATGAATCAAAAGGCAAAGAGGTGAAAGCAATTTGCTTACAACTAGGACGAATGTGCAGAAGGTAATGTTAGATACTAAATTTGTTTTTTAGATAGAATTCAATGCTTTTTAAAGAAGAGATGAGAAAAAATATATTTATAGTCTTCTATATTAACCTACATATTGACATTTCCAGTGCTCTTCATTTCTTCCTGTGGATTTGAGTTTCCATCTGGTGTCATTTCCTATCAACCTAAAGAACTTAATCTTTTAGTATTTCTTATAAGGTAGGTCTGATAGCTACAAATTCTGTCTTTCTGTAGGAATGTATTTATTTCACCTTCATTTTTAAAGGTTAGTTTTGCTAAATATAGACTTCTTCACAGACAGTTTTCTTCTTCCAGCACTTTGAATATGTCACCCCACTGCCTTGGGCCTCCACCAATACTGATGAGAAAGCAGCCCTTAGTCATTGCTGATGCTTCCCTCTTGTGTAGTGAGTTGATTTTCTCTTGCTGCTTTCAAGATACTCTCTTTATCTTTCAGGAGTTTGACTATGTCTAGGCATGGGTCTCTTTGTATTAATCCTAGTCACATTCACTGACCTTCTGGATGTGTAGTTTAATGTTTTTCATCAAATATGAGAAGTTGTCCAAAAGGTCATTTTTCTGACCCTTTCTCCTTTTGAGATTCTCATTACACATCTGTAGTACACTTAATGTTTTTCACAGATTTCTGAGCTCTGTTCAATTTTCTTCCATCCTTTTTCAAATGTTTTCAAGATCGAATAATTTCTACTGGTCTGTTGTTCATGGATTCATTTTCTTGCCATCTCAAATCTGCTACGAGCCCCTCTAGTGAATTTTTAGTTTCAGATATTGTATTCTTCAACTCTAGAATTTCCATTTGATTTTTAAAACTTTTAACTTTGCAATAAATTATTTACAGAAAAGTTGCAAAGATAGTAGAGTGTTCCTATATATGCCTCCCTAATGTCAAAATTTTCTCCTAATGCTAATTAATATCTTACATAACTGTGTTATACTTACATACCATATACATAAACACACATCTACAAATACACAAACATGTCTATATATAACACATTTACATTAACAGACATAATAATGGAAATGTCTTACATAACCATGGTACGTTTATCAGAAATAACAAATTTCCATTGGTGCAACAAAACAAAAATATAGACTTTATTTGTCACCAGTTTTTCTACTGTTATTTTCCTGCCCATGATTCAATACACGATGCCACATTGCATTTAGTCATCATGTCTCTTTGATCTCCTCTGCCCTGTAATAATTTCTCAGTTTTTCCTTGTGTTCCATGACCTTGACAGGTTTGATGAGTACTAGTCAGGTGCTCTTATGGAATAAGCCTGAGTTTGGCTTTATCTGTTGTTTTCTCATGATCGGACTCAGGTTATAGGTTTTAGGGGAGAACACTACAGAGGTGAAGTCCCTCTCATTATATCTCATCATATCAAGGAGTGTTTTTTTTTTTTTTTTTCGAGATGGAGTCTCACTCTGTCGCCCAGGCTGGAGTGCAGCGGCGCTATCTCTGCTCACTGCAAGCTCCGCCTCCCGGGTTCACGCCATTCTCCTGCCTCAGCCTCCTGAGTAGCTGGGATTACAGGCGCCTGCCACTGCGCCCAGCTAATTTTTTGTATTTTTAGTAGAGATGGGGTTTCACCGTGTTAGCCAAGATGGTCTCAATCTCCTGACCTCGTGATCCGCCCGCCTCGGCCTCCCAAGGTGCTAGGATTACAGGCATGAGCCACCACACCCAGCCAGCTTTTTTGTTATTTAAAAAAATAATTTCTATATTCTTGTTGAGAATCTCAATTTGTTGACACTGTTATACTTTAAATTTCCTTTAGTTCTTTTCACATATTTATAGTAATTTAAGTCTTTACTAAATCCAGTATTTAGGGACATTCAGAGACAATTTCTACTGACCTTTTTTTCCTCGTGTATGCGTCACCCTCTGTTTCTTTACGTCTTATAATTTTTTTTGTTGTTAAACCTAGGGATTTTAGATAATGTAGTGACTCAGAATTCTGTTTTCCCCATTAAAGGTAGTGTTGCCATTTTGTTTTTTTGTTTAGCATCATGATCAAGACAAATATGTGGAATCTGTCTCCTCTGTTGTACACAATCACTGATATCTCTGCTCATTTTTTTAATATATTCTCATTTTGTATTTTTAAGCCTGCCTTCCTAGTTGTCCCTTTGCACAATTTAGTAGTTACTGTGACACTCAACAGAGACTGTGTTCAAATACCTCAAGATAGCAAGGCTTCCATCTTTGTTGATGGGCATGTGTGTGGGCAGGGAAGTGCATTCAAAGTTCAGCCTGTTTTCAAGTTTGCTCTGAGTTGAACTTCCCAAAGAGAGAAATTTCAAGTCTCCTATGTGCAAGCATGTACCTTTGGAACCAGCCAAAAGTATGTGAATACCTTAGGCTTTCTAAGGTCTCTGTTGAGCACATGCACAGCCTCATCCAGGAATATTCTTGCCCCAAACACTACTGAATCTTCAGGCTATTTGAGCTGAGCCCCTGGTCTTCCCTTGTACCTCTGGAAATTCATATCCACAACATTACCCACCACTCCAAAGAACTAAGCCCCCTTCAAACTGAGGTCCTTATGTCCTGCTTCTCACTGGCAGTACCTTCATGCCAACCAAGCTGGGGCAGAATTGGGGGAATGTGAGTAGCCTCAAGCTAGAATGGCCACTGACTCCCACTGTTCTCACTCCAAATTCAAGAGCATAACATTTTTCAAAGTTTTATACAATTGGCCTTTAGTCAACCTCCAGAGCACTGAAATGGCTGCTTTACAAAAGTAATGTAAGGGTGGGTGTAAGGGCTCATGTCTGTTATGCAGGCACTTTGGGAGGCCAAGGTGAAAGGACTGGAGGCCAGGAGTTCAAGACCAGCCTGGGCAACATAGTGAGACACTGTCTCTACAAAAAAATATATGTTAAGTTAGCTGGGTGTGGTGGCACATGCCTGTGATCCCAGCTGCTCTGAGGCTGAGGAGGGAGGATCACTTAAGCACGGACGTTCAGGGTTGCAGTGAGCCCGGACCACACCACTGCACTCCAGCCTGGGTGACATAGCGAGACCCTGTCTCAAAGAAAAGAAAACTTGTTTAAGAAATAAAAATTCTATTAAAATGTTCAAATTGTTTGGACCAATAATTCCACTTCTATAAAAACCATCCTTAAAGAAATAACACCAAAATATGGAGAAAGCTGTAATTAGCATGTCCTTACAAAGTTATTGTTAACAGCAAAAAAATTAAAGCAATGTAAGTATTTAGCAGAGCTAGATATTAATAAAACCATGGTACACACAACTGATACATTACATAATCCTTAAAAGTTAAAATTACAAAAATTATTCCATTGTAAACTTCTTAATTCTTCCCATTGACAAAAGTTAGTAAGATTAATTTTATTCAAATTGTGGCACACTACTAGTTGTCTCCCAAAACATCTATTCTCATGTTCTTCCTGAGCATACAATCAGTCACATAGGCTCCATTTCCCAGCCTCCCTTATAGGTAGGCATAGCCGTGTCACTAAGTTCTCACCAATGATGCAATGTGAGTAAAAGAAATAGCAGAACTTCCTGCTCACCTCCTCAATGGCAAACTGTCCTGAATTTCCTCCTTCTCCTCCCCACAGACTGAAGTGTGAAATTGTACAACCATGACAAGTGGATCCCTGTATTACTTCATGGAGCAGAATAGAATATCTCCAACCTACTACATGACAGCAAAATAAAATGTTATCTTATTATGAAGACTAAGTAACTGTAAAAATCCACATTTTAAAAAGTATTACATGGCCAGGTGTGATGGCTCACGCCTGTCATCCCAACACGTTGGGAGGCCGAGGCAGGTGGATCACTTGAGGTCAGGAGTTCAAGACCAGCCTAGCCAACATGGCAAAATCCTGTCTCTACTAAAAATACAATAATTAGCGGGACATGGTGGCACATGCCAGTAGTTCCAGCTACTCAAGAGGCTGGGGTGGGAGGACTGCTTGAGTCCAGGATGCGGAGGTTGCTGTGAGCTGAGATCATGCCACTTCATTACAGCCTGGGTGACAGAGTGAGACCCTGTTTCAAAAAAAAGAAAAGGAATTATATCCCCCAAAGCTATAAAATTAAATGTACCAAATGATCAAAACTACCTTAAAATATGTATATAAACATAGGAAATACATAAAAATAATATTTGGTGGTTGAACTATTAATTATTCTTTATCAAACTTTCAGTAATGTTGTTTAAATTACTTTGACAATTTTAAGAGTTGAAATTGTTTTTGTCTGTCTTTTGAGATGGAGTCTCGCTCTGTTACCCAGGCTGGAGTGCAGTGGCGCAATCTTGACTCACTGTAACCTCTGCCTCCTGGGTTCAAGCGATCCTCGTGCCTCAGCCTCTCAAGTAGCTGGGACTACAGACGCACACCACTATGCCAGGCTAATTTTTGTATTTTTAGTAAAGACAGGGTTTCACCACGTTGGCCAGGCTGGTCTCGAACTCCTGACCTTAGATGATCCACCCGCCTCAGCCTCCCAAAGTGCTGGGATTACAGGCGTGAGCCACCATGCCTGGCTGAAATTGTTGATTTAAACAACTGAGGATATAAATAATAAAACAGTGAAAAGCAGTTCCAAAATAGATTTAAGAAATTTTTATCCTATTGACTTTCATATTATAAAACATGGGTCCTCTGGCCAATATTCCAAATCCAAGGTGCTTGGTCTGCAAATCAGTGTCATCTGCATTCTTTAATAAGAATTATCTACTCATACTTCTCAAGGGCACTAGCTAGTAGCCTTAACCAGTAAGACTACCTCCATATAACTGAATAGGCCTTTTTGACTTTTTAAAAAAACAAAACAAAACAAAAAAAAACCCTTTTTTCATATTTGTATTTTTTTTAAGAGAAAATAATGCCTCAATGCAAGGAGATATGAGAACCAGACCTAAAAAGCTTTATGAAGCTTCCATTAACCTAAAAATCTGTCTAAAGAAGGATGAGCACTGTTCCCGCTGTGAAAAGCATAGCTTCTCATAAAATAGCAATTTAAGGTTAAAATTCCCTCCCCCCTAAACCAAGATACAGCCCAACCCAAAGAAAGCAAAATAAATGTAAAAACTTTGCCATCCTCTCATATTTGAAACTATATAATCCCTCTAAAAATATAGCCAATTTATACAGTATCTTGATATTCCCCAACGATTAAACTTAAGTTTTGAAGAGGAAGAAATGTGTATAACCCTGTAATATATTGCTACTGCAAATCTATAGAAGTGGTACCCCGACTCCCAAGCAATATGTACCATAAATGTTCATTTTTAGAGCTATGCTGTCCAATGAGAATCACTAGCCATCTGTAGCTATAGAATACTTGAAATGGTGATAGTCAGAATCAACATGTGCTACCAGTAGACAATACACACTGAATTCTGAAGACTTATTATCTAAAAACTATAAAATATATCAGTATCTTTCTAATTTTGATTACATGTTAAATTGATAAAGTTTTACATACAGTGAGTTAAATAAAATTATTTTCGTCTGTTTCATTTTACTTTTTAAAATATGGCTACAACAAAATTTAAAATTACACATGTGGCTCACAGTATATTTCTACTGGACACCAATGGTGTCATAACTGAACAAGCTGATCCAGTTCCTAACAGGCAGAATTTTATAACCACTGCCTTTTGGCTTAGTACTCTCTAGTCCCATACTTTTATGCTGAAACAAAGAGGGTATGTTGACCTGGGGTTATGTCCCACAGATTACCAAAGGTAAGGGCTGCCTATAGTCATCCTGCTACTCAACAGGGACCCATCTATTAAAGAAAGAAGTCCCCAGGAGAAATCCAGAGACCTTTGTAAAGTCTTTAAGGGGCTGGAAACCTGCCCCCTCATTCTGACCTTGCCGTCCATCAGCTTTATATGAGAGACTGTGAATGCTATACCACTTCAAGAAGTGCTCCAGAAATCCTCCGTCATTCTAAGAAAAAACAGTAGCCACCTTGAGATGGCATATGGTATTTTAGAACAGAAATGACTGAATGCCACCGCAGAGAAAGGGATGGCATTGTGGGAAGGAGAAAAAGGAGGAAGTGTGGGTAGAGCAGACAGCTGGACTCTCCGTAGGACTGGGTCACTGACAGGACTTGATAATGGTTTGATTCACTTTCTATATTTGCTAATATCTACTTGGTGTGAAGCACTGGGCTTACAAAAGTGAAATAAACAGTATCCACTCTTAAGAAGCACATATTCTAACCAAACATACTGAAGTCGGAACAGATCAGTGGACAAGGTCAGCTGTGCTAAGAGTTAATCCTAGGCTGTAACCTTAAGAACTGAAACCAGAGTTGGTTAATAAAGTCAAATAAATCAGTAGAGAAAAAGCTGAGGGCAACTGGACTCAGGAAGCAAAGAAAGTTATAGATACATGGTATCCTAGGGGTATGATGAGTGAACTTCAAGAACCCCCAAATGTTTGAAGTGTTACAAACATTTCTATACAGGCTCCCCCACTCCCATTTTTGGAGGAGGTGGAAATAATGCATAGTAATTTAACAGATTATCTGAGGCAGCAGTCTCCAAAATTTTAAAGCACTTATTATCTTATCTATTAACTTTATCTATCTATCTATCTATCTATATACACAAACACTCTATGGAAAATAAATAAAACTAGGATCAAAAAAATTAAAGTTAAAAATAAATACAAGTAAAATCTTCAAGTTTTATTTTTCTATTTCCAGTGGTTCTTCTTGCACAGCCCACTTGAATCCTGCTCTAAGGTGTCCTAACATTAAAATAAAGACATTTAAAAATACCACTGATGGGGAGAAGAGGGTGGAAAACCTCTAAAAAGTTTGAAAAACCACACCTCAAATAGAAATGAGCTGAGGCCAACCACCAAAATCCTTAAAGTCACTTCCACAAAGTTTTTCTCCAAAAATGAATTTGGAGAATTTTCATTGTGAGACAAAGAAAACATTAAACTGAATAATGATGTTTCTACAGATTGCAGGTAATCTATGTTCTGCTTTTACCTTCAAATTGTCCTCTTGTATGTTATTATTATTTAAAAATCCCTTTAAATGTTTGCAAGATATAAATTCTCCTTAAAAACTTAAAAGTTTCAGAAAACTAATCTGTCTAAATGGGTCTTATTTTCTATTTTTCTTACTATAACATCACAAAATTAAAAATACTTGATTTAGGGGGAGATTATGTGTGGCAATTTCTTTAACACTGAGTGCTTCTGTAGTACATTCAGTTACACGCATAAAAATTTTTCCCTCCCATTCCACATTCTCAGGTCTAGAAAAATATTTATCTTGTCACCTTTACCATATATTAAAAACATGAAGAGATAACTAGTCATTAATTACTGACAATTAGCCAATGCAATATATTAAAATCTTTATCAAACTAGTATATTGAAGACAAAAAGTTTACATGTGCGAGATTTATAAAATACTAAAAACTTTTATTAATAATAAACGTACTGCTATTATTACATCATTACAGCAACTAAAGACTTACTAGTTAAGATCTGGCAGTACAAGTAGGACATTAAAAATAAGGCAAAAAAAGGGAAAGTTTCCCACAAATATGACAAAATGTTCTTTCTCAATACAAAATAATTCAAAAATTGATATAAAAATACTAAGTTGACAACAAAAACAAGAGCCAATAGAAACAACTCACAGAAGATACAGGAATGCCTTGCTTTATTGTGCTTTTCAGACACTGCATTTTTTTTACAAAATGAAGGTCTGTGGCAACTGCACCTAGCAAGTCTACTGGCACCATTTTCCCAACTGCATCTGCTCACTTCTTATCTCTATGTCACATTTTGATAACTGTCACAATATTTCAAACTTTTTAATTATTGTATTTGTTATGGTGATCTGTGATAGTGATCTTTAATGATACTATTGTAATTGTCTGGGGCGCCATGAAACTTGTCCACATAACACTCAAATTTAATCAGGAATTCCTTCTTACTGATGAGCAAAGAAAGTGGTTTCCGGAGTTGAAATTTACTCCTGGTGAAGATGCTGTGAACACTGCTGAAATGACAACAAAGAATTCAGGATGTTACATAAACTTGGTTGATAAAGCAGGGTTTGAGAGGACTGACTTCAATTTTGGAAGTTCTGCCTGTGGATAAAAATGCTATTAAACACTATCACATGCCACAGAAAAATCTTTCATGAAAGGGAAAGTCCATCAATGCAGCAAATGTCATTGTTATCCTATTTTAAGAAATTGCCACAGCCACCCAACCTTCAGCAACCCCCACCCTGATCAGTCAGCAGCCATCAACTGAGGCAAGACCCTCGACCAGCAGAAAGATTACAACTTGATGAAGGCTCAGAAGACTGTTAGCCTTTTTCAGCAATAAAGTATTTTTAAATTAAAGTGTGTACATTGTTTTTATTAGACATAATGCTACTGTACACTTAATAGACTACAGTACAGCGCAAACATAACTTTTATATGCATGGGGAAACCAAAAGATTCACGTGACTTGCTTTATTGTGATATTAGCTTTACTGTGATAGTCTGAACCCACAATATCTGAGGTATGCCTATAGATAGAGCAGGTAATTAATAACAAACATATATTACAAGTTTAATATTTAAAAAATTCCAGAAATGGAAACTAAATATATTGGAAATATAAATTGGCATCATCTTTCTGGAAACAAATTTGACAGTATGCTTTGATCTAGTAATTACATTAGGAAATGATTTCAAAATTCAAGATTTATGCACAAAAATCATCACAATATTTTTACATAAAAAATACTTGATTAAAATATTCTAAAATGTTAATAGTGGTTATCTCTCAGTGGAAGAACTATGGATGGTCTTTACTTCTTTACATTTTTTCATATATTCCATGTATTTTATAACAAGCATACATTAACTTTAGTCCAAAAAAAATTCAGGTTACTTTTTAAAGGTTCTGTTAGCAAATATCACCCAGTTCTTCTTATAGAAACAAACAATGAATGTTTGCTATTTCTATTCCAATGGACAGGGCTCCTATTCTAATTCTGGATTTATACCTCCCACTTACCAAGAACATCAGCCTCCACACCAGCATAGCAGAGGAGCTTTAGTTAGAGAGAGATCTAAGTTTAAATCCTAGAAATACCACTTATAGCTGTGTTACTTTGGGCACCTTACTTTTCTAAACTTCAACGCATTCTTAAATAAGACTTGCATATATTATATTTATATATTTAGAGTTAAGATAGTTCCAATATTACAAAGGGCAATTCAGAAAGGGTATAAAGATGAAGGTGGAATCTTGGAGGAGGTAGGTGGGAAGAATACAATTTGGGATTCATCCAAAGGAAAGTTATGGTGACATATGCTCTGACATGGTATGCATGAGATTAAATGAGTAAGTTTTTCTTTATTCTTTTGTAAAGAACACTTACTATGTGATGTACACTAGGGACACAGTAGTGAATAGGGTAAACAGGACTCCTGTTGGCTGACCACATATTCAATGGCGGTGAAGGTGGGGGGTGAGGCGGAGATGAATGCCAGGTAGAGACATACAAATCAAATTAGTGAGGTGTGTCATAAATAAAACGAAGTGTAACAGGTAATGGGATAGATGGGGGATGGGTGCTATTTTGAAGAGGATGGTCAAGGAAGGCTCCTCTGCAAAGACTGGGCTGACACTTGAATGACATGGAGCCATGGGAAGAGCCTGAGTCTGACAAAACAGCCAATGCAAAGACAAAGACCAGAACAAAGCTGGCATATTCACAAACAGCAGGAAGACCACTGTGAAAGGCCAAGAGATTGAAGAGGTAGCAGGAACCAGATCACATGGGGCCATATCATGAAAAGGAGTTTGAATTGTGTTTTACTGTGATGAGAACACACTGATGTTTTCAATAGACTGACACAATCTTACTGCATCTTAAAAATTACTTCAACCAAATTGTGGAGGTAGAATTCTAGTGACAGGAGGCTATTGCAGCCGGCTAAATATGCTTTGAACTAGGTAGGACTGATAGCACTGCAGTGGCAGAATAAAACAGAATTCCTATGGAGGCTGGTTTCAACTCTATCTTTGAAACCAAACACAAAGATCTCACTTCGTAAAACATCCCAGGTTCTCCTAGCTTCAGGTGCCATCACTTAACTTCATATAACATTCTAGTGAAAACATGTATCAAAATGTATTGCAACTGTCTATTTACAAAGCTGCTTTTTCTACTGAGTCAAACCCCAAGAATGAAGGCAGGAACAATGTCTTATTTATCTCTGTAATACCTAGCAGAGTGCCTGGCATGTAAGTGCTCAGTAAATTTGATTGAAAGAATGAACAAATAAATTTGAAATAATCAAAACCATCTGTAATAGTTTCCTAGGGCTATTAACACAGTACCACAAATCGGGTGGCTTAAAACAACAGAAATATATTCTCTCATAGTTCTGGAGGCTGAAGGTCCAAAATCAAGGAGTCAGCAGGACCATGCTCCCTTTGAAGGCTTTAGAGGAGAATCGTCCTTGCCCCTTTCTAGTTTCTGATGTCTCCCAGCAATCCTTGGTGTTCTTGGCTGGTGGCTGCATCACTCCAATCTCTGCCTCCATCTTCACATGATTTTCTTCCTTGAGTGTGTCTGAGTTTCTGGGACTCCAGAGATACCACTCATTGAATCGAGGGTCTGTCTTAATCCCATATATTCTCATCTTAACTACATTTGCAAAGACCCTTACTCCAAATAAGGTCACATTCTGAGATTCCTGGTGAACAAGAATTGTTGGTAAACACTATTCAACCCCACTACACCATTAAACACCACAATGCATTGCCTTACCAAGTGGTAACCTTCCCGCTCCAAAAGTGTTCCATAAGGCTGAATAGTCAAAATCAGAAACATTCAACAGAAGAGATTTCTGTATTGCCTTTGTGTGTCCTTTAACCTCTCTTGTTTCAGCCTACTGATCTGTATGTTATGAGAAGTTTACAGGCTCTTCTAATGGTAATATTCTATGATCTTAAGCCGTAATTTTTCTTGACAACTTTTTAGATTTTACGAACGTATTAGGCATATAGAGACCCTCAAATATTTTAGTAAATTTAAATATAACAGAAAGTTTATTTTCTCAGCTTTGAAGTAGGTAGAATGTTTTTTGTAAACTAGCCACCATAACACTCACTTTAATTTTCTTCATTTTTCATTAAGAATGCAGCATATTCCTCCAAACATTATAACACTATACAGTCATGTGCCAAATAACCACATTTTATTCAATAATGAATAGCATGTATAACAGTGGACCCATAACATTATAACACTGTATTTTTAGTGTATCTTTTCTATGTTTAAATGCACAAATACCATTGTGTTACAACTTCCTACATATTTAGTACAGTAACATGCAGTACAGGTTTGCAGCCTAGAAGCAATAGGCTATACCACACAGCCTAGGTGTGTGGTAGGCTATGCTATCTAGATTTGTGTAAATATGATGTTCACACAACGACGAAATCGCCTAATGATGCATTTATCAGTATGTATCCTCATTGTTAAGCGACACATGACTCTACTTTCATTTTAACAGACTATACCTCTGAACACCTTCTATGTGCCAGGCACACAGGGCTATGGCAGTGAATAACCCACTTCCAACTCACATACTTGTAACTCATTAGATTATTAACTAACTAGACCTCAGTCTCTTCATAACTTAAAAATTCCACTTATATGATACTCTAACAGACATGTTACTTTTTTAAAGGGACTATTTCAAAAAATAGCTTTGTCGATTTCTGAAATAGATATATTTTCATTGTTTAAAAAAAAAAATCAGAAAAGTAGGAAGATGGTAAAAATTACCAGAAATCTCACTACCCAAAGATAGGCACTGTTAACATTATACTGAATAACCTTCCAGATTTGGATGTTTTCACACATTGATATATAATATCTTCCATGATTTTATCCAAAAATACAGATGTAGAAAGCAGCATTAAATGGCTGTTAAATTGACAGGCATGCCATTTTGCAACTAGTTTTTTTCCCCCAAAGTTGTTATGTGTATCTTTCTATGACAAATATGGCTATTTGGCATCATTTTATTGGATACAGAGTTTTCTGTTGAATTAAAATACCCATAATTTATCCAATCCCCCACTGATAAACACTGAAATGAATTAAAATATCTATCATTACCAATGTTGCAAATTGTTACCAAAAACCTGTATACATATATCTTAGCAAAGTTTTGCAATTGCCCCTTTGGACAAATTCCAGGACTGCAGAAATGGTAGTATCTACATTTAAAATTTTCATCTGTATAGCATAGACCTTCTGTCCTCTCAAAAGGTTGACTCAAATGATACTCCAACTCCACATATAAGATTACTCATTTTCTTATATCCTTCCCAACAGTGGATTTTGTCAGTCTTCACCAATATGAAAGTACTCTTCTGCCAAAACAAAACAAAGCCAAACCACCTTTTATTTGCATTTCCTTTATTACTAGATAAGCTATACATGTTTTGCTACATTTATATTTCTTCTTGGAACTGCTTGAGACTTTTGCTAATTTTCTACCGAGTAGTCTTATATTCGAGTATTTTGCTAATTTTCTACTGAGTAGTCTTTACATTCTTGGGTATTTGATTGTATTATCCTTGTTAAAAGTAAAGAATCTTTTCATTTTACTTTTTAGAATAACTTCATTGTTTTTCTTAAAATATATATTCACTATGAAGAATTTACACAAAAAGTAAAATTTTAAAAAAATTTAAATTACTAAAAAATTCCACTACTCACCATTTCATACATAACAGTGCTAGAGAGTGAGCTCGCTGTATGTTATGATATTAACTTTTGTTCCCCAAGGTGAAAATGGCTTCATTCATAAGTTAATTTTTAAAGGCAAGTAAGATATGTCTTTCTTTATAAAAGGTTAAGTTGCACATAAATCACATTTCAACAAATCAAATGCTATCTTCCCAAATGACCCATTATACTTCTGATAATGGCTTTGCTTTATCTCTGATTATATGTTAATTAAAAGTAACTCAGATATTTTCAGAACTGAGTGTGTTTGTACTCTTAACTTTTTCAAACGATTACTGGGCCATAAACAGATGGCTTCAATGTATTAAAGAAGATATGCCACCCAAATAATGTCCATTAAAGAAAGACGGCAACTGAAAGAATTCCTACAGCTCAATCCTTTTATAAGGAAGCAGGGAATATAGTGAGAAAAGCAACAGATTAAAAGTTGGAAGAACTAAATTTAAAGCCGTAACTTCTCCACTTTCTTACTGTGTGATCTGGGACAAATCACTCAATCTTCTGAGCCTCAGCTGCTAAATTTCTAAAATGTTGGGAATGGAATTATTTATAAAGTCCCTTTCAAGCATTGATATTCTGATTCCACAGAGTGATGAAGTATGGAAACCCAGAACTAGTAACAATCAAAAACCTAGAAAAAAAATGACAGATGAATAAGGTATTATTTCTGTATAGCTATGGAGAGCAGCAAAATACAGCAACAAGGCAGCAACAAGTAACAAAGGGAATATAGTAAACCAGCAGTCCACAAATTGGGTCATGTATACCCCTGGAAGCATATCAGCATGGAGAGTAAAGAGAATTGATGATTAGGTTCTCACTTTCCATCTGTACAGTTTTCTAGAACCATTGTGTTGACACAGCATGTCTGTTTTCCTTTACTTCCACTTCCTCTTTCCCTTTACCTCATTCCCCTCTGCCACTTCATAAAAGAAAACCGTAACTCTCACATTTTCTGAAACTTGCTGTCGAGTACTGTCTTTGGGCTAAAAATATCCAGGTGGACAAAAGGACACTTCAATATATTCATGTTGAGAAAGTTAATTACTCTAAAAACACTGAAACCTTTTTCTTTCTTTTTTTTTTAACATTTATTTTAAGTTCAGGGTTCTTTTTCAAATCAAGGTGTCACCACTTCCATGAAAATGAAAGGAGAATCAAATCCAGTTGCTACCTGACAAAGCATTAAGAATAATTTTGATTATGGATTATTTTGTTGTTTTATGCATACAACCTAGAAGAATGGGTGCTACTGCTAATATAAAGCACTTTTTAATGACCATCTACTAAATTCGTAAGTGAGGTTTCTCAACACTTTCAAATATTAAAGTAAAAAAGGAACAGAATCAAGCAGAACCCCATCTTTTCTAATATTTAGAAATGGATAAAATAATTGAAATAAATCAGCCCCATCTATCCCACTGAAAACGCATTTCTGACAAAATTTTACTTTAATACTTATTAAAATTTGTAATTAACATATGTTGTTTTGATTGTCTACTGGACATGACTGAACTGATAACTCAGTCCAAAATAAATCTGACACAGAGCATTATGGACATACACAATTTTCGTATTTTTGTATTATAACTGTCCATAGAACTCAGAACTGAGTGACCATTAAAATAAAGCACTTTTTATTCCCATCTACTAAATTCATGAATGAATTTCCTTTTGTTGCAGAAAAATATAACATGATTGATAAAAATGCTTTCCAGCATAAAAGAATACATTAGGATAATATGTAGAGAAAGTAAAACAAAAATAACAGTTCAAAGAAAAAAAAAGACTATAAAAAATTCTGTTAAAATTAACTTTGTTCACATATTTTTTAATGAATGAACTGTTAAAAATCCCCTCATATACATTTAAAATTGTGATTTGAACAACACTACCAGAAATTACATCATTTATATATATTAAAACTTAGATGAAAAACTCAAGATGTGGGAGAAGGTACACAGTTTTTTTGTTGTTCAAGTTCTTTGAAAGGCTGTATGAGCAAAATGTTTGAAAACCCTTATACTAAAGGTCAGAATATATCATTAGTGCTAACCTTTCTACTGGACATCCTCATCTGGATGTTCAGACACTTGAACTCTACATATTCGAAGTAAACTTATCTACCCCCCTCTACAAATGCACACATTTGTTTTTGAAAGAAGAAAGAAAAACAAACCTGCCTCTTCTTCCTATTTGCATTTTTGTTCCTAGCTTCACAATCTACCTGGTCTTTCCAAACTAAAACAGTAGGAATACTTTTTACCTCCCAAAGCAAATCACTTCCTAGGACCTAACTCCTAACTTTCTCTCTTCCTTCCACCACTGCCATTGTTGAAGATCTCTTCACCAGCTGTCATCAAATAGCTCTTCTTCAAAACAATAACTATACTTAATTTTACCTCCCAGGATCTCTCATGGAAAGTAAAATTACTTTACAATAATCAGAGCTATGCAGGTGTACCTGTCATGCATATATATGACTTACCAAAAAAAAAAAAATCACAGAATCACGAAGGTGGAAGAAATCAGTCAAACCCTTGGAGACTATCCTTATCTAAATACCTTTCAAGCTGCTGTCTCAACAGTCACTGGTTGAGAATTTATAAACTCATGAGCTGCCCACCCTTTACGAACAGCTTTGCCAAAGATCTGGGTCCAAATACAACTCACTTGACTTATTATTCCTAAATTAATTTGGTTAAAAAAGAGATTCATGTTAATACAAGAATATCAATAAAGTTACATACAATTATAAAGAAGTTAAAAATAACTTATAATTTCACCACCCAGCAATAGCTTCAGTTAGCATTTTGGGATACATCTAGCTTTCTCTTTATTTTTTGGCACGCATGCATGGTATATAGATATGTATGTATTCTGTTATTTGTTTTTTAAACACAATTAAGATAATCTGTAGATACTCTGGGGTTTTTCTTCACTTAATTATGTTGCTAGCATTTCTTCCATGTGATTAAAGATTCCTCAAATTCTTCAAATCATTTTAGTGGATATACAATATAGAAATAATACTAGAATCCATTGAGCCATTTGTAAACTATATTTTTATATATCCTTTAAATTTTTCAAGGCATTTAAGTGCTAACATAATACAGAAACAATGAAAAATACTATACTACATAATACTATAATCTACTTCATCATTTGTAAATTATGTTTTCAATTTTTCACAGTGATAAATAATGGGATGAATAAACTTGAAGATTAACCTTTATCTACATTTTTAGTCATGTCCTCAGAATAGATTCCCAAAAGCGAATTATCAAAAATACTAATTTAAGTATTAATTTTTAAAATCTTACTAGCATTGTGTACATGTAACCTTCAAGCTATAAACTCACTTTGGCTGCAGTGTAGTAGCACGATCACAATTCACTGCAGCCATGACCTCCTGGGCTCAAGAGATCCTCCCACCACAGCCTCCAGCTTAGCTGGGACTACAAGCACGTGTCACCATGCCTGGCTAATTTTTAAAATTTTTTTTGCAGAGACAGGATCTCTCTGTGTTGCCTAGGCTGGTCTCAAATTCCTGAATTCAAGCAACCCTCCCACCTAAGCCTCACAAGTGTTGGGATTACAGGCATGAACCACCATGCCCAGCCAGTATCACATTTTTTAGTATGCATTTCTTTGATTACCAGCATGGTTAAACACCAGATCTCCTTATTTCCTACTGTTCCTAGCTATTGGTACTTATTTTACCCTCTGAGGTAACGTCCTTTTCCCATGTGGCAAAAGGAAGTAGAAGAGAGTACACAGGCTTTAGAGTCAGCATGACCTAGAGTTTAACCCATTTCCACTACTTAATTGTGTTACCTTGGACAAATGACAGCTTTAAACTTATATCTTCTCCAAATTAGAGACGCTTAACACAAAGTAGGAAGAGTGCACAGCAATCAACAACACACAACCAATCGAAATCTATAACATATTAACCCTCTTTTTCCTTTTATTCACATGGCAGTCCTTTAAATCCTGGAAGACAGCAATGCTCTGTCCCCTCTCACCAACTCTCCATCTCCATCTCTATCCCTGCTGGCTAAAATCTGAGACTTTTTTTCTCCAGAGAAGTGGTTTCAAATCACCTTACCAACCTGCTCATTATCTTCAGAGAACAATTTAGCTGAGTTATACCCTCCTAGAACATGGCATTTAGAACAAAATACTCCAGATAGGATTTGAAAAGATCAGAATGAAAGTTATTACTTCAAATAACTACATCAAATAATCAGTCAAATGTGTTTTCCTAATCCACATCCATAAGACAACAAGATTTATAATTTGTAAACTCAAAATTCTAACTGCAGTCCACTCATCTTCCCTGATTAGGCAGGCCAGATTAAAAGTGAAGGTCTTGGAGCACAACAGGCCTTTCTGGAAGTTCATATAATACCTTGAGCAACTTAATGTCTGGAAACTCAGTTTATTCTTTGGTAAAAATGAGAGTAATACTACTTAATCTCACGGAGTTTTTGTAAAGATCAAAAACACCAACTGGGCCAGGCACGGTGGCTCATGCTTGTAATCCCAGCACTTTGGGAGGCCAAGGTGGGCGGATCACTTGAGTCCTGGAGTTCCAGACCAGCATGGGCAACATGGCAAAACCCCATCTCTACAAAAACTAGAAAAATTAGCCAGGCATGGTGGGGCATGCCTGTAGTCCCAGTTACTCAGGAGGGTCATTTAAGGCCGGGATGCAGAGGTTGCAATGAGCCGAGATACTGCCATTGCACTCTAGCCTGGGAGACAGAACAAGACCCTGTCTCAAACAAAAACAAAACAAAACAAAAAAACACCACACTAATTAAAAGTATCTGCCATATAGGAGTTACTCCAAAAACAGAAACAAATACAGTTGACAATTCAATATGGGTTTGACCTGCAAAGGTCCCCTTACAAGCAGATTTTTTTCAATAAATATACTAAGAAATTTTGTGAAGATTTATGAAAATTTAAGAAAACTTGCAAAGCATCACCCCTGAGACAGACCAATCCCTCCTCTTCCTCCTCAGCCTACTCAACATGAAGATGATGAGGTTCATGAAGACCTTTACAACGATCCACCTCCCCTTAATGAATAGCAAACTCTTACTTCTGATATTCTTAATAACATTTTCTTTTCTCTAGCTTGCTTTATTGTAAGACAGAATATAATACATACACAAAATTTGTGCTAATCAACTGTTTATGTTATCAGTAAGGCTTCTCACCAAGAGTAGGCTATTAGTAGTTAAGTTTTTGAGGAGTCAAAAGTTATATGTGGATTTTTGACTGCACGGGGAGTTGCAGCCTGCATTGTTCAAGGGTCAGCTGTAATTATAATTGTTACTAAAGCAAAACTACTGCATCTTTATTAAGAACCACTTGCCAAGTACTTTATATGGTCCTGAACTACACTTTGTTCTACTCAAAATTCTGATAAGTAAAGCAGACTTTGCTGAAATTTAGTTACCCAGTTAACAACTAATTTTCTCCCCCAAATTCTACCCTGACTTGCCTTGGTCTTCTCCATCTCCCTCTAGCCATCACTTTCTGAAAATGAAGAGCCATCCCTACCAGCAGGTGGAGGCATGGAGCAGTGTTCCAAAATTGCTACTCAAAGAAAATTATAAGCAGGAGATGCTTCAGTGTCAACCATACAATCATTGGCACAGTCCCTTCCCTTATAAAAGGAACCTACCAGCAGCCAAAATAAAGCCCTGCAAGTTTAGAAGGCTCATCTACAAATCTAGTTTTTGTTCCTCTCCTCATATGCTGATCCTATGAACACTACCTGAATGCAAATATACCTGAATGCAAATATGCAAAAGTATCACTTATTTGTGAATAACCTTTTGAAAAGCATGTTTGGCAACAATATAAAAAAATCAACAAAGTCTATGTTACTTTTAGGCAAGAATAAGCCATTTAAATGTGGAAGAGAATAAATTCAAAATTGTCTCTCAATTCAAATTAACCATAAAAGATAAGCAACTTCACAGCCAGAATTTAAGTTTTGAATTATTTTTAAATTAGAAGATTCAAAATGAATTGGAGTTTTTTGTAGTGAACACAGGGAATTTAAGAATGTCTAGATCTGAAAAGATCTTTAGTCAAGAGACTTCTAACAAAATCAGAAATAGATTTTACATAAACACATAAATGTGATCCATAAAGTCAAACAAAGAAAATTAAGAAAACAAAGAAAAGTAAATTCCTTAAGAGGGCCTGCATGCAATAAGGCTTCTTCATCATCTAAATTTACTAGGTCTTTAATCCAGTTAAATGACTGTTAACGATCTTAGACAAAAATGAGACAGAACCTAAGTTTTGTCCACTCCCCCTTTCTTCAGCTCTTCTTTTCCCAAACTTGCCCCTACATTCATCCTCAGAAAACAACACAATTCTCTATAACTGCTCTGGTCAATAGTGAAGGAAGAGGAGGGAAGAGAAAAGAAGAGAAGAGTTGAAAATTGCCTCAAAGAGAATGAAGGGCACCTCTCCCTCTTTCCACCCAAAGTGAGCTCCCTCTCTTCCTAACTTCTGTGAAGGGCTTAATATTTTACCTCTTGCAGACTTTGGTGTTTAAGAAGGAATTCCTGGGTAGACAGCATGTACAGCTGATGGAACTCTAGGCATAGCAACAAAGCAGTAAAATCTCGGCATATAAATCACATCTCCTAGACTGAATGTGTTCCTGACAACCTATAAACTAGCAATTTGAACACCCTGTTAGAACTACACTCCCACTCCAAATACACTATGGATTTACATTAATATTATGTTTGAGCATGTATCTGAAATATAAACATATATTAGCTCAGAAGTGAAAGCTAAAGTATGGTAGTATTAAATTTAAATCAAAGTATGAAGCATTTCTGAAAACAGAAATGAAGCCAAGGTCCCAACAAAACAGGTGTTTTGAGAATACACAGGTAGGAAGGTCTCATAAATATAACCACTTCCCTTGGGGTATCCCACTCACTGGCCACACTAGTCCCTGTATCAGCTTCTGTATCTAAGTTTGCAAAGAGGCAACTATTATGCTAACAGTAATTTGGAATAATGCACATTTATATACTGATGTTGGGTACACAAGAGCCCTTATAAACAAGCACGGGATATGCAAATAAAATTTCACAAAAGAGCAAATACAAATAGCACAAGCAATACTTCAGAAAGCACACTCTTGCTTACTGCAATTTAAAACAAACTCAGTGTACCACACTGCATCTACTATAGTAGCAAAATGTTTATAAAATGTCTAATAATATATGATTGGAGATGAAACAGACAGGATCACCTATTTTGGTAATATCAAAGGATAGATCCTTTTGTGAATTTCAAAAGATGTTCTTACCTTTTGACCCAACCTAGTGATTTTAAAGACTTTATCAAGCATGCATGAAGGTATTTATTAAATGAAGTTTTGCATACATCAACGAAAACCTAAAAACAAAAATGTTCAACATTCAGAGAATGTGTTGCTCATAGATTAACATGACTTCACTCTAGTTTATTGACAATACCTCTGCTCTGCCAATTGAAAAGCTGCTAGCCATATGTAGCTATTTAAATAAAACTGAAGTAAAAATTCATTTCCTCAGTCATACTAGCCACATTTCAAGTGCCCACTAGCCACATAAGGCTAGTGACTATCATCAGATAGTGCAAAAACATTTCCATCATCACAGAAAGTTCTACTGGACATCTCTGATCATATCCACGTGGGCCATCCTCCTTCCTCCTCCCCCTACATTCACCCATTTGTCTAGAAACAACTGCTTCACCTTCAGTCCTTGGCCTAAGAAAGCCTCAACGATTACATAAGGCTAATCCTGATTTAAACCAGAAATTTAGGCATACATGCCTTATCATCTCATAACACTTTGATAACTCCAGTATAATAATTACACCACATATAATCATACCATTTTCTCTATCACAATTCTGTAAGCTTCCTGAAGGAGGAACCAACTTTTATCCAAGGGGCTTTGAACTATTCTCGCACTCACAGGACCTGGATAATTTGTCATATACTAAGAACACTGCTAAAGAGAGAATGGAAATAATGACTGTAGTTGAAAAACGGTTGTGTATAAGGAAGGGTATGCATACAAAGGAAAACTTGGTTAGGGTGGCAGTGTTACAAACGATTAAAACAACAGCAGCAACAAAAAATTACTACAGGCTGAGTATCACTATCCAAAATGCTTGGGATCAGGAGTGTTTTGGATATCAATCAGACTTTTTTGGATTTTGGAGTATTTGTGTATACGTCATGAGATACCTTGGAGATGGGACCCAAGTCTAAACACAAAGTTCATTTAGATTTTGTATACACCTTATAAACATAGCCTGAACATAATTTTACACACTCTTTTAAATAATTTTGTGCATGAAACAAGGTTTGTGTACACTGACCCACCAGAAAGCAAAGGCGTCTCATCACTCATGTGGACGATCTTAACACCCATGTGGTTGATCTGTACTTGTTTGGCATCACCATCATTTCTGACTCTGAATTTATATGCTAGTGATAAGCAATCATTTCTCACACTTACACAAATGTACTTAACAGTAAACAGTACAACATACCATTAATACAGTGAGAAAATAATGTGTTTAGGGTAACTAGGCAGCAGAGCAGCAGCCCCAGAATACCTGCATCAGCTGCTCAACAACAGCAACAAATAATAGCAGGCTGTCTCCGTGTCGGCACTCAGAAAGTTTCCCTTTGAGGGCATTTTGGATTTTCAGACTAGGGCTGCTCAGCCTGTAATTCTTTACATTTTCTCAACGCATAACACAAGGAGCCTCACTCACAAGAAGCTATTCTATGAGTATATATTTGTGAAATATTTCTTAAAAAAAAAAAAAGACAAATGATAACTTAGCAACAATATAAATTAACAATAGATTTCTAAAAATTAAAACTCAAATTTCTAACCCATATAAGATTTGCTTCCAGTGCATAGAAAATCTGACTGAATAATTCTAACTGCAGTGCTTTGGCATACCCATCAATGTACTCACTCAACTTTCACATCTACCAAGAACCTACCTATGCAAAGTACCACAGATATGATGGTGAATAAGACACAATTTCTGCCTTCACAATATTTTTTTTCCAAATATGAATGCTATTCTGAAAGACAAATCTTTAAACTCAGCTATCAACAATAGATATCCAAAAACGACAAAGAACAGGCTTCATCTACTTTATCATTCACTAATTCAAAAAACTCACATTAACCATTTGAAATAGTATACATCCTAGTTTAAAACAAAAAATTAATGCCTCATTTACTTGGCATCCTTGGAAGAGCTGGTGTTCCATCCACATAAATGAATTTTCCAGGTAACTCAAGCTTGTCCATTTCAGTTCAGCATCAATACTTAAAACTCTTTGGCATGGAAATCTTTTTAAAAACAAAAAAACAGTACGAATCTTTCAACTTTTAAAAACAGGCTCTATTAACATTATTCTGACTAAAAATTATTGTGTTATACAACACTCAAGCCCCTCAACTAAATGTCCCAGGGTGCTTGTAAAAGTTGCTGGCTTCTAAGAGTTTTTCTTCTGATCCCTGGCTTTTGGTGTGTCTGCTGTCAACCTTTGCTGCTGTCAGTGTGAACTGACTCTGGCAGCCTCCCACCCCACTTCAAATTTGCTGCTACTTGAAAACAAGTTGTGTCAGAACTTTGCCTAAAACACACCGGCTTTAAGACGATCTCCAAATCAATTTTGGTCACTCGGTCTTTTCTGTGTATTCCTGGAATCGTTATGGTCTGCAGTTACAAGTTCCAAACCAAGTTTTGGATAAATGAATTTGTGCTGTACCTTCATGCTCCATATTGTTTTCATATTTAAAACTGATGCTCAGTCAGAGATAATTTCATTACCTATTCATTCATTCAACAAATATTTATTAAGTACCTACTATGAGCTGGGCTCCAATACTATGGTGACAATAAGGAAATGAAAAGGAAGGTTGCCAGTTTTAAGCATATTTTAAAGTACAAAAACTGTAACTATTTTACTTAATGTCTTTTTTTTAAAAAAAAAAGGGTTTTTTTTCCTAAGTATCTTAAAATTACAAAACCAGTTAAACTTTTTATAACTTCTGTACCTTCAGGCTTACGAACTAAAAATTTAAGGGTAAAGAAAGCATTTGATTAACCAAATGTTTATTTTACAAGTTCTGAGCAGGATTCCAAGGTTTTCTGTCTCCTTTTTTTTTTTCCTATTACAAATTCACATCTAGGCCTAAAGAAATCAATATCAACATATGCTTTATTATTAAATGATATGCAAAGTCTTGATAATGATAAGTATGTCCATCTCTGCATCCACTAAGTTTACATTTACCACAATGTTAATAGAAAAAAAAGGGTTAATTGAGGAAAATTTCTGTCCAAAGTTTAAGAAGTTCCTGTATACTTCACTTTGGGGTTCAGAAATTTTTTTAAAAGTTGTAAGGGTTAGCAAAATATGGTGTAATTCTACAATATTTGCTTCATCTGCCACAATCATATTTTTAAAATTCCATTACCCATTTAAACCTAAGGCTGGAAAAATGAATCAAGAAGTGGAGCTTAAAATTGGTCTCTGTGGATTAATTAAGACATCAGGAAAAACCCCTGGCATCAGCCTCATTTTAATCCCTTGGAATCTTCCTTCTCATTCATTTTCTTCTCAGAGAGCACAAGAACTTTATTCATGTTTTATAATTGTATAAATAATCAGTGATTGCCTTTATTATTCAGACATAACTGGAAATGAGTTGCTAGTCATGTGCCTGCTGATCTGAGGAAGTAAAATAATATTTAGAAGTAAAAAAAGTTACTACCATTAAAAACCTTTAACTACTACTATTAAAAACCTTCTTCAGCAGTGCATTAAGATTTCCTCAACATTAATTCTGGAATCTGAACATGCTTTAAGTGGTACTAAAAAGGCAGATCACAGG
Source organism: Homo sapiens (assembly GCF_000001405.40). Lineage (NCBI taxonomy): Eukaryota > Metazoa > Chordata > Mammalia > Primates > Hominidae > Homo > Homo sapiens. The sequence goes on from NC_000008.11 coordinate 65,840,137, forward strand.
TCTAACCTTCAAAATAAATAACCATGTAATATTATTCTAAATGACACATTATAGTAATTTTCACAAGTCTGCTCTGACCTCATTAGCATACTACCTTGTGCTGTGAAATAAGTTTTAGTTTAAATAAAAAGGATTCAGAGAGAGACCCAAATATAGGCTCTTGCTCCTTCTACAAACACTTTAGGCAAAGAAGTAAATGACAAATATTTACTAGACACTTATTACACGCAAAATTTCTACCAGGTGCTGTCCACACTACCTGCACACACACACACACACACACACACACACACACCTTGCTCAAGATACAATATAACTGGAGAGAGAAAATATACTCCCATAAAAGATAGTATTAGCCAATAGGAAAAATATATTTGATTAATAAAAGTGATCATTAGCCATAACTTCTGGCAGCAGAAAGTGAGGGCACTCAGTTCAGATGTAAACAAAATTCTTTTCACCTCTCTGTTTTAAGTCTGACAATCAAAATTAGCCAAACCTAAGGAATTGGGCCAACGGCATCACCACAGGAAAAAAACAGAAATGCTCAGGAGCAACTGGTATTGGACCACTCAAAGTCTTCCCATGAGTGTACATCAGTAGTTTCTCTCCTAAAATCTCCTTATCAAATTAAAAACAAAACTGATTCCTGGCTATGAACTTTGCAGACTTGTTCCTCTGATACCCAGTACAGCCCAGCCACAGAAACGAAGGAGTCGGGGAGACTACAGCAACGGGGCATCTAGGCCTATTGTTCAGAGGGAACCGCAGGACCAGGCGAGCGCCGCGGGGCGCGCGGGAGCTGGGGGAGGAGAGGCGCGAACCCCGTACAGTTGTGTGTATGGGAAGGGGGACAGGTATGTTGCAAGGCGGGGGAGCACAGGTGTACCCTGGGGCCACGACTAAGGAATAAAGACTCAACTTCCAGACCGAAAAAGACAAGGGCGGTCATTCCTGAGGCTTAAACTGCTGGGCACAGAGGGTGACGAGCCTGGGGAGGGTCTGATGAGAGGATCCCGGAACCCACCAGGGTGGGGTTTTGGGGAGGCTGGAGAACTGAGGGGGGACAGCCAGGAATATTCAAAGAAAAGGCTCTGCAATCGAAAGGCCAGCCTAGAAATCCCCAGACAATGGACAATGCGCGGGCTGGGGGTTGTAGAGGAGGTGAAGCTGGGTGGGCAGAGGGAAACAAAAGAGAGAAGCCCTCAAGTGTGGGCCCGGCGGCGGCGATTACCTGAGAGAGCTGCCGGGGATTGGGGCAGCCGAAGAGAGCGGAGCTGGAGCTGAAGCTGATGGCTCCTCGGCGGCTGAGGACGTGCTGGGGGACCGGCCTGTCCAGGGGCAGTACCGGCAGCTGGTAACACACTTCCATTGAATACGCCCGCCCTGCCTCCGCGCGGCGCCCGCCCTGCCGCGGCCGCCGGCCCCTGCAGTGGGAGGGGGCCGCGGCTCGGGGGCTCCGGGCCGAGACGGGGGCAGGGCGGGCGGGGACCGACCCCGGGCTGGGAAGCCGCGCTCACGCCTCCCCAACCCCAGCCCTCCGCTCGGGCCGCCGGCGGGAAGGCTCCGCGGCGGCCGCGGCGCCAATTACCAGGACCGGCGCGCGCCTCGCTCCAGGCGAGGGGGGACGGGGTGCAAGCGGGGCCAGCACAGGCAAAGTCGGAAAGGGAACCCCGCCGCCCTGGGGCTCCTCGGCCGAGAGGAGCAGGTACCCGGACTGCAGAGTTCGAGCGCAGCACGAACGGAGCAAAGCAGTGCAAGAAAAGACAGCTGGAGCCAGCGGCCAGACCCAGGGCGCGCGGGACTCAGGAGCAGCGACCAGCTCGGGCCGCCGCCGCCGCCGCCGCCGCCGCCGCCGGAGTCCTGCTCCTCCCCTCCCCCGGAGCCTGACTTCACTCCGCCGCCGGCGCGAGCCCGGCGTAATTCACACTTTGCAGCCGCGGACCTTGCGCCAACCACGGCTGCCGCCACCGTGACGTCACGACGCCGCGCCGCAGGCCCAGCGCCCCGCGCCGCCGCAGCGCCCAGGGAGACTGGCAAGCGGCCGAGGGCGACAGTAGCCTTCCTTGTGTTCTGCACCCTGGGGCTCTGTTGGAGTCGCCTCCCGACAAACGTTTTCCCCCATCTATCTCATCCGCAGTTCCCTTCGCGCCCCGCCGTGACTCCCTTCCCTAGCTCCTCGCCAGCCAAGGCGCGTGCGCACGAGGCCCCACCGTTTCGGGGCATCCCCCCGAGCGCTAAATTCGTGCGTTCCAGCGCGCCTAGGCTATGGGGTGTGCTCGTCCCGCGCTAGAGGCGGCGTTCCGGCCTGCCGACCCCAGAAACCCAAAGCACCCGGCGCAGTCGCCGTCCTCAGCCCTGACCGCGGGGTCACTGCTGGCTTTTCCCTCCTTGAATTCCCATTCATGGGTTTCGCTAGAGACCGCTGCGGCAGTGACGTCAGCGGGCCGCGCGAGCACCGTCCTCCTGGCTACGTCACTGCCAGTCCCTCGGTGGGGCCAGGCTCCAGCGCTCGCCTGGCAGATGCGGCCCCGGGGCCATCCCGAGCCCGAGGGGCGGAGAGGGGAGCCGAGAATTCGGAAGTGAGAAGGGGACCCGGAGACAAAGGGAAAAAACCAAGACTGAGAAAGAAGTGAGAGTATGGGTGAAAAGAATGAGAAAGGATGATACTGAGAAGACAAAGGGAAAAAGTAGACTGCATGCCCCTCTACCAAAAGTGTTGTTTGTTGACTTTCGATTTTTCGAAAGCGAGAAAAGATAAAGAGCTCTTGACCTGTTTTGTAAGCTAGATGTGTAATTTGAGTGTTCATTTTGTCACATTTCTCACTAAACGGTCAAAGCTTTCAGCATCAACTAATTGTTTCTAATGCATTCCAGCCTTTGGGATTTCAGCCTGAACAACCTCTCCCCTGCTGGCAAAATTATTGCTTTGGTTCAGTTCTTAGGGCATCCACCCTTCTACTGATTTGTGATGACTAGCCACTGACAAGGTGGAAGGCCTTTGAAAGCACTGCATAACTTCCACTGATGATGAGATCACATACCAAATGCACATAATCCGGTAAATGAGCAAAAGTAGACCTTTTATCATCTTCCCATGGCATGTTTCTTTTCTCTTGCTAAAACTTTATACCTCCTACGTGGATATTTTTCTACCTGTCTGCTTTCTACTATTAAAAGAACTATGACCTCCAACGTGGTCTTGTGGATTTTGTCTTCATTAGATGATGTAAGCTCCCCTTTAGTACAGCTGATCCAACTCATCTTTGAAATCCAAATTACTCCCACAACTTCTAGTAGATGTATTGAGCATCTACTATATGCTTGGGATTATACTGAGCAAGTTTTCCTACGTTATCACGTTTACTTCTCACAAAAACCTCATGAGGTAATTATTAGTACCTAAGTTGAGAATAGGCTCATGGAAACACGCTTGCCCTAGACCTTACACAGGTAAGTGGCAAGAACTAACCTCAAATAATGTTTGAATTCTGTGTAAATCTAACCATCCAGGAGGTGATATTGGTGTGATGTTACTGTGTGCCAAATAAAATAACTATATTACATTTAATAACATCTAAGAGACTCAGGTTGATTAAATCATTTAATGACACTCAGAGCACTAAGTAGATAACTAAAAAATGTATCCCCCTTCAACATAGTTGGTTACTATTGTGCACCTGTGAACCAAGAACCATGACAGGCATTCTACTTACAATGTTTAACTTTACCCAACGCAATAGCCAAGTAAGTCAGGTAATTTTATCCTGATTCTACAGATGAGGAATCAGATTACAAGACCATAAGTCATTTGTCCCAGTGAACTCTGGTCTATGATTTCAGAGCCATGCGTTTTCCACCATACCACACAGTATCTCAAGACCAGAGTTTTTCAGCTCTTTACAGTGTTCTTTACAGCACATTAATCAGGTTATTCAGAGAAACACAACCCATAGGATGTACATATAGAGAGAGGGAGAGAGAGTTATTTTAAGGAATTGGCTTATGTTTTTGTGAAGGCTGGCAAGTCTGAAATCTGTAGGGCAGGCCAGCAGGCTGGAAATTCAAGTAAGAGTTGAAATTGCAGTCTTGAGTCTGAAATCTGCACAGCAGAACCACAGGCTGAAAACTCACACAGGGTTTCTACATTGGAGTCTTGATGCAGACCTGAGTCATCCTCAGGAAACCTAAGTCTTTGCTCTTAATGCTTTCAACTCTTTGGATGAGGTCCACCCACTCCATGGAGAGTAATCTGCTTAAAACCAATGGATTATAAATGGTAGTCACACCCACAAATATCTTCATAGTAACATCTAGACTAGTATTTGACCAAATGACTGAACATCATAGTTTAGCCAAGTTGATACATAAAATTAACTATCACAGGAAGCAAAAGTTAAATATAGAAATGCTATTACTTTCTGTAACAAAAAGAAAAGTACCTAAGAAAAAAGTATCAAAAACTGCAAAATTCTTATAAAGGAGGCTTTTACATGGTTGAAATATAATAGCCGACTTGAATATTTAGAAAGTATTCGCATGAAACACAAATATCTTCACATTATGTGCCCATTTAATCTTTCCAACATGTTTTCCTTCCCCAGACCTCCTTGTCACCAGTTTTCTAATCATATTCCTTCCGAGGTCCAAACCATCTATCCAAGCAGTCAGATACTGCTCATGAATCAGTATAGACCTCCACATGTAGCTATTCCCCTTTCCAGACAAAATGAACAACCAGGTATGCAGCTCCAAGTTCTGCTGACTGGGAGTATTTCTCTTCACCGCCTCTAGAACCACCACAGAGAGGGGCCATCGTGTTGTAGCTGTCCACTGTCTGCACCATAAAATGCAGAACTATCTGTAAATCAGTTGCAAATATTTTTCTCAACAGGTTATAGGGGACCACATGCCTTGGATGCCTTCTGGCTCCAAGGTTTCTGCTGAGAAATTAAATAATAATCTCATTGAGAATCCCACATATGTAAAGAATTACTTTTCTCTCATTGCTCTCAAAATTCTCTTTGTCTTTTTTTTTTCAGCAGTGTGATAATGTCTTGGTCTGGGTCTTTTTGGGTTTGTCATACTTGAATTTGGCTGATCTAAGATATCTAAACATGATTTCTATAAATTCAGGGAGTGTTCTGCCATTGTTTCTTCTAATAATCTCTCTGCTTCTTTCCCTTTTCTCTTTCTGTAAATACCATAATGCATGCATTAGTCTGCTTGATGGTGTCACATATGTTCCTTAAACTCTGTTCACTTTTCTTTACTCCTTTTTATTTCTGTTTCTCAGAATTTGTAATTTCACATGTCCTATAGTCAAGTTCACTTATTCTTTCTTCTGCCTATTCAAGTCTGCTGGAGAACCCCTCTAATAGATTTTTCAACTTGGTTATTGTATTTTTCAGCTTCAGAATTTGGTTCCAGTTTATAATTTCTATCTCTTTGCCAATGATTAATTTTGTTTACATATTGTTTTCCTGATTCCACTTAGTTCTCTGTCCATATTTTCCCTTAGCTCTTTCAGCATATTAAGGACAGCTATTTTAAAGTATTTGTCTAGTACGTCTAATGTCTGTGTTTTTTCAGGGAAGGTAACTGCTACTTTATTTTCTTTTTGAGAGGGACATGTTTTTCTGGGTTTTTGAAATATGTCTTGTGGGAGTTTTGTTGTTATTGCTGAAAATTGGGCAGTTGAGAAAACAGATACCTCCCCCAGTCTTTGCACACTGGCCCTGTGCCAGCGAAGTTTTTCACTAATTAGGTGGCCCATGGTTCTAAGCCTTAGGATCAGCTTCAGCTTAAGGAGAAAGCTTAAGACCTTACAAGTTCTTGTATGAGCATGCATCTTGCTCGGGCCATTGTGTGGCTTTTTAAATTTCTCTGTATACACAGCTGCTTTTTAATGTCTTATTTTCCAAATGAGTTTCTCCTTGAGGCCTTTGGTGGTCTATTATATATCTCTACCCATAATGTCTTACCCCAGGTGTCTACGGGCCAGTCTCCCTGCAACTTTCCCAAGCAGCAGCCACTGCTTCTCCCTGCTTGAGATCTGAGTTAGGCAAAGCGGAGACCAGTCCTTCAGGCATTCCCTAGTAGGTTAGAGCATTACAAATAAAAGTCTGCTCTGCTCCTACTGATTTATAGTTTTGTTTGGTACTGTTTTCATCTGGCTTTGGTGTCAGGTCAATATTTGCCTCATAAAATGAGCTGGAAAGGTTTCATTACAGTTCTATTTTTCTGAAAGTGTTGGTGTACAAAAGTGGGATTACTTCTTCCACAGATATCTGATAGGGTTCACTAGTAAAACTATCTGCGACCTGCACTTTTTATTGTAGGAAGATTTTAAATGACTAATTCAATTTATTTACCTGATGAATCTTATAAACTAAGCTCTATATAACCCCAAAAGTGGTCTCCAAGGTTATAGGCCAAAATGTCAGAAGTGGTGGGATTGCAGTTTTTCCTTTTCTTTTAAAATGTTATCCTAATCAATTATGTTTGCCAAATTTTCTAAGATAAACCTATATTATTTTATAACAAAACTTATTCATAGCCTAGGCAACATGGTGAAACCCTGTCTCTACAAAGAAAATACAAAGATTAGCCAGGTGTGGTGGCATGTGCCTGGAGTTCCAGCTACTTGGGAGGCTGAGGTGGGAGCATAACTTGAGTCCCGAAAGTCGAGGTTGCAGTGAGCTGTGATTGTGCCACTGCACTCCAGCTTGGGCAACAGAGCAAGCCCCTGTCTCAAAAAAAAAAACCCAGTTATTTATTAAATATATAAACTGTGAGTAAAAATAAAATGTCTATAATGTGATGATAAACACACAATACAATAAAAGAGTAATTAAAGAAAAAATTTCACTTGAGGGTTAGTTCCCTAGACTATTTAGTAGTCCAACACTAATCAACAAGCACTTCTATAGTAGTACACTAATGAATAACCAGTCAGAAGATTTCTAGCTAAACACAGCAGATTGTATACAGGTATTTGTCTGTTGCCTCCTCAAACTCTCCTAAATGACACTGAAAGAAGAAAATAAAGCATTAGTTCAGGACAAAGAGAAAAGAAGGAGAAATGAAAACTGATAAGAAGTTCATGTTTTGGAAACTGAAGGTGATGAGTAAGTTATACATGTCTTAGCAAAACAGAAAGCTAAACCCCAAGCTCACAAGTGGAGAGGGCTACATCCAGCTGATATCTGCTGTGGAGACACAGGAAAGTATCAGAAATTAGAGACCCCACCCATCTTGCAAGGCAAGGATCCACGCGGGCTGAAAAAGGAAAGATCATTGAAGTTCTTTATAACAAGTGGTCAGAACCTCAGATCTCCTCTCCAAGGCTGTGCAGACAGGCAACTTGCTCTTCTTCACCTCAGCAGAAGATTGGATGGACTGACCCAAACAGGCTCTGGACTTGGATTCACCAGGCAGAGCTGAGGGTGAGGTGAGAGTACCATATGCAAAGAGGTGGCATAAGTGAGAGTCTGCATACTTGGTGACAGCCAAGTTTATATCCTCCAGGCAAGAGCCTGGAAGATTCCTCTTTCAAAAAAATGGAAGTTTTGCTGGTGCTGTCAGTTGGGAGTCCTCCGACCAAATAAATGGGTCCACACATAATTCTAAAGTAAACCCCACCCATGCACAGGGAGCTTGTAAACAGCATCTCATTCTTAAACATGAAAGAACAATCAAGCATTATCAGAATTTTGAAAAATCCTGTAGCATGAGAGATGATAGAAATGAACAGAAAAAAGAAACAAGGGGAAACAGAAACAATACAGAAAAATCCCTTCAAAAAACCAATAATATTCTTAGAGAGATAAGAAATTATAAGGTATAAGGGCAGAATGATATGAAACAAAATAGTTCTTTTAAAATAAAACTATAATAGCAAAAAACTAAATATTTAATGAATGGGTTAGATGATAAAGCTAAATATATCTTCCCAAAAGTAAAACAAAAAATTAAAGATACAGATAATGTGAGAAAAGACATTAAAATTAAAGTCCCAGTCCAGGGGGCTAAATGTCCAAATGATAATGATTTCAGAAAGAGAGAATTGAGAAAATCATAGGGAGGAAATAATTTAAGAACATTTAGCAGAACTGGAAGGCACATTTCCAGATGGAGATTGCCAAGTCTGTGCTTAGAATAATGGACAGAGAAAAGATAGACACCAAGGGATAGCGTTGTGAAATTTTAGAATAATGGGGACAAAATTAAGAACTTAAACATCTTCCAGGGAATATACGTAAAAACAGGCCACATACAAAGGACCATGAATCAGCATAGCAAAGACCATCTAAACAGCAAATTTGGAGCTAAAAGGTAATGAAAGCCTTCGAAATTCTGAAGAAACATGGTTTTCCATCTAGGAATCTGTATACCTGGCCATACTATCAATTTAGTGTGAAAGCAGAATAAAGATAATTTTCAGACACTGAAGAACTCCAGTATGTAGCTCCCACTGCACCTTTTCTCAGGAAGCTATTAGGTAATGTACTCTAGAAAGAGGAGGAAGGATACCACGAAAGGGAAATACAACAATCAAGCAAACAGGGGCGTCAACAGAGGGGAGAGGGGAAGGAAGTCCTAAGTGATAGTCCTTGAGTCACAGCACCAGAGAAGACCGAGACAGCAACAAGGCCACATGTGAGCAGGCGGGTGGAAGCTCTGGGAAGAAAATGGAACTAATAAGTGACCTGTAGTAGCTAAACCCAGTGAGAGAAGCTCTGGCAGAGAGTTTGGGAATACATTTATTATGAAGACATAGAAAATTAAGCCTATAAACTTCAATTAATAACACTGAGAAAAACAAGCTGTAAAAGAAATTTAATCATCATACATTATATGGCTAGTTTATAAATAAGCTATTCATTACATATTCACAACAATATAATCGCTGAATATTGATTTAGCAAAAATATGGTGTTACAGCTAAATATATTGAGAGGTGTAAGGGGATGAAAGGTGTGTGTCTCCTTGGGCGATATTAGAGAGCCAAATTTTCATCTTACACAGTAGAATATTAATAGATAACATAAAAAATAGAGATGTGAGATATATATATATATATATATATATTTTTTTTTTTTTTTTTTTTTTTTGAGATGGAGTTTTGCTCTTGTTGCCCGGGCTGGAGTGCAACAGCATGGTCTCAGCTCACCGCAACCTCCACCTCCTGGGTTCAAGCAATTCTCCTGCCTCAGCCTCCCAAGTAGCTGGGGCTACAGGCGCCCGCCACCATGCCCTGCTAATGTTTTGTATTTTTAGTAGAGACAGGGTTTCACCATGTTGGCCAGGCTGATCTTGAACTCCTGACCTCAGGTAATCCGCCCACCTCAGCCTCCCAAAGCGCCAGGATTACAGGTGTGAGCCACCGTGCCCGGCTGACATGTGATTTAATAATATGAAACTAAATCCTTGTAAGAAACAACTAAAAGCAGTATATATTCTTGCCATAGCAGAGCAAAAATTGATAATGCATAGGGATGGGACAGGATGCTGCTAGGTTTATTATGACATCATCAACGTTGAACTCTAAAAGCTATGTACATGCATTATGCTTTTCATTCAAAAAACAAAAATAATCATATTATGTTGAGTTGTGTCCTGCAAAAGACATGAAGAAGTCCTAACTCCTGGTATGTGTCACCTTATTTGGAAATAGGGTCTTTGTAGATGCAACCATGTTAAGATAGGGTCATGCAGGATAAGGGAGGACCCTATATCCAATGATGGTGCCCTTATAAAAGGAGGGAGATTTGGAGGCACTCATACATGCAGGGAAGAAAGCCATGTGAAAACAGAGATGGAGACTCAAGTGGTAAGTATACAAGCCATGGAACACCAAGGACTGCCAGTAACCACCAGAAGCTAGGAAAGAGGCATGATCAGATTCTCTTCTAGAGCATTCAGAGGGAGCCTGGCCCTGCCAACACCTCCATTTTAAACTTCTGACCTCCAGAACTGTGGGAGAATACATTTCTGTTGTTGTAATTTACCCAGTTGATGGTCATTTGTTATAGCAGCCTTAGGACACTAATATAATCATGTTAATTCTGTGTATCTGAATTGGAGCAGGAGATGTTTCACAAAGAGTCAATTCTTCTAAATTCATTTCTACACTTGAGGTTAAACAACACAATAACAACAACAACTAATCAATTTAGTTTTTTTTAAGGCACAGTAGAAAATCCATCTGTTTAATTAAGGGATGTGGGAGGACTAGCAATATGGAATCACAAATTTTAGTTGCTAGTTATAAATATTGAAGTGAACGCCTGTCTGAAGTTGACTTTCTGTTTTTAAAAACATCCCTCAGTTTCCCTGCTATCTCTGAAGAAGAATGTAAAGAACAAAGGGCCTTTTACCTCACACCCCATACAATAACAACATAAAATATTGAACAGAATAAATCTTACTCAAAACAGAAAAATCTTTTATAGTGAAGCTAAAAATCAATTACTAAACAATTTTTGCACTAACAAATATCTCTGAACTTAATTATAATTTTTATATAAAATAGTGACAGATTTAAAGAAAGCACCTGTATTATTTACATTTTCTACACTCTTAATTCCAGTGCCCCCTCTGTCTAAATATCTGCTTAAAAGTAGTTTAAATAGGGCCAGGTGCAGTGGCTCATGCCTGTAATCCCAGCACTTTGGGAGGCCAAGGTGGGTGGATCATGAGGTCAGGAGATCGAGACCAGCATGGCCAACATGGTGAAACCCCCTCTCAACTTAAAAAAAAAAAAAAATTAGCTGGGCATAGTGGCACACACCTGTAGTCCCAGCTACTAGGGAGGCTGAGGCAGGAGAACTGCCTGAACCCAGGAGGTGGAGGTTGCAGTAAGCCAAGATCGTGCCACTGAACTCCAGCCTGGGCAATAAGAGCAAGACTCCATCTAAAAAAAAAAAAAAAAAAAGTAGTTTAAATAACGAAATATTTAAGATCTTTGAAGCCAATTGGTTATAGTGTGTTTTAATGATGAGGTAGGAGGCAGGACTAAACTCTGGAGGTGGGGCTCGGACATGGGACCTAATTGAAGACTAGCTAAAATAGGGCTGGGGTGAAGCTGCATTCCATGAGACATGCCCACCAGTGTGCCATGTTAGTTTACCATTGCCATGCCAATGCTCAGAAGTTACTGCCCCTTTCCATGGCAATGACCTGATGACCTGTAAGTTATCATTCTTTTCCTAGAAATTTCTACAAAGCACACCCCTTAATTTGCATATAATTAAAAGTGGGTATAAATATGACTGCACAACTGCCCTTGAGCTGCTTCTCTGAGTACACTGCCTACAGGGTGGCCCTGCTCTGCAAAGAGCAGTACCTCTGCTTCTGTACACTGCCACTTCACTAAAAGTTGCTGTTTAACACCACTGGCTTACCCTTGTATTCTTTCCTGGGTGAAGCCAAGAACCCTCCTAGGCTAAGTCCCAATTTTGAGGCTCACCTGTCTTGCATCAATGGGTTGAATTATGGTTGCCCCACCACCCTGCCAAAAAATATATATGTTGAGATCCTAACCTCCAGTTCCTCAGAATGTGAACTTATTTGGAAAAAGGGTCATTGCAGATGTAATGAGTTAAATTAAGATAAGATCACAGGATTAGGATGCACTATGAAGATGTCCTTATAAGAAGACAATGATGGCCGGGGGTGGTGGCTCATGCCTGTCATCCCAGCACTTTGGGAGGCCTGGGCAGGCAGATCACTTGAGGTCAGGAGTTCGAGACCAGCCTGACCAACATGGAGAAACCCCATCTCTACTAAAAATACAAAATTAGCTGGACGTGGTGGTGCATGCCTGCAATCTCAGCTACTCGGGAGGCTGAGGCGGGAGAATCACTTGAACCTGCAAGGCGGAGGTTGCGGTGAGCCAAGATCGTGCCATTGCACTCCAGCCTGGGCAATAAGAGCAAAATCCCATCTCCAAAAAAAAAAAGACAATGATGTGAAGACAGCATAATCCCCTAACACATTATGACAGATGTCCTCATGAGAAGACAGCAATGTGAAGGCATAGACACAGGGAGAATACCACGTGAAGATGACACCAGAGGCTGGATTGATGCATCTATGAGTCAAGGATGGCAAGTATTGTCTGCCATCACCAGAAGCAAGGAGAGAGGCATGAAACAGATTCTCCCTCAGAGGTGCTGGCAAGAATCAACCCTGTTGACACCTTGATTTTGGACTTCTGACCTCTATAACTGTGAGATCATAAATTTCTCTTGTTTTAAACCAACCACTTTGTGGTACTTTGTTGCAGAAGCCCTAGGAAATTAATACACAGGGTTTTAATCAAAATTTTTGAAAAGTCTTTGATTTTTTTAAATTTCAAATCAATTTTTCATTCATTTGTTTATTCACCAAATATTTATTGAATGACTACTATCTGGTAGGCACTAGAGATGAGATAAAGACTGGCCCCTGCCTTAATGATGTTAAAATTTTAATGGAGGAGAGTGGAAATAAACAAATAAATACAGTCATGCATTGCTTAATGACAGGAATACATTCTCAGAAGTGTCCTTAGATGATTTTGTCATTGTGCGACTGTCATAGGTTAGTATAACTAACCTAGAAAGTATAGCCTACCACATGCCTAGGCTACATGGGATAGCCCATTGCAGCTAGGCTCCAAACCTGTAAAGCATATTATACTGAATACTGTCGGCAATTGTAACACAATGGTATTTATGTATCTAAATATATCTAAACATAAAAAAGGTAAAGTAAAAATATTGCATTAAAGATTTTTAAAATGATGCTCCTGTATAGGACACATCACGAATAGAGCCTGCAGAACTGGAAGTTGCTCTGGGTGAGTCAGTGAGTGAGTGGTAAGTGAATGTGAAGGCCTAGAATATTACTGTACACTACTGTAGACTTTATAAATACTGTACACATAGGCTACACTCAATTTATTTAAAAAATTATTTCTTCAATAATAAATTAAACTTAGCTTACTGTAACTCTTTTGCTTTATAGACATAAAGTTTTAAAAATGTTTTGACTCTTTCATAATAACTATCAGCTTAAAACACACATTATGTAACTATACAAAAATATTCTTCCTTTATATTTATTCTACAAAGCTTTTTCCTATTAAAACATATGTATATTTTTAACTTTTTATAGTTTTTTGTTAAAATCTAAGACACTAACACACACATTAGCCTAGGCCTACCCAGGGTTGGGATTATCAACATCACTGTCTTCCACCTCCACATCTTGTCCCACTGGAAGGTCTTCAGGGGCAATAATACTCATGGAGCTATTATCATCTAAGATAAAAATGCCTTCTTCTGGAATACCTCCTTACCTCTCAAAGGACTGGCCTGAGGCTGTTTCACAGTTGACTTTTTTTTTAATAAGTACAAGAAATATACTCTAAAATAATGGTGAAAAGTAGAGTATAGCAAATACATAGAGCAGTAACATAGTCATTTATGTAAATATAAAATATGAACTGTACATAATTGTGTGTGGTGTACTTTAATACGACTGGCAGCACAGTAGGTTTGTTTACACTGGCGTCATCGTAAACACATGAGTAATGTGTTGCACTATGACGTTCAGACGGCTACAACATCACTAGGAGACAGAAATTTTTCAGGTCCATTAAATCTTATGGGACCACTATGGTGTATGTGGTTCATTGCTGGCTGGAACGTGGTTATGCGGCACATGACTGTGCATGACATGACATAATATGACATAACAAGCTAGTGTTAGGTGCCATGAAGAAAAATAAAACAGGGAAGTGTATTAGAAAGTGGGATACAGAGGTCAGGGAAGCCTGCTTTAAGAAGATGGCATTGGGCTGGGCGCAGTGGCTCACACCTGTAATCACCAGCACTTTAAGAGGCCGAGGCCAAGGCCAGTGGATTGCTTGAGCCCAGGAGTTTTAGGCAACATGGTGAAACCTCATCTTTATGAAAAGTACAGAAATCAGCTGGTTGTGGTGGCACGCCTGGTGGACCCAGCTACTCCGGGGGAGGAGGTGGGAGGATCAACTTGGGCCCAAGTCAAACTCTTAGAAACAGAAAGTAGAACAGAGTTACTAGAGGTTAGAGAAAGAGACAAATAAGAGTTAGTGTTTAATGGGTATAAAGTTTCCATGTGGAGTGATGAAAAAGTGCTGGAAATAGTGGTGAAGGTTGTACAACACTGTGATTGTACTTAATGCCATTGAATTGAACACTTCTAAAGGACTGAAATGGTAAATTTTATGTTAGGAATATTTTACCACAGACCATTCCCCTGGCCCACCCCAGGAGATGTAGAAAGGAAGGGCCAAATATGTTCTTTGAGAGTTCACTTCTTTGGCCCACCACTCTTATCTGAGCTCTGGAATGAGACCCCCGCGGAGGCAGGTCACCACACTGGCTTGGAAGGCACAGCCCCTCCAGTCTCCCAGTGCTCGCATTCTCACAGCATGACCATGATTTTCCTTTGCTACAGGTGCCAGAGCCTGTGATACATCTCATCACAGTTCCTATCATACTTTTTCCCTCTACTGTTTTTCCAGAAAGCCTTGAAAAAACTTTTCAGATATTCTGACACTTACTTTCTCTTTTTATTTCAAATATTTTGAGTTGACCAAGAAAAAAGGAGTCATTCACCAAGTCGAAGTTTGTTCACTTATTATTTTCCTTGACACTTTCTATACGTGGATTCTTTAATTCAGATTGAGCCTATTGTAAGGGACATGAATGTTACCAATCATGCCTATACACTTTGTTGGCAACAATATGTCTTGAAACTCAACTCTTGGTGTCTGTTTCCTTGATTAAAGCAATCTATCCAACCCCAGCAGACAAAATAAAATAATTGCAATGTATCTGCTGGCAATTATGATAAACCACACAGACTACAAGCCTCTCCACAAGTAAAACTGTAGTACACACAAGGGAACAGATAAACCATAAGGCAAACAAAAAATAATACAATTTAAATGAAAGGAATACTTTACAAGTAGAAGATTTATTTTTTTACATAAAATATCTAAAAAAAATTCTGAAACAAAGCCACAAGAAACAAATTACTTTTACTATAGACAAGTTCCAGTCACATAAAAGAGATAACTGGAAGAATTATTTTTCATAACCTATGGAGTGTTTCACCTGCCAAAGAATCCTCAGTTGACCCTCCTTCACTCCAACAGTGAGATCACACTGTTCAGACCTATAATAAATGTAGCAGTGATGAAAGTTCACGAAGAAATAGAAATAAAAAGTTTGCACATGCATGAATAAAATTTGACCCAGTTTAAATGTCATATCCTTAGTGAAGCCTTTCCTGAACTCCTCAGCTGGAAGAAATCTCTCTTATGAAGTCCTATAGGACCATCTGTACTTCTCTTAAGGTGCCTTCCTTTCTGCATGTTGTATTATATTTCTTCATATACATATTTGGATCTCTCTGGACTCCTAAATTCAGATGTTCTCCAAAGGCCAGTGCTGAAGCCCCTTGTTTTGTCAGTCTACATTACATCCACACACACACAGAGACACACACATATCCCCCCACCAAGACCATCCTCCCCACTGCTTCACAATCTCTTGCCTCTGTGAACATGACTTCAAAATCTCTATTCTTTTTCCCAAAGTTCAGTCGCTAATTTCTGACTGCCTGCTAGATTTCTGTACCACAGTGCCCCTTTAAATCACAAGCTCACTAAGTCTACAATGGAAATGATCACCCTCCCTGCCCAACTTTATTCCTCTGATCTCCTTGTGTTAATGACAACAATACCATCCTGTTCAGTTGGGTGCAAAACTCCCCAACCATCCTCACTGCCCACATCCAATCAGTTACAAAGCCTTGCCAACTTCATTTCTGTAATATTATTGTAATTTTAACCCTTTCTACTTACCCCATCTCTCTCTGCCCCATACTTCAACTACTACTGCATCTTGTCCATCACTGTATCCACAGTATCTAGAACAGTACTTTATCTAGAGTGGAAAATCAATAAATACAAAATAAAATAATGAATGGATGAATGAATAAATTTCCCACCTCAATGCCTTTTCTCAGGCAATTCTCTTATCTTGGAATGCTCTTGTACCATATTGCCAGTATTTGCAGTATTCTTCAACATACAGCTCAAACACTTGCCCTCTATGAGGTTTTCTCACAGAGACAAATTTCATGTGTCTGTATTAGTCAAGGTTGTTGGTTGCAAACAATAGTAGTCAACTCCGATAATTTTGAAGAAAAGAAGAGCAAAAATGATTTATTGAATTAATGTGGTGGAGACTCACAAAATGGATGGCTGAAAAGCAGGTGGGGTTATCTGTAGGCCAGACAGAAGCATCTGGCAAGGATGCCACCACCCTTATTGTTACCATATCCCACTGCTGCTGCTAGGTCTAGGAGCCAATACGATCTCTTCTTCCTGTCCTTCATCTTTCACCACTTGCTTAAGATTTGAAGTCCAGGGTGGGTACATACATTTGCTAATCCTAAGTTAAGTGCCCACAGTCAAAATGGTAGGGTTCAAGGACACGGAATATCTGACTCCTTGACTTTCATAGTAGATGGCAAGACTCTGCCTCTCCCAAAGACCCATACAATGGGAGAGTCTCTACATTTACAAAATAATTAAGTTACTGGGAAGCCAAAATAAAGCAACAAATGTCCACTGCCCTCCAGCATACACGTCTCCACTCTTCTGCAAGATTGTAAGTCCCATGAAGGCAGAATTTGTCTGACTCATTTTTGTATTCACTGAAGTTCCTAGAAAAGCACCTTGCACTTCTCCTAGTTGAGATAGTTCCTTTCTGATTACTTCATCACATCCATCTCATCAAAAAATTTCTAGTTTAAGCTACTCCATGCCACTCGAAATTTTTCAGATTCTTAAAATTTTGGTCGTTTTTGTTTTGTTTTGTTTTGTTTTGTTTTGTTTTGAGATGGAGACTTGCTCTGTCACCAGGCTGGAGTGCAGTGGTACAATCTTGGCTCACTCCAACCTCTGCCTCCTGGGTTTAAGCAATTCTCCTGCCTCAGCCTCCTGAGTAGCTGGGACTACAGGCGCCCACAACCACACCCAGCTAATTTTTGTATTTTTAGTAGAGATGGGGTTTCACCGTGTTGGCCAGGCTGATCTCAAACTCCTGACCTCAAGTGATCTGTCCACCTTGGCCTCCCAAAGTGCTGGGATTACAGGTGTGAGCCACGGTGCCTGGCCTCGGCCATTCCTTTTATGGCAAAAACCACAGTTACTTTTGCACCAACCTACTATTTGTCAAATAAGAAAATGAATGATGCTCCTTGTAAGCAAAGAAGCCACAGTGTTTTACATACATTAGTTTTCTCACTCACTTTTGACCAGTTTGTTAGCTGTTTTTTGCTGTAGCACTTAATACAATTATGAACCCATTTAAAACTAATAAAACACTCAAATTCTGTTATTGAAAGGGAAATCTTCAGTTCCCCCACTTAACCATACACCTTTATTTTCTGTTCTCAGTTCCTGGGGCTAAGAAACCCTACTTTATAATTTTTCTCAATCAAATTTCCATTTAATTACTCAAAATAGCTAAGAATAAAAACTTCAATCTATTTCTTAAACTATACTGTGCCTCATTTAATTTCTCACTTCTTGTTATAAGCATTGCTTTCTTCTTGCTGAAAGTTCATGCACCGCGTCGCTCCTTTAAACCTCAAACTCACTAAGTCTAAAATGGAAATGGTTTTTTATCATATCTATTTTGTTTGAAAGTTTTTTAGTTTAAGCTACTCCATAGCACCTTCAAATTTTCAGACTGATCACATTTCTGATGTCTGCTTTACATTTTTGTCTTCTCTAACACCTCCTTTGATCTTTATGGGCAGCAACCATTTCCTGGGTTCACTGAGTACCCAACACACAAGTAATATTTGTCAAACAAACTGATTAATAAGAAATGAGAAGTAGTACAGCTTAAGAAATTACAGGGATGCAAAGGATTATAAATCATGCTGCTGTAAAGACACATGCACACGTATGTTTACTGCGGCACTATTCACAATAGCAAACACTTGGAACCAACCCAAATGTCCATCAATGATAAACTGGATTAAGAAAATGTGGCACATATATACCATGGAATACTATGCAGCCATAAAAGAAGGATGAGTTCATGTCCTTTGTAGGGACATGGATGAAGTTGGAAACCATCATTCTGAGCAAACTATCGCAAGGACAAAAAACCAAACACCACATGTTCTCACTCATAAGTAGGAATTGAACAGTGAGAACACTTGGACACAGAAAGGGGAACATCGCACACCGGGGCCTGTCGTGGGGTGGGGGGAGAGGGGAGGGATAGCATTAGGAGATATACCTAGTGTAAATGACGAGTTAATGGATGCAGCACACCAACATGGCACATGTATACATATGTAACAAACCTGCACATTGTGCACATGTACCCTAGAACTTAAAGTATAATAATAAGAAAAAAAGAAATTACAGGGATGTCTGACTCAAGCACATAAATGGTAGCAATTATATTCATACTATCATTATTAATACAATGTGGTTCAGGGGTTCTCAAAGTGTGGTTCATAGACTCTAGGGTGTCCTAGAGACTCTTTCAGAAGGTCTGAAAGATCAAAACTCTTTCCTAAGAATACAAAGGCATTATTTGCCCTTTACACTGTGTTGACATTTGCAATGATGGTATGAAAGAAAGGGTAAAACTGCTGGTTCTTAGCACAGAGTAAACTGTGCTACTAGTCATTTCATTCTTCACTGCTATGTACTCACATTTCAGAAATGCCAGTTTTAGCTTACAAATGTCCTTGAAGTAAAGATTATTAGTTTTATGATATGTCAACCCTTGAGTCCACATCTTCTTAATATTCTGTGGGATGAAATGAGAAGTGTGTGTATAGCACTTATGCTGCTCGATGCTTCTCTCAAGGAAAACACTTGTGCCATTGTTTGTACTGGGAACTGAAGCAGCTGCTTTTTTCATGAAATACCATTTTACCTGAAACAATGACTGACAGACAAATTAGGGTTATTAAGTCTTTGGTATTTAACAGACATTTTCTCTAAAAGGGATACAACTTTACCTCAAGGTAAACAACTGACAGGATTTGTCATCAATGACAAAGTCCAAACTTTCAAGTGAATATTAGAATTTTGGAAAATATTATCTACTACCATGAGTTTAATTCTTAATGTATTTCTGATGAGATCAATGGTGATTTTAATGAATATAATTTTTTATATTGTGTAATAAAATGTGCCAACATTTGGAAAATCTGCATAACAAAATGAAACAATATTTTTTAAATGATGAATGTATAATTTGCAAAAGTATGCAATGACAAAAAGATACATTCAGAACTCAAGACAGCCCAGTGGATTTTAATGTAACAGAGTAAGAAAAAAACATTTGTAGTAAAGTTTCAGATTTTACACTGCAACAAACCTGTAATAAACTACCATTTGTGAAGTTTGGGTGTTGTATCAAAGAATATCCACAATTATATGAAAAGCCTATTAAAATAATACCCCCTTTTCCAACTGCGTATGTAAGTGAGTTAGATTTTCTTCACATAAGTCAACCAAAACAATATATTGCAACAATTTGAATGCAGAAACAGATATGTATATTTAGCTGTCTTCTATTAAATCAGATATTAAGGGTATTTGCAAAAATGTAAAACATTGCAACTCCTTTCACTGTTTTTTTTGTTCTGTTTTGGAAAATACAGTTTTTTTTTTTTTTACAAAAGCGTTATTTATGTTAACATGTAATAGATTTATTATAGTTATTTTAAAATAAATACTTTAAAAATTTAAATTTATAATATGATAAATATTGATAGATATAACTCACATAAATGAGAGCTCTTTGAGATCCACAATATTTTTTTGTTATTCAATATGACCTTTTTATTACTCTTTTAAAAATTCATAGACTTTATTTTTTTAGAGCACTTTTAGGTGTATAGAAAAATTAAGCAGGAAGTAGAGTTTCCATAAAACTCCTCATTCCTACACACACACACCCACACACACACACCCCAATGCTGCCCCCCAACAATTTCCTGTATTATTAACATGTTGCATTAATGCAGTATGTTTGTTATAATTGATGAACCAATACTGATACAATATTATTAACCAAAGTCCACACTTTACATTAAGGTTCACTCTTTCTATCAAAACCCATTCTATGGGTTTTGACAAATATATAATGACATGTGGCCACCATTATAATATTATACACACTAGCTTCACTGCCCTAAACATTTCCTGTCTTCTACTTACTCATTCTTCCCTCCCTCCCCTTGAACTCCTGGCAACCACCGGTCCTTTTACTGTCTTACCTAGTTTTGCCTTCTCTAGAATGTCACATTGGAATCATATAGTATCATATAGTAATCATATAGCCTTTTCAGATTGGCTTCTTTTGCTTAGCAATATGCATTTAAGGTTTCTCCCTGTTTTTTTTCTAGCTTTTTGCAGTGAATTATATGCCATTGTATGAATGTTTCATGTTTGTTTATTCATTCACCTATTGATGGACATCTTGGGTGATTTCAAGTTTTGGCAATTATGAATAAAGCTGCTATAAACATTCATGTGCAGGTTTTTTGTGGACATATGTTTTCAACTCATTGGGGTAAATTCCAAGGAGCACCATTGTTGGATTGTATCGTAAGAGTGTGTTTAGTTTTTAAGAAATTGCCAAATTGTCTGCCAAAGTGGCTGTACCATTTTGCATTTCCATTCACAATGAATGAAAGTTCTTGTTGCTTCACATTCTTGCCAGTATTTGGTGTTGTCAGTGTTCTGGAGTTTAGCCACTCTAACAGGTATGTAATGGTATCTCATTGTTGTTTTAATTTGCAATTTCCTTATGACATATTATATGGAATATCTTTTCATATGCTTATTTGCCATCTGTATATTTTGTTTGATGAGGTGTGCAGGCCTTTTGCCCATTTTTAATTGGGTTCTTTGTTTTCTTATTGTTGAGTTTTAAGAGTTCTTATATATTTCTTGGATACCAATCCTATATCAGAATGTGTTTTATAAAGATTTTCTTCCAGTCTGTGGCTTGTCTTTTCATTCTCTGAATATTGGCTTTTACAGAGAAGAAGGTTTTTTCATTTTAAAGAAGTCCAGCTTACCTTCTTTTCTTTCATCAACCATGCATTTGGTGTTGTGTCTAAAAAGTGATTACCAGCTCAAATTAACTTAGATTTTCTTCTTTGCTATCTTCTAGGACTTTTATAATTTTGCATTTAGCTCTACAATCAATGTTAATTTTTATGAAGGGTGTCTAGATTCTTTTTTTTTTTTTTTTTTTTTTTTGCATGTGGATGTCCTGTTCTAGCATCATTTGCTGAAAAGACTATCTTTTCTCCATTGTATTGCCTTTGCTCTTTTGTCAAAGATCAGTTGACTATATTTGTATGAGTCTATTTCCAGACTCTATATTCTGTTCCATTGATGTGTTTGTCTGTTCTTTTAACAATACCATACTGTCTTGATTATTGTAGCTTTGTAGTAAGTCTTAATGTCTGGTAGTGTCAGTTCTCTGACTTTATTTTTCTTCTTCAATGTATTGGCTATTTTGTCTTTTGCCTTTCTCTATCAAACATCTTAAAATAAGTTTGTTGATGTTCACAAACTACACTTGCTGAGCTTTTTAGTAGCATTGCATTGAGGCTATAGATCAAGTTGGGAAGAAATGATATTTTAACAATATTGAGTCTTCTTCCATGCACATGGAATATCTCTCCATTTACCTAGGTCTTTTTGGACTTCTTATCCAAGTTTCATAGCTTTTGTCATATAAATCTTGAACATATTTTATTTAGATTTATACCAAAGTATTTCCTTGTTTTTGGTGCTAATATAAATGGTATTGTGTTATTAATTTCAAATTCCAATTGTTCATTACTAATAATTGAACATAACCTTTTAATTTGACTTTTATTTCTTCTTCTGCAGAATTTCTTCGTTTCCTCTTAAATAATTTTTTTAAGTTCTTTTTTTGTTTCTTGAGATGGAGTCTCTCTCTGTTGCCCAGGCTGGAGCACAGTGGTGTGACCTCAGCTCACTGCAACCTCCACCTGCTGGGTTCAAGCGATTCTCCTGCCTCAGCTGCCTGAGTAGCTGGGACTACAAGTGCGCACCACCACACCTGGCTAATTTTTCTATTTTGAGTGGAAATGGGGTTTCACCATGTTGGCCAGGCTGGTCTCGAACTCCTAACCTCAAGTGATCCACCCGCTTCGGCCTCCCAAAGTGCTGGGATTACAGGCATGAGCCACCATGCCTGACCCCCCCCTTAAATAATTTTTAAGAGTGTAAAGGAGTCTTAAGGTCACAATGTTTGTGAACAGTAGTGTGTTTTGGAATGAGCATGGTCTTTGGAGCCATGTGGAATAAACTAGTTTTCAATTCTATCTTTAACACTTATTTTCTCTATTGCTATAGGGACCTTGTTCAGGTTTTCTTTGTCTCAGTTTACCTGTGGGCAAAATGTGGTAATAAAAAATAACTACTACAGAGGGCTGTCTTTAGGATAAAAGTGATAAAATCTGGAGTGTGTTTGACACATAAAAGGAACACAATTAATAGTAACTATTGATATTTATATTGTTTTGACCCAGTCATTTTATACTGGAGAATAAACCTCAAGAAAATAACTTCAAAGGTGGTATTGGGCTGAAAGACATTTTATAAAAAGTGTTTATATCAGCATTCTAAATAATAGTAGCAACATATCCGGCTACCATATTTTGACATTTTAGAATCCAATTATGACCATAAGAAACCCATAAGGCCTGTGTTACAAACCAAACGTTTTTTTCTTCAAGGAAAGAATTGTTGTATTACTGATAAGAGTCGTTAAAGTGATTATGGCGAATCATCACCTTTCACCTTAAATTCCGGCAAAGCAATGAAGATCGGTATGCTGTAGACGCTGCCTTTCAAAATGGAAACTTCTAGAAATGGCACAGCAAAATTCTCAAGAGAAATTCCCTCTCTACCCGTGGAAGTTCATTCCAACTGCTGATTTGCCAGACCCAGGTTTTAGTGGCCTTCTGAAAGATTCTCCCCGGAGCCTGAAAGCTTACGGGAATGAATAACTCCTCCCTCCTCAGGCCCAGTCCCAAGGCACAAGGCCACTTGTACCAGCAGTGTGCATCAGTAAGATAGTAGAAGCAGGAAGAGAGCTGGCCAGAAGACACATACCCCTGAAGATCGAGGCGGAGGCCATCTGAGTACTATGCAGCAGTCACATCAGACTGGGACACTTCCTGTTTACAGAGGACTATAAAATCCCTGCCCCATCCTCATTTGGGGCTGACGCCATTTTAGGTCTCAGCCCATCTTCACCTAGGCACTTATTAAAACAGCGTGTTGCTCCACACCCGCTGGTGTTGTCTGTTGGTGGGCTCTCAGGGTTTGAACCAATACAAGAGTCTTTCATCTGGTGCCGAAACTCAGTAGAGGCTTTGGTCCATGTCCCCCAGGGACCTACCCCTTCACCTGGGAGAGCAGGCCATAGCAGCCAGGCAAAGGAAGCTCTGCAGCCTCCAGCGGGCCTCTCTGTGCACGCACATCGGTCACTGATATCACCTACTGGTTTCTCTGGTCCAAAAATCCAACGTTGGTCCAAGAAGACTCCAGAGCGTGCCAGGCACTCGCTGATCATCTGGTCTTAGGGGGACGCCTCTAAGCCATTTGATCCCATTCCGGCAACGAAAAAGGCAGCAGTGACAATCGCTCCTTTTATTGTCTCCCTCTGGCTGTCCAGGACGGCCTCCTTTTTCCTGTTCTCTGGAGCCTACCCGCTATGGGAAATTCCCAGTCTTCTATTCCAAAGGACAGCCCTCTAGGCTGCCTCATAAAAACCTGCAAACCTTAGGCCTCAGGCAAGATATCCACTCTAAGCGCCTTGTCTTTTTTTGCAATTCAGTCTGGCCACAGTACGGGTCCAAATGGTTCGCAAATGGAACATTCAACTTTATAATTTTAACTGACTTAAGCAATTATTGTTGACGACTGGAAAAATGGGGAGAAATTCCTTATGTCCAGGCCTTTTTGCACTCAGATCACAACCCGACCTCTGCAATTATTGCTCACCTATTCAAATCCTTCTCCATTCTCGCTGCGCAGATCACCTTTCTCCTCCCCACACCACCTCTTTTTCCTCATTAGATCCAGTAGACTGCTGTCCACCTCTCCCAGCCCCTACCTCTCCCTCTCAACCGTCTTTTTTAATCCAAGCCTCCTCTTTATCTTCTCAGCTGTGATCTTCTCAGCCACCATCTTCCCAGCCGCCATCTTCCCAGTAAGCAGTATTAACTTCTTTTCCTACACTGTCCCCTCTTCAGGACAATTCTAGTATTGCCTGTACCCATTCTCCTCCCCCACCGCCCTCTCCTAAGGCTTGTAAACCCATCCTGCCACCTTACGCCCCTATCCTCCACTGCCTGTTAACTCAAACCCTCTTCCCCCTTCAAACCCTCAGCAGGAACCACTTCCATGTTCTTCCTTCTCTCCTGCCCATACTCGCTCAGGCGCCATCTTCGGCCCATGGCCCACCCTTACTTCAGCATCTGTGCTAGAGTGCCCCCTTCAGGAAGTAGCAGGAACTGACGGTATTGTTAGCGTTCATGTTCCCTTCTCCCTCACTGATTTCTCTCAAATTAACAAAAGACTTGGTTCATTTCCAGAAGACCCTACCTTTTATATTAGAGAGTTTCAATACCTCACCCAGTCTTATGAACAAACTTGGCATGACCTCTACGTTATCCTCTCTTCCACCCTCACCCCAGAACACCAGGACCATATCTGGACCCTAGCTCAGGCACATGCTGATACAATTCATCACCAAGCTCCTGTCCGGCCTACTGGTGCAGAGGTAGTCCCTAACGAGGACCCCCACTGGGATTATCAAGACGGGTCCCCTGGACACCACCATCAAGACCACATGATTGTGTGTCTCCTTGCAGGACTCAAAAAGGGTGCCCTAAAGCAGTCAACTATGAAAAACTTTCAGAAATCACCCAAGGTCCCGACAAGAACCCAGCCCTTTTTCTCTCTCATTTAACTGAAGCCATGAGAAAGTATACCAACCTAGAGCCAGCCAGCCAGCCCAGAAGGAACCACTACCTTAAACCTTCGGTTCATCTCCCAATCCATTCCCAATATTCGGCGCAAGCTTCAGAAGCTTGACGACTGCCCTCAAACCCCACAATGAGACCTTCTTAATTTAGCCTTCAAAGTCTTCAACAATCATGATGAAGAAAGCAAAAGGCAAAAACAGGCAGAGTTTCAAATGCTTGCCTCCGCCATCAGGGGCCCTGCAGGCTCACAGGGCTGCAGCTCCACACAGAAGCCTCCTAGACATCCACCTCCACCTGGCGCCTGTTTCAAGTGCGGCAATGAAGGCCACTGGTCCAGACAATGCCCAAACCCAGGTAAGCCCACCAGGCCGTGCCCCCTCTACAGAAGACCCCACTGGAAGTCAGACTGTGGGTGGCCCCCACAAGGACCGCCCCCATCCCTTCCTGAGCCAGCCAAATCCTCCTACTCAGATCTCATCAGCCTTGCCACTGAAGACTGACGGTGCCCTGGAACGGACGCCCCAGCAACTACCATCTCTTCCTCTGAGCCAAGGGTAACCCTGATGGTGGCAGGTAGGCCAGTATGTCTTTTTAAATTAATACCCTGGCAACCTACTCTGCTTTACCTAATTTTTCAGGACCCACCCAGTCCTCCCAAGTCTCTGTTGTGGGAGTTGATGGACAAGTCTCCAAACTCCGAGCCCGTCCTCCACTTTTCTGCTCCCTGCACACCTTTCCTTCACTCACTCTTTCTTAGTCCTGCCCTCCTGCCCAACTTTGCTCCTAGGCAGAGACATTCTTTCAAAACTCCACACTGTTCTCCACTTCCACGTTCCCCATAGTACCCAACGCATCAACCCAGACCTCTCCAGGGCTTCCAACTTTCTTCTATTCCTCCAACCTCCCACCTTAAAACATGGAACCTTTCCTTATCCCCCATCCATAGTTAACCCTGCTGTTTGCAATACTTCCACACCCTCAGTCACAAAACACCACACCTCCGTCCGCATTACCCTTAAAGAGCCCACCCAGTTCCTATCACAGAAGCAGTATCCCATCCCCCAAGCAACTCTCATAGGCCTAAATCCTATCATTTCTCGCCTCCTCACCAGTCACCTACTCTACCTGACAGACTCCCCTTTTAACACACCAATTCTATCTGTCAAAAAGCCAGATGGAACTTATCACTTAGTCCAGGACCTCAGGCTCATTAACCAAACTGTACTCCCAGTACGTCCAGTAGTTCCTAACCCACATATTTTACTTTCCGCAATTCCCTCCAATACCACCCATTTTTCTGTTCTAAACTTAAAGGATGCTTTTTTTCATAATTCCTTTACACCCTGATTCCCAAAACCTCTTTGCCTTTACATGGGAAAACATTGACACCCACCTTTCATGTCACCTTACCTGGTTCATACTACCTCAAGGTTTTAGAGACAGCCCCCATCTTTTCAGACAGGCCCTTGCTCATGACCTCTGTACCTTATCCCTGAAACCGTCCACTCTCCTTCAATATGTTGATGATCTGCTCCTGTGTAGCCTCTTTCAAAGAGACTGCAATGCCCTTACTATCTCTCTTTTAAACTTCTTGGCAGAACGGGGGTATTGGGTCTCCCCTAAGAAAGGCACAAATATGCACCCCCTCAGTCACCTATCTAGGCCTAGCTCTTACCCCACAAACCTGAGGGCCACAACTGACCACATATCTCTCCTCCAATCCCTCCCATCTCTGCAAGACTAAGCAAGAAATTCTCTCCTTTCTAGGACTGGTGGGATATTTTAGGCTCTGGGTCCCCTCCTTCACTCTACTTGCGAAACTATCATACCAAGCCACCAAAGGCCCTCTCCATGAGCCTTCAAACCCTGCACAGCCTATTACCCAACCTTTCCATCTACTCCAGAAGGCTGTCACCTCAGCCCCCGTCCTCACTCTCCTAGACCTCACCAAACCTTTCTCCCCTTATACCAACGAATGGCGTGGAGTTGCACTAGGTGTTCTAACACAGTCTAAGGGACCCACCCTCCAGGTTATGGCCTACCTCTCCAAACAGCTTGAAGCCACAGTTCTCGGATGGCCTGCCTGCCTCTGAGCATTGGTGGCTGCTGCTGTCCTCATCCTTGAAAGCCTAAAACCATCTCTCCATGCCAACCTAACAGTTTATTCAACCCATAACATCAAGCACATGCTAGCTCACCGCAGTGTACTAAGTCTCATCTCTGCCCCACAGCTCCTCCAACTGTATGCTCTACTCACAGAAACTCCCCATATCACCATGCTAACCAGTTTCCATCTAAACCCGGCCATGCTCTTACCTGAAGCTACAACCACCCAAGACCCTATACACTTCTGTGTGAACACTGTTCAAACCTTTCTTATCATTTTCCAAACCTAACAGATTAACCCCTTCCAGATGCCTCCTTTACTTGGTTTGTAGATGGCAGCTCCTTCCTACATCAAGGATTCTGGCATGCTGGCTGTACTATAGTGTCACCCCCATGCACACTATTGAAGCCAATCTGCTCCTCCTAGGCACCACCTCCCAAAAAGCTGAACTCATCACCCTCACTTGAGCTCTCACTCTAGCAGCCGGACAACAGATCAACATATATTCAAATTCTCATTATGCTTTCCACATAGTGCTCTCACACTCATCCATCTGGAAAGAATGAGGTTCCCTAACTACAAAAACACTCCTGTCATAAATGGCTCTCTCATCAGCAAACTCCTTCAAGCTACCAGGCTCCCACAGAAAGTTGCCATCATTCATTGCAGGGGCCACCAAACCCCAGACAATCCTATATCAGCAGGAAATGCGCTAGCAGATCAGGTAGCCAAACAAGTAGCCCTACAACCTGTGCAAGGCCAGTTTCTGTCCCTGTCCTTGTTCTCGCCTCTTTACTCCTCAGAAGAAAAGGAGGACTTCTGAGCCCCAAACCTTCAAAAGCAAAGACCATGGTATGTCAAGGAAGGGCACTTTGTTCTTCCTCACTCTCAAACAATCCCTATTCTCCAAAGTCTCCACAACTCTTTTCATGTTGGTTACAAACCTCTCTTACAACTTCTCCACCCTATTGTCACTTGTCCTCACCTTTCCAGCCGTGTTCGAGAAATCACCCAGTCCTGCTCTATCTGCCATTCAGTGTCATCCCAGGTCTCCCTCTGGCCACGGCCTTTTCCTACCCACCAAGCCCAGGGCCAGGTACCTGGGCAAGATTGGCAAGTAGACTTCACTCACATCCTGCCCAATAAATGGCTCTGCTATCTTCTAGTCTTTGTCTGTACTTTCTCTGGGTGGTAGAAGTGTTCCCAACAACTTCAGAAGTTGCAAATGTCGTCACACAAACTCTCACCATGCATATACTTCCCCGCTTTGGACTCCAAACATCCATCCAGTCTGATAACGGGCCCGCCTTCATCAGTCAAATTACTCAAGGTGTCTCTACATCATTAGGTATAAAATGGGTTCTCCACACACCCTACAGGCCTCAATCTTCAGGCAAAGTTGAAAAAATTAACTCTGTCCTTAAAGCCCAACTCACCAAGCTGGCTCTAGAAACTTGCCAGTCATGGACAAAAAAAATCTCCTTTTCGCCCTCATGAGACTCCATGCAACACCAAAGTCACCCTCTTTTTATAGTCCCTTTGAAATAATGTATGGCCGAACTTTTATCTTGGAGCCTCCACCCTTACCAGACTCTGAGCCACTCGAGAATTACCTCCCCTTCTTAATCCAGACACGGTCTTTCATTCGTGAAGCAGCAAATGAGGCCATGCCCCTCCCTGTCAACACCTCCTTGTCCTCTCAACATAACTGTCTTGCAGGCACAGAAGTGTTTATCTGCAAATTCGACCCTCACGAAAACCTACAACTGAAGTGGACAGGCCCCTATGCTGTGATACTCAGTATGCCAACTGTAGCGAGAGTCCAAGGACTCCCCCACTGGATCCATTGCACCAGGGTCAAGCTCACCCCTAAGGCTACTCCTTCCTCCAAAACATTAACAGCAGACAACACCCTCAGAGTCCCTGTATATAATAACCTAAAAAAAAAAACAAAAAAAAACAATACTTAAAGGTAGGAGGAAGCCAAAGATGGCAACAGGATGAATGGCCTCCACAATGGATCATCAAACATTATGGTCCTGCCACTTGGGCTGAGGATGGTTCGTGGGGTTATCGCACTCCCATGTACATGCTAAATAGAATAATTAGACTACAGATGGTTCTAGAGATAATCACTAACCAAACCACCTCAGCCCTGGAAATGCTTATGCAACAACAAAACCAAATGCATGCAGCAATTTATCAAAACAGGCTAGCACTAGACTACTTATTAGCAGAAGAGGGTGAGGTCTGTGGCAAGTTTAATATCTCCAATTGTTGTCTTAACATAGATGATAACGGAAAAGCGGTTCTAGAAATCACTTCAAACATCAGAAAAGTAGCCCATGTACCAGTCCAAACCTGGAAAGGATGGGACCCGACAAACCTTCTAGGAGGATGCTTCTCTAATTTAAGAGGACTTAAAACGCTAGTAGGGATAGTAATCTTCATCACTGGGTTCCTCCTATTTCTCCCCTGTGTTATCCCACTGATAATAAAAGCCATTAAACTCTTGTGGAAACTATAGTTAGCGGCCAAACAATCCAGACGATGCTCCTGCTACAGCGATGTGATGGATACCAACCCATCTCTCAAGAATACCCCAAAATTAAGTTTTTCTTTTTCCAAGATACCCACGCCACCCCTATGTCATGCGTGAAGTAGTTATGGAGAAAGTTGTCCCTTTTCGTTTTTCTATAACCAAATAGGAATGAAAGATTCTCCCCAGGGCCTGAAAGCTTAAGGGAATGAATAACTCCTCCCTCCTCAGGCCCAGTCCCAAGGCACAAGACCACTTGCATCAGCAGCATGCATCAGCAAGATAGCAGAAGCAGGAAGAGAGCTGGCCAGAAGATACATACCCCCTGAAGATCAAGAGGGAGGCTGTCTGGGTACTACGTAGAAGTCGTGTCAGCCTGGGATGCTTCCTGTTTACAGAGGACTATAAAACCCCTGCCCCATCCTCATTTGGGGCTGACGCCATTTTAGGCCTCAGGCCATCTGCACCTAGGTGCTTATTAAAACAGCACGTTGCTCCACACCGCCTGGTGTTGTCTGTTGGTGCGCTCTCAGAGTTTGAACTGATACAAGAGCCTTGCACCTTCAACATAAAGTTTCCCTCAAAGAGGATTTTGTTTTGGTTTAGTTTTGGTAGGAAAAAGGAAAGTTATTGTTTCTGTTCTCTGCTTCTAAAATGCATTTTGTTTTTGATTTTATGAGATTTACTTTTCCGATTTCATTGACATTTTGTTCAGTTAAGATATTTCTGGCTGATATTTCATTAAAAAAATTACTCGTTAGAAGTAGTATTTTAAATAACTTGGGCTTCTTCCTTTTTTTGTTTGTTTGAGGCAAGGTCTCACTCTGTCACCCAGGCTGAAACTCAGTGGTATGGTCATAGCTCACTGCAGCCTTGACCTTTTGTGCTCAAGTGATCCTCCAGCCTTAACCTCCCATGTAGCTGGGATCAGGTGTGTGCCACCATGCCTGGTTATTCATTTTTTTTTTTAATTCTTTGGAGAGACAGGGTTTTACCATGTTGTCCAGGCTGGTCTCGAACTCCTGGGCTCAAGTGATCCTCCTGCCTTGGTTTCCCAAAGTGCTAGGTTTACAGATGTGAGCCACTGTGCCTGGCCTTGCTTTTGAAATGATGTTCAATGCCATAAAATTATTTTTTTAGTAGAAAATTAAAAGCTATTGAAATTGTCCCTTTTATTAACAAACCTTATAGAAGTAGTTATCCCAAGGAAAAGCAAATTTTTACTCATCAAAGGTTAGGATACTTCATGTTACAGTAAGATAATTCTGGAAAAGATAATCTGTTGACGATAATGTGCATAGACATTGCATTTTTGTTTTTGTTTCTAAAATAAGCCACAAATGACTTATTTTCAAGGACTTTCCTAAGGGGTTTTTAAATCAAGTTTAGCCTAAAGCTGTCTCCTGACATATTTTAACTTTGCCCTAAAGGTTTCTCTGTACATTGCGAACTATAACCTAAATGGATTTGTATACAGACTGTAGTCTACTATTGGGCCAATCACCAAGGTTGGACATTCAAAGGTGACCAACTGTTCAAACTGTGTTCAAATAAGGCAAACGCTAAGCGGTAACTAATCTGGCTGCTTCTGTCCCTCACTTTCGTTTTCTGTACATCACTTTCTTTTTTCTGTCCATAAATCTTCTCCCGTGTGGCTGCACTGGAGTCTCTACACTGGCATCCCTATTCTGGCTTGGGAGACTGCCCGCTTACAAATTGTTTTTTGCTCAATTAAACTCTTTTAAATTTAATTCGGCTAAAGTTTTTAACAGATGGCATCAGAAGTGGGATCTGAAATAGAGCTTCAAATGATCCCCTGAAGCACTGAGTGACCAAGCAAGGTACCCGCCGGGCCCATTGTGTCCATTGCTCTCTCGGGGCAGCTGGGGATCATGGTAAGTCTTCTCTCGGATTCTGAATCTCCATGGATTTCTGTTTTAAGCTCTCCCAGTTTCTCTGAGCAAATTTCTGATCCAAGTAGGGTTTGAAAGTCCCAGAAACTGGACTGAGGCCAGGATTGGATTTGATCTGGTAATGAACTTGCTTGGATCCATTTAAAGTCCCCTTACTTCTGACTGAGTCAGAAAGAAACTTAGTAAATGGCAATATTGCAGGGGATGTAACATTTGGCTTTTGGAAATTTGCAGGGATTTTTGTGTTCTACCTCTTTGTTTCATTTTTCTTGCATGCTTAGGTTGGAAAAAAATCATTGGCTAAGTTGATCCAGGAAACCTGAGAGCCAAAGCCAATATTTGAGGTAAAAATGGGATCCTTAATTTCTGAAGAACTGAGTTTCTTCCAGCTTATCCGTGCATAAGTATTAGGCCCCAGAAGCTGCAAAGTCTTACAGAAATGGCAACATCTTACTAAAGGTGCAGTGAAATGTTCCAAATGAACAGCACTGCACTGAATTGCATTTGAAAACAAAGGCTCCCAAATGAGTCTCATCTTGGGATGCCTATTGATAAGCAGAAGCTTCTAAAAAGATTTCAACATTTTTATTTAAAAATTTATAAATGGCAAATAAAAAGCTTAAGTGGCTAAATGATTTAAAAAATTAAGTCTGCTAACCTTTTGTCTTGGTTACTATCCTGCCTCAAAGGTGGAAAGAAAGCTATCCTAGATAAGGTGTTTATAAAAGGTAGGCGTAAAATAGGCTTGTTTCTTTTTTAGATCTATCCATGCTGAGTCCAGGCATCCAGTGCTTTATTGGCCCTGTTTCTTAACGGGCTCCACCTATTAGCCTGAACTCGGTAATTTTAGCTAAAACACAGTAGCTAAATTAAGAATACCCTATTAAAGCAAAATACACCTTTCTGGAATTTAATTGGCTACCTTGAATCTCTTTTCTAAAAGAAATTTACATCTATAAAGGAAATCTCCACTTTTAAGGATGTCTGCCTATGTATATTTGAAACTCTTACCACATTCTTTTAAATTTACATAAGAAGTCCCACCCTTCTTTAACGTGCTTTTCTGGCCATCCTGTCCTAAGTGAACTTTTGAGTGTTTTTTTTCCCCCTTGGTTTGAGCAAATAATGATGCAATATTTAGGCCTAAAATCTTAGCTCTATGCTTATAAAACATAATTTTTTTGTTCCACGTAAGAGTTGTCCTTTTAGAAATGCTAATTTGTTGCCTAATTAACAATGGCTTAGGGCAATGAAATCTATAATTGTTAAGATTGACAGAGCAAGTGGGGAAAAGAAAAATTATTTAAAAGCCGGCAAATGAAAATCCTTTATGACAGCTATAAGATCTGCTTCTATGTGTTTGTATGTCCATATGTGTAATGGGTATGTGATATTTGGTAAATAAACCTAGTTTTTAAATTGTTGGTAAAATAAAAGTGGTTTCAAAATTATCAGTTAAATATAATTAGATACTTGCTTGATTTGACTGAGAACTTATGCCTTTGGTTTAAGAGTCTCTGAAGTCCGGGTGCAGTGGCTCATGCCTATAATCCCAGCACTTTGGGAGGCCGAGGCAGGCAGATCACGAGGTCAGGAGATCAAGGCCATCTGGGCCAACATGGCGAAAACCCGTCTCTACTAAAAAAAAATACAAAAAATTAGCCGGGCGTGGTGGTGGGCGCCTGTAGTCCCAGCTACTCAGGAGGCTGAGGCAGGAGAGTGGCATCAACCCAGGAGGCGGAGCTTGCAGTGAGCCGAGATTGTGCCACTGCACTCCAGCCTGGGTGACAGAGTGAGACTCTGTCTCAAAAAAATAAAAAATAAAAAAATAAAGAGTCTCTGGATTCAGGGGTCTAGATAGTGACCACAGTGAGGTCTGAAGACATATTCTTACTGCCTAGACCAGCAGCTACAAGCCAGAATCAAGCCCAGTGTGACCCCTTCTTCCCTGCTTTCCTCTGTTTTGCCTTCTGGCTATTTTGGGAGGAGTTGGATCCTCCAGATGTCAAAGGCCTGTGAACTATGGCAACTCCATCTTAAATAGGGGCTGGGTAAAATGAGGCTGAGACCTACTGGGCTGCATTCCCAGACAGTTAAGGCATTCTAAGTCATAGGATGAGATAGGAGGTCAGCACGAGATACAGGTCATAAACACCTTGTTGATAAAACAGGCTGCAGTAAAGAAGCTGGCCAAAACTCACAAAATCAAGATGGTGAAGACAGTGACCTCTGATCATCCTACTGCTACACTCCCACCAGTGCCCTGACAGTTTACAAATGCCAGGGCAATGTCAAGGAGTTACCCTCTATGGTCTAAAAAGGGAAGGCATGAATAATCCACCTCTTTGTTAGCGTATCATCAAGAAATAACCATAAAAATGGGCAACCAGCAGCCCTGGGTGCTTTTCTGTCTATGGAATAGCCATTCTTTTATTCCTTTACTTTCTTAATAAACTTGCTTTTGCTTTGCTCTGTGGAATTGCAAGATCCAAGAACCCTCTCTTGGGGTCTGGATCAGGACCCCTTTTCTGTAACACAGGTATAGGCTTCACAGCTCTGTCTTCTGTCCTAATGGACTCAGACACGCCCTGACCTTCATAATCCTCTTGGGTGCCACACGGCTACTTGGGACCTAGAACTGCTGGGGGAAGACATTAGGGAAGCTAACTGTGTCATAATTTCAAAATTCTTTTCAGTAATTTAAAATCATAGAGTCATGATATATTAAATTAAATAATACATAATCATAAACTATCTGAATAATTTGTAGGTAAAGATACTGAAATATGAATTATTAAATGAGTTTAAGTCTATATACCTTGACATATTATTTTCATATGGTTTAGAAAAGCTAGATATATTTAGATCTGTTAATAAACAATACTTTGAAGAACTATTGAAACAGGAGTTTCCTTACCCCCTGTGGCAGAGGGAGTGGCTTGCTTCTTCAGTGCCCCAGAGCTCACACCTCTAGGAAGAGCATGCAGATGGGCAGGTTGTGGGAGTGTTTTGGGGCTCCAACCCCATGGCAGCATCTAGGGTTGAGTGTTTACAGCTCCCAAAGCCCCAGTGTGTGAGTTATAGGGTGCTCTTTCAGTTTTGCCGTCTGCATGTGGCTTGTGTTAATCAGCTCAATTAGACCCTCTGCCTTATTGCAAGGACAGAGGGCTTTCTGTATCCTGGGGTTCTTGCCCTTGTGTACTAGAAAAATCAGATCACACGTGGGCTTGGAGAATGAGTGAGATGTTTTATTGAAGGGTGGAAGTAGCTCTCAGCAGATGGATGGGGATCCAGAAGCAGGATGGAGTGGGAAGGTCATTTTCCCCGGGAGTCGGACTGCTCAGCAACCAGGCTCTCCCTCGACTGCTCTTGGCTGAATTTCACATTGTTCTGCTGTCTATGGCCTGCTGGCATCTGCTGGTGCCTGTCAGTGTGCTCTTTCACTTCTCTGCTCCTCTTGATGTCCAGCTGCTTGTATGTGTGTCTGCTAGGGTCTCGGGGTATTTACAGGCACAGGATGGGGGACATAGTGGGCCAGAGTGGTCTTGGAAAATGCAACATTTGTGCATGGAAACAGGAGTGCCTGTCCTCACTTAGGTCCATGAGCACAGGCCTGAGCATGGAGCCTTCGCCAGGGACCCCGCCCTTCTCTACCCAGCACTTCCCTGCCCCCTTCCCATATTATTTTTCTAAAAAATTATAAAATGGTTTTTATCTACAAATACTGATATAAAACCATTCAAAATTACTTTCTAGGGTTTTCACTAGAAATTAGGGTTACTAAGAGTTAAAAACTACTAGATATGAGAGAAACAATTCTGTATACATAATGTATAAGCAAAAGCAAAATATGCATTTGGTAAGGAAAATTATAAAGGCATAAAAACGTGTGTTAAAACTCTTGTCTGGTTTAAAGTTATTTAAAGGTTTCAAATTGAAGTAAAAGGATAGATAAAACAAGATAAATATAGAAAGGGAAAAATATGAAATAAAAGTATTATGGAAATCTTGTTAAAAGATGACAGACTTGATCAATTTATTTATGTTTTATTAAAACTAGTGTTAATAGTGATAATACACTAATAAAAATGTAAAACTTGGTTTTCTCTATTGAATAAAAATTCTGTGTAGTATTAATAAGACACAGTAAAATATTTTCATTCACCTTTTGAGTAAACTGCAAAAAGGAAAAAAAAGAGAGAGAAAAGAAGAAGAGACAAATTCTGTCTTAGGTCTTTTGACTGTTTGGGAAACTGAGTCTCCTTTATCAAAGAGTACAGGTTTTTGTTTTTAAAAATCTCCTTTGGTTTTTAAAAATCACTTTGGTTAAATAAATGACTTGTTTTTTGGTGGCCTGTGACCCTGTTTTGGTCAAGTATTTTAAACCTTTGACATATTTGACAGGCTTCCCAAAATCAAATTTTAGCTTCAAAATTCTTTTCTGACCCCTAACTTTAGGATGCTGCAGAGGGTCCCTGAAGCATCCAAAAGAGAGGTAAAGAGGATTATTTGGCATGTTAAGTTTACATGGGAAGCATTGACAAATAAAAAATAATTTTTAACCTTCTTCAGCTTATATTTTAATGAATATGATTAACGTGTTTCAAAATTGTATGGGATTTCTAAAATTCTAATATGTCTGAATGTATGCTATTAATAATTATTATGGTTATTAGGTTAAGTTATTGTAGACCACAGAAATAATAAAATTTCCTTGTCAATTGTGTCTTTAACTATGACTATTTAAAGTCATTCCGAGCTAGGCGCAGTGGCTCACGCCTGTAATTCCAGCACTTTGGGAGGCCGAGGCGGGCGGATCACGAGGTCAGGAGTTCAAGACAAGCCTGACCAACATAGTGAAACCCTGTCTCTATTAAAAATACAAAAACTAGCTGGGTGTGGTGGTGTGCACCTGTAATCCCAGCTACACAGGAGGCTGAGGCAAAGAATCGCTTGAACCCAGACAGCGGAGGTTGCAGTGAGCCAAGATCACACCACTGCATTCCATCCTGGGCGACAGAGCAAGACTCCATCTCAATAAAAATAAA
Organism: Homo sapiens; assembly: GCF_000001405.40. NCBI lineage: Eukaryota > Metazoa > Chordata > Mammalia > Primates > Hominidae > Homo > Homo sapiens. The sequence continues at coordinate 65,876,872 of NC_000008.11, forward strand.
TAAATAAAATCATTCCCATAGCTAATTGCTTAATTCTGATGCAGTTTCTGAAAATTTCACAAGCACAGAAAATTCTAGAATACGGTGTCTTTAAGGAGGTACATGAAAGGGTGGAAAGGACTCTGAAAAGCACTCTTAAATACAGGTTTCTGATAACTTTAGAATCATATCATTTGGACTGGGTAAGAATTCCTGGAACGTTAATGAAACAACTCAGTGGTTTATAAAACTACTAACCCAAGCAGAAAAAAAATTAATTTAATACGAAGAAAATATTTTGCCAGATTTTCATGCTAAATCAACCAATACTGAAATTGTTTAGATACACAATTTGAATGAACTCCCTGGTCTAATTTAAATTACCTATGATAACCCATCAATTATCAGTGCTATGCACATAATTGGAGACACAACTGGTATTCAAGAGGACAAAAGTCCAGTGTTAAATGTGGACTCATGGAGAACCAGGATGGGCGCCTTAATCCCCATAAGTCCTTAAAGCTTTTGTTATTAAAAGTTCTGCATTCCATGGCTTATTATGGAAAAGATAAAATGATCCAAATTAAATATATATTGGTGTGGTGACTTCTAAATTGCTAAAATAGTTTATGACCAATATTTGGCTTGTCAAACCCATATTCCTGGGAAGACAATAAAAACTTCAGGTTCATGGAGCCTCAGTGGGAGTCCACGGGGGAGGAGGACGCCTACTTCCTAGTCCTTGACCAGAGACTTTTCTAGGTGCAGGGAAACTTGAACCATGTCTGTCAGACCCATGACTGCCACAAGAAGATGTCTCAAGACCTGACTGACCCGTGAATTGAAGAAAGACAGTTCCAGCTTTCAGAGGGAGATGTTCTTCCATGATAAATGGCCCGGGAGGGCTGCATGGCCACCACAGCCACTGAGAGAGTGCTCCAGGTGCTCCAGAAAGAAAATGACAGCAACAGGCAGAAGCTGGCTGACTGCAAGGCTAACTTCCAGCCTTTCCTGAGAGGTCCTTTGGCTCCTGGGACTCTGCCCGCAGCCCACGGGGGCCTGGAAGTACCAGGGGGACTGTAGGCCCCCAGGTTCCCCAGGAGAGAGGCGGGTCACAATGTGAGGGCTTGGGTCCAGAGCACCTGCTGGGTTGATTCTGTTTTCCCTGTAGCCAGGCCATGAATGCCCAGAGACTCTGCAGAACATCAGCTGGTGCTGCTACCTTTAAAGCATTTGTGATCAGTCTCTTGTTTAGCTATGATTCATTAGTTGATGCTGAAATTGCTCTTATTGAAATTTGATAGATAGCATTAGGATTGTTAAGTACTGTTTTTCAAATAAAGATTGTTTAATATAAAAAACCCAAAGGCTGCTAAAAGAAATTCTGATCTTTTATTTGTGTAATATTTTTCTCATATGAGACTCAAAACTCTTCTATGTATTTTCCCTTATTTGTGGTTTTGTAAAGAAATCCTGGTCTAGCATCCTGGCTTAGGAGATATGGTCTCTGACAGAGTCTGTACAGGGTAGGGTAAAGTCACATCTGAGAGGTCTCAGCTTTAATTACAGTTTCTCCCTGTCACAGATCTTAACCACTAACATACACATAGTGGTAACCTAATATTATGCCGTCTCAGAGAAGAGATAACTTGGAGGATATTATGTATAGACAGAGAGGAAAAAAGGAAGAAAGGAAGGAAAACAGGAGGACAGAAAGAGAAAGACAAAACAGAAAGAATACGAGAAAGAGGGGAAATCCAAGGGTGTTGCTGCTCTAAGTCTATCATCAGAAAGAATACGAGAAAGAGAGGAAATCCAAGGGTGTTGCTGCTCTAAGTCTATCATCCTAACAAGAGATAAAATCATCAGAAGTATTCCAGAAACAGACAAGACTTGAGAGGCAAACTATAAACACAACTTTGAATCTTTTTTGATGTCAAATTTCTACTAATTCATGAAGTATGTTTTAAACTCCTTTATAGTTTCCTCATCCCAAGGCTTTACTGTTGATTAATACAATTACGCATTTACATGAAATAATGCTATATTATTTCTTAAATTCAAAATTATACAAATACTTTAGTCAAGTGGCATTATGCTATTTTTACTTCTTCAGTACTGTTTTCTCTTTTCTAGTCTTTAATGAATGTAATTGATCATTTATTGTTTTACCAAAGTCTCACAAAGTCCCCAAGTTTGTAGATGGTTCTCTAGACCTTGGCATTAAGGCTCCTACGGCATCTGTTATAGGTGGATGTGGCTGGGAGGAGACTCAGTCTTCCTGCTACCAAGCAAAAAGGAATCTCTGAGGCAGTTTGGGAGAGGCGTTAAGCTTATAAAATTATTGCTGTGACTGCTTCCCTCCTAGTGAGCTATTGAAATAAATTCTCAGATTTAATTCTTCCTTTGAGAGTGAAGTCACTGTCCGGTAGGTTTTCCAAGGCACAGGGCCCAGATGTTGCAGCCAAGGGCACACCCTCCCAGCAAACAGACTATCTGCCTCTCCTAACCTGATGATGTACCCATTTTCAAATAACTGTTATTAAGATGCCAAGAGAACAAAATTAAAAACTTTTTTGAAAAAAAAAATCACTCTCTCACCCCAAAGCACTCCAACTCTTTCATTTTTGCATATAACTTTCCAGTCTTGTTACTAGGTAAATCTATTTTACGTAGTCGTAATTTCACATCCTCTTTCTTAAAATAATGTTATTTAGAATCTGTTCCTTTCAAAAGCCACAGTTGCTGTTTACCTCTGTAGGTGACTTTTCATGAAGCCTGTGTTCATGCACCCCAAGTGCGAAGGACCAGAAGAGAGAGTGTTATCATTACATAATCTTGGCACTGATTTCTAAAATCTCTAGCATGTTATCTGTCCTTCCCAGATTGACCTAAATTTCATTCCATGTTCACACATTAAAGTAGCCCCTTCTGCAGTATTTCATTCAATGTTGTGTGAAAATAAATAGATATCTAACATTTTAAGTAGATATGTAATCTTTTTTTTAAAAAAAAAAAAAGAAACCAAGAACTGCTTTAGCTTATTAACAATAAACTGGCAAAATGTTGCCATGGAAGATGTGACATCACCAGGACAATGATTGTGAGAACCTTGTCTGGAGAATTATATTCACAGAGGAGAATGAAAAGGAAAGGAAAGCTTTCATTTGCCAACAGATTGAATAGCCCAGCAAAAGAAAGTATTAGGTACCATTGAAGTTCCATGACTTTTCTCATTTAGTGTTCTAAGGATCATTAAAGCTGTAATTTTTATCAAGAGAATTACTGCAAAAGAAGTTTTGGTTTTCCTAGCTTAATTGCCTGTTATGAATTCAGATTTTACAAATTACTTAAGCATACTTCCAAAATTCTGTTTTATTCCTATTCACATGACAATGAAAAAAATACTTTAAAAGAATCTATTAGGAAATATCAGGAAATAATATTTTGGTGATTTTTCTATGGTTTTTTTCAAGGCACATTTAAAATTCTTATGGCTTTTGTTCTGTTTGAGTGGTAAAATGTTAACATCTTAAATATTGAAAGTCTCAGCTTATATGGTTTATAAAGAGCATTTTTATTCTACAAATAAAAAATATCTTTTTTATTTTTTAAAAAGATTTTTTTATTTGTAGAATCACAAAAATATCTACAAATATTGCAGATATTTGTGATTAATATACTATAAATTACTAATAAAGACACATCCAAGACTGGGTAATTTATAAAGGAAAGAGGTTTAATGAACTCAATGTTTCAATGGCTGGGGAGGCCTCACAATCATGGTGGAAGGCAAAGGAGAAGAAAAGGCACATCCTACATGGTGGCAGGCAAGACAGTATGTGCAGGAGAACTCTCCTTTATAAAACCATCATATCTGCTGAGATTAACTATCAGAGAACAGGACAGGAAAGACCCAGCCCCATGATTCAATTATCTCCCACCGGGTTCCTCCCATGACACATGGGGATTATTACAATTCAAGGTGAGATTTAGATGGGGACACAGAGCCAAACCATATTATCTGCCTTCAGGCACAAATAAGTCTTGATCTAATGGAAGGATAATTTTCTTCTAGGGAGTTAAAACACCTTTCTCTCTGTCTGTCTGTCTGTCTCTCTCTCGCTCTCTCTTTTTTTTGACAGGTCTGGACTCCAGGCTGGAGTGCAGTGGCGCAATCTCAGCTCGCTGCAGCCTCTTCCTCCTCAGCTCAGGCAATCCTTCCACCTCAGCCTCCCAAATAGCTGGGACTACAGGTGCGTGCCACTCTGCCTGGCTAATTTTTTTTTTTTTTTTTTTTGGATTTTTTATAGAGACAGGGTTTTGCCATATTGCTCAGGCTGGTCTCAAACTCCTGGGCTCAACTGATCCACCTGGCTTGGCCTCCCAAAGTGCTGGGATTACAGGCATGAGCCACCTGGTAAGATCGGTCCCAGGCATAAACTGTCAAGATAGCACCGTGGATGTTTGGCGTTTTCCATTTCCCCTTTTGAGGTATCTTTTCCTCTAGTCTCCAGCGGCTGCCCTGCCTGCCACACACCCATGATAGCAGCCCTGGGCCAATAGTGCTGGGCGGCCACTCAGATCATTGTCCTGATTCACTGGGCCTGGGTTTCATTTCCATGGCATTTGTTCCTTTTTCTCTTCAATAGGTAATTTCCCTTCATTGTCCCAAGGCCACTTTATTGAGGGTTCCTGAAGACTCACAGGAATATAACTCCAATTGTAATGTAAAGTTTATTCACCATAATAGAAAGTGAACTTTTTCTTTTCTTCTGGTGCAGCAGCCCTAACTCCTTTCATATCCTGTGATTTCTTTCCATGTGGAGTTGTAGGTGCCTCTCTGTGTGCTGCTCACATGGTAGGCGCTCCCTAAGTGGGGCAAGATGAGGTCAGGAACAGATACACTGAACTCTGAGGCTGAAGCATCAGGCTTCCTTTTAAAAACAGCTCCTCCTAAGGCTTTGGGACAGACCTTAGCAATGTGTTCACATGCCATATGCTTTTATAAAATTTGCACACAGAAAAACATATTTTAGCCACCCTCAGTCAACAGTGCTCTTACCTCTCTGACTTGCCCTTGTGTTTGGTGGTGTTGGAGAGGGAATGTTGTGTATTTTAGGGTACTGATAAGAGAAAATTAAGTTGGTGATATACTTAATTTACATTTCATGGGATATATTTATGTGCTTTGTGATCATTTCTGTGATTAGTAGTTATAGCTAGGTGTCCTGGCAAATGAATAGTTTCCAGGAATACTTCTACCACCCACTGTGCTGAGCCACCCAGCGCCATGATATAAAGGTGCCAAGCCAATGTTCGTACATCATGAATGTGTCCCATTGCAGGGGCCCCCAACCCCTGGGCTTCTGGTTGGTACCAGCACATGACCTGTTAGGAACCCAGTCGTGCCGCAGGAGGTGAGTGGCGGGCAAGCATTACTGCCTGAGCTCCGCCTCCTGTCAGATCAGCGGCAGCATTAAACGAACCCTATTGTGAACTGCGCATGCGAGGGATCTAGGTTGTGCGCTCCTTAGGAGATTCTAAATAATGCCTGATGATTTGAGGATGAAACCATTCCATCAGTCCCCTCCAGCCCATGGGAAAATTCTCTTTCACGAAACCAGTTCCTGGTGCCAAAAAGGTTGGGGACCACTGTCCTATTACACCTCTTACCAGGACTGTGTAGGTAAGGGGTAGAGAAGCATGTTTAAAATGTCATAAGCTAGTCTATGAAAAATTCCTCCTATCCTCAGATGTAGAAAATTGTAAGCAGAGGATTTGGTTTGCACTGAAGCCTGTGCATAACTGTAGCATTCTAGTTGGAGTATATAAGATGATGCAACGTCTACAACGATCAGCACACGAATATACGTATTTTTCTTTTGGGATGGGAATTGTGTGAAATAGAATCAATCAGAACATTTTGATTTTTAGGGCAAACACCTATAGCTGTACTAAAAACAACAAGTGTGTCTGTGTACGAGGTTGAATGACTTATATATCCCAAACCTCAATATGGAAAACAAATTTTGATCAACTATACTCCAAAAAAGACTGAAGTATTTTTCTAGTCGCATTACAGAAGATGATATTACAAAATAGCTATTGTGTAAAGAAGCTACCAAAGAGCATTAAACCAAAAAATGAAATAGAAAACTATTATAAAGGTATGTTAGGCAGTTAGTTAATGAAATTATGTAAGTTTCCTAGAGTTTGTAATATTTATGGTATTTGTCAGCATTTAATTTTTTAAAATTTATTGTGATTTCTATTGTCATTCTTGTTTTCCATATTCTTGTATTTTGTAATTTTGTATTATTTTCTTTAAAGAGAGCCCCCAAATTGTATAAGCTTTTGACTTTACAAAACTTGGATCTGCCTTTGAATGAGATGAGATGAGCTAAGTCAAGCTGATACCTGGCATCTGACGTAATGAATTAATCAAATAAGAAATGAATTTAGTAAGAAAAGGAAAAAATAGTCAAAGTACTATAAGCTAGACAAGGAGAAAACCGTGTATTTTTAAAAATAACAACATATTTTCTGATGGTGGATATGATGTGCATAGGTGTAGATGGGATTATTTAAGGGGAAGTATGTGGATTGGTTGTATATTTTAATTTTTACTATGTTTATTTGGCTCCACTTCCTTCTCTCATTCTGAAATATCCTATTAGTTGCTTAGCAATGGAAGAATATTAATGCTAAGCATTTTTTAAACCTAGCTGTGGATTTGGGTTATGTTTTGTTTCGTTTGTTTGTTTGTTTGTTTGTTTACCAGCTAGATTTTAAAAATAGACTCTTCCATTTACATTAGAGGAATTTTGTCCAATCTACACAATCCCAAAACATATATAGTAAGATACTCAATGAATAACTGAATTGAATTGTCTTTCCTATCTACTTATCCAGGGCTTTGTCCAGGGGAGCATACTTTTCATCTCAAGTATATTTATAAATTTCATTCCTTAGAAAGTATAACTAGTGTCAGGGACATGCCAGGCTACAGATTATTACATTGTCCTAGAACCAGTTTGTTTTTGATGCTGCCTGTATAAATTCTTGTTACGATGATTAGTTAATTTTAATCTTCATTCCAAATGTCTGAAATTCTGCGGCCAGCAAAGGCACATTGCTGGTGGTAGATTCTTGTCTCTGGAATTTGCATTCCTTTCAAGATGGGAAGTCTCTGATCCTTTCTATCCCAAACGCATACCCAAAGCCCTCATAAAGTGCTATTCACTCTTGTTGGTTTCCTATTGACTGACTTTCATAATGAAGGTTATTGCAGAAAAAGCATGGAGACACTCTTCTACTTCCATTGCTGCTTGAATTTTGTTTTGTTTTGCTTTGTTTTGTTTTGTTGAGACAGGGTCTCACTGTGTTGCCCAGACTGGAGTGCAGTGAGGCAAACACAACTCACCTCAGCCTCGACCTCCTGGGCTCAAGTGATCCTCCTGCTTCAGCCTCCTGATTAGCTGGGACCACAGGTGTGCACCTCCATGCCCAGCTGATTTTATTTTTATTTTTATTCTTTTAGAAATGGGGTCTCCCTATTTTTCCCAGGTTGGTCTTGAACCCTTGGGCTCAAACAATCCTCCCCCCTCGACCTTCCAAAGTGCTGGGATTATAGGTGTGAGCCACTGCACCTGCCCCTTACTCACTGAATTTTTGTCATTCTTAGTGAGACCCTTTTTCTGGAGTATTTATTAGATTTGCATTTTCCAGTATAAATCTTACAGGCAGTACATAGTTGATTAGTGGTAATAACTGGATTGAGAGAACTTTAAGATCCTGCTCTGTTGCTTCTCTCTCTTTCTGTCTCTTACTTGCGCTTTGCTATAAAACTACAGGAAAGTTTGCTTGCACAATAAGGAACAACATGGTCCTTGACAAATCAAATTATGTAACAGATTGAAGTTTTGAGAGACTGTATAAAAGAAGCATCGGGTTTTACTTTTTAACAATTACGTGAATTTTATCCCCTTTAAGACCTGTATTTATTCTACATGTTTGTACTGCTATTGAGTATTTGGAATTATTTAGATCTATTGTGCTCCTTGTACTGGAAGAATGGCTCAATAGAGGTTTGTGAACTGTTAAACAAGTGTGAGTGATTCTCTATAGATTGTCACACCAGATCAGAAAATTCAGCTCCCAGAAGCACGGCAGCAAATCTGCCAAGTGGCACAACCTGTGCTTACTTGAGCTGATCAAGTCCTAAGCCTTTTTTGTTTATTTATTATTATTATTATTATTATTATTATTATTATTGAGACAGAGTCTCTCTCTGTCTCCCAGGCTGGAGTGCAGTGGCCCAATCTTGGCTCACTACAACCTCCGCCTCCTTGGTTCAAGTGATTCTCCTGCCTCAGCCTCCCGAGTAGCTGCGACTACAGGCGTCCGCTGCCACTACTGGCTAATTTTTGTATTTTTAGTAGAGACGGGGTTTCACCATATTGGCCAGGCTGGTCTCGAACTCTTGACCTTGTGATCCACCTGCCTCAGCCTCCCAAAGTGCTGGGATCACAGGCGTGAGCCACTGTGCCTGGCCACCTTTTTTGTTTATTAAACTGTGTTCAAGGATTGCAAGGAGAATATGACCCACCATATCTCTAATGCATTTTAATAGCAAAACTTTAATTTTAATAAAATTAAGTTAAATTTTAATAAATTTAACCTAATAAATTAAGTTTTAATAACAAAACTTCTTCCAGTCAAATGATCCATAGTCTGAAAAGACTGGTAGTGTAACACTTTTATTCAAACATTTCAGCCAATCATTAGCCATAGTGTAGCACTTGCCACAGAATACTCAGATTTTATTTAGCCAGATTTGGCCCTGCTAGTATTTTAAGTGTTTATATATAAAAAATATTATAAATGTGTTATCTAATATATATACATATCTGTGAATTTATATATTTATATAATCTTTATGCACAAAAAGACTTTAACCTAAACTCTCAAAAGAATTAACAACAACAAAAAAAGCCTGGAAATCAGGAAACAGCTAGCCAGGCATGGTGGTGTGTGTATGTAATCCCAGCTACTCTAGAGACTGAGGCAGGAGGATAGCTTGAGTCCAGGAGTTTGAGGCTGCAGTATACCATGATAGCAGCTGTGAATAGCTATTGTGCTGCAGCCTGAGCAACACAGCAAGACCCTGTCTTTAAAAAAAAATATAAGAGACACAGAGCTTCTCATTTTGTTGTTTGACATTTTCCTTTATTAATGTAATGCATATTCATACAATGTTCCTTTTAACAATAGCTGAATATAAAGTTAATAGTGTCTTTCCTTTTTCTTCCTTAACTCTCTACTTTCAGGAACCAAAAGTAACAATTAGTTAGATATCCTTCCATATCTTTCTCTAAAACAACACATCTCTGCAAATTAGATTTTGCCTCTGACTAGCTGGGATCTAGAGCGTGAGACTCAAGTCTTCAGTTTGCTTGTGCCAAAAATAAAGGTGGCCCAAAATCATAGTTAAATACCTTTACACTTACTAGGGTGGCTAAAATAAAAAAGACAATAACAAGTGTTGTCGAGGATGTGGAGAAATTGAAACTCTTGTATATTGCTGGTGGAAATGTAAAATGGTGCAGCTACTTTGGAGATGGTTTGGCAGTTCATCAAAATATTCAACATAGAGTTATCATATGAGCCAGCAGTTCTATTTCTAGGTAAGTATGCAAGAAAAATGGAAACATATTTCCATGGTGAAATGGGTGTTCATAGCAGCATTATTCATGATTGCCAAGAAGTAGATATAACACAAATGTCCATCGATTGATTAACAGATAAACAAAATATGGCAAATCCACACAATGAAGTTTTAGTCAGCCATAAAAAGGAATGAAGAATGGATACATAAAAAGGAATGAAGAATGGAATATGGATGAACTTTGAAAATATACTAAATGAGAGAACCCAGTCACAAAAGACTATATATCATATGGACTCATATGATACATGTGAAATGCATGGTAAATAGGTAAATATGTGAAGTTCATGGTACATAGGTAAATAGGTAAATCCATAGAGACAGAAAGCAGATTAGTAGTTGCCTGCGGCTGGGGAATGACTGCTAATGATTTTATTTTTGGGGTGAGAAAAATGTTCTATAATTAGATTCTGGTTATGGTTGTACTACTCTGAATATACTCAAAATTACTGAACTGAGCACTTTAAAGGAGTGAATTTTATGGTATGTGAAATGTATCTCAATAAAGTTATAAAAAATAAAAATAAGCTTACTTAATTTAGATGTTCTCCAAAATTTCTTTAGATTATAGAAACGTGGAGACACTCCATTTTCTTTTCTTACTTTTGTTGACAATTTATTTCAAGTTCTTAACCTTAAATCCTATTAAATTCCCCATTCTTTTAAATGGTTCATTGTATTTATACTAAATTTTAATATTTATTCTATGACATGAATGTCAACTTTTAGTTATGACAGTATAGAATCCTAAACATCTTAGTAAAGAGAAAAAAATGTGACTTTCCAGTTGTCATAACCAGTGTCTTTCTGGCTTTATATTTATCCTAACCATTGCTAAAACAATCAAGAAAGGAAAATGTTAGGCTAATCTTGTATGTGTGGAATATCAAATTTTGGTTTCTAACATTTTAATATGATTACCATATGTTATAGCCTCAAAGTGAAATATGCCAAGAAAGAAACCTAAATAGGCTATAATTTTGACCATGGCAAATATTTAGCAAATGTACCATTCCCGTACAGACCTTCAGTGGCCACTCCAGGATATCTCGGAAGGCAGGGAGCTTACAGGCTGCAGCCTGCCTAGAAGTGGGAGGAGACTATGTTTGCCTAGATTTGAGAAAATTCCAAGTGTCATTTATGTTCTGTGTACATTAAGAAAGATGGAGGTTAATTATTGTGGGTCTGAAGCATGGCCAAAGTCTCTCTACCACCCTTTTCCTGGCGCAGGCATTGACAGCATTTTCTTAGTACCAGAAATAATTTTCTCCTTGCCTGTACTTCCTACATAGAAAAACTGCCCTATTTATACTCAGAAAAGGCAAACCTCTGCATAACCACGACTCCCAGGTTGTGTCCAACTAAACCAGGGCTAGACCTTTGATTCAAAATGAGCTTTAAGACTCATTTTGGAGTTCCTACTTCTTAGAACTGAGACAAGAGATGGAATCAGTTACCTATGAGGTTACATGTTAGACTAAAGTTAAGTAATGCTTTTAAGTAAGGGAGACTTGGAAAATAAATCTGGAAAAGTAATGCCAGAAGACTTCAGCAAAAGCCTATTAAAGACTTTGACTAGTATGTTAGAGGAGGAAGTGAAGAACGAGGAAAAGATTTCAGACGCATTACGTGAAAAAAAATCAATACCAGTTTGTGGCTGATCAGATATGGGAGTAGTGAAATGAGGACAAAGGATCAGACGAGTATAAGGGCAATGTCCAATCTTAGTGCTGCTGGTTTGTTGATGCCATAACATAAACAGGAAGTCTGGGGGGAGAAGGAGTTTGGGGACTAGATTAATGATTTCATTTCTTGATATCAATGATTGTCAGACATGTGAAATGAAGTGTCCAGCAGGCAACTGAAGTTAGGGTACTGGAGCCAAAGACAGTTATACCATGTTATACAGTTATACAGTTAGTTATACCGTGAGTCTTCAAAGTGTGACAGCAGGTGCTCTGAAACAGAACAAGATTTCAGAGGGAGGGATAAAGAGGGAAAGAGGAAGATGTCTGGGAACTTGGACACCCACCATTATTCTGGAACAGGAAGAGTCAAGGAAGCAACAGCCAGAGGAGGAGGTATACCTGAGTCTCATCATTTTTTCTGAAAACTAGGGACAAAAGGGCTTCAGGGAAGAGGAGAGTAAACTGTTTCAAAAGCTACTGAGAAAATAGGAATGGAATTTAGTGAGAAGAAGACTTAACGTACATGGTTACAATGAAGATCTGAAGCCAGAATTCAGATAAGGGACTAAAAGGAAAGCCATAGAAAGAAAATAGCAGCAGAATGTGGAATCATTCCTTGAGAATTTAGCAATGAAAAAAATCAGCCAGATGTGGTGGCATGTGCCTGTAGTCACAGTGACTCAGGAGGCTAAGGTGGGAGGATCTCTTGAGCCCAGGAGTTTGAGGCTGTAGTGAGCTGTGATAGCACCACTGCACTCCAGCCTGGGTGACAGAATGAGATCCTGTCGCTAAAAAACAAACAAAAAAGAGAATTTAGCAATGAAAGGAAGTAGCAAAAATTGTAGGTTATCTGGGAGGTTCAGGAGGAGATAAAATTTTGAATATTACCAACACAAAGAAATGATAAAGGCTGAAAGTGAGATGCAAGTTACCCGGATTTGATCCTTATACATTGTATACATGTATCAAAATTTCACACTGTAAATATTACACTGTAAATATGTACACTTATTATGTGTCAACTAAAATTTCTTTTTTATAAAAAGAAAAGTTGCCTTGTTTCATCTTCCCCTCCTTTAGAGAGGAGACCTTCATGTATGAAGATGGCCAGAAGAGAGCAAAAGAAGTTGAAACTACTTAAAAAGAAAAACATGAAAGAGGAAGCAAGGTCCACATATTTCAGCAGTTTTCAACTTGTGTTAGCCATAGAGCTGTTTCTTCAAACCAGTCTTGCTGGGAAGCCTAATATATAAAACTAATACAAGTGGAGTCACTCTACTGAAGGTCACTATGTGTGTGTATGTGCATGTGTGTGTATGTGCATGTGTGTGTGTGTACACATATGTGCACACACGTGTGTGTGTTAGCAGTTGGGAGGTGCTTCCCTAGGAGTTCTCTGTTTCTTCTATGACAACCAACGGCCTACATGATCCCATTGGCTCCACATCAGTGATGAAGGTGTTTCTATCATTTCTAGTTGATTCTTGAAGAAACTGACTGAGAATTTAGTGACTTATTCAAAGTCACACAACTAGTTTGAGACAGAGTCAGGACCAGCACCAGGATCTTACGGCCCCAAATCCCGTCTTCTTTCTGACACGCCACTTCAAAGGCCTTCCTCTTCTGTGCAGCACAATCACATCTTCCTTTTTACAGGAAAGTATTTGAAGAGACTATGAGCAACAAAAAGAAAGATTTGGGGGGAACATGTGGTATTCAACAGCTCAGTAAGACCAACTCATTTATCTGATCAGTCAGATAAATTGGTAAAGAAAATGGGACTTCTAAGATAGAGGTCCCAAACGGTAGTCTATTTAAGAAGGGAGCTGCAGTCCCATAGCATTTATTTATTTATTTATTTATTTATTTATTTTTTGAGACAGGATCTCACTGTGTCACCCACACTGGAGTGCAGTGACATAATCGTGGTTCACTGCAGCCTCAACCTCCCAGGCTCAAGTGATCTTTCTACATCCACCTCCCGTGTAGCTGGGACCACAGGCACATGCCACCATGCCTAGCTAATTTTTTCTTTTTGTAGAGATGGGGTCTCACCATGTTGCCCAGACTAGTCTTGAACTTCTGGGCTCAAGCAATCCCCTCGTCTCAACCTCCCAAAATGCTGGGATTACTGGCATGAGCCACCACACCCAGCCTCCACAGCATCTTTTAAAAATAATTCCTTGTTGCAAAACATAAGTTTTCTTCTTTTAGGAAGAGAAGGGCATTACCGATGGGAATGTAAAATGGTGCAGCCAGATAGAGGATTAAGATAGCAGATAGGAAGCAGGACTAACTTGTAGCTCCTGCTCAGATGGACAGAGCAGTGTGTGGAGACTCGTATCACGAACATTTGCTCCAATAACCACTGCAGGAACATACCAGGAAAGCCAAGAGAATCCACAGATCCTTTGAAGGAAATGGATCACCACTGTAGGCTCCCTGAGACACTGAAAAACTGTGCTGGTATCCACAGCTGAAAGACCTGAGGATGGATTATATCACAGGACTTGTTGCAGACACTCCCTAATACCAGCTTGGAGCCCAGTAGCTCCACTAGGGGACTAGACCCAGAAGAGCAAAAACAATCACTGCCTTTTGGTTTTCATGAAGCCCCATCCTAGGGAGGGAGGAGAACACCACATCAAGGGAGCACCCTGTGGGACAAAAGACTCTGAGCAGCAGCCCTTAAGTCCCAGATCTTCCATCTGACATAGTCTACCAAAATGAGAAGGAACCAGAAAAACAATTCTGGTAATATGACAAAACAAGATTCTTTAACACCCCCAAAAGATCACAACACCTCACCAGCAGTGGATCCAAACCAAGATGAAATCTCTGAATTGCCAGAAAAAGAATTAAGAAGCTTGATTATTAAGCTAACCAAGGAGCACCAGGGAAGGGTGAAGTCCAACTTAAAGGAATAAAAAACATGGTGCAGGATATGAAATATCAGTGAAATCGATAGCATACGTAAAAAACAATCACAATTTCTGGAAATCAAGGATACACTTAGAGAAATGCAATATGCTCTGGAAAGTCTTGGCAATTGAACAGTAGAAGAAAGAACTTCAGAGCTTAAAGACAAGGCTTTTGAATTAACCCAATCTGTCAAAGACAAAGAAAAAAAGATTTTTTAAAAATGAACAGAGTCTCCAAGAAGTTTGGGACTGTGTTGAACATCCAAACCTAGGAATAATTGGTGTTCCAAAGGAAGAAGAGAAATCTAAAAGTTTGGAAAACATATTTGAGGGAATAATCGAGGAAAACTTCCCTAGCCTTGCTAGAGATCTAGACATTCAAATACAAGAAGCTCAAAGAACACCTGGGAAATTTATGGCAGAAAGATCATCGCCTAGGCACATAGTCATCAGGTTATCTAAAGTAAAGATGAAGGAGAGACTCTTAAGAGCCGTGAGGCAAAAGCATCAGGTAACCTATTAAAAAAAAATTATCAGATAAACAGCAAATTTATCAGCAGAAATCCTGCAAGTTAGAAGGGACTGGGGTCCTATTTTAGCCTCCTTAAACAAAACAACTGTCAGCCAAGAATTTTGTACCCAGTGAAACTAAGCTTCATAAATGAAGGAAAGATATAACCTTTCCCAGACAAATAAGTGCTGAGAAAATTCACCACTGCCAAGCCATCACTACAAGAACTGCTAAAAGGAGCTCTAACTCTTGAAACAAATTCTTGAAATACACCAAAATAGAACCACCTTAAAGCATAAATCTCACAGGACCTGTAAAACAATAACACAATAAAAAAAACCCAAGGTATTCAGGCAACAAATGGCATGATGAATAAAATAGTACCTCACATCTCAATACTAATGTTGAATGTAAATGGCCTGAATGCCCCATTTAAAAGATGCAGAATAGCAAAATGGATAAAAATTCACAAACCAAGTACCTGTTGTCCTTAAGAGACTCACCTGACACATAGGACTCACATAAACTTAAGGAAAGGGGTGGAAAAAGATATTCCATGCAAATGGACACCAAAACTGAGCATGAGTATAGCTTCTTATATCAGACAAAACAAACTTTCAAGCAACAGCAGTTAAAAAAGACAAAGAGGGACATTATATAATGATAAAAGGACTAGTCTAACAGGAAAATATCACAATCCTAAATATATATGCACCTAACACTGGAGGGCCTGAATTTTTGAAACAATTACTTCTAGACCTAAGAAATAAGATAGATGGCAACAAAATAATAGTGGAAGACTTTAATATAACACTGATAGCACTAGACAGGTCATCAAGACAGAAAGTCAACAAAGAAATGACAGATTTAAACTATACCCTAGAACAAATGGATTTAACAGATATTTACAGAACATTCTACCCAACAACTGCAGAACATTAATTCTATTCATCAGCACATGGAACTTCTCCAAGATAGACCACATGATTGGCCACAAAACAAGTCTCAGTAAATTTAAGAAAATTGAAATTATATCAAATATTCTCTCAGACCACAGTGGAATAAAATTGGAAATCAACTCCAAAAGGAACCCTCAGAACCATGCAAATTCACAGAAATTAAATAACCTGCTCCTGAATGATCATTGGGTCAACAACAAAATCAAGATGGAAATTAAAAAATTATTTGAACTGAATGATAATAGTGACAAAACCTATCAAAACCTATGGGATACAGCAAAAGTGGTGCTAAGAGGAAAGTTCATAGCATTAAATGTCTACATCAAAAAGTCTGAAAGAGCACAAATAAACAGTCTAAGTTCACAACTCACAGAACTGGAGAAACAAGAACAAACCAAACCCAAATGCAGCAGAAGGAAAGAAATAACGAAGATCAGAGCAGAACTAAATGAAACTGAAACAAACAAAAAATACAAAAGATAAATGAAATGAAAAGCTGGTTCCTTAAAAAGATAAATAAAATTGATAGACCATTAGTGAGATTAACCAAGAAGAGAGAAGATCCAAATAAGCTCAATTAGAAATGAAACAGGAGATAATACAACTGATACCACAGAAATACAAAAGATTATTCAAGGCTACTATGAACACCTTTATGCTGATAAACTAGAAAACCTAGAGGACATGGATACATTCCTGGAAATATATAACTCTCCTAGATTAAACCAAGAAGATATAGAAACTCTGAACAGACCAATAACAAGCAGTGAGATTGAAATGGTAACAAAAAAAATCGTCTACCAAAAAAAAGTCCAGGACCAGAGAGATTCACAGCTGAATTCTATCAGGCATTCAAAGAAGAATTGGGACCAATCCTACTGACACTATTCCAAAAGACAGAGAAAGAGGGAATCCTCTCTAAATCATTCTATGAAGCCAGTATCACCCTAATACCAAAACCAGGGAAGGACATTAGAAAAAAAGAAAACTATAGACCACTATCCTTGATGAACACAGATGCAAAAATCCTCAACGAAATGCTAGCGAACTGAATCCAACAGCATATCAAAAAGATAATCCATCATGATCAAGTGGGTTTCATACCAGGGATGCAGGGATGGTTTAGCATATGTAAGTCAATCAATGTGATATGCCACATAAACAGAATTAAAAACAAAAATCACATGATCATCTCAATAGATGCAGAAAAAGCATTTGACAAAATCCAGTATCGCTTTGTGATTAAAACCCTCAGCAAAATCGGCAGAGAAGGGACATCCTTAAGGTAGTAAAAGCTATCTATGACAAAGCCATGGCCAACATTATACTGAATGGGTAAAAGTTGAAAGCATTTCCCCTATGAACTAGAACAAGACAAGGATGCCCATTCTTACCACTTCTGTTCAACATAGTACTGGAATTCCTAGCCAGAGCAATCAGACAAGAGAAAGAAAGAAAGGACATCCAAATCAGTAAAGAGGAAGTCAAACTGTCACTCTTTGTTGATGATATAATTGTATACCTAGAAAACCCTAAAGACTCATCCAAAAAGCTCCTGGAACTGGTAAATGAATTCAGCAAAGTTTCAGGATACAAAATTAATGTACACAAATCAGTAGCTCTGCTATACACCAACAGTGACCAAGCTGAGTATCAAATCAAGGACTCAACCCCTTTTACAATAGCTGCAAAAAAAAAAAAAAAAAATACTTAGGAACACACGTAATCAAGGAGGTGAAAGACCTCTACAAGTAAAACTACAAAACACTGCTGAAACAAATCAGACAACACCAAAAAATGGAAACACATCCCATGCTCATGGATGGGTAGAATCAATATTGTGAAAATGACCATACTGGCAAAAGCAGTCTACAAATTCAATGTAATTCCCATCAAAATACAACCATCATTCTTCACAGAACTAGAAAAAACAGTCTTAAAATTCATATGGAACCTAAAAACAGCCCTCATAGCCAAAGCAAGACTAGGCAAAAAGAACAAATATGGAGGCATCACATAATCCAACTTCAAACTATAAGGCTACAGTCACCAAAACAGCATGGTACTAGTATAAAAATAGGCACATAGACCAATGGAACAGAATAGAGAACCCAGAAATAAAGCCAAATACTTACAGCCAACTGATCTTCGACAAAGCAAACAAAAACATAAAGTGGGAAAAGGACACCCTATTCAACAAATGGTGCTGGAAAAATTGGCAAGCCACAGTAGAAGAATGAAACTGGATCCTCATCTCTCACCTTATACAAAAATCAACTCAAGATGGATCAAGGACTTAAATCTAAGACCTGAAACCATAAATATTCTAGAAGATACATTGGAAAAACCCTTCTAGACATCGGTTTAGGCAAAGACTTCATGACCAGGAACCCAAAAGCAAAAGCGACAACAAAAAAAGATAAATAGATGAGACTTAATTAAACTAACAAGCTTCTGCACAGCAAATAATAATAATAATCAGCAGAGTTAACAGACAACCCACAGAGTGGGAGAAAATCTTCACAATCTATACATCCATCAGAGGACTAATATCCAGTATCTACGAAGAACTCAAACAAATCAGCAAGAAAAAACAAACAATCTCATCAAAAATTGGGCTAAGGACATGGATTGACAATTCCCAAAGGAAGATATACAAATGGCCAACAAGCATATGGAAAAATGCTCAACATCACTAATTATCAGGGAAATGCAAATCAAAACCACAGTGTGATGCCACCTTACTCCTGCAAGAATGGCCATAATCAAAACATAAAAAAAATAGATGTTGGCATAGATGTGGTAAAAAGAGAACACTTTTACACTCTTGGTGGTAATGTAAACTAATACAACCACTATGGAAAACAGTGGGGAGATTCCTTAAATAACTAAAAGATCCACAATTTGATCCAGCAGTACCAGTACTAGGTATCTACTCAGAAGAAAATAAGCATTATAAGAAAAAGATATTTGCTCGTGCATCACATGCATGTTTATAGCGCCAAAATTCGCAATTGCAAAAATATGAAAACAGTCCAAATGCCCATCAGTCAACTAGTGGATAAAGAAAATGTTATATATATATATACACATACATATATACATATACACCATGGAATACTACTCAGCCATAAAAAGGAATGAAATAATGGCATTCGCAACAACCTGGATGGAATTGGAAACTCTTATTCTAAGTGAAGCAACTCAGGAATGGAAAACAAAAATCGTATGTTCTCACTTATAAGTGGGAACTAAGCTATGAGGACTCAAAGGCACAAGAATGATACATTGGACTTTGAGGACTTCAGGGGAAATGGTGGGAGGGTGGTGAGGGATAAGACTACACATTGGATACGGTGTACACTGCTTGAGTGATGGGTGTACCAGAATCTCATAAATAAAAAACCTAAAAAAAGAACGGTGCAGCCCATGTGCAAAACAGTATGACAGTTCCTCAAAAAAATAAACATATAATTATGATATAATCTAGCAATTCTACTTTGGATGTTTACCCCCAAATAATTGAAAGCAGGGACCTGAACAGATACTTGTACGCTCATGTTCATAGTAGCCTTATTCACAATAGCCAAAAGATTGAAACTTCCCAAATGTCCATCAACAGATAAATGGCTAAACTAAATTAGAATATACATACAATGATACTATTCAGCTTTAAAAAGAAACAAGGTTCTGATACATGCTACCACATGGATGAACCTTGAAAACATTATACTAAATGAAATAAGCCAAACACAAAGGAACAAATATTGTTTGATTCCACTTATATGAGGAAACTAGAATAGGCAAATTCACAAATGCAGAAGTAGAATATTGATTAGCAGGGGCTGATGGGAACGGGGAATGGGGAGTTAGTGTTTAGTGGGTACAAAGTTTCAGTTTGAGGTAATTAATGAATGTAAGAGTTCTGAAGATGAATTGTGGTCTGGTTGCACAACAATGTGAATATAATTAATAACACCAAATTGCACACTTAAAATGGTTAACATGATAAACTTTAGGTTATGTATATTTGACCAAAATAAAAAAAGAGAGAGAGGGCATTTTGTCCTCACTGCATTTTGTGCCACTTTTAAAGCAATTTCTTGGCTTCTATAATCACTATTCTAGTTGAAAAGCAAAAGAAACTTTGTTTTTCCTTGTGATAGGCATGTTTTTGTTCTCATTCATTTTTGTTTTTCTTACCATTCCTGAGAGATCCTTGAATGCGTGATTATCAAAACCTCTACATTAAGAATGATCCTTACTAGATTTTTCTGTGGCAGAAATATGCCCCTTATTTTGGGGTCAAGAAATGTAGGCTAGGTGCAGTGGCTCTTGCCTCTAATCTCAGCACTTTGGGAGGCCGAGGCAGGTAGATCACCTGAGGTCAGGAGTTCAAGACCAGCCTGACCAACATGGTGAAACCCCGTCTCTGCTAAAAATACAAAATTAGCTGGGCATGGTGGCGCATACCTGTAATCCTCGTTACTTGGGAGGCTGAGGCAGGAGAATCATTTGAACCCAGAAGGCGGAGGTTGCAGTGAGCTGAGATTATGCCGCTGCACTCCAGTCTGGGCGACAGAGTGAGATTCCGTCTTAAAAAAAAAAAAAAAAAAGTAAAATCAAACGTTAACAAGTCCTAGACTTTACATCTTTCTAGGAAGCATGGAGGTACATCCTAATATTAGCTAACTCTAATTCTGACATGGATAGCAGGTTGACAACATTAATAAACCAGCCAGATCACCTATACCCTTGCCGCTTAAAGTGTGGTCTATGGACCAGTGGTGACAGCATTCCTGGATCAGTTTATTAGAAATGCATAATCTTGGGCACAATCTCAGACCTACTGAATTGGAATCTGCATTTTACCAAAACCCCAGGTGTTTCCTATGCACATTGAAGTCTGTGAAGTACTGAAGTACTGATCTACACTACTTTCTTAAATGCAACAAATTTTGTGTGTGTGTGTGTGTGTGAGGCGGAGTCTTGTTCTGTCGCCCAGGCTGGAGTGCAGTGGTGCGATCTCGGCTCACTGCAACCTCCGCCTCCCAGGTTCAAGCGATTCTCCTGCCTCAGCCTCCCGAGTAGCTGGGACTGCAGGCACATGCCACCATGTCCGACTAATTTTTTGTATTTTTAGCAGAGATGGGGTTTCACTGTGTTAGCCAGGATGGTCTCCATCTCCTGACCTTGTGATCCGCCTGCCTTGGCCTCCCAAAGTGCTGGGATTACAGGTGTGAGCAACCGCACCCGGCCTCCTTATTTTTTTTTTAATTATTTTTACCTTTTTTTTTTTTTTTTTTTTTTTTGAGATAGGGTCTCACTCTGTCACCCAGGCTGGAGTTCAATAGCACCATCATGGCTCACCGCAGCCTCAACCTCCTGGGCTCAAGCCATCCTCCCAGTTTGGCCTCCCAAAGTGCTGGGACTACAGGCATGAGATATCATGCCCAGCTAGAAGTTTCTTTCTCCTTGAAGAAAGAGTTAAAAGTAGAGAACAAACATTTGCTGAAGATTTGCTGTGCAATACATACTGACATATGAACCAATGTTATCTCATTTAATTCTTAAAATAACAATAGCGGTATAGATTATTGATTCCTTTTAACAGATGAAGAAACTGAGGCTTAATCATTCCATTGTCACCCAGCTAGGAAGTGCCAGGACTGGCATTTGACTCTGGGTGTTTTTAAATCAGAAGTTTTTTTCCATTACACCAAGATATCTTTTAAGCATATGAAAGAAGACATTCTAAAACCGTTTGGAATAAAAAATTACTTAAGAATTTCACTAAGAAAAACATGGTATGACTCAGAACCATAAAGCTATCAACACTGAGCATTTATTTTATCTTGCAACCTGCTTTTCTTTATTAATCTTCACAATAACCAGGTGAGGAAAAAGTTATCTTCATTCTGCAAATAAAATACCCTGAAGCTCAGAGTAGCTAAAGGTTTGCCCACAGTCATAAAGCAGTGAGTCAGAATTTGAATTAAGGTGAAAAGGCTTAACTGTTAACTGCGAATACACGGACAGTCTACTCTCTGAAGCCATTTAGACACTAAGAAAGCCAAGGTAACTCTTTTGCAGATGTTAGCTGTTGTAGTTTGGAGCCAGCTGGATTAATATTTGGGGCATTCTACTTTCCTTAATGTGTCTAAATGAAACCATGTGGATCCCACCCATTGTTTTATGTCTGGCTTTGCCTGACATTATTGACCAATACTTATTTTTGTTATTATTATTTTAGAGACAGTGTTTCACTCTGTTGCCCAGGCTGGTGCAGTGGTGCAAACACAGCTCGCTGTAGCCTTGAACTCCTGGGCTCAAGTGATCCTCCTGCCTTAGCCTCCCACGTAGCTAGTACTACAGATGGCAGGTAGTACCACCATGCTTGGCTGTTTGTTTGTTTGTTTGTTTGTTTTTTATATAGATAGAGTCTCATGATGTTGCTCAGACTGGTCTAAAACCAGTGACCTCAAGCAATCCTCCAGTCTAGGCCTTCCAAAGAGCCGAGATTACAGGTGTGAGCCACTGTGCCTGGCCCTCCAATGCTTATGAATGTGTGAGGTTCTGTGGTCAAATCCTTAGAAGGTTGTGGTCTGCGAGACTGAACGTGACGTGGCCCTGTGTCTCCTGGCCCATTCTCCTTTTATGTGACTTGTCTCGTGGCTCTGGATGCTCAGCCATCCTGCCGTGCTGTCATCATTTCCTAGAGTAGGTTGTGCCCCTTCCTCACTCAGCTCCTTTGCACAGGCTGTTTCCTTGGACTCTAAGGCTCATTCTCCTCTTTGTTGTCTAAAGCTTATTCATTCATTCTTCAGGTCTCAACCTGCATCTCACTTCCTCAGGGAAGCTTTCCCTAACTCTGTTGTTCAGTTCAAACACCCATTGGCCACTCTCATAATCCCCTGTATTTCTCTATTATGACACCTATCACAAGTGTAATTTATTAATTATTTCTTTAATAATTTCTTTAAGGTATAGCTTCCCCCACTAAACTGTAAGTTCTAAGAAGGCAAGAACCATATTTTATTTTATGCTACTGTCTCCTAGCAAACATATCTAGCATATAATCAATGTCTAATAAATATCTGTTGAATAAGGCCAGGTGCAGTGGCTCATGCCTGTAATCCCAACACTTACGCGAGACCAAGGCAGGAGGATTGCTTGAGCCCAAGAGTTCCAGACCAGCCTGAGCAACATAGTGAGAACCCTTCTTTACAAAAAAATTAAAAAATTAGCCAAGTCTGGTGGCACATGCCTGTAGTCCCAGCTACTTGGGAGGCTGAGGTGGAAGAATCATTTGAGCCCAGGTGTTAAAGGTTACAGTTAACTGTGATCGCACCATTGCACTCTAGTCTGGGTGACAGAGTGAGGCCCTGTCTCTAAAAATATATGTGTGTATATATATAAATATATGTATATGTGTACATATATGCATATAATATATATACATAGATAACATATATACACATATATTACACACATATATACACACATATTATTTATACATATATAATATAAAATATGCATATAATATATATTATATACACATATGGTATATATACAATGTATATATGCATGTATATATACAATGTATATATGAATGTATATATACATGTATATATGAATGTATATATACATGTATATATGCATGCATATATACATGTATATATGCATGTATATATGCATGTATATATACAATGTATATATGTATGTATATATACAATGTATATACAATTATCTATATATATTTGTTGAATAAACCAATGCATTTAATGTTTATAAAATATTTTTGTGAACTAGAAAGTTTTATACAAATGGTATTACCATTATCATTATTTGTACTCTGATTACTTGAAGTTTATTTTGTATGTTAATGATGTTGATGATAAATAATGAATTTGTATACGTTAAACGAATTGTAATAACTTTTTATTGTAATAGCTGAGCCTAACTTTGTCCTGCGTTGTAGCTTTGTATGACATGTATGGGAAGGGCCTGAGTTAACCAGGCACAGGCAGGACGATTTTCATTTGATCAACCGGATCCTGACAGGAATCTGAGCTAGGTGATATGTCTCTGAATTCCTCACCTGACCTTTTTCTCATAAGGTGGATGAGTTAATCCTAAGAGATTCACAATCAAACCAGAAGAGTTTTGGCAATCTTTCTGGTTCTACTTGTTCCCAGGAGAAAGTATGTGTTTGCAGACAAATGAGTTTGCTTTATTTTTGGTCAGGAAACAGACCAAGTTACGCAAGGTGCTTCCAATTTCTGCCAGAGTTGCCAAAACATGAAAATAAATTTAGTGCTGAAATTTATAAAATAGTTTTATAAATGCCTTGAACCCTAGTATCTGCTACTCTTCTGCTTTTTAAGTGATTTATGTTGTTTTTATTCCTAATCTCCTGTTTTACAGCATATTCAACAGCCTCTAATCCTTTTGGGCAGTAGGCATGATTTACATTTTGAAAAAATATTGCATGCCTTTTGCCTGAGCTATCAGCAATTCAAGAAGTAATCACATTGAAAAGGAGGATCTGGCAAAAACAAAGCTATTATCCTTACTACAGTAATGGATTTCATACACTATGGCATTTCGTTAGAGAAATGTATTGTGCCTTAAGCTTTCTTTAGTGTTTCTCAATTAAAATCATATATAACTCACTTTTTGACTAAAAAGAGGCTATCTTAACTACAGAATCTCTAAGGACTAGACACTTTTTTAAAGTTCATGGTATACATTTAATAATGTGTGGGAAAGCACTTGGTAAACATGTTAAGTTACTTAGTAAAGAGTCTAAACAAGAGTAATTACTGTGGTTATAGGCTTTTAAAAAAAATTGATGCATAATAGATGTACATAGTTTCAAAGGGTCATAAGTTTTCTTACTCTAATTTCATAGAAATAATGTTAGCTATTAAGTGTATTGAATCTTGAATCTGGGCATACTGAGTGTCTTAAAAAGGTGTGTATATTCTAAATCTACATTATGAGTTTAGGCAAATAGGGTTAGGATTAGGGTTTGGGTTAGGGTTCAACTGCTGAACTGCTATGTTTGTGTTTGATCAACGCTGTAGGGCCGCTGAGTTGCCCAGACAAAGCCAGAGTCTGTCATTAGCTTGGATGGAGACTATGGTTGTTTGTTCACTTATCCAACTAGTATTCATTGAGCATATACTATGTTCAAGCCACTATCCTAGGCTTTCGGAATGTTTGGTATAGGGATGTACAAAATAGACCCTGTCCCTCAGCAATATCTCAAGTAGTTCAGAATTGGGAGAGACCCAAGGTTTAGTTCTGGTTCCTATTTGAGGAGCTTGGTGACCCTTAGAGAGTCACTAGCTTCCTGGAGCTTCTTGGGAAACATTAATTTTCTCATCTGTGGAACTCAGGGAGGGAGCAGGGCAATTAATTTTTAAGGGAGGGACCTCAACTCATTAGTGACCACTTCTAAAAGATGTGCAACTTCCTTCACATACATGTTGTATTCCATTTAGCTGATACTGTTTTCTTTTTGGTGATGCTGTATTAGTCTGAAATTTGAAACTCTACAAGGCAGTAAAATTGATTTTAAATGTTAAATAATTTAGTATAAGTAAGCCCTGTACATAAACATGCAATTATGTGAATTGCTGTTATTGATGTTGAAATGTAACTGTTTACCCAATGAAGGTTAAAGGTGTTCCCTAGTTAAAGTCTTTTAAATTCATGCTGATATTTGTATAGTTTGAGATGCCATAATTATGTTCAAATGAATTATTGGTGCTTCAGGGAACATATGGCTATAGAAAATAATAATGTTGCTATAATTATTTTGTATTTATTTAATGATATGATGGTTTATGCAATGTTAATGTTCAGGTATAATGGATTGTTAATGTTGTGAGTGTTTAAAACAGTAAACTGTTGTAAAAATAATCTTCCGTGACCGAGAAATTTTATTTTTTGTTGCATTATGCTAAAGCACTATTTTTTCACATGTTGGATGATAAATATCATATATTGCTTTGATACCTGATTCATATGTAAGTCTGCTGAGATATGACTTTCAAATGTTCATGCTTAGTGGGCACTTAGAATATACACACTCTGGTCTTTATCCATCTTCATAGATAATACATACTTCTGAATATTCTCAGCAACTAGCACACTGGTAAGTGGAGCAACAGTAAGTACAGAGATGGGTAAACAGAAGGGAAAGACTGACATGAACATCTGATCTTTCACCCAGTTCCTCAACTACCTGTAGCACTGAGAGAGCATGTAACTCCACACACTTGGATTTGTGTGTGTGTTTTTTTTTCTCTAAGGCCTGAGTGAAGTCTATTCAATGAAACCTTCCATGAAACAACTATAGCGGCTAAAACTACTGAACAAGACTGCTTTGTCCAAATCACCAAGGCACAGTTCTCTGGGAACTGGGCATTGCATCTTCAGAATAAAGAGGCCAAAGAAGTCCTCATTTAGTTCTGCATTAATATACTCATGGAAAAGGACATTAGGTTTTGCTTGTCATGGGAAAAGCATGCAGTTTGGCAGAGTTAGAAAGTGTCCAGAATCCAAAGTCAGGTGGACCTGGGTTCAAATCATGGCTCTGATAACTATTAGCTGTGACTGTGGTCAAGATACTTACTGATATTGTTTGGCTCTGTGTCCCCACCCAAATCTCATCTAAAATTGTAATTGCCATAATCTGCAGTGTGAAGAGAGAGACCTGGTGGGAGGTGACTAGATCATGGGGACAGCTTCCTCCAGGCTGTTCTCATCAAAGTGAGTGAGTTCTCATGAGATCTGATGGTTTTGTAAGTGTCTGACTGTTCCTCCTTAACACTCGCTCTCTCTTGCCTGCTGCCATGTGAGATGTGCCTGCTTTCCTTTCATCTTCCACTATGATTGTAAGTTTCCCATGGCTTCCTCAGCCATGCAGAATTGTGAGTCAATTAAACCTCTTTCCTTTATAAATTACCCAGTCTCAGGGAAGTTCTTTATAGCAGTGTGAAAATGGACTAATACAGGAAATTGGTACCAGGAGTTTGGGGGCACTGCTATAAAGATACTTGAAAATGTGGACGTGACTTTGAAACTTTGGAAGCAACTTTGGAACTGGGTAATGGGCAGAGGCTGGGACAGTTTGGAGGGCTCAGAAGAAGACAGGAAGATGTGGGAAAGTTTGGAACTTCCTAGAGACTTGTTGAATGGTTTTGACCAAAATCTTGATAGTGATGTGGAGAATGAAGTCCAGGCTGAGGTAGTCTCAGATGGAGATGAAGAACTTATTGGCAAATGGGGTAAAGGTCACACTCGCTATGCTTTAGCAGAGAGACTGGTGGCATTTTGCTCCAGCCCTAGGGATCTTTGGAACTTTGAACTTGAGAGAGATGATTTAGGGTATCTGGTGGAAGAAATTTCTAAGCAGCAAAGCATTCAAGAGGTGACAGAGCATAAAAGTTTGAAAAACTTGCAGCCTGACCATGTGGTAGAAAAGAAAAACCCATTTTCTGGGGAGAAATTAAAGCCAGCTGCAGAAATTTACATAAGTAATGAGGAATTGAATGTTAATCTACAAGACAATGGGGAAAATGTCTACAGGGCATCTCAGAGTCCTTCATGGCAGCCTGTCTCATATGGTTTGGCTGTGTCTCCACCCGAAACCTCATCTCGAATTATAATTCTGCACTTCTCTCTCCTGCCACCATGTGAAGGACATGTTTGCTTCCCCTGCTACCATGATTGCAAGTTTCCTGAGGCCTCCCCAGCCATCTGGAACTGTGAGTCAATTAAACCTCTTTCCTTTATAAATTACCCAGTCTTGGGCAGTTCTTTACAGCAGCGTAAAAATAGACTAATACATCCTCCCATCACAGGCCCAGGGGCCTAAGAGGGAAAAATGATTTCCTGGGCCAGGTCCAGGGCCCCACTGCCTTGCGCAGCCTCAGGACATGACCCCCTGCATCCCAGCCACTCTAGCTCCAGCTGTGGCTGAAAGGGGCCAAGGTAGAGCTTGGGCCATTGCTTCAGAGGGTGCAAGCCCCAATTCTTGGCAGCTTCCACATGGTGTTGGGCCTGTGGGTGCACAAAATTCAAGAGCTGAGCTTTGGCAGCTTCTGCGTAGATTTTAGAGAATGTATGGAAACACCTGGATGTCCAGAGAGAAGTCTGCTGCAGGGGCAGAGCCCTCATGGAGAATCTCTTCTAGGGCAGTGTGGGAGGAAAATGTGGGGTTGGAGCCCCCACACAGAGTCTCCACTGGGGCACTGCCTAGTGGAACTGCGAGAAGAGGGCCACCATCCTCCCAACTCCAGAAAGGTAGATCCACCAAGAGCTTGCACTGTGTGCCTGGAAAAGCCACAGTCACTCAATGTCAGCCCATAAGAGCAGCCATCGGGGCTGAACCCTGCAAAGCCACAGGGATAGAGCTGCCCACGGCTGTGGGAGGCCACCTCTTGCATCAGCATGCCCTGAATGTGAGACATGGAGTCAGAAGAGATTATTTTGGAGTTTTAAGATTTAATGACTGCTTCACTGGATTTCAGACTGGCATGGGGCCTGTAGCCCCTTTGTTTTGGCCAATTTCTCCCATTTGGAATGGGAGCATTTATCTAATGCCTGTACCCCATTGTATCTTGGAAGTAACTAACTTGTTTTTGATTTTACAGGCTCATAGGCAGAAGGGACTTCCCTTGTCTCAGATGAGACTTTGAACTTGGACTTTTGGGTTAATGCTGGAATTAGTTAAAATTTTGGGGGACTGTTGGGAAGGCATGATTGGTTTTGAAATGTAAAAAGGACATGAGATTCAGCAGGGGGCAGGGGCAGAACAATATGTTTTGGCTCTGTGCCCCCAACCAAGTCTCATCTCAAATTGTAATTGCTATAATTCCCACATGTTAAGGGAGGGACCTGATGGGAAGTTATTGGATCATGGGGGTGGTTTCCCCCATGATGTTCTTGTGATAGTGAACTCTCACAAGATCTGATGGTTTTATAAGTGTTTGACAGTTCCTCCTTCACACTCGCTCTCTGTCTCCTGCCACCATGTAAGACATGCCCACTTCCCCTTCATCTTCCACCATGATTGTAAGTTTCCTGAGGTCCCTGCCATGTGGAACTGTGAATCAATTAAACCTCTTTCCTTTACAAATTACCCAGTCTCAGGGAAGTTCTTTATAGCAGTGTGAAAATGGACTAATACACTTATCTTCTTCAAGTCCCAGGGTTTTTTTTATAGAGGGTTTCTCAATAGCAGCACTATTGACATTTTAGGCCAGATAATTTTTTGTTGTAGGACGCTGCCTTGTGCATTGTAGGATATTTAGCATCTCTACCCACTAGATACCAGTAGCACTTTCTCCCAGTCACTAAAAAACAAAAATGTCTCTACCCATTTCACATTGTACTAGGATAAATCACCCCTAGTGAGAACCACTCCTTTAGGTGTCAAACTATGGATAACCAAACCCACTTCACAGGTAGTAGGCATAATACTAGCCTCTGAAGATGTTCACATCCTAATCCTTGGGACCTGTGAGTGTGTTACCTTACCTGGTAAAGGGAAATTAAGGTTGCATTGGTGACCTTAAATTTGAAGATTATTCTAGATTATTTGGGTAGATCCAATGTAATCACTAGGGTCCTTAAAAGTGAAAGGGTGAGGCAGAAGAGGTTGGAGTGATGTGATGTGAAAATGACTTGAATTATTTTTTCTGGGTTTAAAGATGGATGAAGTGGTCCATGAGCCACAGACTGTGGACAACCTCTAGAAGCTGGAAAAGAGAAGGAAATAGATCTTACCAAGGAAAGAACACAGCCTTGTTGACCCCTTGATTTTAACTCTGTGATACTCATGTCAAACTTCTGACTTACATAACTGTAAGATAATAAATGTGTTTTAAGCCACCAAGGTTGTGGTAACTTGTTATAGCAGCAGTAGAAAACTAATACAATAGGGCTACTGTGAAAATTGTGAGATAACGCACATAATTTATTGTCATCTGGAAATAGTAACTGCTTAATAAATGCTTTTGAAAATTTTCTTAGCAAAAAGACTGGGTCATAAGGCATTAATCTACAAGTTTTAATGGTGTTCTAAGGCTTTTAAATGGATTCATGGATTTTATGTGATATGCTATCTAGAAATGCCACTTGTTCAAGTGTAACAGGAAATCCCTCACTCTACCTTGGCATTCATGCTCCTGCTGGCGTGTTTCGTCTCACAATTCTGTACTCTATGTTCCCAGCTCTCTGAATCCTTGACTCCATTCTCCTCTTTAGCCTGCCTTCTTGTGGCCGTTGTTCTAGACATGCACATTTGGGTCTGATCCTTGGAGCTCTCTCTTGAATGTGATTTTTTTTTTTTTTTTTTTTTTTTGGTCTTCTGGCTCCTTGCAAAGCAGCTGTGATAGAGCAGGTAAGTCTTATCATGAGTCCATTGTATCCACACAAGTTATTACCAAACCCATTGTATCCACACAAGTTGTTCTACCCACTGATACTGGTAGCA
This sequence comes from Homo sapiens, assembly GCF_000001405.40. Classification (NCBI taxonomy): domain Eukaryota; kingdom Metazoa; phylum Chordata; class Mammalia; order Primates; family Hominidae; genus Homo; species Homo sapiens. Next base: position 65,907,172 of record NC_000008.11, read on the forward strand.
CTTTCTCCCAGCCATAAAAAAACAAAAATACCTGTACACCATGCACATTTTGGAGTAAATCACCCCAGCTGAGAACCAGTCCCTACCAGTCAGTCTCATTTCTGGAGTGAAGATAGGACAACTGGGGTAGCTTTGTTTCAGGTATTTTGATGCTGTTGTTTGTTGCCATGACATTTAGGATCATTATGTCTACCCTGTGATTGATCCTTTTACTGTTATAAAATATTCCTCTTTGTTGTTAGTAATTTTCTTTTCACTGAAGACTAATTTTTCTGATATTAATATAGTCACTACTGCTTTTTAAAATGAATTCTTCTTTTTTCATCCTTTTTCCTTCAACCTACCTATATCATTGTATTTGAAGTGACTTTCTTTAAGAAAACATATGGTTGGATCATGTTTTTTCATCCAGTCTGCCAATTTCTGTCCATTAACTGATGTAATTAAATTATTTACATTTGAGTTAATTATTGATATGTTAGGGCTGAAATCTACCATTTTGTTATTTCTATTTTTTTATTTCTCATTTGTTTCATTTTTCTTTCCTTTTTGTATGCTACTTCAATATTTTTAGCTTCTTATTTTGATTTATATATAGTCTTTTGTAGTATATTGCTTTGTATAGTTTTCTTAGTTGTTGCTCTAGATATTATTACAATATATGCATGTAATTTATCATAATCTATTAATATAAACTTTTTACCATTTTGAATGAAGTGTAGTAAAGGTACTTCCTTTTAGACACATTTACTCTCCATTTAAATATAGTCACCTTTAAATATAGTTGTCCTGAGTGCCACAATTTATTATGCACCACATCAGATGATGCTACACTTTTTTCATCTACTATCAAATATTATTTAAGAAGTGCATGAAGCATAAGGATAACATATAGATCGATGTAATAGAATTGAGAGTTTATAAATAAACCTTGAAAATTATGGTCAACTGAATTTTAACAAGGATGCCAAGACATTTCAATGGGGAAAAAATAGTCTTCTCAACAAAGGTGTTGGAACCATTGGATATCTGTATGCAAAAGAATGAAGCTGGAACCCTTACCTCACACCATATACAAAAATTAACATTTCTCCCAAAAAGACATACAAATGGCCAACATGCACAGGGAAGGACGCTTAACATTATTAGTCATTAGAGAAGTACAAATCAAAACCACTTGAGATCCCACTTTATACCTACTAGGATGGCTATAATAAAAAAGTCAGATAAAATCAGTGTTGTTAAGGATATAAAAAAGTTGGAACACTTGTTCACTGCTGTGAGAATGTAAAGCAATTCAGCCATTTTAAAAAATATCTAGAGTTACCAGACAAACCAGGAATTCCATTTCTAGGTATCTACTCAAAAGAATTAAAAACATATGTCCTTACAAAAACTTGTACATGAATGTTCGTAACTGCACTATGCATGAAACTCCCAAAGTGGAAATACTCAAATATCCATCAACTGAAGAATCAATAAAGATGGGGCCTAGCTATAATCTCTAGAAAGAAAAAGTTTTACAATGAGATGGTCAGTAGAAAAAGCCACAGTCACTGTTCCTACAGCTGTTCCATGGGCCATAACTGATATACTTCCTCTTCCTCCTCTCCATAACCCATTTTCTATTTTCTCCATCCTTGGCTAGCATTTCAGTCTCTCTGGATTCCTTGCTTGATGGAATGACCTAAAATGTCACCTCTAGACTGAGGCTTTGCTTGCCTTCCCCTCATCAGGCCATTGTTACTGCATTCACCTGTTTGTTTTTATGTACTTGGAATAGTAGCACTAAGGGATGTTCCAATCAGTCCTTTGATTTGTAGGCTTTTCCCTGACCCATAAAGTAGTAGCAACCTGATTTCTTGCTTATAATCAGAGCCAGTTGGCCCTGCTGATAGAGTAACTCTTTTCACCGCCTGTTGGTTCATGAACATGAGGAGCGACCAGGCATTAGTTGTAGTTTTGAGTTTACTGAAACATCATATCCCTAGTGAAAGTATTATCTCCTTCCTGAGAATCAGAACCTCGAATCCAGTAGACCACAGAGTTGCAGGGATGGAAAATAAAAATTCTGCAAGTTGGATCATGGGAGTCATGCAGCATAGAGCCAGTCTTATTTCTACCCCTTGGTTCCTGAACCTGTGCAGTGAACTTGTCAGGAATAGGACCAAATATCATGCAATTGTTGAATGCATATATAACATCCTGAAGGATGGTGCAGCACCACTGCAGGATGTTGTCTACAAATGGGCATCTTAATGGAACCTTTCCAAAGTTCTACCAGGCTGGTGCACTGGGGAACATAGTATGTGATAGGACCTAGGTCCCATGGACCTGTGCCCACTATTCCATCTTGTTTTGCTGTAAAATGACTCTTTTGGCCTGTGGTGGTGTTACACAGGATCTCATGTTGGTAAATTACATTATAATCCCTTGGAGACTGGTGCCATCAAAGGTACTGCAGGCAGAGAAGTCACACCTTATCTAAAGTTAGCATCAAAGATGAATTATACCCTTTCAGGATTGAAAAGACGCAAAATATTCCATTTACCCAAGATGCTAGCTGGCCTGCTTAAGGGGTACTGTATTGAGAACACATTTGGTCCCCAGTGCTTCCTAGTTTTGTAGTTAGCAATAGAAATAACAGGGTCAGCTATGGTGAAAGAGAACCTGAGATACTGAGCCCATGAACAACCTCTAACCCCACCACCATGGCTACCTTGTATGTAGCATGCTATGCAAGCACTGGAGCAGCTAAGAAGAGTTACTCAGTCTGCCTTGTTGTTGAATATCTCCTCTGCAGTTGGTGTTTTCTGGTGGGTATTACAATGAAACACAAAGATCTGCACTCCTTGTGCCCACTCTCTAAAGTCCATCCACATGTATCTTCCCCAGATCTTGTCTCTGATTTTCCATTTCCACTGTTTCCAGGCCCTGAGTAACCTACCAGGCCATTTACCACTACCTAGTTCCCTTTTGGGGCTGCAGACAATGAATATAGAAAACATGTAGAGAGATTTTCTATAAAAAGGAACAGGGACTTGGAGAATGATTGGAGAGAGAAAAGGGGTCAAGATAGTTTTTCTTTTAAGATAAGAAGAAATCAGAGTGTGTCAGTATGCTGATGGAAATAATCCCAATGAAATAGAATCTATGATGTAGTACATGGAGAATTGCTGCAGATGGATTTCAGTAGCCTTGAAATGCACTGTAAATGATAATATATTATTTGAAGCCAAATTATGACATATTTTAATCATTTCTACATAAATTTAATGGGATTATATAAATTAATCATTCAAGTAACATATATTAAGGCATCTACTGGGAGCTAAGGGTGTGCTATTTCTAGGGATATAAAGATAAATAAGAACTTCTTAAGGAATTTACAATGAGAGAGATGATTGTGGAAAAAGTTAATTGCAATTCAATGTGAGAAAAGCTATAATAGAAGCCTGGGTAGAAGGATCTTCATTTTGATATCATATACCCCAAATACTCAAATAACTGCTTACATATATAGAACCTAAGTGCAAAAGATACACAACTTGTTCTTTCAGGATTTTAAAATATCTTTTATCTGTTGTTCTTGTACTCACAGGAAAAAATCAAAAGAGAAGCTACTTCTTTTTAATTTGCCCTCTTTTTTTCTTACTGCAAAATGGATAGAGAGATGATGTAAATGTAAATGTGGTTATAAAAAGTTACAATTATGAATAATTGGTACTGCCAGTTACAGATTCTGATGAATTGCTGATATGTAGAATCACTAAGATAATTGGCAGAGGAATGTTATAAAATCAGATAATGCTTCCCTAGGAAATTATTAGGGAAAAATAGCATTAGAATAGAGAAAATGAAGCTGATATTTTTGGGCTTTACTGTCTTTTACTGAGCATGCATTATGCATAAAATTGCATGGCATGAGTCAATTTCTAGAAGGTTTACTTTGAAGGGGAAAAGAGTGCAATTCTAAGAAGAACAATGTAAGTCCAAAGCCAAAAAACATCTTTACATTTTAAAAAGTTGCATTGCATTTCCCTTATCTATATCACTGAGATATAACATCTTCAGAGGAAAACATGGATGAGGACCAAATGGAGCTGACTCTTGGCAATAGCCAACAATGGCATTTACAAGTAACCAGAGTTGTTTAGAGCCAAACTAAGATCTATCTCCTCCCCCATATCCAATTAACTTCATTAAACTGACCCCATGTCCTACACAAAATACACTCTTTTTTGTCTTAAGAGATTAAAATAATTTTTCTAAATTTTCAATTTTATTAAATATAAATTATTCTTATTCTCATGATATAAATTATATTAATATATAATTAAATGAATATTTAGCCAAGTTAGATCTCATTGACATGGAGGTGGCTTAGCAAGATGGCTGAATAGAAGCCTCCACCAATCATTCCCACCATGGGAACAACAAATTTTTAACAACTGTCTGCACTCAGAAAAGCACCTTCATAAGAACCAAAAATCAGGTAAGCAATCACAGTACCTGATTTTTAACTTCATATTGCTAAAAGAGGCACTGAAGTGGGTAGGAAAGATGGTCTTGAATTGCCGATGTACTCCCTCCCCCATGCCCCAGCAGCAGTGGCATGGTACAGAGAGAAAATCTGTGTGCTTGGGGGAGGGAGTGCACAATGACTAGAGGACTTTGCATTGAACTCAGTGCTGCCTGTGGCAGAGGAAAGCAAAACTGTGCTGAACTCAGCCAGCACTCACCCATGGAGGAAGCATTTTGACCAGAACTAACCAGAGGAAAAGTACCCATCCCAGCTGTCAGAACTCGTGTTTCTGGGCAAGCCTTGCCAACATGAACTAAAGGGCTCTGGGGTTCTAAGTGAACTTGAAAGGCAGTCTAGGACACAAGGACTGCAAGTCTTTAGGCAACCAAGCACTAGGCTGGGCTTAGAGCCAATGGACTGGGGTCCATATGACCTAGTGAGATATCAGACAGTTTGGCTAGGGAGTGCTTGTGCCACCCCTCCCCAAATACCAGGCAGTGCAGCTTGCAACAGTGAAAGTGACTCCTTTCTTTTGCTTGAAGAGAGGAGAGAGAAGAGTAAAAAGAATTTTGTCTTGCATCTTGGATACCAGCTCAGCCACAGTAGAAGAGGACACCAGGCAGAGTCTTGAGGCCCCCATTCCAGGCCCTAGCTCCTGGATGACATTTCTAGACACACCCTGGGAAAGAAGGGAATCACTACCTTGAAGGGAAGGAACCAGTCCTGGCAGGATCCATCAGCTACTGACTAAGGAGCCCTTAGGCCCTGAATAACTAACTGCGACTCCCAGGTAGTACACTGTGAACCTTGAGTGAGACCCTGAGACATGCTGGCTTCAGGTAACAGCTTGGCCACAGGGTGGGAGAGCACCAAGTGGGTTCTTAGGGTCCCTGAGTCCAGGCCTAGGCATTTAGACAGCATTTCTGGGTCTGCGAGGGGCAAAAAGGGAGCCCACTGCCTTGTAGGGTAAGTCCCAGGCCTGGCATCATTCACCAAAAGCCGACTGAAGAGGCCTTGGGCCTTAAGTGAACATTGGCAGTGGCCTGGCAGAACTCTCCATGGGCTGGTGGTGGTGGTGGCATGGGGAGAGGATCCTCTGCCTATGGAAAGGGGAGGGAAGAGTGGGAATGACTTTGTCCTGTGGCTTGAGTGCCACATTACCCATAGTAGAATAAAATACCACGTAAATTTTTAAGGTTTTTAGCTCCAATCCCTGGCTTCCAGACAATATCTCTGGACCCACCTGGGGCCTGGAGGACCTTGCCACCCTGAAAAGGACACAAACCTGGCTAGCTTTGTTACGTGCTGATTGCCGAGCCATAGGGCCTTGAGTGAACATAAGTGGTAGCCAGGTAGTGGTTACAGTGGGCCTTGGGTGAGACCCAGTGCTGTTCTGGCTTCAGGTCTGACCCAGGACAGTCCCAGTCATGGCCACAGGGGTGCTTGTGTCACACCATCCCCAGCTCCAAGTGGCTCACCACACAGGTGGTGAGAAAGTAAGTGAAGAGAACAAGAGTCTTCACCTGACAATCCAGAGAATTCTTCTGGATCTTATTCGAGACCACCAAGGTAGTACCTCTATGAGTCTGCAAGAACCATAGCATTACTGGGCTTGGGGCCAAGTCCCCTTCTAATACCTGGAAAGCCTTCGCAAGAAGGATGCGCACAAACAAGCCCAGATTGCAATAATATCTAACTCTTCAATGCCCAGACACTGACGAACATCCACAAGCATCAAAACCATCCAGAAAAACATGACCTCACCAAATGAACTAAACAAAGTACCAGGGATGAATTCTGGAGGAGCAGAGATCTGTGATCTTTCAAATAGATAATTCAAAACAGCTGTTTTGAGGAAACTGAAAGAAATTCAAGATAACGCAGAGAAGAAATTCAGGATTCTATCAGATTCCTGTAATTTCAGCACTTTGAGAGGCCAAGATGGGAGGATCACTTGAGGTCAGGAGTTCAAGACCAGCCTGGGCAACATGGTGAAACCCCATCTCTATTAAAAATACAAAAATTAGCCAGGTGTGGTGGTGCACACCTGTAGTCTCAGCCACTCAGGAGGCTGAGGCACAAGAATCACTTGAACCCAGGAGGCAGAGGTTGCAGTGAGCTGAGATTGTGCCACTACACTCCAGCCTGGGTGATAGAACAAGACTCTGTCTCAAAAAAAAAAAAAAAAAAGAATTATATCAGATAAATTTAACAGAGATTGAAATAATTAAAAAGAATCGAGCAGAAACTCTAGAGTTGAAAATGCAATTTACATACTGAGTGATGCATGAGTCTCTTAACAGCAGAACTGACCAAGCTGAAGAAAGAATTAGGGAGCTTGAAAATAGGCTATTTCAAAATACACTCAGAGGAGATGAAAGCAAAAAGAATAAAAAATGAAGCATGCCTACAACATCTAGAAAATAGCCTCAAAAGGGCAAATCTAAGAATTATTGATCTTAAAGATGAGATAGAGAAAGAGACAGGGGTAGAAAGTTTATTCAAAAGGGTAATATTAGAGAACTTCCCAAACCTAGAGAAAGATATCAATATTCTACTACAGAAGGTTATAGAACACCAAGCAGATTTAATCCAAAGAAAACTACCTCAGGCATTTAATAATCAAACTCCCCAAAATCAAGGATAACAAAAGGGGCTGGGTGCGGTGGCCCATGCCTATAATCCCAGAACTCTGGGAGGCCGAGGTTGTGGGTCACTTAAGGCTAGGAGTTTGAGACCAGTCTGGCCAACATAGCAAAACCCTGTCTCTACTAAAAATACAAAAAAACTAGCTGGGCATCTTGGCATGTGCCTGTAATCCCAGCTACTTGGGAGGCTGAGGCATGAGAATCACTTGAGCCCGGGAGTTGGAGGTTGCAGTGAGCCAAGATCATGCCACTGCACTTCAGCCTGGGCAACAGAGCAAGACTCTTTCTGAAAAAAAAAAAAAAAAGAACAAAGAAAAGATCCTAAAAGCAGCAAGAGAAAAGAAACAAATGATACACAATGGAGCTCCAATAATTCTGACAGCAGACTTCAGGGAAAACCTTACAGGCCAAGAGAGAGTGGCATGACATATTTAAAGTGTTTAAGGAAGAAAATTTCTACCCTAAAATAGTGTACTAGTGAAAATATTCTTCAAACATGAAAAAGAAAAATAAAGACTTTCCAAGACAAATAAAAGCTGAGGGATTTCATCAATGCCAGACCTGTCCTACAGTAAAAGCTAAAGGGAGTTCCTCTATCTGAAAGAAGGGAACATTAATGAGCAATAAAAAATCATCTGAAGGCTCAAAACTCACTGGAAATAGTAAGCAGAAAAACAAAGAATATTATAACACTGTAATTGTGGTGTGCAAACTACTTATGTGTATATATATATATATATATATTTTTTTTTTTTTTTTTTGTGATGAAGTCTCACTCTGTCACCCAGGCTGGAGTGCAGTGGTGTGATCTTGGCTCACTGCAACTTCTGCCTCCCAGGTTCAAACAAGTCTCCTGCCTCAGCTGCTCAAAAACTACTCTTATCTTAAGTATAAGGACTAAACAATAAACCAATCACAAATAATAGCTACAACAACTTTTCAGGACATAGAAAATATAATAAGATATAAAGACAAACAACAAAAAGTTAAAAAGCAGGGGAACAAAGTGTAGAGTTTTTATTAGTTTTCTTTTTGCTTGTTTGTTTATGTAATCAGTGTTAAGTTTTCATCAGTTAAAAATAATGGGTTATAAGATAGTATTTGCAAGCCTCATGGTAAACTCAAATTTAAAAACATACAATGGATACACAAAAAATAAAAAGCAAGAAATTAAATTGCATTGCCAGAGAAAATCACTTTCACTAAAAGGAAGACAAGAAAGATGACTACAAAACAACCAGAAAACAAATATCAAAATGGCACAAGTAAGTCCTTACTTACCAATAATTACACTAAATGTAAATGGGCTAAACTCTACAATCAAAAGATATAAAGTGGCTGAATGAATAAAAAAAACAAGACCCAATGATCTGATGTCTACAAGAAACACACGTTACCTACAAAGATACACATAGGTTGAAAATAAAGGGATGGAAAAAGAGGTTCTTTGCTAATGGAAACCAAAAAAGAGTGGGATACTTATAGCAAACAAAATAGGTTTCAAGACAAAAACTATAAGAAGAGACAAAGAAGGTCATTATATAATGATAAAGGGGTAAATTCAGTAAGAAGATATAACAATCATAAATATATGCACACAACACTGGAGCTGCCAGATATACATAGAGCTAAAGAGAGAAATAGGCCCCAATACAATAGTAGCTGGAGACTCCAACACCCCACTTTCAGCACTGGACAGATTATCCAGACAGGTAATCAACAAAGAAACATCAGACTTAATCTATACCATAGAACAAATGGACCTAATAGATGTTTACAGAACATTTTATCCAATGGCTGCAGAATACACATTCTTCTCCTCAGCACATGGATCATTCTCAAGGATAGACTATATACATTAGGTCACAAAACAAGCCTTAAAACATTAAAAAAAAAAAAAAACCCTGAAATAGTATCAAGCATCTTCTCTAATCGCAACTGAATGAAACTAGAAATCAATAACAAGAAGAATTTAGGAAACTATACAAATACATGGAAATTAAACTATATGCTCCTGAGTGACCAGTAGGTCACTGAAGAAATTAAGAAGGAAATTGAAAAACGTCGTGAAACAAAAGATAATGAAAACACAACATACCAAATCTACGTGATACAGCGAAGGCAGTACTAAGAGGGCAGTTTGTAGCTATAAGTGCCTATATCAAAAAAGAAGAAAAATTTCAAATAAGTAACCTGATGATGCATCTTAAAGAACTAGAAAAGCCGGAACAAACCAAACCCAAAATTAGTAGAAGAAAAGAAATAATAAAGATCAGAGCAGAAATAAATAAAATTGAAATGAAGAAGGCAATGCAAAAGATCAAGGAAACAAAAAATTGGTTATTTGAATAGATAAACAAAATTGACAAAATGTTAGCCAGACTAAATAAAAAAGAGAGAAAACTCAAATAGATAATATCAGAGATGAAAAATGAAACATTACAATGGATACCACAAAAATTCAAAGGATCATTAGTAGCTATTATGAGCAACTATGTGCCAATAAATTAGAAAATCTAGAGGAAATGAGTACATTTCTAGACACATATGACCTACCAAAATTGAACCATGAAGAAATCCAAAATCTGATCAGATCAGTAACGAGTAATGAGATTGAAGCCATAACAAAAATCTCCTAGAAAAGAAAAGCTTGAGACCCAATGGCATCACTTCTGAATTCTACCAAACATTTAAAGAATACCAATTCTACTCAAATTATTTTAAAAAATAGAGGATGAGGGAATACTTCTAAACTCATTATGTGAGGTCAGTATTATATGGATACCAAAACCAGACAAAGACAAATCTAAAAAAGAAAATTATAGCCCAGTATCTCTGATGAATATCAATGCAAAAATCCTCAACAAAATACTAGCAAACTGAATTCAACAATGCATTAAAAAGATCATTCATCATGATCAAGTGAGATTTATCCCAGAGATGCAAGTATGGTTCAATATACACAAATCAATAAATGTGATACATCATATCAACAGAATGAAGGACAAAAAACCATACAATCATTTTAATTGATACTGAAAAGACATTTGATAAAATTCAACATCACTTCTCAATAAAAACTCTTAAAAACCTGGGTTTAGAAGGAACACACCTCAACATAATCATAGCCATATTTTACAGACACAGCTAGTATCATACTGAATGGAGAAAAACTAAAAGACTTTCCTCTAAGATCTGGAACATGAGAAAGATGCCCACTTTCACCACTGTTATTCAACATAGTACTGGAGGTCCTGGCTGGAGCAATCAACCAAGAGAAAGAAATAAAGAGCATCCAAATTTGAAAAGAAGAAGTCGAATTATCTTTGTTTGCAGTTGATACAATCTTATATTGGAAAAACCTAAAGACTCCACCAAAAAACTATTAGAACTGAAAAACAAATTCAGTAAAGTTGCAGAATACAAAAATCAACATACAAAAATCAGTATGTTTCTATATGGCAACAGTGAACTATCTGAAAAAAAGTAGTCCCATTTACAATATCCACAAGTTAAACTAAATACCTAGGAATTAAACAAAGAAGTGAAAAAGTTCTATAATGAAAGTTATAAAACACTAAAGAAAGGGATTGAAGAGAACATCAAAAAATGGAAAGCTATTTCATCTTTATGGATTGGAAGAATCAATATTGTTAAAATGTCCATGTGACCCAAAGCAATCTACCGATTCAATGCAATCTCCATCAAAATACTAATGACATTGTTCACAGAGATAGAAAAACAATCCTAAAATTCATATAGAGCCACAAAAGATGCAGAATAGCCAAAGCTATTTTGACCAAAAAGAATATAAATAGAGAAATCACATTACCTGACTTCAAATTATACTACAGAGCTATAGTAACCAAAACAGTATGGTACTGACAAAGAAACAGACACATAGATCAATGGCATAGAATAGATAACCCAGAAACAAATACATATATCTACGGTGAACTCATTTTTAACAAAAGTGCCAAGAACGCATATTGAGAGAAAATCAGTCTCTTCATTAAATTTTACTGGGAAAACTGGATATCTATATGCAGAAGAATGAATCTAGACCCCTATCTCTCATCACATACAAAAATAAAATCAAAGTGGAGTAAGGCTTTAAATTGAAGACCTCAACTATGAAACTACTACAAGAAAAGATAGGGTGAACTCTCTGGTACATTGGTCTAGGCAAAGGTTTCTTGAGTAATACTCCACAAGCACAGGCAACCAAAGCAAAAATGGACAAATAGGATCATATCAAGTTAAAAAGCTTCTGCACAGCAAAGGAAACAATCAACAAAGTGAAGAGACAACCCACAGAATGAGAGAAGATATTTGAAACTACCCATCTGATAAGAGATTAATAACCAGAATATATAAGTAACTCAAACAACTCAATAGGAAAAATATCTAATAATCCAATTAAAAATGGGCAATAGAGGCTGGGTGTGGTGGCTCATGCCTGTAATCTTAGCACTTTGGAAGGCTGAGGTGGGCAGATCACTTGAGGCCAGGAGTTCAAGACCAGTTTGGCCAACATGGTAAAACCCCATCTCTACTAAAAATACAAAAATTGTAGGGCATGGTGGTGCACACCTGTAATCCCAGCTACTCGGGAGGCTGATACATTAGAATTGCCTGAACCTGACAGGGGGAGGTTGCAGTGAGCCAATATCATACCCCTGCACTCCAGCCTGGGTGACAGAGCAAGACTGCCTCAAAAAATAAAATAAAATAAAAAATAAAAATAAAAATAAGAATTGGCAAAAGATCTGAATAGACATTTCTCAAAAGGGGGCATACAAATGACAAACAGGCATATGAAAAGGTGCTCAAAATCATTGATTATCAGAGAAATGCAAATCAAAACTACAATGAGATATCATCTCACCCGTTAAAATGGCTTATATCCAAAAGACAGGCAATAACAAACAGTGGCCAGATGTGGAGAACAGAGAATCCTCATACACTGTTGGTGGGAGGGTAAATTAGTACGATCACTTCAAAGAACAGTTAGGAGATTCCTCAAAAAATTAAAAATAGAGCTACCATACAAACCAGAATCTCACTGCTGGGTCTGTACTCAAAATGAAGGAAAATCAGTGTATCAAAGAGATACCTGGTTTCCCATGTATGTTTCAGCACTTTTCACAATAGCCAAGATTTGGAAGCAACCTAAATGTCCATCAAGAGATGAATGGAAAAGAAAATTGGTACATATACACAATGAAGTACTATTCAGCCATTAAAAAGAATGCAATCTTGTCATTTGCAACAACATGGATGGAACTGGAGGTCATTATGTTAAGTGAAATCAGCCAGGCACAGACAGACAAACATTGCATGTTCTCACCTATTTTGGGGAGCTAAAAATGAAAACAATGGAACTCATGGAGCTAGAGAGTAGAAGAATGGTTACCAGAGGCTAAGAAAGGTATTGGAGGTGGGGTGGGGAGGAAGTGGGGATGGTTAATGGGTACAGAAAAATAGAAAGAATGAATAAGATCGAATTTTTTTTTTCTTTGAGATAGTGTCTCACTCTGTTGCCCAGGCTGGAGTGCAGTGGCACCATCTCAACTTGCTGCAACATTCATCTCCCCAGTTCAAGTGATTCTCCTGACTGAGCCTCCCAAGTAGCTGAATTACAGGCACCTGCCACCACACTCGGCTAATTTTTGCAATTTTAGTAGAGATGGGGTTTCTTCATGTTGACCAGGCTGGTCTCAAACTCCTGGTCTCAAGTGATCCGCCCACCTCAGCCTCCCAAAGTGCTGGGATTACAGGCTTGAGCCACTGCACCTGGTCAGGACCTAGTATTTGATAGCACAACGGGGTAACTATAGTCAATAATAATTTAATTGTACATTTAAAAATAACTAAAATAATGTAATTGGATTGTTTGTAACAGAAAGGATAAATGTTTGAGGGGTTGGATATCCCATTTTTAAACATGATGTAATTATTACATATTGCATGCTTGTATCAAAGTATCTCATGTACCCTATAAATATATACATCTATTATGTACCCACAAAAATTAAAATTTTTTTTTAAAATTGGAGGCAGTATTATTTTTATTTTTATGTTTGAAACAGCTCATAGGCTCTTAGAAATGTCCCAACCCCTTCGAGACCAGCCTGGCCAATACAGTGAAACCCTGTCTCTACTAAAAATACAAAAATTAGCTGGGCATGGTGGTGGACACCTGTAGTCCCAGCTACTTGGTAGGCTGAGGCAGGAGAATTGCTTAAACCTGTGAGGCGGAGGTTGCAGTGAGCTGAGATCGTGCCATTGTACTCTATCCTGGGTGTTACAGCAAGACTCCATCTCAAAAAAAAAAAGAAAGAAATGTCCCAACCCCAGGCACTTTGCCAATAATGCCTGGTGGATAAAATTTACATGGCACATGGAAAAAAAAACATGGATTCTGGGTCCCCACCCCCCACCGACCTTATTCAGGAATGTCTCTCCCATTTTAGGATTATGAAGTTATTCCATGTTCATTTAATTTATCTGGAATTCTTTTGTGTAGGGTGTACAAACCTAACTTCATTTTTATAAATGCAAATATCAAATTGCCTTATGTATTTGATTATTAGTGGAACACTTGTTACAGGGACTTGTTTATGTTTAAGTAAGCCAGTTGGCTCTCAGGACTACAGAGAGGGTCCAGGTTAGGAAAAGAGATGAGACAGGTAAAATACAGGTAAAGAATGGAGGAAATTATCCTCCTTTTCCCTTAGTGGAAAAAATACCAATCATTCAAAATATCTTCAGATGACTTTATATATTGTATGTTATAAAGGTATAATGATTATACCTAATAACTATTTTTAATAAGATAACTGCCTGGTAGCACATGAGCAAAGAGATTCTAGGTAAGAGGACAAGTCTGAAAACCAGATTTTTAGTTTCAACATGTCAATGATCTCTTCTTTACAAAACAGCTGCATGTTAGAAGCATGTCTCAGGTAGGAACTTCCTAAAGGAAATCAAAAAATTTGAAGTCAAGTGTGTAGTGAATCTAATTCTGGACCCAGGAGGCAGCAGCCTTCAGTGAAGCCTTCTGTATGGGGGCTTCTTGGCTGTGCATGAGAATTGGCTCCTGTGCGTGCTCAGAGTAGTTGGTCTTTACCCAGCTTCACTGGAAGTCTGATCCTGCTTTCAAAAGTGCACAGCGTGGAAGCCTCAGGACTGGACAGAGAGATACCTACAGGACATGAGAGTGCAGGAAGAAAGTGGAGCCCCTGGCTTTCTCCTTGATGGGTGGCTGTAGATTGGCTGTGCTCTCAGGCAGCCCTCTTCAAATAGTTTGCTTTCTCTGGATTCTGGCAAACATGCGTTTACACATAGAGGTTGTAACAGCTCCCTGCAATTGCCAGCACCAAGATTCTGCCCCATCTTTTGTTGGATTCCCTAAACCCTGACCATACCTTTATAAATAGGCTTCTTATTAAACTCTGTTCAATTCCCTTGTTGAGTTGTGCAGTTTCCTGCTGGGATCTAAAGAATACACTCATTCTGTTCATTGTCAAGTTTCAAAATAAATGATTCTCTCTGCAGTCCCTGGAAAAAGAAAATGCAGGTTTATTTATACTTTACCTTTATTCTGAGGGTATAGCTTTTTGATGTCCCAGCCATATGGAGAAGGAACGCCAATTGGACTTACCTTGGCTAGAACCTGGGCTTTAGCTCTTCATCCCTACACCCTAAGTCCTTGAAAACTGAAGGTCCAGCTCATCAAGTTCAGCAAAGACCCTCACAGCAAAAGTGAGCAGCTCCACTTGCCTCTTGAGTTCCAGCCTCACTTGAGGACTTGGCCTGAGAACTTTTTTTTTTTATTTGAGATGGAGTCTTGCTCTGTTGCCCAGGCTGGAGTGCAGTGGTGCAGTCTCGGCTCACTGCAACCTCCATCTCCTGGGTTCAAGCGATTCTCCTGCCTCAGCCTCCTGAGTAGCTGGGATTAAGGCGCATGCCACCACACCCTAATTTTTCTATATTTAGTAGACACAGGGTTTCATCATGTTGGCCAGGCTGGTCTCGAACTCCCGACCTCAGGTGATCCACATGCCTTGGCCTCCCAAAGTGCTGGGATTACAGGTGTGAGCCACCAAAGGCCGGCCAGGTTTTCTTTTAAACAATGGCCACTCTGTAGTTGATTTTACTACTCTGTACTTATCCTAAATACCTTGATTGACAATTTGGGTATAGAAATGCTGGATACAAATTATTTACCTAAAGAGTTTTGAACACATTTATCCATTGTCTCCTTGATTTTAATGTTGCTATGGAAAAGCTTAAGTCATTCTGATTCTCAGTCTTTTGTGTACTTCTGCTTTTCCTCTATGGAGGGTTTTAGAATTTTTTTTCTCCTAAAGTTTGATAAAATGAACTTGATATGTGTATTGTTTTCAAAAATCTATTTTACTCGGCACGTAGTCACTAATATTTAGAAATTCCTGTTCTTCAGTTTTAGACACTTTTTTTGAAGTATTTGATAACTTTTCCCCTTTACTTTTCCTCTTTTCCTCCTAGAAACCTTATTAGTTAGATGTCAGTCTTTTAGGGCTGGTGCTCTAATACTTTTATGTTTTATGTTCAATCTTTTTCTTGTTTTACTTTTGGTGAGATTTATTTTTTTCTCACCCTTCTGTTGAATTTTAAAAATTATTTTGATATTTTTATTTTTAAGAATATTTTCGGGCCAAGCATGGTGGCTCTCCTCTGTAGTCCCAGCACTCTGGGAGGACATGGCAGGCAGATCACAAGGTCACGAGTTTGAGACCAGCCTGGCCAAAAAGGTGAAACCCTGTCTTTACTAAAAATACAAAAACTAGCCGGGTGTGGTGGTAGGTGCCTGTAACCCCAGCTACTCGGGAGGCTGAGGCAGGAGAATCGCTTGAACCCAGGAGGCGGAGGTTGCAGTGAGCTGAGATGGCTCCACTGCACTCCAGCCTGGGTGACAGAGCAAGACTCCATCTCCAGAAAAAATAAATAACTAAAAGAATATTTTCTTTTTATCTGTTTCCATTGCATAGAATACAGTTTTTGTTTCAATACACAAAATATTTTTTAATTTATCTGAAGATATTAATTACAGTTTATTTTTGTTTTGGTCTCTGTCTTTTGTGTCACAGACTATGCTCAAAGAACTGGTGATATGCTATAAAGCTATTAGAAGTTCCCTGTATAGGGCTGGCATACTGATGAGCTTTATGGTAGGATGGTGGTTCTCAACTGAAGGTAATTTTGTGCCTAATGTCCGCCCCCCAGGCATCTTTGATTGTTATTAATGGGCAAAGAATACTACTGGTATCTAATGGGCAGAGGTCAATGATGCTGCTAAACATCCTACAAGGCACAGGAGTGTCCCCATCAACAAAGAATTATCTGGTCCAAAACATCAACAGTGCTCAGGCTGAGAAATCCTGCTGTAGAGGGGTGGCCAGCCTGCTTTCTCACGGTGGATGTCATATGTCAATAGCTGAAAGACTTTGGTGTGTGTGGTCAGTTTCGAATCTTTCAGTCCCCTGCTGGAAAATATAAACTTGGCCACTCATGTTTTGAGCTGGGCAGAGGAAGGAGGCTGGCAGGGTTCTTGAGCTTTAGTATGCAGGCTTTCACCTAAAATCCTGTTTTCACTCTAGCACTTCATGCCTCCATTCTCTTTGTTAATATCCTCTCTGGTTCAAATTTTTCCAGAGGGATGGTCACCAGGCTAAAAGAAATGGGAATGAGGATGTGAGACTCAGTTTTTCCTTTCACAGATTTTGAGATAATCTCCTGGTTATGGATATCTACTTGCCCTTACTTTTTACAGTGCTGATGTCTCCACTTTCTGAGCCACTCTGGGATCCTATGGGTTGATTGTCTTGCTTCTGGCTGCCATCACCTCTGCAGGCACTTAGATTTGACCTACCTCTGTTCTGCTAAGTCACTTACCATTCCTCCATCAAATTTCCCCCCAATATAGTGTGGTTTTGGGGTTACAGATGTTTCCTAGATTCATCAGAGATGGAATGTAAGTTTCTGTTTCTTGTTCTTCTTGTGAGAAGAAGGAATTGGAAATATCTTTAAAAGGAAGCAATTGTGACTTCTATGCCAAATTGCAGAAAACTCTTATTCTCTCTGTCTTTAGTTGCTCCAAGTTCCCAACTTAAGTATAGTTTGTGCTCCCTTGCAATATGCAGATAGAAGCTATTTGAGCCTCTCGTTCTAAGCCCTTGTGCCTCCATCACAGCTGTGAGATAGCTATTTTTTATGCAAAGAGGACAAAAGTAATAAATAAATACTTTGGAGGTCCAGAGGAGAAATGAATAACTTTAGGAGAATCTAGGAGGGTTTGAGAGAAGCAAGTCCTTGATTGAGGTTAAGTTGGCATTTGGCTGTCATAGAAGTACAAGATGGAGTTTCCAATCCTCTCTCCCCACCCTACCCTAGCCTAGGCAATAACTAATCAATTTCTCTCTGTATAGATTTGCCTGTTCTGGACATTTCAAATAAATGGAATTATACAATGAGTGAGCTTGTATGACTTGCTTCTCTCACTGAGCACAATGTTTCCAAGTTTCGTGTATGTTGCAGCACATATCTGTACTTCACTTCTTTTCAACTGAATAGTATTTCACTGTATAGATAGACCACTTTTAGTTTATCCATTTGTCAGCTAATGGACATTTGGATTGTTTCCACTTTTTGGGCTACAATCAATAATGCTGCTATGAACATTCATGTCAGAGTTTTATGTAGACATGCTTTCAATTCTCTTGGGTATATATGTAGAAGCTGAACAGTTGGGCCATATGGTAATTCTGTTTAAACATTAAGGAATTGTCAGACTGTTTTCCAAAGTGGTTGCACTATTTTACGTTCCCACTACCAGTGTACAGAGATTTCAATTTTTCCACATCCTTGCCAACACTTGCTACCTGTATTTTTTTTATTATAGCCATCCTAGTGAGTATGAAATGGTATCATATTGTGACTATGATTTGCATTTCCCTGATGGCTAAGGATATAGAGCATCTTTTCATGTGAGAATGGTCAAAACAACAACTGACATGAGAGAATGGTCATATAACAACTGACAAAAGTACAACTGAAAAATATTTCAGTGTGTCCCAATTTTGTATATTACATATGTATGAGTTTTTAATATATACATTTTATGTATTAAAAGAGAAAAAACAGAAAATAAGCAAAGTCTTAACAATTAATCTTTTACTTATTTTACACATTTTCTTTACTGTATATATATTAATATAATGAAAAATAAAATGAAAATGAAATACACTCCTTTAGTATGTGTAAACTTCTAGCATCTGTGTACTGACACACCCTCCCAGAAGACTACAGCAGTATTGGGAAAATAGCAATGTTTTAGCAAAGTTTACACAATTCACTTACATTCTGGTAGAAGTACCAATACATTATAATTACATCAGTTATAATAACAGGTACATTTGTATGAATTAAATGGCAGAGGCCTGTATTTGGTCTACTTTTGGCACTAGGTAAGCATAATTATACTGCACATCCTTTCCACACTTGTCATCCTCAGTCTTGTGCCTGTCATGACGGTGATGATCACCATGACAACGATAGGCATCCCTGAGTATTTACAATGTACTAGATTCTTCTGTTATTATTTGCAATGAATCTTTACAATCTAATGAGGTAGAGACTGTTATTATATTTATTTCATATATGAGGAAACTGAGGCATAGACTAAGTAACTTGCCTGTTTAAGCTAGATTTGTGTCTAGAGACCAGTAACAGAAAACCTGAGTAACATAGGCTTAAACATTTAGGGGTGGCATTTCTTATGCCACACAGCTCAAGGCCACAGAGCTGGTATATGGTGCAGATTTATGCTCTTAACCACTCTAGTGATCTGCCTGCAGGTATTCAGAGGTTTTATTTAGAGTGTATTAATGGGTTGGTGTAACATTTTGTCAAAAGTATGGCTTTTAGAATTGGGGTCACAGAGCCCCGTGGAGAATTGAGAGGAATTCATGATCCAAGGGATGACATTCAGAGGGCTTTGAGAGCTGTGATCTGAGAAACATCTAAAAAGAATGCAGACTCAATCATGCAACAAAGGGATTAGTTTAATTCCACTAGGGTTAAGAAGGGAGGGGGAAAGGTGGTTTGTAGAATTCCATCCACCAAAATCAAGCTATAACTGTGAAAAAAATAAGGTGAAGGTGAAACAAACCCAGGGAACAGGTATTGTAAAACTGAGCCCATCTGAAGAATGCGGTCTTAGAATTCTCTCTCACCACAGCTGTTCCCTTTGTAAGCACATATCCTTTGGGCTTGCATCCTGCCTTGAATATCTAATTGATGATCAACCATCTCATGGTCATAGTCATGGTCAACACAATCTCATTAATTGCCTGGGATGTTACAACTCCACCTCTGTCCAGAATGGTGTCTTCTCAACTATATGGAGTTTTAGATAATTTTAAATATAATAAAAATAACCAACCCACAAATAATATTTTTGTGTAAAGTTCAAGAATAGGTAAGCATTGGGGGTAATCTCCTATACTTGTTATTTAAAATATAATCCTTAAGGAGAAGCTGACAGATTACCTGTGTGATTTTCATTTTACCTACATTACTAATTTCAGACAATTCTAAGTTGATAGGCATAAGAATTTGGCTAATATTATGAATAGGTTTTAATAATGGAGATATTATCTTTTTTCTTTTAAGTTTTTTTTTATTATACTTTAAATTCTGGGATACATGTGCAGAACGTGCAGGTTTGTTACATAGATACACATGTGCTATGGTGGTTTGCTGCACCTATCAACCCCTTATCTAGGTTTTAAGCCCCACGTGCATTAGGTATTTGTCCTAATGCTCTCCCTCCCTTTTCCTCCTACCCCTGATAGGCCCCGGTGTGTGATGTTCCCC